>NC_000023.11:99337542-99962542 GCF_000001405.40 Homo sapiens | reverse complement strand
TGGCCTCTTGATTGTGAAATTGGGGGAAAGGAGACAGGACTGCGGTATCACTTCTAGGAATTTTGTCATATGGCATCTGATTCACTTGAATTAAGAATTGTGTCTTTCATCTTCTCAGTTTTCATGTATGTTTCCATTCTGTCATGCTTAATGTAAATTTTTTCATGTAAACCTGGTGTTTAAGAGGTACATTGTATCAAAAAGATCATGTTCATCTTGAGAATTACCAAACTATATTGTATTTTTATGAAGAAATGCATATTTCTCAGGGAAATACTTCTTTAAAAAAGGTTTTATGAGTAACAGTGGGGAAAATTCTAGTTGGTTAAATATAGAGAACTGAAATGTCAAATCCAAGAATATTCCTTGGCATTAGACCCATGGTGTTTTCATCTGATTGTGAAATAAATAAAATTTCAGTCTTTTAAATTAATTGCCTCTTAGTAATCTACTTAGAGAGGCAGACAAGTGTCAGTGGCTATGTTGTTATTACTTAAATGATTCATTTTACCTACATTACTGGCTGTTAAACACAGCCTCATGCTTGCCAAAATGAAAATTTATCTAGTGAGTGATTACATAAGAAACTGTAATTGACATGGAGCTGGGTTACCTTCTTCCAAAGAGAGGTAGGCAGGGTTGTCAGTCAGAATTCTAAGATGCAAGCAACAGAAAGTGACTGGGGGTGATTTAAGTAGAGCAGGAATTGCTGAGATGGTGAGTAGCAAAGTATTTATTTTCATGCCTACTTTGCTTTCTTTCATTACCAGTCTAAATATTCTTCCTTGTATCTTGCAGACATTTTGCAAAACATAAGAAAAAAATCCAGAGTGATTCATTTTGTATTTTGAAGGCCTCCTTCATCCACTCTTCGTCCCTCCTGTCTAACTTAACCTGATTCTCAATTAGACAGAAATATGGTGCTTCAGTGTCTTGACTCCACTTTCATCACTACTTACTGTGGGCAGTACTCACCCACCCGGTGTAAAGTCAACAGCTTGCTAGATGTGATTTAAGAAACATTGAAAGTTCCTCTGCTTCAAACAGCTTCCTTAGTCAAGGTATCAGATGTATTTTTTTTTTTCAATTTCTTTGGCTTAGAGTTAAGTTTTTCAAATGCATACCTTATATGGGTAGGGTAAGCTATTAGAAGACATCAACTTTCTTCTTGTTTTACTAATTAATGTAATGTTGGAACACCTTCTATGTGAAAATGTACATTATTTGTTGCAGAAGAAAAAGACAAATTTAGAAACAAAAGGCAGTCTCAGTTTTCAAGGAACATAACTGGGGAGTTAAGATAACTCCAGGGCCTGTAATCCCAGCACTTTGAGAGGCCGAGGTGGGCACATCACTTGAGGTCAGGAGTTCGAGATCAGCCTGGCCAACATGGTAAAACCCCATCTCTACTAAAAAATACAAAAACTAACCAGGTGTGGTGACTGGCGCCTGTAATCCCAGCTACTCGGGAGGCTGAGGCAGGAGAATTGCTTGAACCCAGGAGGTGGAGGTTGCAGTGATTGTGCCATTGCACTCCAACCTGGGCAACAAGAGGAAAACTCTGTCCCAAAAAATAAAATAAAAATAACTCCAGCTACCTTGCTGTATTCCTGAGTAATAACATAGCCAACATTTGATATGAGTTGAAGGATAGCAAAGAAATTTTTGGCATATTGCATTATGGACAAGGTTGAATGGATCCCTTCTTTGGAGGGGGTTGAAGGTAGGCAATAAAGAAACAGTATAATTGTATTGAATACCATGATTTTTTTTCCGTGTGTGTGTGTGTGTGTGTATGTATAAATGTGAGTTGCATCCTAAGGGAGAATGAAGCCCCTAAATAAAGTTACACTTTTTTCAAGTGTTTTCCCTGTTTGTAGGGGCTGTGGCACTCATCTATAATCACATATCACTTGTTGGTTCCACTTTTCCAGGAAGTAGAATGACATCTACCTAACTAATAGACTTTGTAGGAAATGAGGTGGTCATCGGGGTAAAAAAATATGATGTGTATACTGAGTTTGGTGAGAAAATGTAAGAAAATATAATTTCCAATATAGCTTGCTTCGTCTTTGATCCATTTCTATTTATTCTGCATACCTGGGAAACCCTACTAGCCTCTACCAAACTGCAGAATTTTTAACTTGTAAACAGGACTTAAAAACATGTTTCCCATTAGAATGTAAAATGGCACAGCTTCTGTAAAAAGCAGCATGGTGATTCCTCAAAAATTAAACAGAATTACAATATAATCTAGCATTTCTTTCTGTGGATATATAGTCAAAAGAATTGAAATCAGAGACTTGGACAGATACTTGTACTTGAGTATTTATGGCAACATTCTTCACAGCAGCCCAAAGTTGGAAACAACCCAAATATCCATGGATGGATGAATGAGTAAACAAATGGTATATACATAGAATGGAATATTATTCAGCCTTAAACAATGAATAAAATTTTGACACATGCTACAATGTAAACAAACCTTGAAAACATCATGCTAAGTGAAATAAACCAGACACACAGGGTAAATATTGTATGATTTCACTTACATAAAGTATCCAGCATAATCAAAGTCATAGATACAGAAACTCAATGGTGGTTGCCAGAGGCTAGGAAAAAGTGAGGAAGGAGGGATTTATTGTTTAATGGGTACAGAGTTTCAATGTGGGATGATGAAATAGTTCTGGGATAGATGGTGGTGACCATTGCGAAACAATGTGAATGTAATTAATGCTACTAAACTGTGCACTTAAAAATGGTAAAATGGTACATTTTTTGTTATGTATATTTTACTACAATAAAAATTTTAAAAACACATTTCCCTAAGCCTCTCTAAATATGCAAAAAAATTCCATGGCACATCTGAATTATCCATTTTATATAGAGATAGAAATCTGTATGTTTAAACTTATTTTTGGAAGGCAAAGTCCATTTGTTTATCAGTAAGTACTGCAGTGGTATGTTTCATTGGTTCCAGGGCCCCTCACCTCCCAAACCTCCCCACCCCTCACCTCTCCAACCCCCATTGTTCCCCATATACCAAAATCTGTTCCTATTTAAATCCTGAAGTTGGCCCTGCAGAACTTACATATACAAAAATTTAGCCCTCCATATAGGTAGGTTTCACATGTCTTAAATATTGTATTTTCAATCTGCCTTTGTTTGAAAAAAATCTGCATATAAGTGGACCTGCCCAATTCAAACCTGTGTTGTTCAAAGGTCAACTGTATTTTTGATGCCATGGAAGTATACAGAAAGATAAAGCATACTTCTTGCCTTCAAATAATATATAAACTTGTTAGGTACAGAACAATAACACAGAGAAGAAACAAAGAAAACTTAAGATACTATATGCCAGACGTCACATATTACAATGCTAAACTCTATAGACCATAGCTACTATAGTATTTCAAAGAAAACATTTTATTGAGAATTGAGTTATAAGAAATAATTTTATGGAAGAAATGATTGTTGATTTGGGTTTGAAGGATGAATAATATTTGGGTATCTAGGGAAGATACAGTATGAAATTTTAAGTCATGGGAAGACAATAGAAGTGAAACCTCATCTATGGCAATGAGTTTGACTTATATGTAGGATGGTGAGAATAAATATCTGACTAGTGAGCATAGTAAATACCAGGAAATAAAGTTGAATAGATCTGTTGGGACTGGATTATGAAATACCTTAAAATATAGGCAATTTATTGAAAATGACTGGTATCTGGCTAATTGTACCAGATGCAATCTCTCCCAACTTCCCACTAAACACTTTTGAAGACACATAAAAATAAAAACTCACAACATTTATAAAACTGGGACCATTAATCAATCAGTTTCCAAGAATATGGAGAAAAGTGTGTACTGATAGGCCATTGGAACTGACTCTAGAAACGCAGCTGGTAACTAACATATGCTGCTAGACTCCTGTGAGTGGAACAAACCTGCTAATATAAAAAAAAATTAGATGTACTTTTTTCCATCTATTCTTTGGTTCTGAGTTGCAAATTTGTACTATAAAACTGGGTGGAAATATTTCTACTGCATAGGCCCTGCTTTTTCAGCCTTCCCACCATATTCTTTCACTTCTATCAGTATTTCACTTTCTATATATAGTTAGAAGCTACAACTCCCACAATGATTCAGTCATGATGTAGGGAAGAACTAACAGTAATACACTAATTTGGGGGTCCATAGTTTCTTTAAGTACTGTGGGCCACCGTGGCAGAGACTCATACTCTTTCCATAGAATAGAATTGTTTGAGGGAAACAGCTGTCCCTCCAGAAACTATGCTCTTTGTCCTTCTTGCATCTATATATGGCCATGTTCCTCGCCAAAAGAAGGTGAACAAAAGTGTTATGTGTTGCTTCCAGGTAGAAGTGGTTAGGAAGCAGGCATTCTTTACTATGGCGCCTTTTCCATTTTCCAGCTGAAGGTGAAGAAGGACTCCAAGGCCCTATATGGCAGAGCCATCAGATGAGAGCAGACTGGAAGTTAACCCACTGAATACTCACTAAAGACTTGTTTCAGCAAGAAATACTGTCATGAGCCATTGAGATTTTAGATTTGTTACAGAAGCTAATATTGTTTAACTAATGTAGCATGGATGGACAGAGTAGGGTGTCTTTAAGCAATGTATGCTTGTGTAGTGATATTAGAAACCATCTCCGTATAATAAGAATCTTAGAGTATGGTTTTGTGAGGACAATAAAAGATCTTCTTTCAGTCTATTTAACACAACAAATAAAAAGTAAAAACCCATTAGATACTTAGAATTGGGCTATTGGGCTAGTAACTATGCACAAGACCTCATGTTTAGTAAATAATACTATCTGCATGCCATGCATCTTGCTATATGCACCAATTTACATCATCCTCACAATCTTGTAAGCTAAGTAATATCAACCTAGTTTTACAGATGAGAAAATGCAAATAGCTTCCCAAAGTCACGCAGAAAGTGGTAAAGCCAGGGTATGAACCCTAGTGTTCCTTATTTTAATGTCATTCTTTAACTATTAATTTCTAACACTTATTTTAAAAGAGTTGAGAAAGATATTTGTCCAACAGACAAATGGATAAAGAACAAAGTCAAGAGAAATCTACATATGCTATCTGTTACAGAATTTTAGATCTTGCTAGATATCTTTCTATTCAAGAATAAGTAAGAGGAAAAATAGTCAATTTGAAGATGATTGCCATGTAACTGGTGCATATATCAAACATGACTTGTGGGATATAATCAGAAAGCAGCTACGTTTTCATTTTCTATGAGTCCTTTAAACTTATTCTGTGAGATGACTTCTTCCCTTGCCCCTGGGCAAACTCAAGGAAAGTTCAATAGCTTTTATGGTTCTTTTCAAGTAATAAGAGTCTCATTTTAGTAATCAATATATCTAAAATAGTATAATAATCAAAACTATCGATTTTATTCAAAACTTTTCTCTTTTCCCAGCTCAGGCCTATTGCAGGCTCACTAGTTTGTACAGGAAAGAGGACATGTTTTCTCTACCTTGCATTTTCTTCCTCCTCTTCTATTATGTTAAGCATGTGTGTGTGTGTGTATGTGTGTGTGTGACTTCCTCATGGTACTAGAAATGCAGAAGGAGAGGAACAAAAGGAGGGCAGGAAAGGAAGTACTTTATTATACTGTCAGGAGAAGGCAAAAACACTCCCCGGGTTTGGTAGGGATTTAAGCTTGATTGTTTCATGAAATGCAATATTTGCTTTCAGAAACCATGTGATCGCTGAAAATACATCACTTGCAATTCTCCTGATGCTTATCAATGCATCTCTTGTGGCTTTTTATTTGCAGTTTCTTTTTCATCCTGTAGGAATCTGGCTATTTATTCCTTAATTGGAAGTCTCTTGGCTTATCTGGGCAAAGTTCTAAGGAACTCCATGCTGGCTTTTTCTTTTGTGGATGTCATATGATCTACAGGATATACTCATGTATCCTTTGTCCCAACAAACTTTAGGAGTGCAGACGTTCCTCAAATACAGCAACTTCCCTTTTCTCTGCTTTCAAAACAACTTGCCAACAAGCATTGCCATTAGATTATCCAAATGCTGTAAGCCATGCATCAATCCACTATCTATCAAGTTACCAGAGACGTATTTTAAACTCTTCATATGATTCTGTTGAAGACTCTTCAACTTGTGATAAGGGGCAAGCATCCCACACTATTCACCCTTTGAGAAAGTGGTACTCAGAGCATACCAACAGCTCTTTCCTAAAATCCCCTCCTAAACACCAATTTTTTTTTTATCAAACTCTCCTACCTTTTTAGTAGGCTGAAAATGAGATATCCTAATATCTTCATAGAAGTATTCAACCACCTTTGTCAATTCTACATGATGGGTTTCCACCTGTTGGGATGTGTCATCTGATATTTTAGGGCTTCAGCCAAAACTCAAACAAATATTTTTATTTTAACATCATACTACAAAAAATACCAAAACAAAATAAAACAAAACAACAACAACAGCAACTAAAATAACAGCAGAACAAGGGAAAGAGCATATTGAGAAGTAAAGAGATACTGTAATATTAAAAATAATCTAATTAAAAATAAAAACTGTTTTAATGTAATATTATGGCATCATTGAAAAAAACTCTTTCAGGATGGGGATCTAATCTGCATACCTATTCTATAGACAGTGGGATATCTAAAGAGACAATCAGGGGATACTATTTGAAGGTGTATCTCCTGCCTCTTGAGGGAAATGTTGGAGCAATTTTTGAGGACTAGAAGTTGTGTCCTTCAGAACATTAGAATTTACAGTTCTGACAAAATGAGGAGAAAACACCACCCTCAATTTCTAGGAGTACTGATCAAAAACATATAATCAATTGTGATGGGCCTATAGATGGGAGGGAGAGGCTTTTTTTGTATGTGTCAACAAGTGATCCATCCAAATAATCTTTGACACAAACTGTTCAAGAGTACAGAACTCACAGGGGTAAGTTATTTTAGGGTGCCTAATTGTACTTACTAGTTGGAAAGTTACCCTTTCCCAACTTCAAGTTTCATTGTAATGGAGAATGGAGTGAGTGACACTGAAAGTGGAGGCAGAGTAGTCAGTGACTGGAGCGGTAGCCTTCATATGACGAGGGTGCAATCAGCAATAGGACTGCTCACATTTTGTTAGTCATTTTGGCAGTGGCAGACAACATAGCCTCATAATAAGTCATCTATCAGAGCAGCAGTGTGGAATAACAGCAACAACAGCAAAAAAATTCAGGAATCATCAAGGCAGTATCATCTACCCATCACTCAGAATAGGAAGAAGACTTGAGGCATTTGGATAGGATGATCATATTATTTATTGTCTAAAGATGGGCACTTTTTAAGAGTGAAAAGGAGCATGTTAATAATTATTCTACTACTACAGACATAAACTAAGACTTTCTGGGAAAATCAGGACATGTCATAGTTCTGGAGTGGATGAAAAAAAATTTTCTGGATTGGGGCTTGGAATCAACAAATTTTATAGTCATTATCCACATTTTTGGTGGTTTACAATGTGAGGGGCTAAGGCATACACAAGAAATGCCATCATATCTATTTTTAAGATGAATATTTAGGAATCAATGAAGACCATTCTCTATATTCTTACTCCTTATTCAATTATTCTCAAGACATCTAGTCTTATTTTCAGCCATGAATTATCTATATCTGTATGCACCTATTGCACATAAATTTAGTATAATTTATAATCTCTACCTTGAATTAAAGAGTAAGGAGAGGTTTGCTTGCCTTAATTCTCTGCCATCAAAAAGCTTTTATATTTTTAATGATTTTTGGAAAATTAGATTGATTTAGACAGTACGAGAAGCGATGCAGATGACTAGGTAGTTGGAAGAATAACAGCATAGGCTAAGGAGCTTAATTTTGATGTGGAGGATTATAAGAAGCTCTTACGGAGTTTGTAGAAGTGCGATAGCATCCAATTGAATTTAGTAATATTTAGCATCTATTCTGTGCTACATATTATATGTCCCTGATGAATGTATAATCTGTTTGGAGAGACAAAAAATCTGCACATGAAACAATTCATGCATGAAACAGGATGGTCGAATGTCAAAGTATGAATTTCAGATGATGAATATTATAGTATGTCATGGCTAGAAGGTGGTAAAGAAAAAAATAAAATGTTAATTATAATATCCCACTCCATCCAGACCTTTAATCACTTTAGAAGCATGGTTAAAGACACTGACAGAGATGACTTACCATTCAGCAAACACTTATGCTCCTCCATTTCCATAGTGTGGAGTTGTCACCTAAAGATAGCTGTCCAGCCAATGGTGACATCTCCCTATAGTAACCTTTGCATTCTATTGTGACCATGTGACTAGTTTTCACTAATAAAATGTGGGCAGAAATGATGCATGTCACCCTGGCAATAATTTATCTTGATAAAGTTGGTGTGCTTTCGCTGCTTAGTTCCTCTGTCTGCCAGCCGGATGCAAAGGATTTCAAGGCCTTACAAAGGAAACTAGGTTCCTGAATCACCACGTGAGAGAAAGCTACATGCTGACCAGGAAAAAACTGCATTTGACTATTAACATTAATGAGAAATTAACTTCTATTTTGTTAAGCCATTGGAACTTTCAGAGTTTCTTGGTTATAGCTATTAATATTACCCTAAATAATATAGGCACTAAATTTTACAGGAGTCCTCACAAACAAGCCATCTCACAATTGCCTGGGATTTCATTGCTTAGTGATTCGTATGCTCCATTATTCAATATAATTAGGAAATGCATTAGTTTTCCCTCTGTGTTACCTAATAATAAGTGAATCTAAACTAAAAGAAGAAAATACTGATTTTCCAGTTAACCCTTCAATATCTTTACTCATTTTAAAGTAATTTTAAGCTGGCTTAATTCAACAGTTGACCTCTTTACACAGGCTTGCAAGATGAAAATGAAACAGAATAGAGAACACCCCTAGAATCTGAAGTCTCAATATGTTCTGACTAATTTGGAAGGGTAGTCCTTTTTACCTGAACAAACTTATTTATCATGTGTGATAAGTTGTATATTAAATTTAGAATGTATTGCCTCCCACCCAGCTTTGAACTTCAGAAGTTTTAAAATCTCTCCTTTGCTGTTAGATATATTGACTGCCAATTGCATTAGATTTTCCTCAATCATGAGATTTTAGCTAAAGACTAAAGCATGGGCTAAGGGGTTTTACCTTATTTTCTTAGCAATGAAATAGCATAAAAAAGTTCAAATAATAGAATTTCATGTTCGGAATCCTGCTTTTGGCAATTTGATCTGGGAGTGTTGTTATGTCATATTGTAATTCGTAGGAAAATTATAGAAGATTATTGCAACAGTCCAGGCAAGAGATAATAAAATTTACTAAGGTACGTATAAGCAGATTTGAATAGAGAGAATTTTCATATTCTTGACATGAATAACTTAAATAAAATTCTTTCAAAATTAATATTTAAATTTAACATAAACCCAGTAAAAATTTCAGTGGGATTTTCTTTTCATTTATTTCTTAGAAAAATGATTCTAAAATTTATCAGAAAGGCCAAAAAGTTAAAAAAAAACTTGCAAGGATAGATGGGCATTTTGGAATAAGAGCAACAAGAGGAGACTTATTCTAACAAATATTAAATTATGTAGTTATAAAAATTTAAAGTGTGATTCTAGTGCCTGATTAGGCAACCAGGTCATTGTGGGAAAGTCACTGGAGTGCTAGTAATTGGCCCAAATGCATAAGTTAGTTTATAATAAGGGGATACTTTAAAAGCAATATCAAAATGAAGGAATATTTTCAGAGCAAATTGCTATTTGGAAAAACTAAAATCAAATTAGCTCTTCTGTAGGTGAGGTCGAGTGGTGGTTTTCTAGGTGTATCTTCTGGACAAGAGTGTCCGTATCATGTGGGAAATTTTAGCAATGAAAGTTTTCAGGCACCACTCCAGAACCCACTGAATCAGAAACTTCGGGTGGTGAGACCCTGCAATTTGTGTTTTAATAAACTTTCCAAGTGATTCCGCTGCGTGCTAAAGTTCGAGAACCACTAGGCTATATTATGCTGCAGTAACAAATCACCCATGAAATTTCAGTGGCTTATCAAAACCAAAACTTAGTCTCACAGTTAAACTACATGTCCATTAATGATTGGCAGTGGGATCTCTGCTTCAGATAATTGCTCAGGGATCCATGACGACAGAAGTAGCAATATCTTATAGTTGCAGTCTCTGAAGCATGTGGCCTCTTTAGAAATCGCAAAAAAGGAAAAGATGGCTGTGGTATCATAAGTTAATTTTTTTATTCTTTCCCACATCCTACCAGAACTAGTTTTATAGTCTTTCCTAGCAATAAGCTGTCTGGGAAATGAAGGAGAGTAGTTGAAGTGTTTGATGATTGATCACTATTATCTCTGCCTCAGATCTCTATACAACATCTTATCCAAATATCACAGATGGACAAAATATTTAAAGGCAAACAATAAAATCATACTATATGATAATAGAAGTCAGTGTTTATAAAATACTGTTCATGGGGGAAGACTGTCTAGGCATGTGTTAAAAAAAGAAAAGCAGAAATCAAAAAGGCTTTGAACGGTTTTTCCCATGACAGATACTTTACAAACATTGACCTATATTTTCTGATCCTTCAGGTTTTAGCTTAAATGTCACCTCCCTCAGAGAGACCTTTCCTGACAACCCCATCTATATTAGGTAACCTGTCATTCCTCATTATAGCATGCTATTTATATCTCTTACGGCACCAATCACAACCTGTAATTATTTGTTGCTGCCCGATTTTTCCACTAGAAAGTGAGTTTGGTGAGAATACATTTTCTTGTTTACAGGTATATCATTAGCAATTAGCAAAGTGTCTGGTCCATAATAGGAGTTTAATAAAAATTTGAGAGGTAGAATGGAAGGAAGGAAGGAAGGAAAGAAGGAAGGAAGGAAGGAAAGGGAGGGAGGTAGGAGGAAAAGAAGGAAGAAAAAAGGAAGAGAGGAAGGAAAGAGAGAGGGAGTAAGGAAGAGGGAGATAGAGATGGAGGAAAATTTATATAGAAAAAGTCGGGAAGGATTTATACCAAAATGTTGACAATGGTTATTTATGAAAAGTGAGATAGCAGATGATTTTTACATTTTCCACTATATTTCTGCATTTTCTGAAAATTCTTAGTGCAATGAGTTTGCATTACTTGTATAAGCAGAACAAGAAACTAAGTAGTTTTGTTTTAACAAGAGGAAATTGTATGAAAAATGATGAGGACCTGAATTACATTAGTGACAGTAGGAATGGAAATGAATGTTAGAGACACTCTAGAGTTAGAATGAACAGGATGTAGCAGCTAAGTGTGGGAGGAACATGAGGAGGGGAAGGAGTCAAAGATGACATTCACATTTCAAGAAGTATAATATAATTAGAGAGTGCTCCACATTTCTTCCTCCTTAATATGATTGTCCTCTTAATCCTTCTTTTCATTTAATGATAGAGTGAATAATATAACACATTTTGCCTTCAAAATGTATTTCTGATATCAATGGTGTAGTTTGGAAACTGACATTGGGGGAAGTATGTTAAAGGTCTGGTCTAGAGTCGTGGCTGTGGGGATATGATGTAGACAGATTTGGGAGTTACGGAAAAGAGAATTCTCTGGTTTTACGGAGAGAGAAAGAGAGAGAAAGGAGAGAGCTGAATGGAGATCAGAGGTAGGAAGAGGAAGAAATCTGTAATCACTACCAAGTTTCTGGCTTGTGTCACCTGGCAGATGTGAATGTGCTTCCTGGAAAAGAAAATACAGGCTTAAAAGCAGGACTTTTTCTGATTAGTTTGGAGGAGGCTCCTGTATTGCCTCAGTTTGGAAATTGATGAATTACAGGCAACGATGTCAGGCTTCTGGCTTAAGCAAGGAATGCTATTGACTTGGGGCAGGTAGCACAGGAGAATAATACTTGGTAATTTTGTGCCATTAGGGACATTTAAGTGTAAAGTTCTGCTGTTTAGTTGGATCTTTGTATCTGCAGCTCAAGGAAATATTTGGGGATGGAAATACTGATTTGGGGTCATCAAGTTAAAGGTGTTAAATGAAATAGAGATCTTCAGAAGCCATAACATTTAGACTGACCTTTCTCCAAAAGCCTAAAATATCTCCCTTTCCCCTTAATAAGAAAGCACTCCAGTGTTGAAAGTATCCCAGCACTGCAACTGGGCCTGCTACAGACTACAACCTATGTTCCTTTAAGAATAATTTTTGTCATTCTGAGATTTGCTTCTCAACCCTTACTTCTGCTTTGATTATTTCTTCTGGCTGTCTGTCACATATAATTGGAGAAAAAATTAGAGTAATGTTGAAAGTTTATATTTTATTATTCTTTGAGTTCTGAAGTCATTCTTCAAAATTGAAATAAAAGAAGTAAGTCACCAATGTACCATTTTTATTACTGGCAAAAAGTTTGCTTAATGCTTTCAATCTTGTACTATAAGTTATGTTACACAAAACTCACTCTCTAGATTAGGACTCCAATAGCTTGGATGGAAAATGTTCAAGGAGTACAGGAAATAATAAGGAATTAAAAAGGAATCAGGTTTTAGCAATGAAAAACCTGGCAAGAAGTACAGATGATATTTTCCTTTCATACAGTTTCTCCTTTCTACCAGACCTGACATTTATAAGAAAAAAAATTCCCAAAGGATTATAAATCATTCTACTATAAAGACACATGCACACTTATGTTTACTGCAGCACTGTTCACAATAGCAAAGACCTGGAACCAACCCAAATGCCCAATGATAGACTGGATAAAGAAAATGTGGCATATATACACCATGGAATACTATGCAGCCATAAAAAAGGAGGAGTTCATGTCCTTTGCAGGGACACGGATGAAACTGGAAACCATCTTACTCAACAAACTAACACAGGAACAGAAAACCAAACACCGCATGTTCTCACTCATAAGTGGGAGTTGAACAGTGAGAACACATGGACACAGGGAGAGGAACATCACACACCAGGGCTTGTCGAGGGGTGAGTGGCTAGGGGAGGGACAGCATTAGGAGAAATACCTAATGTAGATGACGGGTTGATGGGTGCAGCAAACCACCATGGCACATGTATACATGGTGAAACCCCATCTCTACTGAAAATACAAAAGTTAGCTGGGTGTGGTGGTGTGTGCCTGTAGTCCCAGCCACTCGGGAGGCTGAGGCAGGAGAATCACTTGAACCAGGTAGTTGAAGGTTGCAGTGAGCTGAGATCGCGCCACAGCACTCCATCCTGGTGACAGAGCGAGACACCGTCTCAAAACAAAAAACAAAAAACAAAAAAACAAAAACACAAAAAAAAAAACCCTGCACGTTCTGCACAGGTATTCCAGAACTTAAAATATAATAAAAAACAAAACAATTATTCCATTCATTTTCTGATGAAGAGTAATGTAGTTTAATAACATTGTCTCTTTTATTCATTGCTTGTCAGAAAAATATATTAGAAGCAAATAGCTGTTTAATTTCTCTATGTGCAGAATACTGTGTTCTTCTACTTTTGGGGGTAATTGTCTTTGCTTCATTCCTCAGTCACAACCCTAAAGGTCAAAATATTGTATTTAGTATATGCAGGCTCTCCCACTTCTACCTCATTCTCTGCGAGGGCTAATTCATATTTTCCAAAGATGTAATTTTAAAATCATTATACCCCAATGAGTTGTCTTATATTGAGCATGTACATTTGTTAACAACAACCAGGAGTTAAAGCAAATTATTTCTTTGGTTTATTTCCTTTCTTCAAGGATTATCTTTACTTCTCTTATCAGAATAATCCTTCTGGGTTTGAGGACCTTATTACGTTAAAAATTTGTCATTTGGGAAATCAGAAACACCGTAGTCAAACATTACACCAGTCCAACAGATAATTCATGTTGTACCTGGGTGTTTCCCCCTTGTAATTCTCCTTTTTCATTTGCTATGACCTATGAAGTGAATGAAACAACAAATCAAAATTTATGTTTTCTCTCCACCCTCAACTCCCCAACCAGTTAAGCCAACTTTAAGCAATACTTAATATTTCTTTTTTCTCCTTTCTTCTAGGATGTTAGAATAAAATATTTCTAATAGCAAAATGACAGACTGTAAACACTAGTTGATTATCTTACTGTATTTGAAACCTGTCAGTCTTAAAAAATTATACAATTAAGTGCAAAAAGCAGGAATCTGTTACGCAATTAAGAGGATGGGTACCACATTATATTTAAGTTTTAAACATGACCTAACTTTGTCTTCCTTTTAATTAGGTAAAGGGATTATTTAAGCCCAGATTTCCCAGAGTGATGAAGGTTTGTCTATTAAACAAAGACTTTAAAATTACTTACTTACCTCCTGTAAATAATTTTAATACCACTCTTGGATCTTCCTTGTTAGATTTTGACATGGGATTCTTGATCAAGACTGAACTACATCACAGTCAGATACACAGAATGAATTTCTACAACATCCTGGCTTCATTTGGAAAATGCTAAATGATTTAACATGTATAGTAATAGTAGCCTTCATTTGTTAATATTCTTTGTGCTTCCTGTAAAGGTGACTCTTTTCATCAGACCATTATCTGTTACCAGATTATGCACCATAGAATTTATTCTAGTTCTCTTTTCAAATATTCAGGCTAGATGTCTTGCTCACTCAAGAGACACAGAATAGCCACAGCAAATAAATTAATTCATTTGGTCATTAACGCATATTTTAAGTGTTACAACTTGAAGCGAAAAATTCAAGAAAAGTGTAATAAAAGTTAGATTCCTATTGTTAACGAGGCGTATTGTCTATTGAAGACACTAATTTCACCACAGGGTGCAGTCTTGGAACCTTTCAGTCTAATTAGAATTCGTTTCCATATTCTTTATCAATTTCTCCTTCAGCTGAAATCTTCTCAAATGACCTTTTTTTCTTCACTTATGGCTCACCCAAAGACGTTATTTTTCCCTAAACAATCATTCAAATGCCACTGCATTTTTCCAGTAAACACATTCTAAAAATAAATGTCCTTGCTGACACACATCTACTAAATGGGAGGAAGACATTGACTATACTAAGCTTTTTTTTTTTTTTTTTTTTTTTTTTTGTGCGTAGCAAACACTTTTCACAAATTTTTGAGGTGAGTAATATTAAGTGGAAGGGATGTTTCTTGGACCTCAGAGAATAA
Organism: Homo sapiens; assembly: GCF_000001405.40. Taxonomy (NCBI): domain Eukaryota; kingdom Metazoa; phylum Chordata; class Mammalia; order Primates; family Hominidae; genus Homo; species Homo sapiens. The sequence goes on along the minus strand of NC_000023.11, from coordinate 99,947,348 downwards.
GAATTGGATGTGTGCTTAAGAACTTGCAGTTGGATTAACTATATTTGTTGTTGTCTAGTGCACACATGAACTGAATGGAAACCTTCAATCCCATATCTAAAAGGAAAAAGAGAAAAAGCTGTGTTCTCTACACAGGGACTCAGCAAGGAAAACTGCCTACACATAACTTACCCTTTGATATCATCAAATCTGCTTAAATATGCATAGCTCCTGAAGGCTTAGCTCAGCCTCCCTGACTGAGTGCTTTGGCTGTTCTTATTCTGGGTCATTCAGATGACTTCCAAAACTGTTTCTGGAAGGCATTACCAATGTTTAATAATATAAGCTAATTACCAGACAACATTTATATTCAACCATATTATCTGATTTTAGATGAAAGGCTAATTTGTCATTAACAGTCAGAGGGAAATTTCTGGGTGGGTTTATGGGGAACTGTGGCTAACCTGGATGAAAGAACAAACAAGGGAACAAATATATCTCCCTCTCCTGGAGGGACTGCAGAGGGAGCATTTGATCTCTTCTATAGTGCCTGATAGGGTATTGTGTCCTATAAAAACAGAGAGATAATCAAAATGATTAATATTGAGGGAAAACAAAAACTGGTGCACTGGAAGCTCTCAGTAATTTTTCAGTTAGTTTAGTATACAAAATTTGACAAATGGGAAGTTATCTGAAAGATGAATCTGAGCTTTATGAATTTCTACCTATGAAATTATAACCAAATTTATAGTGAGAAGGAATTAGAGAGTATTGAATATACTTTATATTTCTGAAATTGCGAGGTCTTTTGTTTGTATATCATTGTGGTTGGAAATGCTATGACATTTATCTTTATGATACCAGAAGTGACACATATTGCTCTTCTTCAAGATCTTGTTATTAGTGGTAAAGCTTATATAACTCATCTTGAATTTCTCCATAGTGTCTTTTCCCCCTGCATTGAGTGGTTCAATGCTTTAACAATGCTGGGGAAAATTGCAGTGCAGATTATTGCTGTGACAACAATTAATCACAGGGTCTTATTATTCAAGGTTGGCTCCACTTTTCATATCACAAAGTAAGATAGTTGAATTCAGTCTGAAGACATTAAAAAATAAATTCACTGATCTTCAAACAAAAAAGTTAGGTAGCTAATTAAACACATTGTGAAAACTGAGATTATAGTTAAAGATCAGCCCAGACTCAGACAATATCTTTACTGAGTTATGATATGTACAAGCTAATAAAAATCTCATTTGACAGAAATTGTATCAGTGATTCTCCATAGTGAATGTAGATGTCAAAATGACAATCCAGGGAAACTGTTGAGAACATTAATTTTTTTTTACAGACTTGCAGTTCATAATTAAAGTTCAACATCTTTCACAGGCTAAAACTCTGTTGTAATTTGGAAACTGTTGTTGTTATTCTGCCACCTAAATATTATTTTCAAGGCGCTTGACTTAGTTGTGAAACACAAATTATTTACATTTTTTATTATACTTTTGGGTCACTATACAAACAAATTTCTCTTACAAAAAATTTCATGAACACCCACAATTTTTTGTTGATATTTTAAATTTAAGGTGGGAAATTTAAGTAAATGATATTGATATCTAATTGATCCTTTTGACAGAACACAAATTTAAAAAGTTCGTATAGAACATTTTAGCAATCATCTTCCTGCCATGCAAACAATATAGCCTTTGTTAGAGATTTGGATAAAAGAAAACAAAAAGTCTATAGAAATTTGAAGAAAATTTGTTACAACCAATTTAATTTGACAAACAATTATCAGACATCACAATGCAAAACTGAAATAGCCACACTGCGAAATAGCTCTTAAGAAACCCAAAATCTAGTATAAGAATCATAAATAATACAAAATTCCTATTAAAATTGTATCCCAACCCCAGTATTCCTTAGCCCTCTACCTGGCTTTAATTTTTGGTAGCATTTTTAACATTCTTATATTCAATATAATTTACTTCTTTATCTCTTCACGCCAGAATCAAATCTCCATGAAAATTGGAGGTTTTTGTCTGTTTTGTTCTTGCTTAGTGTTTAGATAAGTGTCCGGCACATAGTAGATGATAAGGATTGTTGAATTAGTGAATCCATGAAGAAATGGTACAAAGAAGACTGTAATGAGTGTTACAATAGAGGTAGAAATAAATTAATTTTGAGGTATACAGAGAGATGAGAGATAGGTCAACTCGATCACCCTGGTCAAATGTTAGCTCTGTGTGAAGCTGTGTCCAGATTGCTCAAGCAGGTTTTCTTCTACAATCTTCCTATTCCTACACACCTCTCTTACAACAGGTACTATATCATAGCATAATGATTCATTCATCTCTCTCTTCGTTAGACTATAAAATATTTGATGACAGAAACTCTTTTTTTCTTTTACCTACTTGCCCATTATAGTGTTTTGTATCTAAGTGGTTATTGAATTTAGGAATGAAGGTTTAGTAAGCCTAGTACTGAGAGATTGGGGTTGGGATGTCGGGATAGAGGTGTGATCAAGGTAAAGGCCATAGCCACAGTGTCTCAATAGTTGTGGGGTCAACTGAGTGACAGATGAGTCTGGTAAAGTAGATTGGGGAAGAAATATGGAGTACTATACATGTCAGAATTATGAACTCGACTTTATTTCTGTTTGCAGTGGGAGCTCATAAACATCTTTGAATAGTGAAAAGATGCAATACCATCTACCTATGATTTAGGAGAGCAAAACAATGGACTAAAGTCAGAAACACTAGTTGTTATAATAGTCAAAGTCTGAGATAATGAGGCTTGAGCTAAGATAGTAAATACTTAAATTTTCTTGGAAAGAGGGTATAATATTATAGCGATAGAGGTAACAAGATATAATTCATGCTTAAATATAGAGAATGATTAGGAATACGGAGGAATAAAAATGGATGCTGAGGTTTTGGCTTTAAGTACCTGAAAAATACAGAAGGAATAAGTAAAGTTGGAAGTCTCATGAGGTGATATGGTTTATACACGTTAAGTTTGAGATGCTTCTGGAATATTAATAAATGCTAATCAGGCAGATACAAATTTGGTAATGCACTTCAGAAAAGAATCAGGGGTTGGGCAGTTTATTGTTGAAGTTATAGGAAAGGATGCAATTGCTAATAGTGAATAAATGGCAGAAGAAGAGGATCAGGAACAGAACATTGGGAAATACCTTAAATAAGAAATGCTTAGAAGAGGAATTCATGAGAAGGACAGAAGAATTCAAAGAGAAAAGAAGAGAAGAAAAATGAGACCATCACAGAAATCACTGGAAGAGAAAATTTAGGAATGATGGGTTGCCAACAGTAACAAATTATACAAATAAGTAGATTATACCAATAAACTGGAAGATATCATTGGAATTGGTACTTTGCAGTGACTAAGTTTTCATAGTATGCTTGATGTTGAACCCAGAATGACTGGAGCTGAAGAAAAACAAAAAGTAAGTATGCAATAAGTGTAGAATACTCAGTTTGCAGAGATTGAGGGGAACAGAAAAGTTTTATATTAGTTGCTGCAGTGGATTCAGTAAGGAGGTAATTATTTAGAAATGAAAAGAAATGATTAAAAGTGGGGTCTCAGTTGAAATTTTAGATCATGAATATTTAATGTACCTAATCAGGTTGGTGATGTGTCTTTCTTGAAGCAACTTGCATAAACTGGGAAGGAGATTCAAGAAAATGGTTGGTTGGGTTAATTCAGGGTTGGGGTTCAGCATGGTAGGTATAATACAAGGATAAAGGAGTTGAGAGGTTCAGGGAATTGGTAAGAATTCAGTTGAAGCATTTGAAAATAGGATTCCTGATGCATGGTGAGGCCAATAAGGTATTGAGGAAGTTATTAAAACATGATAATAGGAAACAATCAGAAAACTAGGAGGAACACAGTTAGAGCAACCAGGAAATTCCATGCAATGGTTAAGTATAAGATGAGGACTGAAGTGGAGTGGAGATGGATGTTATTTAAGCTGAGAACATTTTTATAACATAATTACAAGGAAATAGTTTTGCTATGTGAAACCTTTCAAGAAATTAAGTTATTAGGGCATTATGAAGTAGCCTCTAAAATATGTAATTTAATACATATGCATTTATTATACTTTAAATTCTGGGATACATGTGCAGAAGGTGCAGGTGTGTTACAAAGGTATACACGTGCCATGGTGGTTTGCTGCACCCATCAACCTGTCATCTACATTAGGTATTTCTCCTAATACTATCCCTCCCCTAGCCCCCCACCCCTCGACAGGCCCCGGTGTGTGATGTTCCTCTCCCTGTGTCCATGTGTTCTCATTGTTCAACTCCCACTTAGTGAGAACTAAGTGAGAACATGCAGTGTTTGGTTTTCTGTTCCTGTGTTAGTTTGCTGAGAATGATGGTTTCCAGCTTCATCCATGTCCCTGCAAAGGACATGAACTCATCTTTTTTTATGGCTGCATAGTATTCTATAGTGTATATGTGCCACAATTTCTTTATCTAGTCTATAATTGATGGGCATTTGGGTTGGTTCCAGGTCTTTGCTATTGTGAATAGTGTTGCAATAAACATATGTGTGCATGTGTCTTTATAGTAGAATGATTTAGAATCCTTTGGGTATATACCCAGTAATGAGATTGCTGGGTCAAATGGTATTTCTGGTTCTAGATCCTTGAGGAATTGCCACACTGTCTTCTCCAATTGTATAGATTCAATGCTATCCCCATCAAGCTACCATGGACTTTCTTCACCGAATTAGTTGTATATTTTATATCAAATATACTTCATAACCATATGATGGTTTCTGAATGAAATTTTGAAGCCCAACCTAAAGCTTTTCAAAAGGAATGGATAAGAGAGCAGGATACATTGACTACACTGCTAAAATTCTAGTCCTATAGAATTGATTAATCTGAAACCCAATCGCTTGCGTGGTTTACCTTTGATTAAAAACCTTAATTATCTACTGTGTTCTAGGTGTCAGGCTAGCTGTTGAAGATATGTTAATGAGTACCTTGTTCTTAAATTACTCATGGTTGTCTGCTTAAAGGAATGTATCAGTTACTAATTTTTAAAAAAAACTTTATTATAAAAAGAAATACACGTTCTTTTGATCTAAAAAGTTAGAAAATGCAGACAAGCAAAAAGGAGATAATAAAAAATTGCCTATAAACCCACTATATGGAGATATTAACATTATTTTTTAGGGGTGTGTGTGTTTCTAAAAATATGATACATGCATTGGTTTATAAGCTGACTTGTCACTTTTTAATAATTTCATATGACCATATTTTCATATCAATAAATATGCTTTTATACCACCTCTAATGTCTACATTGTTTCACACTGTATGACTGATTGGTAATTTATTTTCCCAATACCCTATATTTGGACATTTATTTCGTTTCCACTATAGCACCATAAATCAATACTATATATACATTAGAGTATATGACTTTTAAATATATGTTTTAATACAATTGAGAGGAAATTATTTTAGAGATTCCTTGAACTTACTCCTCTAGCTATTTGATTAAATGGCATTTCTTTAGGCATAGATGAAACAGACAGTAAATCAAATGGTATATTTTGAGAGACCTTTCTCCTGACCTCAAATATTTCTCTGTCTTCAATGTCTTTTAATTGCCTATCTTTTTCTTTTTCTTTTTTCTGACAGGGAGTCTGGCTCTGTCGCCCAGGCTGGAGTGCAGTGGCATGATCTTGGCTCACTGCAACCTCCGCCTCCCGGGTTCAAGCGATTTTCCTGCCTCAGCCTCCCAAGTAGCTGGGATTACAGGCGCCTGCCACTGCGCCCGGCTAATTTTTATATTTTTAGTAGAGATGGGGTTTCTCCATGTTGGCCAGGCTGGTCTCAAACTCTAGACCTCATGTGCCTATCTTTTTGATGTAAGTACTTAAAGAAAACACAATGTTATTAAAGAGGGATAAACTTTAAGCCATTAGTGCTTAAACTTGGATGAGTTCATTAGAGAAACTATTCGCTTAGGTTCTCAAAGGCATGATATTTATGAAAAGCATGTTTTGATAGAGGTGAGAAACAAGAGTCAACACTAAAATACTGGGAATCCTAAGTAGGATGCTTTGTGGTGGAATATAAGAGTACTGGTGTTTTGGGAAGTGAAGATTAGTACCTAAAGCAAAAGGTGTGTAATACGAGGTGGTAGGGCTTCTTGAAACAAGTTATCATCATTCTACACTGGTACAAGGGGCCAGTACTATAAACTGAGAGACTCTTGACCATGTGTATGTAGCTAAAAGGATTTTACTGATGAAACAAATTTCAACCAGTCTAGATACATATTTCACCCTTATTCTCTGATTCCTCCATTTCCCTAAAAATTGCTCTGTTGAAACATGTCTTAGGGTTCTTTGTGCTGCTATAACAAAATATCACAGACCGAGTAATTGACAATGAACAGAAATTTATTGGCTCATAGTTCTGAAGGCTGGGAAGTCCATGATTGGAGGCTCACATCTCATGAAAGCTTTCGTGAGGGCAAAAGAAAGCAAGAGAGGGCCAAATTCACTCTTTAATAATGGCATAAATTCCACCCATGAGGGCAGAGACCTGGTGGTCTAATCACCTCTTAAAAATCCCACCTCTTAGTACTGTTACAACGTACATTACTTAGTATGTTACAACTCACATTTCAACATGAATTTCGGAGCGGACAAATATTCAATCCATAGCAAAACATATCTTTATTTATTTTTTATTTTTATTATACTTCAAGTTTTAGGGTACATGTGCACAACGTGCAGGTTAGTTACATATGTATACATGTGCCATGTTGGTGTGCTGCACCCATTAACTTGTCATTTAACATTAGGTTTACCTCCTAATGCTATCCCTCTCCCCTTGTGGAAGTCAGTGTGGCGATTCCTCAGGGATCTTGAACCAGAAATACCATTTGACCCAGCAATCCCATTACTGGGTATATACCCAAACGATTATAAATCATGCTGCTATAAAGACACATGCACACGTATGTTTATTGCAGCAGTGTTCACAATAGCAAAAACATATTTTTTAAGGGAAAAATGTGTGCTCTACGTCCTATAAAAGAGGCAGAAACTTTGAGCAATCTAGGTTTTTTTTTTTCTTTCTTCCTCTCCTGAATACACTCCCCAAAACACCCCTTTCCAGTTACAATTAGCATCGTGATCCAAGCAGATGCTACATGAAAGAGGAATCGCCATTTACTCAGAAAAAAATGTCCCTTACAGGAACCGGCAGCAGCTAGGCAAAGTCGCCCGCCGGCCTCCATCCAAAATCACGCTCGCGTGCTTCGGAAGCATCCGAGTCACTCCTTTCCCACTTTTTCTTGCAGATCGGCCTGGGCCGGTGTGGGTTCTGTTTCTCCCCTTGGCTGCCTGTAAGCCCACAGCCTTCTGGCTGCAACATTATAGAATTGGCCGTGTCCCGCCTGGTGGGGGATTGGGGATCTGTGTTTAGCCATTTATATCTACTTTAGCTGTTAAAGAAGTCCAAATGAAAATCAGGTGATGGTGGAACCATGGGGACTTGGGGGTGGGGCAGAGGTGGGAACATTTGTATCAGTTAAGTCAGCTTCGTGGCTCCCTGTGGAGCCAGGGCTGAGCCTTGTGACGCGCACTCGCCAATTAGAGATTGATCAGCCAGCAGTCAAATGCATTCTCCAGTCCTTGCAAGAAGGATCAGCCTTTTCTGTGCCAGCCTCGATCGCCTTGTGCTTTGGTCTCTTTTTCTCCCCTGCTTGGATCCTGCCTCGCGCGGGCCGTCCTGTTGCTGAGACTCGGGGTACCGTTCTGCTGACCCAGCTCCCTTTAGTCACGTTTGCTTGGCTCTGGTACCAAATAGTTGGGATTACCGAAGAGTCCCCTTCCTCGCGTGTCAGCACAGATGCTGTGACTGCCACCCGCGTCCCCGTCAAGTGCCTGTGCCCGAGCTCGCCGCCGCCGTGTGTGCTGCGCTGATTGAGTTATGAGGTGCCTTTCCCGGAACCCTCCTCTCGCCCGGACCCAAGAGAGGCGACAGCTGTGGCTGGGGCTCTTGGTTTCCAGAGGGTCTGGACTGGTTTGGGTGCTTTAAAATAGATATTTAGTTCAGTGGTGCTTATGGGGGAGATGGGACTAGAACTTAAGTGTGAGACTTGGGTGGATGGGAAAGTTAATTATTGGTCTCTTCAAGTTTTTTTTTTTTTCTTTTGCTATTGTTACCACTTGTCACTGTCTCCATGTTAAAATGCCAAAAATGATCTAGTTGTTGTTGCTTTTTTCCCTATTTTCCACCCCAGTCGCTCCTTACCGTGACTCCTGCCCTTGGAGGGCATGTAGCAGTATCTGTCCTGCCAGTCCCAAGGCCCTGTGGGAGGAGACTGGCCTGCATCTCTCTAAGACTTAGTCTGACGCCACGCACATCTCTTGTTCTGTGTTCAATCAGTAGTCCAGGGGAGAAGCTTCTGCTACTTCAGAGCTTTGCTAAACTAACCTAATTTGTCCAAATCACCCCATAACCACCATCTCTGACTCAAGCTTCCATGTGACAGCCTGATCCATTTCCCTGGAGAAGTCTCTTTCCTGGAATGCAGCCCAGACACCTGTGCTCCTGGCACCCTTGAGGTCTCTCCTTTGAGTCGTGGTCACCGAGAGGGTTGAGGACGCACCACCCGAGGTCCCAGCCTTTGCAGGAGCCGCCCTGGGCGGAGCTGGACTCGGATCTTCGGTGGCCTCATGTAAATCCGGCAGCCAGCCTCTTCTAGAACCCTAGCCCAGGGACTGGAGCAGGAAAAGGACCTTCAAAGTGAAGACTGCCTTGTCCCGCACCTCCTTCTGGCTTAGATTGAAAAATGGGCTTCCTAATAGGTTAAATCCTTTAAAACAAGGAGTTGTGGGGGAAGGGTGTCACGCACTCCTAGAGAAAGGTACACAGTTGTCCGGCTGGGAACGTGCTTGGCGCGACCCTGCGGGCATCTGACTGGTCTTCCAGCTCAGGAAAAAGAATTTGAAAGAGGCTTAGTGTGAAGGGGAATCAAAGAGGAGGTTGTGATTTGGTCGAAGGTGCCTGGTTTAGTGCTGTAATTGTCTTATTTTTTTATATATATATTTCTTGGAGTAAACATTTTAAATAAACGACATCATTGTCTACTGAAAAAAAAAGAAAATTAGAAGCACTGACCTTTCCTGCACAGTCAGAAATCCAAATATGACTTTTGACTTCCCAAAATATTAACTACTAATAGCCTATTGTTGACCAATAACCTTACTGATAACATAGACAGTCGATTGACACACATTTTGTGTGTTATATGTATTATATACTGTTTTATTACAAAAAAGGAAGCTAGGGGAAAGAAAATGTTATTAAGGAAATCATAAAGAAAATATATTTACTGTTAATTAAGTGGAAGTAGATTATCATAAAGATCTTCATCCTCCTCATCTTGAGTAGGCTGAGGAGGAGGAGGAAGAGAAGAACTTTGTCTTACTGTCTCAGGGGTGACAGATGCAGAAATCAATGTATGAGTGGACCCCTGAAGTTCAAGCTCATGTTGTTCAAAGGTCAACTGTACTTTAAATACATAAGTGTGTATATATGGTTCATGTCAAAACCATTGTCTTTGAAACTGAACTTACATGACTGCTTATATCATAAATAATACAATTATGTTTTTCAAATCACTGGAAATTTTTACTATACTAAAGATGTCCTTTAGTTTGAATCACTTATTTTTTATTTAGGTATGAAGACTTTGAGAATGTGACTACATCTGACTGTATTCTCTAAATAGCCACATATGTGTATATGTAGGGATATTGAAATTGAAACCATGAAAACTCATAAGTAGCAACTATGAATATACACAAATATTTTACCATTATTTTACAGACAGAACGAGCCAAAGATGGCCTCTGTATATTGGCCCCTATGTTATTTCTTCACTGAAGGATAAAACCCATTAGCTCATAAGCCCACCAACACCAAATTCAAATTTTTATACATCCAACTATTTTAAAAATTATCTCCAAAAGCAGATTTTTAGCAATTTGGAGCCCACCTTATTTGCATACCCTATGAAACCTTACCCCACATGTGCTCACCAGTGATAAGATAGAGCCTTCTGGTTATAAAACTCCAAGCTGCGGTGGGTCCTTAGGAGTCTCTGACCCAGTAACTCCCCACCATGTTTCTGAGTAATATAACCTAAACACATAAGCCCACTCCCTGATCCCCTTCTCCCCTGGGAGTTCCTTGTTCTTCTCCCCTTCTGATGAGACAGCCCCCTTCACCACAGTCTGTAGAGAGACTCCTGCTGTGAGGGAGTTCCTCCCTCTTGCAGCCCTGTGTAAATGTCACCCAATGTTTGTTTTACTGTACCTGTGGTCATATCGTACTCTTTGATCAGTCCCCAATCATTTGAAATTATGACAGGACACAAAGATAAACAATCAAGTATAGACACAGACAATTAAACTTGTAAAACATCAACTGCAAATCTAATTGAATATATTATATATGAAGATGCACATGAATGAAAAGTATTATGCTCAAATAGTGAATAGTATGACAAAGTTTTATGAAACTGTATATTTGTAGAAATATCTGTATAGTTTGCAATATACAATCAAATATACTATGTTCTGCGTGTTTTGAAGCAATGGCTAACAGCAGACTTTAAAAATTTATTCTGATCACTTGTGTCTTTGTTTTGCACCCTTCCTTTTTTAAAAAATTAATTCAATAGCTTTTAGGGAACAGGTGGTTTTTGGTTACGTGGAGTTCTTTCGTGGTGATTTCTGAGATTTTGGTGATGCCATCAACCAAGCAGTGGACACTGTGCCCAAGGTATAGGCTTTTGTCCCTTACCCCACTCCCATCCTTGTCCCTGAGTCCCCAAAGTCCATTGTATCATTCTTATGCCTTTGCATCCTCATAGTTTAGTTCTCACTTATAAGTGAGAACATAAGATATTTGGCTTTCCATTCCTGAGTTACTTCACTTAGAATAATTGTCTCCAACTCCATCCAAGTAGCTACAAATGGACTACCAAACTGGCACTACAAGAAATGCTAAAAAGACTTCTAAATCTGTAAGCAAAACCTCAAAATACACCAAAATAGAAGCTCCTTAAAGCATAAAACTCACAGGGCCTATAAAACAATAACACAATGAAAAAAAAAAACCAAGGTATTTAGGCAACAACTAACATGATGAATAGAACAGTGCCTCACATCTCAATACTAACGTTGAATGTATATGACCTAAGCACCCCATTTTAAAGACACAGACTGGCAGAATGGATAAAAGTCCACCAAGAAAGTATCTGCTAACTTCTGGAGACCCACCTAACACATAAGGACTCACATAAACTTAAGGTAAAGGAGTGGAAAAAGATATTCCACCCAAATGAAAACCAAAAGCATGCAGGAGTAGCTATTCTTATATTCGAAAAAAAAAAATAGACTTTAAAGCAACAACAGTAAAAAAGGACAAAGACAGACATTGTATAATGATAAAAGGATTAGCCCAACAGGAAAATATAACCATCCTAAAAATATATGCACCTAACTCGGGAGCTCCCAAATTCATTAAACAATTACTTCTAGACCTAAGAAATGAGATAGACAGCAACATAATAATAGTGGGAGACTCCAATAGTCCACTGACAGCACTAGACAGGTAGTCAAGACAGAAAGTCAACAAAGAAACAATGGGCTTAAACTATACCCTAGAACAAATGGACTTAACAGATATTTATAGAACATTCTACCCAACAAGTGCAGAATATACATTCTTTTCACCAGCACACGGAACATCCTCCAAGATATACAATACGATAGGCCACAAAACAAGTCTTAATATATTTAAGAAAATCAAAATTATATCAAGTATCATTTCAGACCACAATGGAATAAAACTGGAAACTATATCAAGTGTTAATTTTATTCCACGGTAGAATAAAACTGGAAATTAACTCCAAAAGAAACCCTCAAAACTATACAAATACATGGAAATAAAATAACCTGTTCTTGAATGATTTTTGGGTTACAAATGAAATCAAGATGGAAATCTAAAAAAATTCTTTGAGCTGAACAATAATATTAGCACAACCTATCAAAACCTCTGGGATACAGCAAAAATGGTATCAAGAGGAAAGTTCACAGGATTAAATGCCTAAATCAAAGTGTCCGAAAGAGCACAAATAGACAACCTAATGTCACACATCAAGGAACTAGAGAAACAAGAACAAACCAAACTCAAACCCAGAAGAAGAAAATAAATAACAAAGATCAGAGCAGAATTAAATGGAATTGAAACGAACAAACAAACAAAAACAATACAAAAGGTAAAGAAAACAAAAAGCTAGTTCTTTGAAAAGGTAAACAAAATTGATACACCATTAGCAAGATTATCCAAGAAAAGAAGAGAGAAGATTCAAATAAACTCAATTACATTTATTTGTAATTAACAGAAATTATTAAAATTTATACCACAGAAATACAAAGGATCATTCAAGGCTCCTATGAACACTTTTACATGCACAAACTAGAAAATCTAGAAGTCTAGAAGAGGTGGATAAATTTCTGGAAATATACAACTCTGCTAGATTAAATCGGGAAGAAATAGAGACTTTCTATATTTCTTTTTAATTTGGATATAAAAATGACAGAAGCATAAGTTGATTTTTGACAGAAATTTAGTTATGAGCAAGAGTTTTTTATAATGTAAGATAATCCTTGTAATTTGTGTGCTTAGCTTGTGATATATTAAACGTCTAAGTTTGTCAAATAGAGCACCTGAACTTTACTTATAAAAGAAAACGCTTTATTTCTAGTCATAAATATTCTTTCATTTATGAAATTCTGTTTTGTTCATTTATTCACTTACTCATTTGATAATCAATGATGTAGTGGAGATAGCATGCATTTTGGAATTAGACTTGGGCTGAAATTATAGCTCCAAAGTGTACTAATTGTGAAAATTGGACAAATTAGTTAACATTGTTGAACCTCATTTACCTTAATCTCCTATTACTTAATTATTTTATATAAGCACATATTTATGCTTATATACTCAAGCATTTGTTGAGTACCTGATATGTGCATATATTGGACAAACTAAAACCTCCCAGTTTAAGCAGTCCCAAAGCCTACCAAATGAGTTGTTTCAAAAGTTCTTATTAACTAGTAATCAGGTAATATGATGGAACCTCTTCTGGGTTTAATGGGGCACGGTATCCCCAGTTTGTATTGCTCCTGTCATGTATTTGACAGTTGTCTTCTTTTTGCCTTCTTTGAAAGGGGGAACTATCAAAACACTAGTTTAGACTGTCACAATGCAGAAGCTTAACAGTCACATGAAAGATAATCATTATGGAAAAGAATCAAGACAAGTAAGGAAAAGAGCATTTAAATGACTGACTAAACAGAAGTGAACTTTCTGAAGAATGTAAGATAGAGCCATGGCAATTCCAACTGCAAGAAATTCTGGTTTTTACTTGTTTCTATTCTGGCTTACTCACTCTATTATTACTCTCAAGAAAGAAAATGATTTAATATAGACGCTTATAGTCACAAACTCTTTTTAACCAAAAGAAAAGAGTTCTTTTTCTTATTGATTCAGAAGCAAAATAAGCTCTTAAGAATTCATTTTTTGATAATATTTGCCTTTGCTATGAAAACTCATAGGCTGTCTTATCTTTGTACAGAAAACATATTGAACAGTCATAATTTTATGCCCAAAAATCTGGAAACAATTTAAAGACCGATTCTTGATAATTTTGAAATTTCACCGTTTGATAGACAAATGCCTTTGCTCACTCTACTGGTGATTACTCTCAAGGATTTCCTGAAGTGAAGCCTGTTAAGTATTTCCAAGCCATAAGTTCAAGCTTTTAAATGATTGTATATATAGCTACTCTCTGATTACTCTTTGAGTTTATGTGAAGTCAGTGTAAGTTCAGTCCAAACCCTATTACACACTTCTCACTATTGCTAAATTAAACTCACAAGTGGCAATAATTGATCTCTTTATTGTTCATAGAGACCTTAATTTGCCTAGATATAGGTATCAGCTAGATATTCCAGGTTAAGAGTGGATGATGCTCTATTAGGTGGATGTAATCTGTACATTTAGGATTGTGCTTAATTAGTATTGAGTTGTTGGGGTTTCCCATCATACTTATAATTGGCCCCCAATACTTACAATTATCTAGAATGCTTTACATTATCTGACATTATCTGGTTCCCACTATATACCTGTTTAACCTCATACTCTGCCATTTTTCTCCTTGTAAAGCTCCTGCCATGTTGACTTTTCTGACCCTCAAACACATCCAACTTATTCTCTCCTAGGGATCCTTTCACTTTTCATTCTTCCTCCCTAGAAAACTATGCCCTCTGATCTAGGATAATGTTCTTTTCATCCAGATCACAGCTCAAGTATTATTGCCATAGAGATTCTTTGCCTGACCACTGAATCTAAACACATGTTTATCCAATACCATCTATCATTGGCAGTCACTCTCTATTGCTTATTTCTTCATATTAAGTACTTCTTCATAATGTCATGGTCAATGACTATCTGAAGGTAGTGCATGGATGGTAAAGGGATTTACCAAGACAGTAATGAGTTTAGAAAGGCAGATTTATTTAGAGGAAAGGAGGAGATACATTGCAAGGGAGCAAAAGGCAAGACAGAAGAAAGAAGGCTGTCTGCCAAGAGGCACGGGCTGGAGGGGAGTTTTATAAGGTGGTGCTGCTTAGGCTGAATGCTTGAAGACAGACTGCTTGGATGCAGGTGGGCTGTGAGCCAGGTGCTTGTAATAGGATGCTTGGGAGCTAGTGAGCCATTTGCGGTTGGCCTAATTTCTCATAACATTTACTCCCCTCTACCCTTGTTTCTGTTCCTGCCAGCTAAGCCCATTTTCCAATTTTCTGTTAACTTCTTAGGACTATACACATAGCACTTATCTCTATCTGGAATTGTATACTTTTTATTTGTCTCCCCTCACTAGAATATAAGTCCAGGGAAAGCGGGACCTTGTTGCCTTGTTCACAGGTATATCTTTAATAACTGGAATGACACCTTTATTAATTGAATGAATTAATAAATTTTGACAGTGACTTACATCTTGTCTCCTCAATTTCTTAGTTCAGAAGTAGATTAATGTATTTTGGATTAAGGAGTTGGGCCCCAGGAACAAGAACCCTCAAATCCGATATAAGAGAGAGGGCTCCAGGTGTATCCCAATCTTACCCTTCAAGAATCACAGGGGTGGGGAGGGTATCTAAAGCAACTTTGATGTAACTCTCATAATTCTAAATTCCATTAATGTTCTCCTTTCCACCAATATTAGAGAATTCAGATATGATGTTCTTTGATATGGAATTTAAAAGTAGGTCTTCTCAGAGCTTCTATCATATCATTTTCTTTTCCAGTCCATTCTTCACACTAGACAGAAAGATCGTTTTTCAAAAAATGTAAATGCAATAACATTCACATGACTAATTCCCTTCAGTGGATAACATCCAAAATCATCACCTTATTTTTAGAGTCTGCACAATCTGATTTTCCAACCTCCAGGCACTCTGATCTTTCTGTCCCTGGAACATGCCATGCCCTTTCTCGTAGTTTAGGCCTTCACATTTGCTATACATTCGGCTTGAAACACTCTTTCTTTCACCTTCTCTCCTTGCCCAACCCATTCTTCAAATCTCAGATAGATATTACTCTCTCAAAAAGGTTCCCTTTACCCTTCAGACTTGTTCAAAATCTAATGTATACTCCCATAGGCCCCATCACCTCCATCATTATGCTCAACATACTTCATGTTGATTACAGACTGGAGACAGCAAAGTATGTTTTGTTTACTGTTGAATCCTTAACATAGTGCCTGGCACAGAATAGGTGCTCAATAATTATAATACTAATTAGCTTTAGAAAATTGACACAGACCTTTCTTATTTCTTCTACTACATTCCACGTTATTTTATTTTTGTCCTATGAAACAAAGCTTCTTTCCATTCACTCCCTTTACTTTTTTTTCCAAAAAGAGCCTTTTATTTAAATTGTCTCAGAACTTTGAAATTGCCCTTTTTTTGCTGATTATATCATGTCTTCCCATCTTTAAATTGCATTCCAGAAGAGCCGTCTTCTCAGAAAACAAACAATGAAATGATAACATTTGCTGTGATATTTTTTACCTATTATTTTTCAATTATAGAGCATCAGTGCAGAATCAGAATGTAAGTTTCATAGGCCAAGGATCTTGCCTGTTTTGTTTATATCTTTTGTCTACAGTGCTAGAACAGTACCTGGGACATCATAGGTACTTAGCAAGTATCTATTAAATGGATTTGCCTCTGTCTACCACTGTTGGCCTAGAGTAAAGAAGATCCACAGTTTCTTGTTCAACTTGGCTTTCTTCTGGATGTTGTAGTTTTAGATTCCTGGAGACAGGTTGTGGCACTTAAGAATCAGTGCAAGCAAACACTAGGTTTGGAGGACTCAGGGAATCCTCTGGGCTGACTCCAAAGTTACTATATAGCCTCATGGTCACCACAACTCACTCAAAAATGAGAACCATATCTTCTCTGGATTGTGGGATAAATACTGGAACTAAAGCATCAGTGATGGTTTAGATCTTTACAGTAGCTAAACATCTCAGTTCTGTTGAGTGTTGGTGCATTTCGTTAATCATATTTTTACCACCAACAAGCTCCATTTTGAATTGATGTGATGTACCTATTAGAGCATCCCATACGTGATGTATCAGAACTTTTGTATCATTAGTGAGTGCTTTTTGATCAAGATTAACTCATATTTTACACTGTGATGACACACTGTTAAAAAAAAATACTACTGGTCAAAGATCATAGGAGATTTGGTGCTTTAACTGTAGTGCCCTCACTTATTCAGGTGACTTTTAGCAATCTTGTATAACCTAATGAAACAATATTTGCTTTCACAGCCAATTCACTCTCATCTTCTACCCTTAAGTGAAAAGATAAACATAGCTAAATACTGCTTATCTCTACTCATAAAGTATCTCCCACCGTATTGAGGAAGAGTGAACAGATAAATATGTGTGCTTTATTTGATTTAGAAGGATAGACAGATGGCTATTAAGATGTACCTACACTTTCTGGGTGCCCTGAAATTTCTTGTTCATGCTGTTGTTTTTCAACATGCTGTGTTGAAACTATTATAGGTCCGACAAGAGTTCAAAATTTAAGTTGTGTATAAATGTGATTTTTAAAGTAAGCTACGGTAAACTTGGTTTTGAACATCAAACTTTTAAAAAATAGTCTGAAGTTTTATGTTTGTGATATTGTGTGTTGTGTTGGTAGGAAATAGTTTGATTCAAAATATGTAAGTATAAATAAAATATTTTTTCAAAGGGCAAATAATTAGTACTGAGGAAGGGAAAATTACAGTCCTTTGAATGAAAGAATGCCATGCAAGCAAAGAGATTTGCACAGAGTTTTACAATGATAGAGGAAAATTGTAGTAATTAATAATCATAATTGGGGATGCTGGAAAGATAACTTCATGCCTCCTCTTTGATAAGATTTGGAAGCAGTTTGATCTTTTGTTAAAGACAGTTATTCTTTAGGAAAACATATCAAGTGGTATTTGCAAGAATTTTCATTTTAAATGGGACAAAGAGTTGTAATGTTGCAGTAGAAAATTTTTGATCCTCAAGCAGTATTCTCATTAATCCTGAGGTTAGGGACAAAGTGAACAAAGATTAATAATTAGCATATTGGTTCATAATTACTGAGAAAGGAATCTTAGGTAAAAGTTTATATTTATTAATCTTATTCTATGTATATATCATCTTTTAAAATATGATTTCTAATGCAAGTCAGTGGTTAAGCCTAGGTATTTTAAGAAAGATGTCCATTATTTACAATAATATTAAGGTTAAAAATCATGCCATCATTTACATTCGTTCTCTATGAGGATCTTGGCTATAGTAAATCTTGCTCTTTCGAATATGAGAGTACAATTAACACACATCTAACTGTCTAATTTATCTAAATTTTCAGCAAAACACCTTATTGGTAATAGCCTGTCAAAGTATCTTTTAATACAGACAGTACCAAAGGGGTTTTCTCCGCCCACACCAAGTGCAGTCGCTATCAGGATAAATAATTCCAAAGTCATTTTTACCTACAAGCTTCCTTAGTGTAATCACAGTTTGTGAAGGTACTTGGCTTATCCATTTCAAATTATCTGGACTACTCTCCCTTACCACTGTCAATACTTTTACATATATTCTCCACAATCTTGCTTAATAATCTGTGAAGATAATAAAACTAGACAAAACTTTGACAAATCACCTATCTATCTATCTATCTATCTATCTATCATCTGTCTTTTTATTATACTTTAAGTTCTGTGATACATGTGCAGAAGGTACAGGCTTGTTACATAGGTATACACGTGCCATGGTGGTTTGCTGCACCCATCAACCCATAATCTACACTAGGTATTTCTCCTAATGCTATCCATCCCCTAGTCCCCCATCCCCTGACAGGCCCCTGTGTGTGATGTTTCCCTTCCTGTGTCCATGTGTTCTCATTGTTCAACTCCCACTTATGAGTGAGAATATGCAGTGTTTGGTTTTCTGTTCCTGTGTTAGTCGGCTGAGAACGATGGTTTCCAGCTTCATCCACGTCCCTGCAAAGGACGTGAACTCATCATTTTTTATGGCTGCATAGTATTCTATGGTGTATATGCACTACATTTTCTTTATCCAGTCAATAATTAATGGGCATTTGGGTTGGTTCCAAGTCTTTGCTATTGTGAATAGTGCTGCAATAAACATACATGTGCATGTGTCTTTATGGTAGAATGATTTATAATCCTTTGGGTATATACCCAGTAATGAGATTGCTGAGTCAAATGGTATTTCTGGTTCTAGATCCTTGAGGAATTGCCACACTGTCTTCCACAATGGTTGAACTAATTTAGACTCCCACCAACAGTGTAAAACCATTCCTATTTCTCCACACCCACTCCAGCATCTGTTGTAACCTGACTTTTTAATGATTGCCATTCTAACTGGCATGAAATGGTATCTCATTGTGGTTTTGATTTGCATTTCTCTAATGACCAGTGATGATGAGCTTTTTTTCATATGTTTGTTGGCCACATAAATGTCTTCTTTTGAGAAGTGTATGTTCATATCCTTCGCCCACTTTTTGATGGGGTTGCTTGTTTTTTTTCTTGTAAATGTGTTTAAGTTCTTTGTAGATTCTAGATATTAGCCCTTTGTCAGATGGATAAATTGCAAACATTTTCTCCCATTCTGTAGGTTGCCTGTTCACTCTGAAGATTGTTCCTTTTGCTGTGCAGAAGCTCTTTAGTTTAATTATGTCCCATTTGTCAATTTTGTCTTTTGTTGCCATTGCTCTGGGTGTTTTAGTCATCAAGTCTTTGCCCATGCCTATGTCCTGAGGGGTATTGCCTAGGTTTTCTTCTAGGGTTTTTATGGTTTTAGGTTTTATATTTAAGTCTTTAATCCATCTTGAGTTAATTTTTGTATAAGGTGTAAGGAAGGGGTCTATTTTCAGTTTCCTGCATATGGCTCACCAGTTTTCCCAATACCATTTATTAAATAGAAAATTTTTTCCCCATTGCTTGTTTTTGTCATGTTTTTCAAAGATCAGATGGCTGTAGATGTGTGGCACTATTTCTGAGGCCTATTTTCTGTTCCATTGGTCTATATATCTGTTTTGGTACCAGTATCATGCTGTTTTGATTACTGTAGCCTTGTAGTATAGTTTGAAGTCAGGTAGCATGATGCCTCCAGCTTTGTTCTTTTTACTTATGATTGTCTTGGCTATACGGGCTCTTTTTTTTGTTTCGTATGAAATTTACAGTAGTTTTTTCTAATTCTGTGAAGAAAGTCAATGGTGGCTTGATCGGGATACCACTGAATTTATAAATTACTTTGGGCAGTATGGCCATTTTCACAATATTGATTCTTCCTATCCATGAGCATGGAAAGTTTTTCCATTTGTTTGTGTCCTTTCTTATTTCCTTGAGCAGTGGTTTGTAGTTCCCCTTGAGGAGGTCCTTCACATCCCTTGTAAGTAGTATTCCTAGGTATTTTATTCTCTTTGTAGCAACTGTGAATGGGAGTTCACTCATGATTTGGCTCTCTGTTTGTCTATTATTGATGTATAGGAATGCTTGTGATTTTTGCACTTTGATTTTGTATCCTGAGACTTTGCTGAAGTTGCTTATCAGCTTAAGGAGATTTTGGGCTGAGACGATGTTTTTCTAAATATACAATCATGTCATCTGCAAACAGAGACAATTTGACTTCCTCTTTTCCTATTTGAATACCCTTTATTTCTTCCTCTTGCCTGATTGCCCTGGCCAGAACTTGCAATACCATGTTGAATAGGAGTGGTGAGAGAGGGCATCCTTGTCTTGTGCTGGTTTTCAAAGGGAATGCTTCCAAGTTTTGCCCATTCAGTACGATATTGGCTGTGGGTTCATCATAATTAGCTCTTATTATTTTGAGATATGTTCCATCGATACCTAGTTTATTCAGAGTTTGTAGCGATATGTATACAAAAATCCTTAAATGGCTTTATACTCTGTGACCTAGTAATTCCACATATTGGAATTTATTCTAAAGAAACAATCAGAGATGCATAGAAAGACATATTTAAAAGGATGCTGACCACAACATTATTTTAATAACAAGCATTTGAAATCAGTCTAAATAGTCAAAGATGAGGGATTATTTAAATAAATTATGATGCATTCAAATGATGGAATATTGACACCATCAAGAAGCATGTATTAAAATAATATGTAATGACATGAGAAATGTATATAATTTAATTTTACATAAAGCAGGATATAAAACAAAGAATTTGAATGTGATTTTATGATATTTATGCACACATACATGTATAGAAAATACTAAAGACACACAATTTTTAACAATGTTTATTTAATGAATTCATGGTGAGATTTCAAGTAATTTTTAGTTTTTTTTTTCCCCTTTTAGATTTTCTGTATTTTCTAAATTTTCTTCAGTGGATTTGTGCTACTTTTTGTTATTTTAAAAATGATGATTCAGGCTGGGTGTGGTGGCTCACGCCTGAAATCCCAGCGTTTTGGTAGGCCGAGGCAGGTGGATTGCCTGCGCTCAGGAGTTTGAAACCAGCCTGGGCAACACGGTGAAACTTCGTCTCTACTAAAATACAAAAACTTAGCCGGGCATGGTGGCGTGCACCTGTAGTCCGAGCTGCTCGGGAGGCTCAGACAGGAGAATTGCTTGAACCCAGGAGGCGGAGGTTGCGGTGAGCCGGGATCGCGCTACTGCACTCCAGCCTGGGCAACAGAGCGAGACTCCATCTCCAAAATAATAATGATAAATTTAAAAAATGATGATTCAGAATGTTCACACTGAATTGTTGAAATCCACCCCACCTCATGGAAATCTCATAACAAAGCAGAATATGAGTCCATTCAGAGCCTACCTACAATAAGTGAGGTACTCAGAATTCATTAAACTTCAATAGGCATGAAGAAAATAATACTTCAGAAACCTGAAAGCCTTAAAAGTAGCAAAGAGCCCAAATAAATGTGTTATATTAATAATAGGTAAGTGAAAGATAAATTCAACAAGTCAACACGTAATTACATCCATTAGCGTAGAAGGGGTAAGTGAGGTTCTTTAGACGGCAAACTGTTTGAGAGATCACATTTTACTAGTTCCTGGGTCTTTTGCTTTTCATTTACCTTTCTTCCTTTTTATGATATATTAAATGTTTTATCAGATCCACTTTGCTATAAGGATGGATTTCATCATTTAGCATTGTATTATCAGGAGTAAGCCAACTAGACCATGTATTCAAGGTAATTTAATTTTGTCTGGGAAGTATAATTGAAGAATTGTATTTTCAATGTTAGACAATATCTGAAATGGTTCCTAGCATGAACCTTGGTCAACTTGATACAATCCTATTTAATCTTGCCTTTGATAGCATACATTTGAAACCCCAGTGCCAAATTCTAGGGGGAAAAGGACCTTGAATGAAATTGATTTCTTAAAGGAACAAGGAAGGTAACAAGTCTCAGAATTGATGACAATCTTAAAATGTCAAATCTACCTGCATTTACCTAGCCCATTCATAGAAAAAATGAGCTCATTTTTGCATAGCATAAAAAATACACACAGGTAGCTACAGAGCTTCCAGAGGACAAGTACCTATTTCATCTTTTCTTTAAGTTGCTGGAAAGTAGGCTGAAACATATTCTACAAAATAGCTTTTACAATATTGGCAAAGAGAGAAAAAATGACCAAGTAATTTGATTAAAGTTCTAATAATTATGAGATTGAAATACAATTTAGTTAACTGTGCTTTATTTTAATTTCAGCTCTTTAAAATAAAGATGCATAGCTATAGGGCATAATAGAGTTACTTTATTCGCATTACAGAGACTGAGTCACCTCTATTTATTATAAGAATTAATTGGTACAAGAATAGAATTTAAAGGTGCTTACCTGTTGTGGCAAAGATAATCTTGTAGGTGGTACAATTTGCACATGATTTCAGCCAAAAGGCTGAGAAACAACAGTGGCTACAGTTTGGAGGAGGGAGCTTAATTTTCCTTCATAACACAAGAGGAAAGTGGAAAATGTGATTAACACTAAAGTAAAATGGACAAGAAACACATTTTAAAAAACATTTAACATTTATTTTTTTATTATGCAAATAATAGAGAAGAAGCAGGTGAAGATAAATACAGGAGCCACACTATCTTCTTGAGTAGAGAAATATTTGTAGATTGTGAAAATGTGTGTGTGTGTGTGTGTGTGTGTTGGGAGAGGGGGAGGGTGAGGGTAAGCAATAGGGAGAGGGAGCTGGGTGAAGCAAGGAATGGAGTATGGAAGGGTTAAATAATAAAGATCTACTCAGGGTATTAGTTCTGTAAATCATCTGAACAATTATATCTAAATAATTGTCATGTCAGTAGGTCAGACCAGTTCCTTGCGTTTTTGTCACTCTAACACAGAGTGACAACTTCCTGGATCTCACTGCATCTAATACTACTAGGTAACATACAGTATTATCTTTCATTGACTACCTTAGCCATTGCTATTTTAGTTTCCAAAAGTGAATTGGTAAAATACCATCCCAAGAGCTCTCATGTGTGATAATGTGGAAGCCAGTCATTTGGAACATAAAAACGCAGGTGAATGGGGTGAATGGATTGAAACTGAGTTTTGAGGACAATGGAAGTCAAGTGAAAATGCCAAATTGATCCTAATATTGACCCGATTTCATTTAGTGGATTGGGTGCCTGTATCATTTTTGGCATCTCAGGTGTGTTATGAGTGCTACTTAATGCTGACTCATTGATTCATATGTAAGGCTCGTCTACATCAGAATTTAGGAAGATGTCCAATTTATCTCTCTCTCTCTCTCTCTCTCTCACACACACACACACACACACACACACATAGTTTTCTTTAATTCGTCTATGTGAGAGAAGACATGATTTGAGAATACATGATAGTATAGAGTTAATGTGGTGAGAATGCAGGAAGAGCAAGTAGAAAACGTGCTACAGTTTTGAGTTAACCTCTTTATATTTCTGAGTTATACCTTCTTTTCCTCCAACATCTCCCACTCCCCACTTATCCTAATGGGATAGGATCTCTTATCCTTATAAAAATCCGTAGCAGAGAGTAGGGACAGATCACATAAGAGAGTCAAGGCACTGATGATTTGGAAAAATGACATTTTTGTCTTTGGAATAATCAGACAGTTTAGTTCAACAAACACAAGTTGTGTGCCTATTATATTTCAGGATAGTGCTAGTCCCTAAGGGGACTGATATGAATATACACAGGCCTTGGTATTAAGGAGCTTATAACTTAGAAAGGGTAGAAAGATAAAATAGTGAATTTTATTTTAATGTGGTAACTGACAAGATAAACCATAAGTCCCATGAAGGTAAGAGTCATGACTAATGTTGCTCACTTATATCCTGATCATCAAGTACATTGTTTTATATATAAATGTTTGTTCAAGAAGTAAACACAAATATATGATGGGTGTCATGGTATCAGTGAGGAGAGCAGATCACATGTTGGAATTTGAGGTGAATTTCTTGGAAGGGATGATGGCTAAACTGAGTCTTAAACATTAACCAGTTATCTAGGTTAAAAAGGGTGGTGGAGGGACTGTAAGCAAAAGGAATAACATGAGAACAGAAAAGGAAGTATGAAATAGAATGTTAAGTTTGAAAAACTAAGCATTTTGATAATACTAGAGAATAGTATATTTATATATTCTATTACTTTTGTGAGCTTGAGGATTTAAAGTGAGGAAAAAAGAAAGACATATTTATGTAATTTATATATAAAGATCATGGTGAAGTATAACCTTCCATATTTTAAAACATGCATTTAAGCAGTGATAAAAATCAGTTAAATTATTTTTTAAAAATTGTGTTTATACAAAATGCACAGTTACAAATCAATGAGAATATTGCTGTGATCAGAGGACTTATTCTGGAACCAAGGGTAAATTTACTCAAAGCAGTAACTCCAGCTTTCCATCTCTAGTGGCCTTAATAGTGATTTCAGAAGTTACATAAAGGAAAATATGCTTTCATAGAGCCAGATGGACCCAGACATAGCCCAGAGTTTGGTCACATAGCCAGAAGTTTTAGAATTATTTGTGCAATTATATTTTCCTCTCCAAAATTTGACAGATATTATGCCTATGTAGTGGGTGTAGTTTGCTTTCAGCTCAATCAGTTCCTCTTTGAAATGAGCTTCACTAATGGGTCAGATGTGTGATAATTCAGATACTTCCTGAGATATGAATTCCAAAGGCAGCTGCAGAATTTTTTTAGCATGAATCATTTATTTTTTAAATGTACAAATAACACATGATAATTTTAGGAAAATCAGAAAATATAGATAAGCAGAAAAACTTAAAATCATTCTATAATCCACTATTCTGAGTTAACCATTACTAACATATTGATATATATCTATCTTGAAATGCGTGTGGGACGTGTGTGTGTGTGTGTGTGTGTGTGTGTTTGTGTGTGTGTGAAAGAGAGGAAGCCAGAAAGAAATTAATTTACTAACAAAAATAGAACTATACTACACTGTTCAATAACTTGATTTTATAGTTAATATCTTGTCACAGATATCTATCATGTTCAATAACTATAGGACGATATATTCATTTTTTATGGCTTCACAGTATTCTATCATTGGCAGGTAATGACTTATTTAATGAGCAATTTTCATGGACATTTAGGTTGTTTTCAGTTTTTCTGCAATAGAAGTATTAGTGCCATAAACATATTTTTGCAATTATCTTTGAATTATTGTGCTAGTACCATATCAAGATAAAGTTCTCAAAGTAATAACTAGCAATAAGGGTGAAGAATCTGAGATTTTGCCTTATTTGCAAAGGAAACATGTTAGCCTCCCACAGTTTCATGGATGTTGGTAGAAGACATAAAATTCCCTGGTGAAAGATAGAGAACAGTTTACTATTCACAACATTCACAGTAGCCCAGAGTATCAGCATTGTGTGTGTGTGTGTGTGTGTGTACGTGCGTGTACCAATTCCTTAAGTACTAATTTCCAGAGTGACTGAAAGAGGACCAGGTGACACTTTCATGCATAGTGAATTATATTATAGGAGAAAAACCCAGAGTTTAGGGAACCTGAATCTTATAATGGGCAGTAATCATGCTTCCTGTTTGCTCTGGGGTGAGACACTATCTCTGTCATCTCAAGTTGTAAGAAAATCTGTCCCTTTATACTAGAGGGAGGCAATACCTCCATCTTCCACTACATAAACATCCTTGGAAAAGTGGTCAAGAACAAAGAATTGTCAGTGCCTCGCTGTCAAGATAGGTAGTAATGCAAGAGACCCATGGACGGGAGAATTGTCTCTCAATGGGATTATTGAATCAGAGTGTATGTGCATTGTAAGTATTGCCAAAACTGCCCTATTTAAAGGTTATACTAATTTCCACTCCTATCAATGATTCATGAGAGGTCCTATTTATCTCTACTCTCAGCTACACTGGAATTTGTCAACCTTTTAAATTTTAGCTATTCCAATTGAAGAAAATGACACTTCATATTTCAAAAGCCTTCTTTTCTTACTAGTAAGATTAAATATACTTTCATGTTCATGTTTGCCATTTGTATTTCTTCTACTGTGAATTGCCCTTTCATATCTTTTGTCCATTTTTTTCTATTGATGTTTTATCATGTTGATATATAGGTGGTCTTAGTATATTAAAATATGAACATGTTGTATATCATGAATTGCAAATATATGCTATACATACCTTTCTGCATTTGTCTTTTAACTTTATTTTCTTTCTTAGCTAAAGAAATTTGAAGCATGACCTATATTTATTAAAACTCCTGCCTCTCTTTCAAAATTGCAACTTTCTTTCTACAAATAGCTCTACATTTAAAAAATGAGTTTAGTGCCATTCTGTAATATTAAATGCATACAATCTTCCGATAATATTTGCTAAATTCATGGTCAGTTCAAGTTCAAATACATACTTCCTTGAATGTATCAGCAGTGCGTTTGTTTTTCCCTGAAGTTTCAAGTTTAGTGCAGTCAGATATCTTGTCACATCAGTGAGAAAGTACAATATTATGAACCATGGGGATCCAAAAATTTTAGCCCATTAGAGCTCTTTTAATTCCAAAGTCCATGCTCAGTGAATTTCTTTAGCAAGTTTTATGACCTAGCCATCTGACAGCATTCAACAAAATTAAATATCTTATCTTGTTTATCTTCTTCCAAATATTTCATGAACTGACTGTGGTTAGCAGCACAAACACAAAGAAAATTCACTGTCTCGATCACTCCTTTCACATGACTTTACCTTATGAAGCACAAACCTACCTGATAAATGATGGAGTGGAAACTACATACAGAACCTTTCTTTTTCCACTTGAATGAACTGTTGAAATGTTCTCATTTATTGCAAGTGCCTCATATATAGAAAGTGAATCCAGCTTTTATATGTTTGGAGGAAAGTTTTCAAATTATTTATTGGCAAGTAGTTAAATACTAGGTATATCATACGTACTGGAAACTTTGCAATTTAACACTGATGTTGGGGAAGATCTGTGATGAAAGGATGAAGTATTCAATAAATAGATCTGGAGTTATCCACATGGAAAAAATAAAATAAATCTCTACCTCAAACTATATACAAAAAATAAACTCCATGTGAATTAAGTGGTTTGATGCCAAAAGCAAACATTAGTACTATTTGTGTGAACTTTAAATAACTATCACCTTAAGGAAGATGAAAGATTTTTTAATGAAAACATATAAAATACTAACCATAAAGTAAAATAATGATTATTTTAAATATATTAACAATGAACTTTCATTAACATATACCTTAAATATAGTGAAAAGACAACCTACTAACTGAGAGAAGACATTTGCAACACATAGCTGTCATAGACCTGCTACTCACAATGTAAATAAAACTCCCATAGATCAATCAATACAAAAACAACAAAGAACATGAACAGAAAAATGGGCAAAGTCAATAAAAGTCATCTCGCAAATGATAAAAAATACATATGGCTAATAAATGTATACAGAGAGGTTTGATCTCATTAATAGTATAATCCTGTAATATGTAATATATAAGTATGAGATAAAACTTACTTGAAAACATAAGGAAATGATAAAATAAAAATCAAGTAGTGTCTTCTTAGGTAGAGGGAAGTAGGAGATGAACTAGCAGAGAAGCACAAAAGTGGATGTACGTTACTGTCATTGTTATGGTTCTCAGGTTGGGTGGTAAGAGCAATTAAGTTCATTATATAATTAAAAAAGTAAAACCAAGGCTTAAAGAAACAAAAGCAATTTCCTCATGTGGCCAGGGTGTGACAATAATAATACTCTATCTTACTGGCCATTGGCCATGATAACTATACAAGAGATGAAAGTGATTCCAACTGAGCCAATCAAAGTCTTCCCCAGGGATTTTTCTCACTGATGCTGGTAGTATGGCCTTTTTGTCTCTCAGATTGCAAATAGTGAGTATGGGAGGGCTGAAATACTGGTGTCCACATCCTTCATATTTGGAAGAGCTGGTCTGTGGAAATGGCCAGCTATTCCAGTATGTAGCAACAAGCAGAAAGTAGAGATGGAAGGGCCCTAATCTTGTTTGTGTCCTTGATATAGTCATATTAGAGGTGAACTCCACTGCTAGACTTCCCAGTTAAAGGAACAAACAAACTCCCCTTTCTGCTCAAGCTTTCTCAAGTAGGATTCTGGACACCCGAAACCAAACATTCTTGACCAATACAGAGAATGCTAAAGATAAAGGATCAGAAGCAGAGATGTGTTGAAAGAACACCCTCCTCAGCAAAGCTTCAATCTTTCCCCCTGTACTTGTTGAACATAAGGCATTTACGTATTATTTTAGACCTCAAATTACCTACCTTTGGAATCAGTGGATTTCTTGATTATCTGCATCCCTTGACATCGTATGATAACTGTTAATCCTTATTTCTGTCAGCATTGACTCAGTAACCAGTAAAACAGAGCCCCAGACTAGGCACTACTACTAAAGGAAGGAGAAGGCATATGTCAGAAATAAAGGATGTAGTTCCTGACATTGAGAAACCCAAAACTAACTATCACAGATACTGTTTAGTTCAAGCCTCTTGGTTTGTAATTTGGAAGGTTGGATCTAGTGAGGTTAAGTAGTTTTTCTAAGGTCACACTGCTAGTTTGTGTAAATACCTGGAACTAGAACCTAGGTCTCCCTAGTTTAGTGCTCTTTCAATTATGTAACATTGACCTCTCTCTTTCCCCACCTGTCGTAGTGTAGCAGTCAGGGTTCTCCAGAGGGAGAGAACCAATAGGATATATATATATATGTATAGCTCGCTCTCTCTCTCTCTCTCTGTGTGTGTGTGTGTGTGTGTGTGTGTGTGTGTGTGTGTGTGTGAAAAGGAGGTTATTAGGGAGAAATGGCTCATACAATTACAAAGGCAAAGTCCCACTACAGGCCATCTGCAAGCTGGGAAATTAGAAAAGCCAGTAGCATGGCTCAGTCCAAGTTCAAAAGCCTCACAACCAGGGAAGCCGACAATGCAGACCCCAGTCTGAGGCCAAGGGCCTCATCGAGAACCCATCGAAGGCCACTGATGCTAGTGCCAAAAGCCAAAGAATTTGGGAATCTGGAGTCTGATGTCTAAGAGCAGGAGGAGAAAAGGCATCTAGCTCTGGAAGAAAGAGAGAGAGGAAAGAGAGAGAGGAAGCTCAGCAAACTGAATACATGCTTCCTCCACCTATTTTGTTCTAGCTGCCCTTGCAGCTGATTGAATGGTGCCCACCCACATGTAGAGTGCATCTTCCTCTCCCAGTCCACTGACTCACATGTCAATTTCTACTGGAAACACCCTCACAGACACGCCCAGAAACAATACTTCATCAGTCATCCGGCATTCCTCAATCCAATCAAGTTGACACCTAATATTAACTATCACACCACCCTAATGTAGATTAAATACTAATCAACTAATTGCTTATTACTATTAAAAGGAACAGCAAAGTATAATTTGAACAAATAATACCACCTGGAAAAAATGAATGAATTCTGCCTAACTTCAACTTTTTAATTTCCTGTGTAATGTAGAAAGAGTGCTAGATTGCGAGTCAAGAGAGAGTTCTTATCTTGGTTTTGCCAGTAGCTAATTGAATCACCTGCAGAAATGACTTTTTCTCAATGGATTTCAGTTTCCTCATCTAAAAAGGAGGGGCTTCGCTTTATGTTCTAATACTTACATGCAATGTTTTAATTCTGATGTCATCCAAAGCATGCAAGCCTTCCATCAAGCTTCTTGTCATTTGAAAGTAGCTGTGAGTTGCAGACTGTCTAGCCCCTACAAGTCACTCTCCTGTTTCTGGTTCTGAATTTTCTGGCATCATAATTCAATTGTCAAACTTTTGATTATTGTTAATTCTAATTACTCTTAGCTGTGACCTTATCTAACCCTATCTTCCCTCACCAGGGCCTCTTTTATAAATGATGTTAGCCAGAATGTAAAAATGAAGAAAAGTTTATTATAATAGAATAGCCATTGATCAGGCATCACTCCATCATGAGTTCCTTCAGTTTCAAAAGTCTGAGATTATTGTCAATTTTCTTAATATTTATGCTGTCAGCTCACTTATTTCCTCCTTCCAACACTGAAGCATGGGTTATTAAGCTTCTCTCATCTTCACTCTGCACTCCTTTATAAAAAATAGCCGATATACTACAACAACTTCCTCAAGCTAGCTTATATTTTTTCTATATATCTTAGGCCTTAGGCCTCCTAAAGTAACATTACCCATTTCCCCATCCCCTTTCAATTCTGAAGTTTTCAAACATTTTGAACAGAAACATTAAAAACTTGGTTTTATATAATAGATTTCTCATACTCTCCTACTGGAATTTATATGAAAGGAAATAAAGAAAACAATGAAAGCAACTTATTGAACTGAAAGTGATTGAGAAAAAGTCATTGTTGTACAATGCCAAGGCTTTATTCAGGAAATACAGACCTGAAAAATGTAGGAGAAAGATACAGATGTCCAATTGGTGACAATAAAGTGTAATATCATTATATCTCCAAGTATTTGATCATTAAAGCCTTGACACTACTTCCAAGCCAGGGGGCTTACAATTAGGAGACTATCAAATCTCCTCATGCCAGTCTCTATTTTTAAGTTATGATTGAGGCCAGGCGCAGTGGCTCACTCCTGTAATCCCAGCACTTTGGGAGGCTGAGGCAGGCGGATCATGAGGTCAGGAGTTCGAGACCAGCCTGACCAACATGGTAAACCCTGTCTCTACTAAAAAGACAAAAATTACCCGGGCGTGAGGGCATGCGCCTGTAATCCTAGCTACTCAAGAGGCTGAGGCAGGAGAATCACTTGAACCCGGGAGGTGGAGGTTGCAGTGAGCCGATATTGTGCCATTGCACTCCAGCCTGGGTGACAGAGCGAGACTCCATCTCAAAAAAATTTATGATTGAAAAATTAAATTATAATTGAAAAATGATTTAGAATAAGCTCAATTATAATTGTGTTGTGGGATACAGTAAATCTGAGTAAAATGTAG
This sequence comes from Homo sapiens, assembly GCF_000001405.40. Classification (NCBI taxonomy): domain Eukaryota; kingdom Metazoa; phylum Chordata; class Mammalia; order Primates; family Hominidae; genus Homo; species Homo sapiens. The sequence goes on along the minus strand of NC_000023.11, from coordinate 99,916,187 downwards.
CCTATTTCTCTTTCCAGCTATTTATGTACAGATCATCATCCAGCTAGAATTGAAGGCCAACTAGGGTAGTTAGATAAACAAAAGCTTTTACGTTAAAAGTACACCTATATTACGTTAAGCTTTTAAAAATTCCATCTCACTGAGGAATGAGAGGCATATCACAATAGAAAAATACCTACATTTTGAAAAAATAGTACAACTATCTAACCCTTGACATTCCTGCTCAAAACCTGTTCCTGGGTTAGTTCTTTCAGTTACGTGGAGAAAGCTCCAAAGGTAGTCATTGAACCCTTTGGATTAGTTAATGCAGTCTACGGAACAGCTTGTCATTTAAGACATAAAACAGAAACATTCAGTAAATTACGAATAAAAGTGTTTTCTGATTCTTAAGAAAAAAAGGAGATGTAGTAAGAGTAAAAATGAGAGTCAGGGCTGGACGTGGTGGCCCATGCCTGTAATCTCAGCACTTTGGGAGGCCCATGCGGGCGAATCACCTGAGGTTAGGAGTTCAAGACCAGCCTGGCCAACATGGTGAAACCCCGTCTCTACTAAAAATACAAAAATTAGCCTGGCGTGGTGGCAGGTGCCTGTAATCCCAGCTACTCAGAACGCTGAGGTGGGAGAGTCACTTGAACTCGGGAGGCGGAGGTTGTAGTGAGCCGAGATCACGCCACTGCACTCCAGCCTGGGCGACAAGAGTGAGACTCTGTCTCAAAAAAAACAAAAACAAACAAACAAACAAACAAAAAAAAAACGAGTCGGGTAGAGAGACAGGCAGAGAGAATGAGTTATGGACTGGAAGATTAATAAGATTAAGACAACTAAACTATAATATTTTATTAATATTTAATGCTATTCATCCAATTAATTCAGAATATATTACAAGCATTAGCTTAAAGCCCAGTGAAATCTCACCTTAAACAGCTGATGTCTAGTGACAGACATTTTCTCCAAAACACCCGTGGGAAATGTGGGTGGAATCAGTGGTGGGTAAGGTCACAGTTTCTGGGCCTTTGTCCTGTTTGACAATATCATGCTGGAATTTCAGTCTGTAATGATTAATTATTAACTTTGCTATGTTGAAGTCAATTAATGTGAAAGTTATTTACTGTTCTTGATAATTAGGTATAGTGATTAAAGCATGTTTTATATCATGCTGGAGTTTTCTTTTTAAATAACTCATGAACAGAAAACAGCAGCTGGATTAGATGATGTGGTTATTGTGTTAGTCTTTGAAGGCAGGTGGTAGGCACATTCTTTCTATATTTAAACGATCTAATTGTAGCATGCATTGTGAGCCTAATATTGTTTATGGAATTGGATGATAAATGAGTAAAAGATAGTCATTGTTTGCTGTGCATAAAGATGGCAGCTATTTGTTAGCTTAGGTGACTCACTCTGCTAGACCATGCTAAATAGTCATCTACAAGAGACATGCCTGGTTTGTGTTTGGTTTTTGGTTTTCAGATATGGTGAAACAAGCAACGGTGTTACACTCAATGTCTGGCTGGTCAAATGAGAAAGAACAGAATATGATAAACAGTGGAATAGACTGCAGAAAGGGACTGAAAAAAATCCTGTACACTGAAGCAGGCTTAGTACTTCTTTCTCTGATTGGAAATCTGTATGGTCTGCTTGATATTCATGGGTAAAAAGAGTGGCTTATATTTAATATAAATAAGAAGACTGATTTGAATTGTCCGGATGAAAACCACCCTCTTCCCACACATACAAAGGATAAGTATAGGCTTTCAATTTTAATTATTGACTGAATTCTTCATATCTTGGTGGGTGATAGGCATAAGTGTTGAATAGACTTGTACATAAAGTACTAATGTTTTGTATAAGCATCTATGCATAGGATTTGTGAAATAAAAAGTGAAGCCTGCCAAGGTGTGTGATTTAGGAAGATGCCTATCTTGATTTTAATTGGAGAAGAAACAATTTATTAACAAAAATATAATATCCAGTAAAGCAAAAACGCAAATGCCACAAGATTAACAGACTACTTCACATTAAATATTAGACAGTAAGAGTAACCAAGACAGTGTGAGCACCTAATATTTAACAGTGTGGTAGACATTTTGTCAGGTACATTATTCATTGTTTTTAGAGTCGTGCCATATTTTATCTCAGTAAACCCGCACGTGACATTGTGAGGTACGAATGACCATTATCAGCACTTTATTTACAAAAACAAAGAGGCACAGAGAATATCTGGGTTAAGTTACTTGCCTATGGTTGTGCGGATATTAGGTGGCAGAGACATGAGAACAGGCCGAGAAATGGCAGTGTGATTATTTTCTGGGAATTGTAAATTAGAGCAACGACAGATAGCCAGCTGATCTAGTTTCTTCCCAAAGCTAGTCAGGCCACAGATGGCTTACCAATCTGTCTTTCTTTCAGTTAACCATTCGCTGTAATTTTCAGGATATTCCTCTTCCTACTTCCATGGATGTCCTTTAGCAGCAGATTCCGTCTCAAACAGAGAGAAGTACAGTTGTGCATGACTTCTGACAATTTCTGGGCATGTTACTGATGGACTTCATTTTTTTAAGATAATACTTTCTGAGGCATTATTCTTCACAGAAAAACATATTTTTTAAATAAATTGAACAATTAGCTCAAGATGAAAAGTTGCAGAATATGAGAGAAATACATATGGTAAACATGAGTGATCAAAAGTAGAACCTAGTTTTAAGTAGATATATAATCGGTATGGTGTGTTATTTCAGAATAAACTTATATAGGCAAAAGACTATGAAATAAAAAAATTTGGATGGAAGAGGTATTATATAGAGTATGCTGATGAAAAGAGAAAGTTGAAAGACCAGAGGTCCTAAAAACTCACCTGTCATGAGCAATAAAATGATGGTACATCATTATCTGTTTGTATTAAGTTTAGAAAAGTTATAAATGGAGATAGGGCCCCAAAAAGAAATGAGCAGAAAGTACGGATTTACTCTGTGTACAGCAATTGAAGAGCTATTATTACGGAAAGCCTGAATGTGCAGTGGGGTAAATAATAATTTAAAAAGCCGCTGACTCAGGAGTGAGATCCCATCTTTCTATCAAGGAAAAGCAAATGGGTGGCTGAAGGGAGGGGTGGTGCAATTTTATAAGATAGCCCTGGGAATATAAAATTGAGGAACTCTATATGAATGGAGGTGACAGACTGCTATGTACAGGAATTAAATCATAACAGCGGCACAGAACTTAATGATACTTTTAGTCAGGGTAGCAAAAGGCTACAGGGCACCTGCACTGTTTCTGAAAGAAAATATTTGCACATAACCAACCCACTTGTGCAAATGTGTAGTTGGTAATCAGTGCAGCAGATTATCATCTTATCTGCAATTGCATGTTGTTTCAGGGACAAGCAAGCATTGCAGAGTACTTTGAAACCTCTGTTTCATATTCCCCATGGGGCAAAACTAACATTCATAAACTGCCTCAGTGATCTAGTCTGTAGCTCCCCCGATCTCCTGCTAAGGGACTTGGATTTCATGCTCAGAGTAAGCCAAGGCAGATGGGAATTATTTCGAATTTGGAAAAACAAGGGAAGCTTCAATTAATGGGCTGCTGGCAGGCAACCTCTGCAGTTCACATTTTACTCCCACACACGTTTTGTTCGCGTGTACACACTCACGCATATGATTTCTTTTACCTTTTAAAGAGAGGATCACACTTTTAGTAATGACAGAATGTCTCTGAACAGAATTCAATATGTGTTATGTCTTAGCAGTTTAATTTAATGGTAACAGAGGGGGAGTTATGCAAATCCAATTTCAGAAACAGAGATGAACTACTGACATATTTGGTAAAGGCAAGTCCAACTTCAAAACCAAACAATCTTTCTCTCAATGTGTGGCAGACCTAGTTAAATATAAGTTTAGTGTCATGGAGGGGAGAAAAAGAGCTACTCATGCTTGATATATGTGTGTGTAGTGGCAGGCAGGATGGGGAATACATTCTAATTCCCACTGCAGGGGTATAGTTTACTGAGTAGGCCAGGTCAGAGGGAATGAAACTTGTGTTCCACTTCCTCTCAAAAGTGGGATAGCATTAGTTCTTAGTTCTTAGCCAGATTCCAGGGAAGCTAGTGAATAAAGAGCTATGGAATACATAATAATATAGCAATATTAGAATTCATAGTTCTTCCCCACCTAATTGCTTTATTGTTTCACTTTCTTGCAAGTGCACAATGTGAAGGAAGTACAAATTTCAAGAAAATAGATATAGCAAAAAAGTTTCTAATTAGATAATATATTTTATTATGAGAAAATTAAGCAAAAGACATTGTTTTATAACCATTTGTTTCTTGAAAGACAATTAGAAGGTTTGTGAATTAATTAGTTTGTGAAGTGAAAAGAGACCACCTATCCTGTGCAATATTGTTGTCTGTAGTGAAGTTGTGTCATCTATTGCCCTGCTAGGCATGCCATACAAACTCTACCCTAAATTCCAAGCAATGTATAAAGTTATATTTCAGAAGATAAGACTATATAAATTACTAAATGCATTTGTAGATATATGAATTTATACTCCAGAATTTACCAGGCAAAAATGTGTAGGTCATAGCCTTCAAGATTGGCTATTCTTTACGTGATGCTGCCTTTAATTTGAATCCTGAAGGTGGCTATATCTTTCAAAGAGGAAAATGTTAGCAAATGTTGAACAAGCAACTGGAGAAGATGACAGAGAAATGAGTTGCTTCTAGGAGGAAGCAAAGTGACAAGTAGGAGGAGAGCTCTAAAAACACTCAATATTTAAAGAACAGAAAGAAATATTAGGCTGGTGCAGCAAAGATCAATGGAAACAATATGTTTTTTGTATTGTTTTTGTATCAGAGCATTTATTAAAAATGAAAAAAGGAAACACAAAGAGCTGTACATCACATGGAAAGAGAGATGCAACCTGGAAGAAAAAATTTCCAAATCAATTAGCAGTTTAATATTAGGGCAAATTGCTACAATTTTTGAAAAATGTGAAACTTCTTGAACTTGACAACTCCTGGTTTAATGGCCAGATTCACTGAGCAATATTTGTTATTCATTTCTGGGCTACTGACACTTCTTTTTAAGATGCTTCCACACTGAAGTGGTATCTCTGCATGCTGATCTTCTATTTTACATTAGTTTTTCTGGACCATTTTTGTTTGTTTGTTTCAGTCTTTGAATTCACACAGCTTTGTATGAGATAAGGAATGCTCTAAAAGGCAACTTGCAGGATGATTGCTGTATGAAAAGGCTAAGCTTGAAATAATGCCTATCAACACCAATGATTTAGGAGGAATGTCTCCACTTTGTTTAGTACACATTTGCTTTTTGAATTCATTCTACCAAGAATATTGTCTCTGGCTTTGGTGTTATAATCTTCCATTCTCTTCTATTCTATTATCAATTTGACATTGAATGTTGCTAACTTCCACAGAAAAGCCTGAAAGTCAGAGTAAAACCTCTGTTTTTGGCTGCATTGATGGTACTGTGTTCTGCCAATTAGTGGAGAGAATGATTGCATTGGGAGAAAGAATAAATATTTTAACTGGTTAAGTAAAATTGTTGAAAGAAAATGAGATTTTACATAAACAAGAATACTCTGAAGTTGATTGCTTTTCTTGTTTTAATTTTGGGAAGCACACTCACCATATTTTCCTCTATTTTCTAATTTGTAAGGTTTTTCTCACTGTCAGAAACGAGAACAGATACTTGTTGAGTTGATGATTTATCAACATTTCACATGCAAAAGAATTCCACCAAATTTCTACAATCAGGTATAAAATACAGGCAATTGATTTTCTATGATTAATTATTGAGCAGCATTAAACATAGTATGCAGAAGACAGCTTTTTCTTTCTCTCAATATTGTCAAAAGAGGTCTACTTAATAGCAATTAAAGACAGAGGAAATATACCCCAAAATCTTTAATAAGCAGAGAAACTGTGCAGGAACTTCATTGCTTTGTTTACCATTACACAAGAGCCCACACACTGCCACATTTCTTCAGGAACAATGTCTTGGAATGCCTCCAGTCATGATTAACTACATCAAAAGTCAAGGCATCTGCCATCTATGTTCGTATCACAATTATGCCAAGTCCAGGCAGACTATAGAGATGGGAGAAGGTAACCAGATGCTCATAAATAACAAGGTTTCTGTGAAAAGCTATAATGCAAGGGCATCTACATTTTAGAGAAAAAATGCTCCAATTTAAGGTTTTGCAAATATTATAAAAGCATCACTTAATACTATGCATGAGTGTCTAAATTCATTTAACTAGCATATTGCTTTTTACCTATTAAAATAGCAAATATTTTAATGCCTGTGTTAATTGCATTATAGCAGTGCTGTTTATTTGCTAGTGATAAGAGAACTATTTCCATTTCTTTTTTAATCTCAACCTCAACAATAGAATATCTTTACATATTTTATGAATGTTTAATATCATATTTAACATTTTTCTGGAATTTCAGGGTTGTAAAAAGACTGGAAATAAAAATTTTTTTCATGCCATTTTTAAGTTCACGAAGTTGTGAAGATTTTAGGAGAATGTTTGATCTTGAAAGAATCCCAGCTTACTTTTGAGAGTCATGAAAGAGCTCTTTAGCTTGGAGAAGTTTTATATTGTTAGTGAACTCCCATTCTCCAGAATACCAGACAAAAGAGAGCTGACATTGACTCACCAGAAGTTCTTTTTACTCATAGCCTTTCCTGATCAGTGAATTTGAATCATAACAATTTAATATTATGCATTGATATATGTGCAAATGTCAACGTATTCCTTTCTTAAACCCAGCCAAAAACTGTTGCCAATAATGATTTTTTCACTTCCTGGACAGATCATATAATCTAAAAGCACATTGGTTTAAATTATTGTTAAATGTTTTTCTTTAAGAGTAAATTCCAAAATTACTTAAGTGGGGAACTTAAGAAACCCTTAAATATATGTTGGAAGTGGAGAATGTTATGAACAAGCAACCCAGGTATATTCTTGGAGGCTAGCTCATTGGGGCCTGCCTTTGCCCTAATATATGATGCTGGAGAGGTCCTAGATGCCATTAGTGATTTCCCAGAGTGTCAGAGTACACACTGGTGTGTACTGTTTGAGGCTGGGTAACAGGAATTGTTGCTCAAGGAAATCTTGAGTGGTGCTAATTTCCCTGTGAATCATCAGATGTGTGTTCTGATATATTTCACAATTTTGGCTGATTGTTGACATTAATTTTGGTGAAAAGTCCAACATGCTGGGAACATTCTCATTTTATTTGATCTGTTTTCTCTGAAATCCTGTGCCAGCTGTCATCTCACATTTTAGACTCCTTAGAGGTAAAGCTAAAGTAGAGTTTTAAACACCAAGAAAATCTAAATGTGCAAAGTAGCACTTTAAAGTTTCTTACATTAACTTTATCTTAATAAACAATATGCTTTTAATAGGAGACACTGATTAGTAGTCACTGAGATAACTTAAATGGTACTCTAGTGTCATGAACTACAGCTGCCTTGAAATGTAACAAGTCCATCAAAATTATTATATGCATCATCACTGTCTTTATGAATATATATTTATTGAGGAACCACTGTGTACCTGGTACCCTACTAGGAGCTTGCAGAACATTTGCTGAGATTATTCGAAAGATATTTTTCTTCATGCAAATTGGGATTTCATGTATATTAGGAACTGAATCAGAAACACATATACCAGTCACTATTGGATAGTAAAATATCAGGATAAAATGAGAGTAGAGAATGTTATTCATATTTTACTATGGTTTTATGTATTTATCTCAATACTCTCTACTTTTATTTGGAGGGAGTTCACTGGTAAATGTGATGTGTCTGAGCAGGCAAATGAGGAAGAGAAAAGAAATAAAGTAAAAACACAATGTATGGGAGTGGTAAAGGAAAGGCTATATAAGAGAAGGGTAGAACTGCTATGCAATGCAAGTGACTTTTCCTTTTGCTGGTATTTTATTGTTCATCCTTGCCAGGGATGGACAATCTCCAGTGTCCCTCCTGTGACTGCTGCCTCTGATATGTATACAACCACCAAATATTCTGTGGCATCTACAGAGAGAACAGGATGGAGGAGTGTTCTGGCCATAATGAGAGTGTGTACCACAGCAAAATTTTACTTTTATTTGATATCGGATCTGGGGCAATCCTGAGAAGCATTTGCTTTTCTTAAATTTTTATAAACAATATTTGAATGTGTTTTTTAGAGGGGAAGCATACCATAGTGAAAAGAGAATAAAATTTAGAGTCAGTCCAAACTTGGTTCACATTCCTATTATGTGACTATGATCAAATTACTTAAACTTTCAGTTTGTTTATTTGTAAAATGTCAAGATATAATTTAAAAAAAAACACTTGTCTAAGAGAGTGATCATTAGGATTAATCATGATAACAATATTACAATGCTAAACCTAGTGCTTGGTGTGAAGTGAAAACTGTAAATATTCTACTATGTAAATTTTAATATTTAAGAGTATTTAGGTAGTCTATGAATTAATCACCTAAATGTTTATATATATAATGTGGTAATGTTATCTACATTGGTTTCTGTTGTGAATAATATTTTACTTACAATTTTAAAAACTGAATTTGAAAAGAATGATAGCTTTGTATCAATTCTGGTGATTTTTTTTCCCGGGGTTAAACCAAAGAGAATGAGGTAAACATGTCATGAATATTTTGTATCACTGGAAGGATCAGACAACTAAAAAAAATTGAAGAGTGCTCTATTATAAAGTCATGCCCCAAAAGAGAATTATTGGTTGGCATTTCTATACTATAGGAATAAGAAACTCTCCTCAAAATGTAATTACATCAATATCGAAAGTCAAAATAAGTCAGATGTTTATGAAACATCTCTCTACATCCTGTAATGCAGTGTGCACAATTTAAAGATCATCAATGACTTTAAACATAGCTCAAAATGTGGCTCTGGAAACATATGTGGGATTGACACAGAATGTACTCATCTGTGTTCTGGGGTGATGCGGTGCTTGTGCTATGGATATTGACATACTTAGTCTCAGGTCCACATTGCATAGCAAGCATGTGCTGAGAAACTGCCCACATTTTTTTTTGTTGTTTTGAATTTGTTTTTGTATTAAATATCATTTAGAATGGTTGCTGTACTGGTTGAACTTTGAATATTTCCTTATGATATCTTTTGTTAATTGTTTTATTTATTGCAAAAGTTTTAGAATTTCATTTATTTCTAAGTAGCTTTGTGCAAGCGATTTCAACCTTCTTAGGCCTCGCTTTCTTTTGATGTCAAATGAGCCACCAACCTAAATAATTTTCCATCTCTGTTATTTCATAATTTGAGAATGCTACGTATAATACTGCAGCTGCCTCAGAATAATATTTGGTCAGTGTGATAAAATAGACCAAAAAATTGTTGAAAATAATTCAAATAGCAATTGGTGCACTATGATTTGGATATTTAACCCCTCCAAACCTCATGTTGAAATTTGATCGCCACTGTTAGAGGTGGGGCCTAATGGGAAATATTCGGGTCATGGGGGCAGACCCCTAATGAATGACTTGGTGCCCTCCTTCAGTTATCACTCTTAGTTCCCATGAGAGCTGGTTGTTAAAAAGGTCTTGATCCTTCTCTTTCCTCTCTCTCATTTCCTCTCTCACCCTATGAACTCTCCACATGGCGTCTTTCCTTTGCCTGCTCCCCTTCGACTTCTGCTAAGAGGAAAAGCAGTCTGAGGCCCTCAATAGATGCAGATGCTGGTGCCATGCTTCTTATGCAGCCCGCAGAACTGTGAGCCAAATAAATGTATTTTCTTTACAAATTACCCAGCCTTGGGTGTTCCTTGATAGAAATACAAACAGAATAAGACAGGAGTTTTTGAAAGCCCTGTGAAAATTATAAAGGGGTATACCAGCATAAGATATTAAAATGTAATCAGTTAAATTAGAGAAATAAATCAAGTGGTTAAACACAAGGATTGAATGTGCATAGATTCAAATTTATTAACTGCTCCTTTTGGACATACCATTTGCTTTCTATGTTACTTATTCTCTACCAGGTATAACAAACAGGCTGTGGTAATAACAATAGCAGTAGTAGTAGTCATAGTAGTAGTAGTAGTAATAACTACTATTAATTGAACATCCACTGGGTGCCAATCATTTTGTGATATGTATCTATACATCTCTATCTGCTCCTTTCTATATACATATATATCTTAAATTGCAAAGTAGACATCACTGTCCCCAGCTCACTAATGGAGATAGAAAGGACATATAAGTAGACACCTTGTTTTAATTTTAAACCTAGTCAATGTCATATTTGATATTCTGGCTCAGGACTGTTTTATTCAAGGTGTGTTCTTAATTATTATGCTTTGAGGCCATTGAACATCTCCTCTCAGTTTCCTTATTTAATACTTTCCTTCTTCTGCAACTTTTTTGTTTGTTTTAGATTACTGGTTTTAAAAACTATTGACATAAGGCAAAGCTTGATGTCTTGCTGTGGTCAAATGCTTTGATGAAAATATGGTTAGGAACAAATTCACAGATTATGCTTCCTTATATATCTGTAATGTTTGCAGGTTTCTCTTACCTGATACTTTTTATATATTCTTAAGGAAAATAATCATAAACACACTTAGTATATGTAGAAAAATTGGCTAGCTATTACTTCAATAGGGATAATTTAAAGGGAGGTGTATTTAATTCAAAATGTAAGCACATAGACACATTCACATTTTATTTTTCTTTTGGTTCTAGGAAGGCTTGAGCCAGATTCACTGATTGAAGATTTATGTTTTCCAATTTATAAACTATTTACTGAAGGTATAATGGGCTTTTTACAGAGAATATGTCAGGCTAGTTGAGACATTGGTTCATGGAAGATAGCTACTGCCTGTCAGAATGGTGACAGTGGTCAGTGAGCTTTGCTTTTTACCAAAAGTCTGAATCCCAATTTCAATTGAAAAAGTTAAATTGGAAATGCAGATTCCTTATCATTCTGTCACTGAATTTAATCTTTAAGACTAACACATAGGGAAGATTAGAAATTTTAATGGATTATTGGGAGTAAATTCTAAACAACAGACATTTATTATAATTGATAAAAACTAATATTTTATGAAGGAATTAGAATATCCCTTGAGTACTGTTTATACACATTGAGGGAAGGAAAAATGATTTACTTTTCAGTTAAAAATCATTTGGGGACTGAAACCACCATTGCACATTTGTAACTGAGACAGTGAAAGAGATCCGACCTAACCGACTCCATCTTGCTTCTAACCTCCAAGCTGTCCTTGTTCATTCCTGGGTGTAGGCCGAACTAACTTTGGGAGGAACTTAGTTTATACTTTAAAACAAAGACGATAACAGCCCTTTCCCCAAACATCCTTCTTGCCTGGGGACTAGACAGCCTCTGTAGGACTAACAAATTAGCCACAAGATTAGAAATTATGGTTTAGGAGTCATACAGGTAGAGGCTACAAGATTCTGACCCTTCCTAAACTGCTCCTAAGATCAGTGCTTGAGATATTTTGCAGACCCTGCACTTGATGAATCAGCTGGCACCACAAAGATCAATAAACTGGCTCATCTGGTCTTGTGGCCCCCACCCAGGCACTGACTCAGCATAAGAAGACAGCTTCGACTCTCATCTCTGACCTAAACAATCAGCACTCCCAGCTCACTGGCTTCCCCTGACCCACCAAGTTGTCCTTAAAAACTCTGATCCCTGAATGCTCAGGGAGACAGATTTGAGTAATAGTAAAACGCCAGTCTCCCCCACAGCTGGCTCTGAGTGAATTACTCTTTCTCCTTTTCTTAATGAAATTTTTAAAAATTTATTTCTGTAGGTTATTAGGGAACAGGTGGTGTTTGGTTACATGAGTAAGATCTTTAGTGGTGATTTGTGAGATTTTGGTGAGCCCTTCACCCAAGCAGTATACACTGCACCCAATTTGTGGTCTTTTATCCCTCACCCCCTTCTCACCCTTTCCTCCTGAGTCCCCAAAGTCCACTGTGTCATTCTTATGCCTTTGCATCCTCGTGGCTTAACTCCCACTTATGAATGCAAAAATACGATGTTTGGATTTCCATTCCTGAGTGACTTCATTTAGAATGAAGTCATTAGAATAATAGTCTCCAATCTCATCCAGGTCACTGCAAATGCCAGTAATTCATCCTGTTTTATGGCTGAGCCATATTCCATCATATATATATATGTGTGTGTATATATATATATGTATATGTGTGTGTATATATATATATATATATGTGTGTGTGTGTGTGTGTATATATGTGTGTGTGTGTGTGTGTATGTATATATGTGTATATATATATATATATATATATATATATATGCACACACACATACCACAGTTTCTTTATCCACTTGTTGATTGATGGGCATTTAGGTTGGTTCTACGTTTTTGGATTTGTGAATTGTGCTGCTACAAACATGTGTGTGCAAGTGTCTTTTTTGTATGATGACTTCTTTTCCTCTGGGTAGATACCCAGTGGTGGGATTGGTGGATCAAATGGTAGTTCTACTTTTAGTTCTTTAAGGAATCTGCACACTGTTTTCCATAGTGGTTGTACTAGTTTACATTCTCCCCAGCAGTGTAGAAATGTTCCCCTTTCACCACATCCACACCAAAATCTTTTATTTTTTTACTTTTTGATTATGGCCATTCTTGCAGGAGTAAGGTGGTATCACATTGTCGTTTTGATTTGCATTTCCCTGATCATTAGTGATATTGAGCATTTTTCCATATGCTTATTGGTCATTTGTGTATCTTCTTTTGAGAATTGTTTATTCATGTCCTTAGCCCACTTTTAGATGGGATTGTTTGTTTTTTCTTGCTAATTTGTTTGAGTTCGTTGTAGATTCTGGATATTAGTCCTTTGTCAGATGTATAAATTGTGAAGATTTTCTCCCACTCTGTGGGTTGTCTGTTTACTCTGCTGACTGTTCCTTTTGCTGTGCAAAAGCTCTTTAGTTTAATTAAGTCCCAGCTATTTATCTTTGTTTTTATTGCATTTGCTTTTGGGTTCTTGGTCATTAAGTCATTGCCTAAGCCAATGTCTAGAAAGGTTTTTCCAAAGTTATCTTCTAGAATTTTTATAGTTTCATGTCTTAAAGTCCTTAATCTATTTTGAGTTGATTTTTGTATAAGGTGAGAGATGAGGATCCAGTTTCGCTCTCCTACATGTGGCTAGCCAATTATCCCAGTGCCATTTGTTGAATAGGGTGTCCTTTTCCCACTTTATATTTGTGTTTGCTTTGTCAAACATCTGTTGGCTATAAGTATTTGGGTTAATTTCTCAGTTCTCTATTCTGTTCCATTGGTCTAGGTGCCTATTTTTATACCAGTATCATGCTGTTTTGGCGACTATGGCCTTATAGTATACTTTGAAATCAGGTAATGTGATGCCCCCAGATTTGTTCTTTTTGTTTAGTCTTGCTTTGGCTATGTTGGCTCTTCTTTGGTTCCATATAAATTTTAGGATTGTTTTTTTCTAATTCTGTGAAGAATGATGATGATATTTTGATGAAAACTGGTTGAATTTGTAGATTGCTTTTGGCAGTATGGTCATTTTCACAATATTGATTCTACCTATACATGAGCTTGGGATGTGTTTCCATTTGTTTGTGTCATCTGATTTCTTTCAGCAGTGTTTTGTAGTTTTCCTTGTAGAGGTCTTTCACCTCCTTGGTTAGGTATATTCCTAATAGTCCCAAGTATCTTTTTTTTTCAGCTATTGTAAAAGGGGTTGAGTTCTTGATTTGATTCTCTGCTTGGTCGCTGTTGTATAGAAGAGCTACTGATTTGTGTACATTAATTTTGTATTCGGCAATTTTGCTGAATTATTTTATCAGTTCTAGGAGCTTCCTGGAGGAGTCTTTGTGGCTTTCTAGGTAAACAGTCATATCGTCAGCAAACAACGACAGAGGATCATGGCAGATGGAAGGCAGCACTAGATTATAGCTCCCACTCAGATGGACAGAGCAGCATGTTGAGGCTTGCATTGTGAACTTTTGCTTCAGAAAAACTGCAGGAATACATTAGGACAGCCAAGAGAACCCACAGACCCTCTGAAGGAAGTGGATTGCTCCTGTAGGACTTGGGAGACACCCCAAGTATTGTGAGTGTCCAAACCATGGAAGTGGGAAAGAGGGATTGTCCACCTCAGATCACACACCCCCACTAGGGAACCCGAGGGTCTAGATTACAGGAGAAGATTCTGACCTTACCTGGATCGGAGTCAATTGAGAGAGCCAAGTGAAACACAGGGGTAGAGGAAGCAGCGGGAAAAGCCCTGTGGGCTCACTGGGGCCCCTAGCAAGCCATTTCTGCCCTGCCTCACAGGGGTCCTTGGGGAGGTAGGAGGCCTGAGGCACTGGGAAAAAGCCACAGGGAGAAGGAAACTTCCAGCTGAGCTTTGTAACAATTTGAAGTGATTGAGAAGTCTCCTGTCCAGAGCTTGGGGGAGGGCATGAACCTGGTGTGCAGACCCTACAGGTTGGGAAAGAATGAAAGCCCTTCTTGCTTTTGCAGCTGGAAGTTGGGTAGCGTGGGGCAAGTTCTCAGCCCTGCTTGCCCACTGCCTGGAAACAGACTCGGGCTGTTGCAGGGCCTGGGGGGTGGGGGGCACGGTGGGAGTGAGACCGGCCCTTTGGGTTGTGTGGGAGCTGGGTGAGGCCTGTGATTGATGCCTTTCCCCCACTTCTCTGACAACTTGCATGGCACAGTGGAGGCAGCCATAATCCTCCTAGGAACATAGCTCTATTGACCTGGAAACCACACCCCATCCCCCTCAGCAGCTGCAGCAAGACCCGCCAAAGGAGAGTCTGAGCCCAGACACGCCTAGCCCTGCCCCCACCTAATGGTCATTCCCTACCCACTCTGGTAACTGAAGACAAAGTGCATACATTCTTGGGAGTCCCTGCCTACCGCCTGTTCCTCTTCACACGACCACAGCTGATGCTTTCTTGAAAGCACCACCTCCTGGCAGGAGGCCAACCAGCACAAAAATAGTGCATTAAGCAACCAAAGGAAAGGACCCTCACAGAGTCCATTTTACCCCCCCAGCCACCTCCACTAGAATTACTCTTTCTCTATGGCAATTCCCCTGTCTTGATAAATGGGCTCTGTCTAGGCAGCAGGCAAGGTGAACCTATTGGGTGGTTACAGGATGATGATAAAAATACTGTGACACTGTTCAGGAGGTGTGAAGGTCCACGTGGCTTATTTCATTTTTCTTTGATAGGCCAAACTAAACTGGGGTTTCTGTCTTTCTTTCTTTCCTATTTTTCCCATCTCTTACCATCGTCATTGATTTTCTTTTCTATGCCTTTAATCTATTCATTCAACAACCATTTTCTGAGCACCTACTGTGACTCAAGTCACCAAGTTGGTGGCAGGCATTCCGAAATGAAAACAAGATGGAACAAAAAAAAATTTTGGCCAGGCGAGGGGGCTCATGCTTGTAACCCCAGCACTTTGGGAGGCTGAGGCGGGCAGATCACTTGAGGTCAGGAGTTCGAGACCAGCCTGCCTAACATGGTAAAACCCTGTCTCTACCAAAAATACAAAAAATTAGCTGTGAGTGATGGCACATGCCTGTAATCCCAGCTACTCAGGAGGATGAGGCAGAAGAATCAGGAGGTGGAGGTTGCAGTGAACAGAGATTGTGCCACTGCACTCCAGCCTGGGTGACAGAGCGAGACTCTATCTAAAAAATATGCCCTTCAGTAGTTCTCTATCTCATGCCGCCATGTTATTCATTGATTAAGAAACATGGGAATCATAATTGTGTCCCCTCTGCTAACAAATTCTTAGTTGTACTCTCAAATGCTTGTTAGCCTAAGAACTTAAAAAATGTCATATTTCAATGAGCCAACAAAAGCCTATTACTTTTCTCTAAAAACGCTTCATTGGAAATTGTCCTAGTTGCCTTCTATGACTTTATACTGCTGGGTGTGGTGTCAGAGTCCCAGCATAGGGAAGTAATTGACTTGTGGATTGGTAAGAAGAACTTAATAACAGTATAGGTTTGAAAAAGGAAAGTTTTATTAAAGAGATAGAACACTGCAGGAGTGCAGTGGGGTGCCTCAGCAAGGGGACTGAGAGCACCACCCTGGATTTTTCCCTGGGGGTATTTATGGACCTTTAAGCAGGACCTGGAGGGTAATTTGCAAGATAAATGATTATATTTGTAGACATTTTGGTGCCTTAATATTGGCAAGGGTTGCACAGTGCGTTTCCGGCATGCATGCATTCTGGAGATGTGTATAAATTCTAGTTACTCATAAATTTTAAGTTGAAAACAGGCCTGAAACTAGGTGTCTTTAGATAATAGGTAAGTCTAATTACTTCTAAATTTCTCAGACAAGGAGTTTTTGTCTCGGGCCTGCTGGATGGTCACCAAGTGATTTTGTTCTCCTCTATCTCTCCTTCCCTTCACCAGACCCTGGATTTCTGATGCTCTCCTTCTGATACTCTCTGTGTCCTTAACTTGATTCATTCTAAGTTTGAGAAGCATAGGAGAGCACAATGATCAAGATAGAAAATATAATTGTTGTTGGAAAAGTATGTATTTTTGCGGGAATGCATTTCACTTCCTTGTATTGTTTTTAGCCCTGACCATTTCTGTCTCTAATCTAATGAAGGCAGCTGATATATTTTCTTGCTAATATACAACAAATTTGCTCTTCTTTAGATGGACAGCTTGATTATAGGATTGTCTTCTTTTTAACATAGTGCTAACCGCCATATTGGCTGATAATAGATAAATATAGTTAAATCTCATTAATTTGAAACTCAAAGGACTATAAAAGTTGGGCTCTGAATTAAGTAGAGTATATGTCATTTTATTTAAGAGTAGAGCATGTGGTTAGCGAGGAAATTGCAGCTGCTCAACAGATACTACTGACTCAACTAGAATTATATTTTATTTTGTAATGAACAATGTAATAATGCATAGAACTAAGACACTAAACATCTTATAGTTTTGAATGTAACTGTGCCATAGTTATGCACTATTTCTACAGCAATGGATAACCCTGCAAGTGACAAAAGCTGGAGAGTCAAAAGTAATGCACTAAAACTAAATGAAAATAGTCTTATTTTAGTACACATTGAGCTAGTAACAAGAGGGTAGTTTGTTGTGTTGAAATTGGGATTGCTACATAAAGAATTTGATAGTCAGAAGGCTGTGTATCTAGGAATTACGCCATTGATTGTATAGTCCCCCCGGGTTCCTTCACTTAAGGACTAGTTTTTCAAGGTCAAGAGGAACACCAAAACATAACATTCTCTTACTTGGCCATAGATGGTTCAGCTGAAAGACCTCAGAGGTGTGATTGTGTTGTCGTTTCTGTATGGAAAGCAGTGTTTAATATAATTTTCAAAAGATAGCTTATTTTCCTTTCTACTTAATCGGCCCATGAATACCATGGACTTTTATTTATTGGAGTATTTGTTGCTTGGAGGGTTCAAACAAAACCTGTCTATTGAAATTTTGAAAAACTACGTTTATCTTTTTGAACAAGCAAGACCTCTCTGTTTAACAGATGGCTCAGCAGTTGTAAGAAAATTATTCACAGCCCAAAAGCAGCACCATCATTTTAAAAAATTGTTTATTCTCAATTTACATAGTTTTAAAAGAGAAAGAGATTCTACGCTGTCTCCTTCTTATTGCGCCTTTGAGAAGACAATGCATTTCTGAACTTGACAAAAGGCAAACGTCTCAGTTTCATTTGAGGCTTAAATTAGATGGGATTTCAAATGCTTTCAATGGTAATACCATTTAAAAAACAAGATGGATGGTTTTTTCTTTCATGAAAAGGGTAAAACTCTGTTTCTTTATTTTCACTTAATTCTAATGCCATCTGACAGTCTTACTTTTGCTCATGTATGTAGAACCTGACGTTTCTACACCTAGCTACCTGTCTGGAGCAGTAAACCCCAAGGCTTACTCTGACCTAGAAGTACATTTTCTTAGATTTCTTATAGCTTTGTGACCTTCTTGATTTCTTCAAGTGACTTCTTTTCTAGTAATTGCCAGTGGCCAAGGAATAGAATTTTTCTGCATGTGAAGCAGACTGGCTAATATGGAAATAGATATAATTTACTTTGTCCAAATCAAATGTTCTGCATTAAAAATGTTTCATTTTTCAAAAGCTATTCTTGTTGTCACTTTGACGAGAGTTTGTAGAGTCAAAACCATAACCCCATTATGTAGAATATTGATATTATATCAAGTAGAACGATGGATTTATAGTACTAGAATGGATCTTGAAAGGAAATTTTGTCGAAAACATTGCCTTAAACCAAGACATGCTCACATTATCTCAGAATAGGAAGGGAATTCACAATATTTTTCCATAAACTTTTCTAAGATTCTAAACTCTCAAAGGTCTTCCTTATTTTCTTAAAAGACCAGAAAGTCCTACCATTTGTCAAATTAGAGTCTTACTTCCATTTGGCATCATTTTCTTTTTGGAGGAGGTATCACAAAGAGTTTAGCAAAAAGTCATCAAAAAAAATTTTTTTTAGACATTTGAAAGAGAAAGTATCAACAGCTGGCAGGAATCTATTCTCCTTGTAGTTGAATGACATCCTTGGTATGTTTGAACTTATGCTTTAAGTGTGGACACATAGCCCTATTGATACATCATTAATAAAGCTGATGCCAAGTGTTTGCTCCCTTCACAGTGCAATTAGCCCTATTTTGTTCCCTGGCCAGAGACTATACCTGTAATCTCAGCCAACTCCTTAAAAAATATGTATTATAATTTTTAGGGGGATCTGGGAGGCAATGTGGATGAATCAGGGAACTGTCTCTCTTTTAATTGAAAAAAAAAATCTGCTTTACTGATAGAATCAGTTGTATTGTTTTCTTATAAAGGAGAGCCTGTGAAACTAATGCAGTGGAAGAAGTCTACTGTAATATAAGGGATCTTCAAAAACTTCATGGAAAATGCATATTATAGAAAAAACTATGCTTGGATTTTAAAATATTTATGCACCAAAACTAACTTGTACTAACTAGTTAGAATATTTTTGAATAGTACCTAGTTTGAGGCATTAAGAAGGATAATGCAATTTGAAAAGAGACCGTATTAGAGTAACATGAACTCTACTAAAATTGAAGCAAGAACAAACATGAAATTTATGGTGAAACTTGGGTGGAAGAATGGTAAAATTATTGATGCTTTATGAAAAGTTTATGGAGACAATCCCCCAAAGAAATCAGCAGTTTACAAATAGATAACTCATATTAGGAAGGGACAATGTAATGTTGAACATGAAGCCTGCAGCAGCAGACCATCCACATAAATTTGCCATCCAACTTTACAAATTTTGTGAGGAAAACACTCATCTTGCTCATGCCCTAATTGAAGAGAATCAAAAATTAATAGCAGAAACAATAGCCAGTACCACAGACATCTCACATGATTCAGCTCACACAATTCTGAGTGAAAAATTAAAGTTGAGCAAACCTTCCACTTGATGGGTGCCAAAATTGTTGCACCCAGCATAGCTGAGGAGAAGAGCAGGGCTTCAGCCGGGCGCGGTGGCTCACGCCTGTAATCCCAGCACTTTGGGAGGCTGAGGCGGGCGGATCACGAGGTCAGGAGATCGAGACCATCCTGGCTAACACAGTGAAACCCCGTCTGTACTGAAAATACAAAAAAAAAAAAAGTTAGCCGGGCTTGGTGCCAGGTGCCTGTAGTCCCAGCTACTTGGGAGGCTGAGGCAGGAGAATGGCGTGAACCTGGGAGGCAGAGCTTGCAGTGAGCCGAGATCCCGCCACTGCACTCCAGCCTGGGCGACAGAGCAAGACTCTGTCTCAAAAAAAAAAAAAAAAAAAAAAAAAAAGGCAGAGCTTTAAATAGAAATTTTAAACAAGTAAAATCAAAATCCTGAAACATTTCTTCAAAGAATTATAACAAGAGATGAAACATGGCTTTACCAGTATGATCCTGACAATGAAGCCTAATTAAAGCAATGGCTACCAAGAGGTGGAAGTGATTCACTCAAATCAAAAGTGGACCGTGAAGAGCAAAGGTTGTAGCAACAGTTTTTGGGTATGGTCAAAGCATTTTGCTTGTTGACTTTGTGGCTGGTCAAATAATAACATCTGCTTATTATGAGAGTGTTTTGAGAAAGTTATTCAAAGCTTTAGCAGAAAAATGCTCAGGAAAGCTTCACCAGAGAGTCCTTCTCCACCAGTACAATGCTCCTGCTCATTTCTCTCATCCAACAATGGCAATTTTGGTAGAGTTTTGATGGGAAGTCATTAAGCATCCACCTTAAAGTCATAATTTGTCTTCTTCTGACTTCATTTGTTTCCTAATATTAAAAAAGTCTGTAAAAGGCACCCATATTTCTTCAGTTAATAATGTAAATAAGA
Source organism: Homo sapiens (assembly GCF_000001405.40). Taxonomy (NCBI): domain Eukaryota; kingdom Metazoa; phylum Chordata; class Mammalia; order Primates; family Hominidae; genus Homo; species Homo sapiens. The sequence continues at coordinate 99,895,772 of NC_000023.11, read as the reverse complement.
TCACATTAACATGGTTAGATTCCCAGGACCCTCAGCTTTTAGAGATGAACTAAATGGCTGGTGTTATCACTTACAAAAGTATCTAGAACTTCATGAACCTTATGTTGAAAAATATAATTTATAGTTTCTACTTTTACCTTTTAATTCCCTTTTTCCATGAACTTATTTAAATCCCCAAATCCAAATATTTATTTGGTATCTGTGTCTTATATCTACACAATATTTGAAAATCTTAGATACCTAAAGGCCACCTTTCTCTTAGTTCTCATGTAGGGTAAATGAAGTCACTTCCCACCTACTGATGTTCTCAAAACATCTCTAAAGATAAGCACTCATGCAAATTATCATGATGACTTTGCAATTGCTATTTGTGTCTGCAGTGTACCTAAGATAGCTGTGCTCAGCAAAAGAAAGGCATACTTTCCTGCCAAATCAATGCCAGGCATTGTGTTTTACATCTCCCCAAAACTGGTACTTTGTGAGAAGAGTTACAGTGACTATCAATCACTAGCAGGAGCCATCAGATCAGATTGATTCTGATAGTTGAAACTACCGTACCAATTTCAGGCCTGTGAACATTGTACTGTTTTCCAAAGTGTCTGCAGTATAGATATTTCTGCACCTCTGTTCCCAGTAAGATGCTACAGTAACCTATTGATTTTTCTAGAAACCATGTTCCTTTGCTAGAATATTACCTCTGTTTTCGTTAATTGATGAATTGGTTGTCAATCATAAATTACTCCACAGGTAAGTGAATTTTATTATGTATAATCATACAATAACTTGAAACCTACATAGTTTCCTTCTGATACCATTAAGGAGAAATAAAGCTCTATTCTTCTACCTGCTTTCCTCATTCGTTTTAGTTGTAAAATTGAAAGGTAACATTGATATAATAGCAAAAAACTGTAAGCACAATTTTTAGGGCTTAGATTCTTGTCATTTTTTGTTTGCTATCTAGTTGAATGACCTTAAGCAGGAGAGTCATATAACTTCTTGGAGCCTCAGTTTCTTCTTCTTTCAGATAATAGCACAATCATGAATGCCTTTTGAAATAGCAATGCATTATGTTAAATAAAGGGCAATATTGTTAACATTGCTTTGAAAACCCTCTACATTTGTCCTTTTTTTAAAAAAAAAGTTCAGTAATTTCTGCCTTTTTTTCCTTATATTACTTTTTCCCCTATTATGAAAGAGCTGCTAATATAATGTCTTGAATTTTCTTAATTATTCTTTCCAAAGAAGTTATGATTACATAAATTTTGCATTTTGGAGAGAGCTCATTATTATGCTTAGACTTGAAACATGGATAGTCATTAAACATTAAAGAACTACTCCTGTCTTATCATTTAGATCTTTTGAAATAAAGCAGTGGAACAGACTATATTCTGGCCCTTACACTGGAATGAAATACAGTTTTCTGAAATGTAGAAGCATTTTTCTTTTGCTATTTCTATTTCACTCAGGCTGGTAAATGCCTAAGGGACACAGCACATTTTGGACACTGCTTATGTTCCACTGCTTTTCTTGGTCCATGTCCTCTGATGGAAAAGTCTCAGGAAGCATTAGCAGTAGGAGGCTTTCTCAATGTAAACAGATGTGTGATTCTCTTCAGTTCGGTGGAATCGTGTCTCCAACACGTTTAAACTCTTTGCTTAGTCGATACGGCGAGTCTCTCAAATTATCTAATTGATGTCAACTCCATTCTATTCAGGAGGTTAGAGAAGCGAGGAATCTGTTGGGAATGAGGTAAATGTAAGGAATTCTTAGACGGAAGAGTCTTCACTCCCTTGTTCATTTTCCAGATTGGTGGAACTTAAAATAGTCCACCTTGTAACATGTGACATAGGCAAAGAAGAGCAAGGTTTATTTTAGAAAAAGGGAGATTTATTAAAATAATAGAATAGACAGTTTTATGAACATCCATCCTTCTAGCTTATCAGGCCAGAAATAGCAGGGCAACTTTGATTCCTCCTTTTTTAAAAACAGATTTATTGAAGTATAGTTGATACACAAAAAAACTGCATGTGTCTAATGTATATAATTTCATGGAGTTTGGACATATGCATACACCAATGATACCATTACTACAATCAAAATAATAAATGTATCCATCCCCTCCAAAAGTTTTCTAGTGTCCTTTGTGTGTATGAGTGTGGTAAGAACACTAAATATGAGATCTACACTCAATAAAATTTTAAGTGTGCAATACTCTATTGTTTTCTATAGGTGCTATGTTATACAGCAGATCTTTAGGACTTACTCATTCAGCATAACAGAAACTTTATGCTCATTGAGCAAAATCTCATTTTGTCTCCCCCATAAGCTCCTGACATCTACCATTCTACTCTGCTTGTATGAGTTTGAATATTTTAAATATCTCATATGAGTGGAACCATGCAGTATATGCCCTTCTCTGACTGGCTTATTTTTCTTAGCATAATCTCCTCCAGATTCATCTATGTTGTTGCAAATGGCAGAACTTCCTTCTGTTATAAGCCTGAATAGTATTCCACTGTGTGTCTTTACCATATTTTCTTTATTCACTTATTTGTTGATGAATATTTAGATTCTTTCCATATCTTGGCTATTGTGAATAATGCTACAATAAACACAGGAGTGCAAATATCTGTTTGAGATCTTCATTTCAGTTCTTTTGGATATGTACTCAGAAGTAGGATTGTTGGATCATCTGATTATTCTATTTTTAATATTTTGAGGAACCTACATACTGTTTTGTATAGTGGCAGCAGCATTTTGCTTTCCCACCAACAGTGTGAAAAAGTTTGAATTTCTCCACATTTTCACCTATACCTCTCTCTCTCTCTCTCTCTCTCTCTCTCTCTCTCTCTCTCCCTTTCTCTCTCTCTTTTTAGATAATGGGATACTGGTTATCCTAACATGTGTGAAGTGATTGCCACAAAATTCACCCATTTAAAATGTACAATACAGTGGTTTTTAATATATTCACAGAGTTCTGTAACCATCATCACAATCAATTTTACATTTTTATCACACTCCCCCCAAAATCCCCGTACTCATTAGCAGTCACTCACCATCTTCCTACAATCCCCCTACCCAGCCCCAGGCAAAAATTAATCTGCTTTCTGTCTGTAGATTTGCCTATTCTAGCTTGTCTTGTTCTTGATCTTAGAGGAAAACCTTTCAGGTTTTTTTTTTTTTAACATTGAGTATGATGTTAGCTGTAGGCTTGTCATATATGACCTTTATTATGTTGAGGTGCCTATATCTACTAATAGATTGTAGAGCATTTTTATCATCAAAGGGTATTGAATTTTTTCAAATACTTTTTCTGCAACTATTGAGAGGATAATATGCGTTTTATTAATTCTGTTAATGTGGTGTATCACATTTATTAGTTTGCAAATTTTAAACCATCCTGGCTTCCCAGGGATAAATCCCACTTGGTCATAGTATATAATCATTTAAATGTGCTATTGATTTTAATTTGCAAGTGTTTTGTGGATGATTTCGGCACCTATGTTCATCAGGGTTATTGATCTGTAATTTTCTTATCTTGTTTTATCTTTGTGTGGTTTGGTACTATGGTTGTGCTGGCCTCACAAAATGAGTTTGGAAGTGTCCCTTCATACCCTACATCTAATCCATCAGCAAATAGCACTGATTTAAATTTGTCCACTTCTCACCATATCCAGTGCTGTATCTCTAATCTAAGGTACAATTTCTCATTTGTGTTATTGTCATAGTATCTAACTTATCTCTCTGCTTTCATTCTTGACCCACAGTCTATTCTCAACACAGTATGAATTGTTATTCTTTAAAAAGTTAAGTTATATTGCATTACTCCTTTGATCAACATTCTCCAATGGATCTGCATTTCACTTAGGGTTTATAACAAAGTCATATCAATAAGTACAAGGTCCTACACAATCTTTACGACCCTTATGTTATGTCTCTATCTTAATGTCCTACTATTTGTTCTCTTTACTTTATTTCAAGTCATTTCACTCCACCCACATTTTCATCCTTGATACTCCTTGAATATTCTAGGCGTATCCCTGCATTAAGGACTTTGTACTGGTTGTTGCATCTGTCTGAAAGCCCTCTCCATCTCCACCCCAACCCATATCTCCAGGACCAACTTCTTCACCTCCTTGAAGAAGTCTTTATTTAAATGTCGTCTTAACTCGCCAACCCATCTACCTGACCCTTACCCCACACTACCAGTTTCTTTCACATTTAGTTTTTCTTCTTTTTCCTTAGCACTTATTACTTTCTCCCACCTGTGTAATTTACATGATGCTTATCATTTTCTGTCTCTCTCCTACCACTAGAAAGTAATTTTCATAGGAGTAAGGACCTTTGTTTTGTTCGCCAATATAAAACTGATGCTTAGAATAATGTTTGGTATATAGTGGGCATTCAAGAAACATTTGTTACATGAATGAAAAAAGTGGATGTATGAATGGAAGTATAGAAAATTGAAAGGATGAGAAATAGAATAGAGCAGGGCTAGGTGGCGACTGACCCAGGCATATAGGAAACTAAAGGAACTTCTTTATCTCATTTGTATTATTTTGTGCACTGTGATCTTTTCCACCCTACTTTGTTGTATATATTTGTTCCATCATCCACACAATGATGTTTTATGGTTGTAAGCAAACAAATCCTGTTCTGGTTTTGTTAAGCTCATTCCTAAGTATTTTATTGTTCTGATGCTATCACAAGTATAATTGTTTCTTAATTTCTTTTCAGATTGCTCATTGTTACTGCATAGATATAAATTTGAATTTTTATATTCATCTTGTATACAAAATCTTTGCTGAACTTGCCTATTAGCTTATATTTTTAATGGATTTCTTAGGATTTTCCATATATAAGATCATGTCATTTGTAAACAGAGATAGTTGTACTTCTTTTCCAATTTGGATACTTTTAATTTCATTGTATTATCTAATTGCTTGGCTATAACCTTCAGTACAATGTTGAGTAGCAGTGGTAAAAGTGGACATTCTTGTCTTGTTCTTTTTTTTCTCTTTTAAATGACAGAAAAAATGCATGTATTTATTATGCACAAGTGATGTTTTGAGCAATATATACATTCTTGAATGACTAAATCTAGTTAATGTTCATAATTACTTCATAAGTTATTTTTGTGATAACTTGAACATAATGTTCAAATTACATCATAAGTTATTTTTGTGATGAGAACACTTAACATTAACTCTCTTAACATTTTCCAATGCTGAGAGTTATACTGTATTGACTATTGTTACCATGTAGCACAATTAATCTCTTGAACTTATTCCTCCTATCTAAATACAATTTGTAATCCTTTGACCAACATCACCTCAACCTCCTCCCCCAAATCCCCCTTTCTGGTAACCACCATTCTACTCTCAAGTTCTATAAAATAAACTCTTTTAGTTTCCACATATGAATAAGATCATGTCATATTTGTCTTTCTTTGCCTGGTTTATTGCAGTTAACATAATGTCTTTCAGGTTCTTCTATGTTGTTGCAAATGGCAGGATTTCCTGCCTGTTTTTATGGTGGAATAGTATTCCATTGTGTACATATACTACAGTTCCATTACTCATTCATCCATTGATGGCCTTATCTTATACTTTATCTTAGGGCAAAAGCTTCCAGTCTTTAATCATTAAGTATGTTAGCTGTGGGACTTTCATAGATTCCTTGTAACAGGTTCTGGATGTCCTCTTCTATTCCTAGTGCATTGAATTTTTTTTTTTTCATGTAAAGGCATTGGATTTTGTCAGATGCTTTTTCTCCATCTAGTGAGATGATCGTGTGGTTTTGCCTTTTATTCTATTAATACGGTGCACACTCTGGTTTGAAAGATAGTGTCTCCTCCAAAATTCATGTTGAAACTTTATTCCCAATGCAGCAATATTAATAAGTGTGGCTTATGGGAGGTGATTAAGTCATGAGGACTCCACCCTCATGAATAAGATTAGCAGCCTTATAAAACGCTCAAGTTTGATGGAGGCACTCTCCTGCCCTTCAGTCCCTTCCCTCCCTTCTGCCATGAGAAGATACAGTATTCATTTCCTCTGAAGGATGCAGCAACAAGGCACCATCTTGGAACCAGACAGCAGTCCTCATCAGATACTAAATGCTGTCACCTTGATTTTGTACCTTGCAGCCTTCAGAACTACGAAAAAATATATGTTTTTGTTTTTTATAAATTACCCAGCCTGTGGTATTTTGTTATAGCAGCACAGACTGAAACAGTATGTTATATTGATTGGTCTACAAATGTTATCAACTTTCAATTCCTGGGATAAATTTCACTTGGTTATATTGTATAATCTTGTATAATTATTTTTATATGTTGTTGGGTTTGGTTTACTAATATTTTGTCAAGGATTTTTGCATCTATATTCATAAAGGATATTAGTCTTTAGCTTGTGTGTGTGTAATGTTTGTCTGGTCTTGGTATCTGGGTAAAACTGGCCTGATAAAGTGAATTGAAAAGTGTTTCCTCCTATTCTACCTTTTTGGAGAAGTTTGAGAAGCATTGGTGGTAATCTTTTACATGTTTGAAGAAATTATGAGTGAAATATTGGCATGGGATTTTTTTTTTTGGTAGTTGTTTCATTACTAATTTGATCTCTTTATTTGCTGTATTTCTATTTGGACTTTTAAAAAAATATCTTCTTGAGTCAGTTTCGTATGTTTGTGTCTTTCTGGAAAATGTATCCATTTACATAAACTATCTAATTTATTGATTTGTTGGTATACAATTGCATATTGTATTTTCTTTTTTTTTTTTTTTTTTTTTTTTTTTTTTTGGCAGAGTCTCACTTTGTTGCCCAGACTGAAGGGCAGTAGTGCAATCTCAGCTCATTACAACTTCTACTTCTGGGTTCAAGCCATTCTCATGCCTGAGCCTCCCAAGTAACTGGGATTACAGGTCTGTGCCACCATGCCCAGCTAATTTTTGTATTTTTGGTAGAGACGGGGTTTTGCTATGTTGGCCGGGCTGTTCTCGAACTCTTGACCTCTAGTGATCCGCCTGCCTTGGCCTCCCAAAGTGCTGGGATTACAGGCGTGAGCCACTGCGCCCAGCCAATGCTTTTTATTTCATAATGTTGGTAGTCATGTCCCCTTTTATTTCTGATTCTAGTAATCTGAATCTTCTCTCTGTTTTTCTTGGTCAGTGTAGCTAAACGTTTGTAAATTTTGTTGAGCTTTTCAAAAATATAACCTTTGTTTTCATTGATTTTATCTATTTTTAGTCTCTGTTCCATTTATTTACATGCTAATGTTTATTATTTTCTTCCTTGTGCTTGCTTTGGATTTTTTCTTTTCTTAGGCTTTTAGGATGGAAGATTAGGCTATTGATTGAGACCTTTCTTGGGGGAATTTTTGTGTCTCCTGGCATAAAGTTATCACTTCTAAGAATTGTTGTTGTTACCATTCTCGAAGAGAATGTCTATTCCATGTACCAACGTACCTAGTAGGGTTGTTAACCAGTACTTTATTTCAAAAAGTAAAAAAAAAAAAAAAAAGTAAGGGGGCCGGGCGAGGTACCCCAGGGTGCCAGTGGCACCAGTGCCAGGAGCTGAAGACGGAACCCGGACTGAGGCACATCGGCTGCAGTGGCGAGTGCTGGAGGCAAGGTGAGGTGAACTAGAGCTGTCCCCACCGCCCGACCGCCCATAGAGGCTGAGCTGTGGCCTTCTCAGGGCTGAGCGGTGTGGAGCGGCGTGGGAAAAGTGGGTATGGCAGCGATTTCCCACCCCCACCCCGTGCCCCCACCCCCGCACCACCGAGCTGGAACTAGTCTTGGACAAGATATGAGACATGAGTGTTGAACGTTGAAGAATAAAGTTGTTGGGTAACCTGATGATGGCAAATGTCTTCATTTATTTGATTGTGGAAGCCTCCAAAAGCAGTAGCCAATAATAATAATAATAATAATAATAATAATAATAAATGTAAGGTGGGTTAATAATAATACCCAAAGAGAAGCTTTGGAAGATTGCTACACCTCTCGAGGCACACTGGAACAGAGAACAAGAAAAGCTGAACAAGTGGTACAATCCCATCCTGAGTATGTTGGCCAACCAGACGGGGAAGTGTACGGGTTTTTCAGTATAAGCCATCTGAATTACTGTGAACCTGACTTGAGGTTCACGTCAGTGGTTACAGATTTTAACAATTTCCTGGACAGATGTGATGACTTTCTGATGTATTTGAGATGCTGCAATGATTCACTGCTTTTAGATCAGCCAGATAAGTGTGCAAAGAAGCACTTCTTATTTCTGGTGATTAAGTACCTCACTCCGCATTTTGCCAGAAGGCAAGTGATTCCGGATTCCTGGGTCAGAGAAACCAACGTGGGAAACCAAAGGGTGATGTAAGTTTTCTTGCTGGGTCAGATACCCCCAGAGGTCAACCACCCGGACTTTTCTGATATGCTGAAATTTGAGAATGAGAAGCACCCAAGATAGTTTTATGCGGAGCTATAGAGACACTTTCTTCAAGTTGTCTCTGAAAGAAGTGTTGTTTCTCGCTGGGTAAGTACTTCCTGCCCAGACACGTAGCTTGTTTTCAAGGGCAAAGATGATGTTTTTGTGAACACCCATTACATACTGAATTACGTGAATAGCTTATTCAAGAAAAAAAGCCAAAGATCTGTTTATAGGTGATGTGATCCACAATGCTGGACCTCATGGGGATAAGAAGCTGAAATACTACATTCTAGAAGTTGTTTACTCTGTCCTCTACTCACCCTATGCAAGGGGGAGGGCGGATTCCTCTAGTCCAGCCACCTGGCTCTGAGGCTGTACCATATCACTGACTGGGTCCATCTCTAACCTATTGATGATTTTTATACTGCAATGTGCCTTCAAAAACTTAGCCTTGTTCCAGAGAAGCACAAAGGCTTCAGGACATTTGATATGAAGGAGACAAACAAGAATAACATTTGTTCCTACATAGATCTGATGTTAGTACATAGTGGAAAACCTGAAGAGATGATTGTTATTTGGTCTCGGTTGCAAAATGCTTATTTAAAATGCTAAAATATATCCAAACTAAATTTTGCATAGAAAGGTGTATTTTGAGTGGTTCCCGTGTTGTGTTCTCACATTACAATATTTTTTAAAAATTAATTTTTTTTTAAGTTCTGGGATACATGCGCATGACATGCAGGTTTGTTACATAGGTAAACGTTTGCCATGGTGGTTTGCTGCACTTATCAACCCATCACCTAGGTATTAAGCTTAGCATGTATTAGCTATTTTTCCTGATGCTCTTCTTCCCCCCCCCCCCTCCACAAGCCCCATTGTGTGTTGTTCCCCTCCCTGTGTCCATGTTTTCTCATTCTTCAGCTCCCACTTACAAGTGAGAACATGTGGTGGTTGGTTTTCTGTTCGTGCATTAGTCTGCAGAGAATAATGGCTTTGAGCTCCATCCGTGCTCCTGCAAAGGGTATGATCTCATTCTTATTTATGGCTGCATAGTATTCCATGGTGTATATGTACCATATTTTCTTTATCCAGTTTATCATTGATGGGCATTTGGGTTGATTCCATGTCTTTGCTATTGTGAATAGTGCTGAAATCAACATACATGTGCATGTATCTTTATAATAGAATGAGTAGTATTCTTTTGGGTATATCCCCGGTAATGGGATTGCTGGGTCAAATGATATTTCTGCCTCTAGGTCTTTGAGGAATTGCCACACTGTCTTCCACAATGGTTGAACTAATTTACTTTTCTACCATAGTGTAAAAGTGTTCCTTTTTCTCCTCAGCCTCACGAGCATCTGTTATTTCTTGACTTTTTAATAATCACCATTCTGACTGGCATGAGATGGTATCTCACTGTGGTTTTGATTTGCATTTCTCTAATGATCAGTGAAGTGGAGCTTTTTTTCATGTTTCTTGGCCTCATGAATGTCTTCTCTTGAGAAATGTCTGTTCATGTTCTTTGCCCACTTTTTAATGGGTTGTTTGTTTTTTTTCTTGTAAATTTGTTTAAGTTTCTTGCAGATTCTGGATATTAGCCCCTCATCAAATGGATATATATTGCAAAATTTTTCTCCCATCGTGTAGGTTGTCTGTTTACTCTGTTGATAGGTTCTTTTGTGTGCAGAAGCTCTTTAGTTTAATTAGATCCCATTTGTCAATATTAGCTTTTGTTGCAATTGCTTTTGATGTTATCATCATGAAATCTTTGCCTGAGCCTATGTCCTGAATGGTACTGCCTAGATTTGCTTTGTAGGGTTTTTATAATTTGGGGTGTTACATTTAAGTCTTTAATCCCTCTTGAATTAATTTTTGTATAAGGTGTAAGGAAGGGGTCCAGTTTCAGTTTTCTGCATATGGCTAGCCAGTTCTCCCAACACCATTTATTAATGGTGGGAATTCTTTCTTCATTGCTTGTTTTTGTCAGCTTTGTCAAAGATCAGATGGTTGTAGATGTGCGGTCTTGTTTCTCAGATCTCTATTCCATTTCTTTGTTCTGTGTGTCTGTTTTTGTACCAGTACTGTGCTGTTTTGGTTACTGTAAGCTTGTAGTATAGTTTCAAGTCTGGTAATGTGATGCTTCCAGCTTTGTTCTTTTGCTTAGGACTGTTTTGATGATATGCACTCTTTTTTGGTTCCATATGAATTTTAAAGTAGTTTTTCTAATTCTGTGAAGAATGTCAATGATAGTTTAATGGGAATACCATTGAATCTATAGATTAGGCAGTATGACCATTTTCACGATATTGATTCTTTTTATCCATGAGCATGGAATGTTTTTCTATTTGTTTGTGTCATCTCTGATTTTCTTTAGCAGTGGTTTGTAGTTCTCATTGAAGAGGTCCTTCACTTCTCTTGTTAGCTGTATTTCTAGTTGTGTTCTTCTCTTTGTAGCAATTGTGAATGGGAGTTCATTCATGATTTGGCTCTCTGTCTATTGTTGCCACATAGGAATGCTTGTGATTTTTGCACATTGATTTTGTATCCTGAGACTTTGCTGAAGTTTCTTATCACCTTAAGAAACGTTTGGACTGAGACAATGGGGTTTTCTAGATATGGGATTATGTCATCTGCAAACAGAGATGGTTTGACTTTCTCTCTTCTTACTTGAATGTCCCTTCTTTCTTTCTCTTGCCTGATTACTCTGAGAATTTCCAATACTATGTTGAATAGGAGTGGTGAGAGAGGACATTCTTGTCTAGTGCTGGTTTTCAAGGGGAATGCTTCCAGCTTTTGCCCATTCAGTATGATATTGGCTGTGAGTTTGTCATAAATTGCTCTTATTTTGAGGTATATTCCACCAATACCTAGTTTATTGAGAGTTTTTAACAAGAAGGGATGTTAAATTTTATTGAAGGCTTTTGCTGCATCTCTTGAGATAGTCATGTGGTTTTTGTCTTTGGTTCTGTTTATATAATGAATTATGTTGGTTGATTTCCATATGTTGAACCAGCCTTGTATCCTTGGGATGAAGTTGACTCAATAGTGTTGGGTAAGCTTTTTGATGTGCTGCTGGATTTGTTCTGCTGGTATTTTATTAAGGATTATTTCATTGATTTTATCGGGGACATTGGCCTGAAGTTTTCTTTTTTGTTGTATCTCTGACAGGTTTTGGTATCAGGATGATGCTGGCCTCATAAAATGAGTTAGGGAGGAGTCTGTCCCTTTTCATTTGTTTGGAATAATTTTGGAAGAAATGGTACCAGCTCTTCTTTGTACCTCTGGTAGAATTCAGCTGTAAATCCATCTGGTTCTGGGCTTTTTTTGGTTGGTAGGCTATTTATTACTGCCTAAATTTTAGAACTTGTTATTGGTCTATTCAGGGATTCAACTTCTTCCTTGTTCAATCTAGGGAGGGTGTATGTGTCCAGGAATTTATCCATTTCTTCTAGATTTTTTAGTTTATTTGCATAGAGTTGTTCATAGTATTCTCTGATGGTTGTTTGTATTTCTGTGGAATCAGTGATGATATACCCTTTATCATTTTTTATTGTTTCTATTTGATTCTTCTCTCTTTTAGTTTAGCTAATGGTCCATCTATTTTATTTTTTTCTAAAACCTAGCTCCTGAGTTCATTGATTTTTTGAAGGGTTTTTTGTGTCTCTGCCTCCTTCAGTTCTGGTCTGATCTTGGTGATTTCTATTCTTCTGCTAGCTTTGGGAGTTGTTTGCTCTTGGCTCTCTAGTTCTTTTTGTTGTGATATTAGGTGTCAATTTGAGATCTTTCTAGCTTTTTGATGTGGGCATTTAGTGCTATAAATTTCCCTCTTAACACTGCCTTAGGTGAGTGTCAGAGATTCTGTCATGTTGTCTCTTTGCTCTCATTGGTTCCAAAGAACTTCTTGATTTCTGCCTTAATTTCATTATCTCCCAGCAGTCATTCAGGAGTGGGTTTTTCAGTTTCCATGTAGTTTTGTGTTTTTGAGTGAGTTTCTTAATCTTGAGTTCTAATTTTATTGTACTGTGGTCTGAGAAACTGTTTTGATTTCAGTTCATTTGCTTTTGCTGAGGAGTGTTTACTTCCAATTATGTGATTGATTTTAGAATAAATGCCATGTGGCACTGAGAATAATGTATGTTCTGTTGTTTTTCAATGGAGAATTCTGTAGAAATCTATCAGGTCCACTTGATCCAGAGCTGAGTCTAAGTCCTGAATATCCTTGTAAATTTTCTGTCTCGATGATCTGTCTAATATTGACAGTGGGGTGTTAAAGTCTCCCACTATTATTGTGTGGGAGCCTAAGTCTCTTGGTAGGTCTCTAAGAACTTATTTTATGAATCTTGGTGCTCCCATATTAGGTGCATATATATTTAGGATGGTTAGGTCTTCTTGTTGAATTGAACCCTTTACCATCTTGTAATGCTCTTCTTTGTCTGTTTTGATCTTTGTTGGTTTAAAGTCTGTTTTGTCAGAAACTAGGATTGCAACCCCTGCATTTTTCTGCTTTTCATTTGCTTGATAAGTTTTCCTCCATTCCTTTATTTTGAGCCTATGTGTTTTTTTCCATGTGAGATGGGTCTCTTGAATACAGTACACTGATGGGTTTTGACTCTTTATCCAACTTGTCATTCTGTGTCTTTTAATTGGCATGTTTAGCAAATTTACATTTCAGGTAACTATTGTTATGTGTGAATTTGATCCTGTCATCATAATGCTAGCTGTGTTTTTTTTTTTTTCAGACTTGATGTCATTACTTCAGAGTGTCATTGGTCTTTATACTTTGGTTTGTTTCTGAAGTGGCTAGTAATGGTTTTTCCTTTCCATATTTAGTGTTTCCTTGAGGAGCTCTAGCAAGACAGTCCTGGTAGTGATGAATTCCCTCACCATTTGCTTGTCTGAAAAGGATCTTATTTCTCCTTCCCTTATGAAGCTTAGTTTGGCCAAATATGAAATTCTGGGATGAAAATTCTTTTCTTTAAGAATGTTGAATATTGGCCCCCAAACTCTTCTGGCTTGTAGGGTTTCTGCTGAAAGGTCTTCTGTCAGTCTGATGGGCTTCCTTTTGTACATAACCTGGCCTTTCTTTCTGGTGCCCTTAACATGTTTTTCTTCATTTCAACCTTGGAGAATCTGATGATTAAGTGCCTTGGGGTTGATCTTTTTATGAAGTGTCTTACTGGGATTCTCTGGATTTCCTGAAAAATTTGAATGTTGGCCTGTCTTGCTAGGTTGAGGAAGTTCTCCTGGATGATATCCTAAAATATGTTTCCAGCTTGGTTCTGTTTTCCCTGTCTCTTTCAGGTACCCCCAATCAGTCATAGGTTTTTTTTTTTTAAATAATCCCATCGTTCTTGAAGGTTTTGTTTATTCCTTTTCATTCTTTATCTTCTAATCTTGCTGCCTGTCTTCCTTCAGCAAGATAGTTTCCTGGCTCTAAAATTCTTTCTTCTGCTGGGTCTATTCAGTTTTTCATACTTGTGGTTGCATTGTGAAGTTCTCATGTTGTATTTTTCATCTTCAGTATGTTATTTATTTTCCTCTCTAAACTAGTTATTCTGGGTAACAGCTCCTGTAATGTTTTATCATGGTTTTTAGCTTCTTTGCATTGGGTTAGAACATGCTTTTTTAGCTCAGCAAAATTTGTTATTACCCACCTTCTGAAGCCTGCTCTGTCAATTCATCTATCTCAGCCTCAGCCCAGTTCTGTAGCCTTGCTGGAGAGGTGTTGCAATCATTTGCAGGAGAAGAGACACTCTGGCTTTTTGAGCTTTCAGCATTTTTTCATTGGTTCTTTCTAATCTTCATGAATTTATGTAGCTTCAGTCTTTGAGGCTGCTGAACTCTGGATGGAGTTTTTGTGGGGACTTCTTTTTTGATGCTGTTGCTGTTGTTGCTTTCTGTTCATTTGTCTTTCTTTTAATAGTCAGGCCCCTTTTCCGTTGGGCTGCTGTGGTTTTCTGGGGGTCCAATCCAGACTCTATTTGCCTGGGTCCCTTCCACACCTGGAGGGGTCACTAGTAGAGGCTGCAGAACAACAAAGATGGCTGCCTGTTCCTTCCTCTGGGAGCTCCGTCCCAGAGGGGCATCAACCTGATGCCTGCAACAATGCTCCTGTGTAAGGTATCTGGCAACCCCTGTTGGGAGTCTGACACAGTCAGGAGGCACAGGATCAGGGACCCGCTTAATGAAGTACTCTGGCTGCCCCTTTGCTGAGGGAGTGCACTGCACTGGGAGGAATCCCACTCATCTGGACTGCCTGGATTCTTCAGTGCAAACAGGGGTAAAGACTAAATCCACTGATCTGTGGAGACCATGACCACCCCTCCCCCCAGGGGCTCTGTCCCAAGATTAGAGTTCCCTCTGTAAACCCCTGGCTAGAGTTGCTGAGATTCCCAAAGAAGGCCCCACCCAGTGAGGAGGGATGAGTCAAGGTCCAGCCTAAAGAGGCAGTCTGTCCACAATCTGCCATAGCTGCTGTGCTGCGCTGTGGGGAATTCCTCCTGGTTCCAAACCACACAGTCTCCCCAGCACTGGCAGAGGAAAAACAGCAGACTGGAGCTGCGGTGATGGCTGCCACCCCTCCCACCAGGAGCTCAGTTGTGTTAGATAGCAGGCATCTGCAATGATGATGGCCACCCTTTCCTCCAGAAACTTGGTAGTCGTAGGCAGTTTCCAGTGGAGTGGCTGCTGCAGAGAATCTGCACAGCTCTGTGCTTGGGACTGAAGGCCCTGGTGGCATGGGCTCACAAGGGTTATCTCCTGATCTGTGGGCTGCACAGATTGATGGATAAAGCATGATTTCGAGGGTGAGTTAACACAATCACTCACTACCTTTTTGGCTGGGAGTGGGAGCTCCCTTTGCTCCGTGTGACCCCCAGTTGGGCCATTGCTTCACCCTGCTTTTCCTTGCTCTCTGTGGTCATGCCAACTGACTAGTCTGTCCCAATGAGAGAACCTGGATACCTCAGTTGCCAGTGCAAAATTTATTCCCCGTTTTCTTTCTTCTTGGTAGGAGCCTTCTACCACAGCTGTTGCCTCTTGGCCATCTTGGCCTCTCCCCCACCTACCATAATTTCTATGTTAAATCATTAAAATTGATTTTATGAGTAGTATCCATTTGAGAACCTCTACACCCTTCAATTTCATATTTATGTGAAGAGGGAAAATAAATGATATATTTTTTTTTATGGATGATATGGTAGGATGATTGATTCTGATCTTTCCTACCAGCTGGTGGTCATTATTCATTAATTTATCCCCTCTTTTCATATGAAATCATGTTTCTGGAATTTGACCATTTTGTTATTTTTGGTTTGCCCTCCTACATAATACTACCTAAAACCCAATAATACCTCCTACTACCCAAAATAAAGATTGATTTATCTGTAATTCAGGTGTTTATAAACCTATTGGTTATAATTACTTTGTTATTTGTGATTTGGTGGTTTATGTGAAATTGAGTTATATTTATTCTTCTGAGATTTGGCTAAATTTTAAAAATTGTCTAGAAAAATTGACTTCTCTTGAAATTTTCTGCCACTCCAGTGTTATTTTCTTGTGTTAGTTAATTTTACTAAATGAGAATCACTAATTTATATTGTTGTGGTCTCATGGTAACAATGAGAAAGAGAGTTTATTTTTTCTTGTATTTGATTTACTAGGTGGTATCATAATTGTTATTTAATTTTAGTATTTGAAAATAATGAGTATGATTCTGCAATAGCCAACTGAAGATTGAAATGCCCCTGACAACCATATTGTGTTTGTGAAGTTTCAGTATGGGCCAGGAAAACATGTAACTTTTGAACTTGAGTGAAAATATTGAAGCTGCAGACTTTCACATAAGTGTTTGTCAGTTTAAAATGCCAGGATTTATCATTGCCATATTTTCATATGTTGCTTATACAAGTTTATTGTTCTGACTAGTGATTGCTTCCCTGTCTCTGCATAGAAGTGCCTATGTTTTTATTTATTGTTCAGATCAAAGACCAAAACATTTTCTACAGTATATTTTGTGTAATATTTTATCTACACAGTATCATTGATGAAATATTTAAATAAATAATAATATTTTAAATGATAAGTTGTAACATATGTTAAATAAGGCAAAATGTTATTTTTGAATTTTAAAATCCATTTTTGGGGGTATGAATTACTAGAGTTAATAAGATTCTGTCAAATTATTGCTTATATGTACTATTTTGTAACATACTTTCTTGAAATATTTTTGTGTTTATAGATGAGAATTCTTTTTTAAAAATTTATTTATTTTTTATTATTATACTTTAAGTTATGGGATACATGTGTAGAATGTGCAGGTTTGTTACATAGGTATAAACGTGCCATGGTGGTTTGCTGCACCCATCAACCCATAATCTACATTAGGTATTTCTCCTAATGCTACCCCTCCCCTAGCCCCCCACCCCCTGACAGGCCCCAGTGTGTGATGTTCCCTTCCCTGTTTCTATATGTTCTCTTTGTTCAATTCCCACTTATAAGTGAGAACATGTGGTGTTTGATTTTCTGTTTCTGTGTTAGTTTGCTGAGAATAATGGTTTCCAGCTTCATCCATGTCCCTGCAAAGGACAGGAACTCATCCTTTTTTATGGCTGCATAGTATTCCATGGTGTATATGTGCCACATTTTCTTTATCCAGCCTATAATTGTTGGGCATTTGGGTTGGTTCCAAGTCTTTGCTATTGTGCACAGTGTTGCAATAAACATACCTGAGCATGTGTCTTTATAGTAGAATGATTTATAATCCTTTGGGTATATGACCAGTAATGGCATTGCTGGGTCAAATCGTATTTCTGGCTCTAGATCGTTGAGGAATCGCCACACTGTCTTCCACAATGGTTGAACTAATTTACACTCCCACCAATAGTGTAAAAGCATTCCTATTTCTCCACATCCCCTCCAGCATCTGTTGTTTCCTGACTTTTTAATGATCATCATTCTAATTGGCATGAAATGGCATCTCATTGTGGTTTTGATTTACATTTCTCTAATGACCAGTGATGATGAGGTTTTTTCTGTATGTTTATTGGCTGCATAAATGTCTTTTTTTGAGAAGTGTCTGTTCATATCCTTCACCCACTTTTTGATGGGGTTGTTTTTTTCTTGTAAATTTTCATAAGTTCTTTGTAGATTCCGGATATTAGCCCTTTTTCAGATGGATAGATTGCAAAAATTTTCTCCCATTCTGTAATTTTCCTATTCACTCTGATGATAGTTTCTTTTGCTGTGCAAAAGCTCTTTAGTTTAATTAGATCCCATTTGTCAATCTTGTCTCTTGTTGCCATTGCTTTGGGTGTTTTAGTCATGAAGTCTTTCCCCATGCCTATGTCCTGAATGGTATTGCCTAGGTTTTCTTCTAGGGTTTTTGTGGTGTTAGGTCTTACATTTAAGTCTTTAATCCATCTTGAGTTAATTAATTTTTGTATAAGGTGTAAGGAAGGGGTCCCATTTCAGTTTTCTGCATATGGCTCACCAGTTTTCCCAACATCATTTATTAAATAGAAAATCCTTTTCCCGTTGCTTGTTTTTGTCAGATTTTTCAAAGACCAGATGGTTGCAGATGTGTGGCATTATTTCTGAGGCCTCTGTTCTGTTCCATTGGTCTATATATCTGTTTTGGTACCAGTACCATGCTGTTTTGGTTACTGTAGCCTTGTAGTATGGTTTGAAATCACGTAGTGTGATGCCTCCAGCTTTGTTCTTTTTGCTTAAGATTGTCTTGGCTATACGGGCTCTTTTTTGGTTCCATATGAAATTTAAAGTAGTTTTTTCTAATTCTGTGAGAAAGTCAATGGTGGCTTGATTGGTATACCATTGAATCTATAAATTAATTTGGACAGTTTGTCCATTTTCATGATATCGATTCTTCCTATCCATGAGCATGGAATGTTTTTTCATTTGCTTGTGTCCTCTCTTATTTCCTTGAGTAGTAGTGTGTAGTTCTTTGTGAAGAGGTCCTTCACATCCCTTGTAAGTGGTATTCCTAGATATTTTATTCTTTTGGTAGCAATTGTGAATGGGAGTTCACCCATGATTTGGCTCTTTGTTTGTCTATTATTAATAGACAAATAGATGAGGATTCTTATAAGCTGCAATACTGAGGACTATAAAATAGTGGAAATAAAGTCACTATATTTTTTAAGAAGTGAAAAAAAAATTAAAAATCACGAAATCCACAATATAAAGTTAGAGAATTATTTAATTTACTGAATTCAAGTTAAAATGAATATTCACATGCATACATCATTACATATATGTGGAAATCTACAAATAGTACATAATGTTATTTTTTGTACAAAATTATTTCTCTTCATTAGCC
This sequence comes from Homo sapiens, assembly GCF_000001405.40. Lineage (NCBI taxonomy): Eukaryota > Metazoa > Chordata > Mammalia > Primates > Hominidae > Homo > Homo sapiens. Next base: position 99,877,013 of record NC_000023.11, on the reverse strand, counting down.
ATTGGAGCACCTTCTAGACATGTGAGGCCAAGAAAAGTTTATGTCATGGATCAATTTTAGACCTGAATTTGTAATCCTTGAATATACTTCAGTCCTTTTCCTTTTGAGTTCCTTGCCAGATTTATTAGTCTAGCCTCTTAATTATAACAAAGTATTAATATAAAGCACAGATAATTCTGCCTCTCTTTTCTTATTTACACAGACTCTTCTCTTAAAAATGTTGGATGTTTATTCATTCTATTTCTAAAAGGTAGAAATAGAATTTCTATTATATTTCTAAAAGGTAGAAATAGAATTTCTATTATATTTCTAAGGAATAAAAATGGTATTTCTATTCTATTTTTTTCCTCAAGGGGATATTAAGCATTCATAGGTAGCATGTACCTCCTTAATACCAGAACAGTTTTTCTGCTTCTTTGGTGTGATTTTATGGCTGTCTGATGTGTTCACTATTTTTAATGCTACATATCTTTTTTTCTGCCTTATGTATAGCTCAGCTGCCTTGTAGATATGGGAAGAGTTCTATCCTACTGATTTTTGATGGAGAAAGCAATTCCAGCATGAGTCTGACCTAAAACATCTCCCACATTTCCCAGGGTCATGAACAATATTTTACTTGTGTTTAAGACTATTAAAAAGCTCCCTAGTTATAGCAGCACAGTACTTTACCTTTTATATGCATTTTGTGAGGTTTCATCCACCATTCATTAAAACTAAAATTTTTATTTCACCTAATGACTAATTATGTGGGGACAAATTGGGGGAGCTTTCTAATCTATGCATTTATCTCATACATTATATATATTTGTAATATTTTAATAAATATATAACATGTACATACCGTGTTATCCATATATGTACAGTTTAAAGAATAATGGTAAAGTAAAAACTGTTCACTCAGAAAAAGGAAATTATAAAAACAATTGAAGCCTCCTATCTCTTCCTACTGAATTGCATTTCCCTCTTTCAAATCCAAAGAAATCACTGTTTTGAATTTTGTGTTTATAGTTTCCTTGATTCTCTATGTAAAATGTCACACTTTCATGTATTCCTAAACAGTATATTATTTAGTTTTACACTGTTGCTGGGAGTGTTAAATTAGTTCAACCATTGTGGAAGACAGTGTGGTGATTCCTTAAAGACGTAGAGGCAAAAATACCATTTGACCCAGCAATCCCATTACTGAATATATACCCAAGAGAATATAAATTGTTCTATTATAAAGACACATGCATGTGTATATTCATTGCAACATTATTCCCAATAGCAAAGACATGGAATCAACCAAAATGCCCATCACTGATAAAATGGATAAAGAAAATGTGGTACATATACATCATGGAATGCTAAGTAACCATAAAAGGGAATGAGATCTTGTTCTTGGCAGGGACATGGATGGAGTTGGAGGCCATTATCCACAGCAAACTAACACAGGAACAGTGAAGCAAATACCGCATGTTCTCACTTATAAGTGGGAGCAAAATGATGAGAGCACATGGACACATGGGGTGGAACAACACACGTTGAGGCTTGTTGGAGGGCAGGGGGTGGGAGGAGGGAGAGAGTCTGGAGGAATAGCTAGTGGATGCTGGGATTAATACCTGGGCGATGGGATGATCTGTGCAGGAAATCACCATGATGCACGTTTACCTATCTAACAAACCTGCCCATCCTGCTCATATACCCCTGAACTTTAAATGAAAGTTGGAAATTAAAAAAAAAACTTTATCCTATAAGACTCATCCATGTTGTTAGTGTTTATTCTTTAAAAAAATCTGTTTATATATTTTGTTGCAATTTTCTGTTTAGTTGCTTATCTTTATTGATTTTCAGGAGAGAGAGAGAGAGAGATGTTGGATTGTAATTATTATTTATCATATAATTTATAAATAGATTATTTTTGTCCAGTCTTATCCCTTCCTTTTTGATATCTTTTGAGAAGTAAAGTTTAAATTTTAATTGAATTAAATTTTTTATAGCTTGTAGCTTTTTTGCTTCTGTTTAAAATTTCTCCTATATTTTCTTCTAAAATTTAAATAGTTTTGCCTCTATATTTAAGTTCTTAATGTATCTGGAATTAATTTTGTGTATGATGTGAAGTAAAAATCTATTTTTTATTATTTTTGCAATATTAATTAACACTTGTCTCAGAAAACTTATTACATGTCTAGCCATTTCCAAGTTTTTGTCCATGGCTCATATTATAGTAAGTAATGCATTTCTCATTGTAATCCAGCACTGATCCTCATTTATACATATACAGGCTCAAATTTATTCTTAAATTAAATATCGCTTATACTTATGTGTGATAAACTACATTGTTTTATATTCTAGTTTTAATTCTTTTTTTGGTGAGATAATTGTAGATTCAAATACAGTTTAAAAAAAAATACAGAGAGATTCCAAATACACTTTATTTAGTTTCCTCTATTGGTAACCTTTTGCATATTTTTTAGTTTTTTTATGACCCACCAGATTGACTTCATGTAATTGGGTGCTGACTCAATCTTGAAAAATGCTTTTTCCACTAATCTCTAATGCTGTCTTCTAAAGCTTATGTATATGCATGCATATGTTTTGGGACAGTGTACTCTTTCTAATTATATACTGGATTGTCACTTAACCATCTAAATTATTGTAGATTTATAATAATATCTGATAGGGCATTGTCAACTTATATTTTCTTTATTAAAATTGATTTGGCTATTGTGTATCCTATATTCTTCTATATACATTTTAGAATAACTCAAGTTTTCTGAGTGAATCATATTGAATCCATAGATCAATTTTGGGAGAAATTACATCTTTATAATATCAAGTATTTCTGTATATGAATTTGGTATGCATTTTAATTTATTAATATGTTAGAAATAAATTTCAACAAATATTAATATTTTACTTAAATTTAAAATTTATTATGTTTATTTCTAGGTACATTATTATTGCTGTGGTTTTTATTTTTGTTATTTTATTATTGCAATTATAGCTTTAGAAATGACATTTTCCAACTGTTGATGGTATATAAAATATAATTGTACATATTGATTTACATGTAAAATACAGGATAATTATTTCACTAATTGTGATAGTTTGTATATTCTTCTGTTTCTCATGTAAACAAATAATAAGAGTTTTGTTTCTTGCTTTCCAATCTGTACACTTTTAATGTAACTTTAAAATAATAATAATGTAACTTTTATATTTTTAAAATAATGTAACTTTTTGAAATTTAAAAATTTTGGGGGAGTACATAAAAGGTTTATGTATTTCTGGGGTACATAAGATGTTTTAATACACACGTGCAATGTATAATAATCATGTCATGGAAAATGGAGTATCCATCCCCTCAAGCATTTATCCTTTGTGTTACAAACAACGTAATTCTACTCATGTAGTTATTTTTAAATGTACAATTAAATTATCATTGACTATAATCACTCTGTTGTGCTATCAAATACTAGGCCTTATTTATTCATTTAAACTATTTTTAAGGTACACATTAATCACCTAAATCTGCCCCCCAAACCCCATTACCCTTTGCAGAATCTGATAACCATTATACTCTCATATCCAGGGATAGAATTGTTTTGATTTTTAGATCTCACAAATAAGTGGGCACATGTTATGTTTTTCTTTCTGTGCCTGGCTTATTTCACTTAACATAATAACCCTCAGTTCCATTAATGCTGTTACAAATGACTGAATCTCATTCTTTTTGATGGCTAAATAGTACTCCACTGTGTAAAAGTACCACATTTTCTTTTTCCATTCATCTGTTGATGGACAAACAGTTTCCAAATCTTAGCTATGGTGAACACTGCTGCAACAAACATGGGAGTGCAGATATCTCTTCGATATACTAATTTCTTCTTTGGTGGGTATATACCCAGAAGTGGAATTGCTGGATTGTGTCATAGCTCTATTTTTAGTTTCTTGAGAAACCTCTAAAGTTCTTCATAGTAGTCGTGCTAATTTACATTCCTACCAACAGTCTACAAGGGTTACCTTTTCTCCACATCATTACCAGCATTTTTTATTGCCTCTCATTTGGATATAAGCCATGTTAACTGAGGTGAGATGATATCTCATTGTAGTTTTGGTTTGCATTTCTCTGATGATCAGTGATGTTGAGCACCTTTTCATATGTCTATTTGCCATTTGTATGTCTTCTTTTGAGCAATGTCTATTCAAATCTTCTGCCCTTTTTTTTATCAGATTATTAGATTTTTTCCTACAGAGTTGTTTGAGCTCCTTATATATTCTGGTTATTAATCCCTTGTCAGGTGGGAAGATTGCAAATATATTTTCCCATTCTGTTGGTTGTCTCTTCATTTTGTTGATTTGTTTCTTCTGCTGTGGAGAAGCTGTTTTACTTGGTTTGATCCCATTTGTCCATGTTTGCTTTGGTTTCCTGTGCTTATGGAGTATTACTCAATAAATCTTTGCTCACTCCAAAGTCCTGGAGAATTTCTCCAATGTTTTCTTGTAGTAGTTTTATAGTTTGGGGTCTTAGATTTAAACATTTAATCCATTTTAATTTGATTTGTGTATATGGCAAGGGGTAGAGATCTAGTTTCTTTCTTCTGCATATGGATATACAGTTTTCCCAGCACCAACCATTTATTAAAGAGACTGTCATTTCCCAGTGTGTATGTTTGTTATTTCATTTTTTAATTTTTAATTTTTGTGGATACATATTAGGTGTATATGTTTATGGCCTTGGCACCTTTTTCAAAAATGAGTTCACTCTAGGTGTTTGGATTTGTTTCTAGGTTCTCTATTCTGTTCCAGTGGTCTGTGTGTCTGATTTTATGCCAGTGTCATGCTGTTTTAGTTACTATAGCTTTGTAGTATAATTTGAAGTCAACTAATGCAATTTTTCCAGTTTCCTTTTTGTTTAGCATAACTTTGGCTATTCTTGGTCTTTTATGATTCCATATAAATTACAGGATAGGTTTTTCTATTTCTATAAAGAATGTAATTGTTATTTTGATAGAAATTGCATTGGCTCTTTAGATCGCTTTGGGTAGTATGGACATTTTAACAATATTGATTCTTCTAATTTGTGAACATGCAATATCTTTTAATTTTTTTGTGTCCTTTTCAATTTCTTTCAGCAGCGTTTTATAGTTTTTATTATAGTGATCTTTCACTTTTTTGGCTAAGTTAATTCCTAGGTATTTAACTTTATTTGTGGCTATTGTAAATGGGATAACTTGTTTGATTTCTTTTTCAAATTGTTTCCTGTTGGCATATAGAATGCTACTGATTTTTGTATGTTGACTTTGTATCTTATAACTTTACTGAATTTGTTTATCAGTTCTAATACTTATTTTGTTGAATGTTTAGGTTTTTCCAAATATAAGATCATATCATCTGTAAACAAAGATAATCTGACTCTTAAATTCCAATTTGGATGGCCTTTATTTTTTTCTTGTTTGATTGGTCTAGCTAGGCTTTCCAATACTATGTTGAATAACAGAGGTGAAAGTGGGCATCCTTGTCATTTTTCAGATCTTAGAGGAAAGGATTTCAGTTTTTTCCCGTTCAGTATGATACTCGTTGTGTCATATATGGCTGTTATTATGTTGAGGTATGTTTCTTCTAGCCCCATTTTTGTAGGGTTTTTAATCATGAAGGTATGTTGAATTTTATCAAGTGCTTTTTCACATTAATAGAATGATCTTTCTAATGTATTGATGACTATGGTTTGCTAATATTTTGTTCAGCATTTTAACATCAATATTCATTAGGGATATTTCCCTGTTTTTTTAAATATATGTTTTGGTATTAGGTTAATACTGGCCTCATAGAATGAGTTTGGAAGTATTTTCTCCTATGTATTTCAGAATACTTTGAGTATTGATATTAGTTCTTCTTTAAATGTTTGGTAGAATTCAGCAATGAAGTCATCCGATCTTTAATTTTTCTTTACTGGGAAAATTTTTATTTTGACTTTGATGTTGTTATGTGTTATTACTCTGCTCGGGTTTTGAATGTCTTCCCATTTTAATCTTTGCAGGTCATATGTCTCTAAGAATTTGTCCATTTCTCCTAGATTTTCCAATTTATTGGCATATAGTTGCTCATAGTAGCCAGTAACAATTCTTTGAATTTCTGCAGTATCAGTTGTAATGGCTCCTTTTTCATCTCTGGTTTTATTCATTTGGATTATCTCTCTTTTTTCTTAGTCTAGATAAATGTTTGTTCATTTTGTTTAACTTTTCAAAAAGTCAGCTTTTGTTTCGTTGATATTTTGTACTTTTTTCATTTCATTTTCATTTTTTTGATCTTTATTATTTTTTCTACTAATTCTGGGTTTGGTTTGCTTTTGCTTTTCTAGTCCTTTAAGATGCATTATTAGGTTGCTTATTTGAAGTTTTTCTCTTTTTTGATGTAGGTACTTATAGCTGTAAACTTCCCTCTTAGTACTACTTTTGCTATATCACATAGGTTTTGGTATGCTATATTTCCACTATCATTTGTTTCAAGAAATTTCTCAATTAATTCCTTAAATTCCTCATTGACCTGCTGGTCATTTAGGAGCATAATGTTTATTTTGCATGTATTTGTATAATTTCCAAAATTCATCTTATTATTGATTTCTAGTTTTACTCCATTTTGGTCGTAGGAGATGCTATATATGATTTCATTTTTTTTTTGAGTGTCGTAAGACTTGTTTTGAGACATAACATATGGGTGTATCCTTCAGAATGATTCATGTGTTGAGGACAAGAATGTGTATTCTGCAGCCATTGGATAAAATCTTCTGTAAATATCTATTAGATCCATTTGGTCTACAGGGCAGAGTAAGGCCTGTATTTCTTTGTTGATTTTCTGTCCAGAAGAGCTGTTCTATGCTGAAAGTAGGGTTTTGAAATCTCCAGTTATTATTGTATTAGGATCTATCACTTTCTTTGGCTGTAATATTTGCTTTATATATCTGTGCTCCAGTGTTGGGTGTACATATATTTAAAATTGCTGTATCTTCTTGCTGAATTGACCCCTTTATCATATATAGTGACCTTCTTTGTCTCTTTTTATAGTTTTTGTCTTAAAGTCTATTTTGTCTGACATAGATTAGACATAGCTATTCCTGTTCTTTTTTGGTTTCCATTGGCATGGGATATCTATTTTCATCCCTTTATTTTCAGTCTATGTGTGTCTTTATAGTTGAAGTGTGTTTCTTGTAGGCAACAGGTAAATGGGTCTTGTTTGTTTCTTCCATTCAGCCAGTCTGTCTTTTGATAGGAGAATTTAGTCCATTGGCATTCGATGTTATTATGGACAAATAAGAACTCACTCCTGCCATTTTCTTTCTACTCATTTTGTGGTCTTCTCTTCCTTCTTTCTTCCCTTCCTGTCTTCCTTTAGTGAAGGTGTTTTTCTCTGGTTTTATGATTTAGTCTATTGCTTTTTATTTTTATGTGTCTTGCAAATGCTATTTTATAACCAATTATTTTAAGCTGATAACAACTTAACACTGTTTGCATAAACAAACACACAGACACACAAAAAGAAAACTAATACTCTATGCCTTAAATTTGTCCCCCCACTTTTTAACTTTGCATTGTTTCTATTTATATCTTAGTGTACTGTTGTGTCTTGAAAAGTTATTGTAGTTATTATTTTTTATTGGCTTATTGTTAATTCTTTCTTCTTAGGATAAAAGTAGTTTACATACTGCAGTTACAGTGTTATAATAGTCTGTGTTTTTCTGTGTACTTACTATTACCAGTAAGTTTTGTACCTTCAGGTGATCATTTATTTATTGCTCATTAATGTACTTTTTTTTAGTTGAAGTACTCCCTGTAGCATTTCTTGTAGGATGGGCCTAATATTAGTGAAATCCCTCAGCTTTTGTTTGTCTGGAAAAGTCTTTATTTCTCCTTTATGTGTGAAGGATATTTTTAGTAGATATACTATTATACTATTCTAGGGTAAAAGTTCATTTTCTTCATGTGTTAGTCTGTTCTCATTCTGCTAATAAAGACATACCTGAGACTGGGTAATTTATAAAGGAAAGAGGTTTAATTGTCTCACAGTTCAGCATGGCTGGGGAGGCATCAGGAAACTTACAATCATGGTGGAAGGGGAAACAAGCATGTCCTTCTTCACATGGTGGCTGCAAGGAGAAATGGCTAGCAAAAGGGGGAAAAGCCCCTTATAAAACCATCAGATCTTGTGAGAACTCACTTACTATCATGAGAACAGTGTGAGGGAAACCACCCTAGTGATTAAATTACCCCTCACTAGGTCCCTCCCACAACACGTGGGGATTATGGAAACTACAATTCAAGATGTGATTTGGGTGGGGACACAGTCAAACTATATCATTCCGCCCCTGGTACCTTCCAAATCTCATGTCCTCACATTTCAAAACACAATCATGCCCTTCCAACAGTCCCCCAAAGTCTTAACTTATTCCAGCATTAACTTGAAAGTTCAAGTCCAAAGTCTCATCTGAGACACGGCAAGTCCCTTCCACCTATGAGCCTGTAAAATCAAAAGCAAGTTAGTCACTTCCTAGATACAGTGTGGGTACATGCGTTGGGTAAATACACACATTCCAAATCAGAGAAATTGGCTAAAACAAAGGGCCAGCTCACCCCATGCAAATTGGAAATTCAATAGAGCAGTCATTAAGTCCTAAAATTTTTAAATGGTCTTCTTTGACTTCATGTCTCACATCTGGGTCACACTGATGCAAGAGGTGGGCTCCCACAGCCTTGGACAGCTCCACCCCTGTGGCATTGCAGGGTACAGCTCCCCTCCTGGCTGCTTTCATGGGCTGGCTTTGAGTGTCTGTGGTTTTTCTAGGCACATGGTACAAGCTGTTGGTGGATTTACCATTCTGGGGCCTGGAGGACGGTGGGCCTCTTGTCACAGCTCCACTAGTCAATGCCCCAGTGTTAACTCTGTGTGGGGGCTCTGACCCCACATTTCCTTTCTGCACTGCCCTAGCAGAGACTCTCCATGAGAGCTCTGCCCCTTTAGCAAACTTCTGCCTGGACATCCAGTCATTTCCATACATCCTCTGAAATCTAAGCAGAGGTTTCCAAACCTCAATTTTTGACTTCTGTGCACCTGCAGGCTCAACACCATGTGGAAGCTGCCAAGTCTTGGGACTTGTACACTCTGAAAAAATGGCCCGAGCTGTATGTTGGCTCCTTTTAGCCATGGCTGGAGCTGCAGCAGCTGGGACACAGGGCACCATGTCTCAAGGCTGCACAGAGCAGGGGGGCCCTGGGTTTGGCCCAGGGAACTATTTTTCTCTCCTAGGCCTCCAGAACTCTGATGGGAGGGGCTGCCATGAAGATCTCTGACATGTCCTGGAGACATTTTCCCCATTGTCTTGGTGATTAACATTTGGCTCCTAGTTACTTATACAAATTTCTGCAGCTGCTTTGAATTTCTCCCCAGAAAATGGATTTTTATTTTCTATTGCATCATTAGGCTGCAAATTTTCCAAACTGTTATGCTCTGTTTCCTCTTGAACGCTTTGTCACTAAGAAATCTCTTCTGCCTGATACCCTAAATCATCTCTCTCAAGTTCAAAGTTCCACAGATCTGTAGGGCAGGGGCAAAATGCTGCCAGTCTCTGCATAGCAAAAGTGACTTTACTCCAGTTTCCAACAAATTCCTCATCTCCGTCTGAGGCCACCTCACGATGGACTTCATTGTCCATATCACTATCATCATTTTGGTCAAAGCCATTCAGTTTTTGTTATGTGAGGAGAAGTATGGCAGATGTTAGGGAAGTTCCGTGGGTTACTGCTGGGACAAGTCTCTAGGAACTTCCAAACTTTCCCACATTTTCCTGTCTGTTTTGTGTGTCCTGTAAACTGTTCCAATCTCTGCCTGTTTCCCAGTTCCAAAGTCACTTCCACATTTTGGAGCATCCTTATAGCAGCATCTCATTCCTGGCATCAATGTACTGTATTAGTTCATTCTTATACTGCTAATAAAGACATACCACAGAGTGGGTAATTTATAAAGAAAAGAGGTTTAATTGACTCACATTTCAGCATGGCTGGGGAGACCTCAGGAAACTTAGAATCATGGTGGAACGGGAAGCAAACACATCCTTCTTCACATGGTGGCAGCAAGGAAAAATGGCAAGCAAAAGGGAAAAATAGCCCCTTATAAAACCATCAGACCTCATGAGAACTCAGTCACTGTCATGGGAACAGCATGAGGGTAACCTCCCCCATGATTAAATTACCTCCCACTGGGTCCCTCCCATGACATGTGGGGATTATGGGAACTATAATTCAAAATGAGATTTAGGTGAGGACACTGCCAAACCATATCACTTCAGCACTTTAAATGTGTCATGCCACTCTGTCCTGGGCTGTAAGGTTTACACTGAAATGTTTGCTGCCAGATACATTGGAGCTCCATTATATGTTATTTGTTTATTTTCTTTTGTTGCTTTTAGGATCCCTCTTTATCCTTGACCATTGTGAGTCTGATTATTAAGTGCCTTGGAGTAGTCTTCTTTGGGTTAAATCTGTTTGGTGTTCTATAACCTTCATATACTTGGGTATTAATATCTTTCTCTAGGTTTGGGATGTTCTCTGTTATCCCCTTGAGTAAACTCTCTACACCTATGTCTCCCTTTACTTCCATTTTAAAGCTAGTAACTATTTGATTTGCCATTTTGAGGCTATTTTTTTTTTAGATCCTGTAGGTGTGCTTTATTGTCTTTCCTTATTTTCTTTTGTCTCCTCTGACTGTGTATGTTCAATTTGCCTGTCTTCAAGCTTACTAATTCTTTCTTCTGGTTGATTGGTTCTGCTATTAAAGATTCTGAATTTATTCTTCAGTATGCTAACTGCATTTTTTTCTTTTTTTTTTAGGTGACATAGAATTGAATTTTATTTTTTTTTCTTTTATTATTATTATACTTTAAGTTTTAGAGTACATGTGCACAATGTGCAGGTTAGTTACATATGTATACATGTGCCATGCCAGTGTGCTGCACCCATTAACTCATCATTTAGCATTAGGTATATCTACTAATGCTATCCCTCCCCTCTCCCCCTACCCCACAACAGTCCCCAGAGTGTGATGTTCCCCTTCCTGTGTCCATGTGTTCTCATTGTTCAATTCCCACCTATGAGTGAGAATATGTGGTGTTTGGTTTTTTCCTCTTGCGATAGTTTACTGAGAATAATGATTTCCAATTTCATGCATGTCCCTACAAAGGACATGAACTCATCATTCTTTATGGCTGCATGGTATTCCATGGTGTATATGTGCCACATTTTCTTAATCCAGTCTATCATTGTTGGACATTTGGGTTGGTTCCAAGTCTTTGCTATTGTGAATAGTGCCGCAATAAACATACATGTGCATGTGTCTTTATAGCAGCATGATTTAGAGTCCTTTGGATATATACCCAGTAATGGGATGGCTGGGTCAAATGGTATTTCTAGTTCTAGATCCCTGAGGAATCGCCACACTGACTTCCACAATGGTTGAACTAGTTTCCAGTCCCACCAACAGTGTAAAAGTGTTCCTATTTCTCCACATCCTCTCCAGCACCTGTTGTTTCCTGACGTTTTAATGATTGCCATTCTAACTTGTGTGAGATGGTATCTCATTGCAGTTTTGACTTGCATTTCTCTGATGGCCAGTGATGGTGAGCATTTTTTCATGTGTTTTTTGGCTGCATAAATGTCTTCTTTAGAGAAGTGTCTGTTCATGTCCTTTGCCCACTTTTTGATGGGGTTGTTTGTTTTTTTCTTGTAAATTTGTTTGAGTTCATTGCAGATTCTGGATATTAGCCCTTTGTCAGATGAGTAGGTTGCAAAAATTTTCTTCCATTTTGTAGGTTGCCTGTTCACTCTGATGGTAGTTTCTTTTGCTGTGCAGAAGCTCTTTAGTTTAATTAGATCCCATTTGTCAATGTTGGCTTTTGTTGCCATTGCTTTTGGTGTTTTAGACATGAAGTCCTTGCCCATGCCTATGTCCTGAATGGTAATGCCTAGGTTTTCTTCTAGGGTTTTTATGGTTTTAGGTCTAACGTTGAAGTCTTTAATCCATCTTGAATTAATTTTTGTATAAGGTGTAAGGAAGGGATCCAGTTTCAGCTTTCTACATATGGCTAGCCAGTTTTCCCAGCGCCATTTATTAAATATGGAATCCTTTCCCCATTGCTTGTTTTTCTCATGTTTGTCAAAGATCAGATAGTTGTAGATATGTGGTGTTATTGCTGAGGGCTCTGTTCTGTTCCATTGATCTATATCTCTGTTTTGGTACCAGTACCATGCTGTTTTGGTTACTGTAGCCTTGTAGTATAGTTTGAAGTCAGGTAGCGTGATGCCTCCAGCTTTGTTCTTTTGGCTTAGGATTGACTTGGCAATGTGGGCTCTTTTTTGGTTCCATATGAACTTTAAAGTAGTTTTTTCCAATTCTGTGAAGAAAGTCATTGGTAGCTTGATGGGGATGGCATTGAATCTATAAATTACCTTGGGCAGTATGGCCATTTTCATGATATTGATTCTTCCTACCCATGAGCATGGAATGTTCTTCCATTTGTTTGTATCCTCTTTTATTTCATTGAGCAGTGGTTTGTAGTTCTCCTTGAAGAGGTCCTTCATGTCCCTTGTAAGTTAGATTCCTAGGTATTTTATTCTCTTTGAAGCAAAAACCGCTCAACTACATGGAAACTGAACAACCTGCTCCTGAAGGACTACTGGGTACATAACGAAATGAAGGCAGAAATAAGGATGTTCTTTGAAACCAACGAGAACAAAGACACAACATACCAGAATCTCTGGGACACATTCAAAGCAGTGTGTAGAGGGAAATTTACAGCACTATATGCCCACAAGAGAAAGCAGGAAAGATCCAAAATTGACACCCTAACATCACAATTAAAAGAACTAGAAAAGCAAGAGCAAACACATTCAAAAGCTAGCAGAAGGCAAGAAATAACTAAAATCAGAGCAGAACTGAAGGAAATAGAGTCACAAAAAACCCTTCAAAAAATTAATGAATCCAGGAGCTGGTTTTTTGAAAGGATCAACAAAATTGATAGACCGCTAGCAAGACTAATAAAGAAAAGAGAGAAGAATCAAATAGACGCAATAAAAAATGATAAAGGGGATATCACTACCGATCCCACAGAAATACAAACTACCATCAGAGAATACTACAAACACCTCTACGCAAATAAACTAGAAAATCTAGAAGAAATGGATAAATTCATCGACACATACACCCTCCCAAGACTAAACCAGGAGGAAGTTGAATCTCTGAATAGACCAATAACAGGCTCTGAAATTGTGGCAATAATCAATAGCTTACCAACCAAAAAGAGTCCAGGACCAGATGGATTCACAGCTGAATTCTACCAGAGGTACAAGGAGCAACTGGTACCATTCCTTCTGAAACTATTCCAGTCAATAGAAAAAGGAGGGAATCCTCCCTAACTCATTTTATGAGGCCAGCATCATCCTGATACCAAAGCCTGGCAGAAACACAACCAAAGAAGAGAATTTTAGACCAATATCCTTGATGAACATTGATGCAAAAATTCTCAATAAAATACTGGCAAACGAAATCCAGCATCACATCAAAAAGCTTATCCACCATGATCAAGTGGGCTAACTGCATTTTTTTCAGTCCAGAATTGTTGCTTGATTGTTTGTAGTTATTTCAATATCTTTGTTAAATTTATCTGATAGAATTCTGAATTCTTTCTCTGTGTTATCTTGGATTTCCTGGAGTTTCCTCAACATAGCTATTTTGAATAGCTTTCTCTGTCTGAAAGGCAACATATCTGTTTCTTCATAGTCGATCCCTCATGCCTTGTTTAGTTCATTTGGTGAGGAAATATTTTCCTGGATCATTTTTATACTTGTAGACATTCATCTGTGTCTGGGCATCAAAGAGTTAGGTATTTATTGTTGTCTTCTCAGTTTGAGCTTGTTTTCACCCATTCTTCTTGGGAACACTTTCCAGATATTCGAAAGGACTTAGATTTTGTGATTTAGGCTGTTTCTGCTTTAGTGGGGACCCCAAGCCCAGTAATGCTGTGATTCTTCCACATTCTTAGATGTACCACCTTGATAATCTTGAACAAGTTCTTGAAGATTTCTCTGGATTACACAGGAGAGATATTTGTTCTCTTCTGTTACTTTCTGCCAAACAATCAAAGTTTCTCTCCCTGTACTGAGTAGCCTGGAGTTGTAGGTGTGATGACACAGGCATCTCTGTGACTACCACCCATAAGATTGTGCAGGGTCAGACCTGAAACCAGCACAGTACTGGGTCTCACCTGAGGCCTGCTGTAATCACTCCCTGGCTACTACCCATGTTTGTTCAAACTTCTGGCACCCTACAGTTAGCAGGTGGCAAAGCTAGTCAGGCCTATGTCCTTCCCTTCAGGGCAACAAGTTCCACCAGGCCTTAGGATGGTCAAGATGTACTGTCCAGAAGCCAGAGACTAAAGTCATAAACCTTGGAAATCTACCCTGTGTTCTATTGTATTGTGGCTGATTGACACTCAAACAACAAGATGCAGTCCTTCCTATTTTTCTTTCCCCTTTCCAAAGGCAGAGGATCCTTACCCCATGGCCATCGCCACCTTACACCCACAGGGAGTACTGCCAGACTACTGCCAATCTCCCCTTAAATCCCAAGGATTCTTCATTCAGCTTGTGATGAATGCTGCCAGGCCTGAGGCTCATCTTTTAGGGAAGTGGGCTCCCTTCTGGCCAAGGGCAGGTCCAGAAATGCCATCTAAGAGCCAAGTCCCGAAACTGGGGACCCCAAGTGCCTGTTTGGTACTCTACCCCCATGTGGCTGAGCTGGTACCTAAAGTGCAAGGCAAAGTCATCTTTACTTTTCCTTGAACTTTTTTTCAAGTGAAAGGAGTCTTACCCTGTAGCCACTATAGCTGGAAATGCGCTGAGTCTCACCTGAAGCCAGCAAGACTCAGAGTCTCACCCAAGGCCCTCAACATAGCACCTGGGTTATCACTGCTGGTTATTCAGGGCCCAAGGATGCTTCAATTAGCAGGTGATGAATTATGCCAGGACTGGGTTCTTCCTTCCAAGGCAGTGGGTTCCTTTCTGGCCTAGGGTGCATCTAGAAATATCATCCAAGGACTAGTGCCTGGAGAGGGAATCTCATGACTCTGACGGGTGCCCTATCCTGTTGTGGCTGAGCTGGTATCCAAGATATGAGACAAAGTTCTCTGCACTCTTTCATCTCTTTTCCTCAAGCAGAAAGGAGGGGTCTCTTTTGGAATCATGAGTTGTGCATCCTGGGGTTTGGGGAAGAGTGATGGCAGCACTCCCTTAGCCATCCCAGATAGTGTCTCAGTAGTACACATACCCCCCAAAATCCACTGGCTCTGGGTCCATTTCAAGACTAGCACTCCCTTAGGTGTTGTAGCCCTCATGGTGTAGACTGCCTTTCAAGTTTATATGAGGCCCTGAAGCACTTTAGCCCGTGGTGTCAAGACTTGCGGGCACTCAATTTGGAATGGGTGTCAGCTGAGTTTGGTCCAGTTTTACTTTCTGCTATAACAAGGTCTGCACTGAGTTCAATGCCTCACAATTGGTGTGTTCTCTTGCCCCTAGCATTCAGAAATGCTCTCTGCACCATGCCACCACTTCTGGAAAATGGGGGAGTGTTTAGCCAGTAATTTAAGAGTTTTTCCCACCACTTCAGTGATGTGAAGTTAATCTACCTACCAAGGGGTGGAGAGGGAATGATTGGCGGAGCTTTCTATTCTGCATTGTTGCCCCACCCCTCCTCTAATTTGTCTTAAAATGTTTAGTGCACTGGCTAGGACTTCCAGTAAAATGCTGAATAGAAATATTAAAACTAGGAATTATTGTTTTGATCCTGATTATGAAGAGTATAATATTCCACTCTTAAGTTTGTTCTAAGCTTAGTTATTGTAGATATTTTCATCAGTTAAAAATGTTTCCTTCTCTTCCTACCCTAATTTTTTTGTGAACAGATGTTCAATGTTTTTCAATTTTATTCACATGTTGATATATTCATATTATTTTCTTCATAAATGTTATAATGTAATGAAACATATTACATCTTACTATATTGATCAATAGGGCTTCTAATATTCACCCAATCTTTTGATCTGAGAATAAATCTAACGTGGTCATATCATTTTTTAAATTGTATTATTGTTTTGTTTTGCTAATATTTTAAGATTTTCCCATTATATAAATGAGTAAAATGGGCTTCTGCCTTTTCTTTTTCAAACTGTCTTTACTTTGATATCCAGGTCCATCTAGGTCATAACATTGGTTGTGGAGTTTTCCTTCTTTTTGCTGTTGTGGAAAAGCTTATTTGATATTATAATTATTTGGAACTTTAACATTTGGTAGAACTTGCCAGTGAAGTCATCAAACGTTGAAGTTTTTATTGTGGAAAGGCATTTAACTTGCATTATTTTTAAAATAAGTGACTGCAAGCCTATTCTGGTTTTCTATTTATTTTCACAAGGAAGATTGTTCAGGATATCCAATTTATCATATTATGGGAAAAAGAAGTCACTTCCCTACCTAGAAAGTAATGCCTCCTCTTCTACACTGAGAATCACTTATCTAATGTAAATCATTTGTATCCCTATAAATGAGTTCATACTTACCCTTATATTGAGGAACCTGAAACTTTGGCAGTTTATTAACTTGTGCATGGTGTTGGAATAGACCACATGTTTCTTGACTTTTAATCTATTGTTCTAGGTCCCAGTGATTTTTTTTAAAAAATCTTTTGTTTTTCTTTGATTAAGACAGTTTTTTATTTTCTATCTTTAGTCACAGAATGTAAAGGTGTGGCACAGATTAACAGAAAATTTTAGCCTAAGTTGTAAAATAATTCTTCCTTTTATCTACTGTTGTTAAGTGGAAAAACTTTATTTCTTAAAGTTTCCATTACAATGAAGAAAGCTTCATAGTGAAGAAAACAACCTCTCTTATTCCTTTTCAGGAGAGGAAGATTAGCTTAATTTTATTGTTAAGTTTAAATAAACAGAGCCTATACATCCCTAGCATTTCCTCTATTATTTTCTTAGAAGTGAACATATCTACAGAGAGCAGGTTTTCTGCTCTGATCCTTCAAATACTCTAAAGGGGCCTGCTCCTGTGAGAGAAATGTATGCTAGTCTAACAGCACCAAGACTGGGTAGAGAAACCTGTGGAATTCAATAATAGGAAATCAACTTGATGACAGATATAAGCTACATTTTCCAATATAAGCTATAATAGTAACAAAAGTAACATTTTGAGTGCTATCTGTCTTACAATCATTTCTCTTCACATGTTCAGATTGTGGACAGAAAAATACAAACTAGAGCTCTCTTAAACCCCAATTTTGGTGTGTTAGACTGAGATCCCTGATAAATTTTGGGACAACAGAATTGTCGACCAAAATAACATATTTATGACCAGGGTAGACAACTTTGGCTTTGAACTTCAGTGTGTTGACTGGACATTTTACTTTGGCAGTTTGTAATGGCTTTTATTGGGCCACCCTTTTAATGATCCCTACCTTCTAATATTCATACCCTTGTGTATTCCCTCATTCCATGATTTTGAGCTGCACCTAGCAATTGTTTCTAACAAATAGATATACAAAAAGTGATAGGATGTCATTTCCTTGATTAGGTTACAAAAACATGTGACTTTCATTTTGCTAGCATTTTCCCTATTGGCTGTTGTCTTGCATGTTTTAATGAAGCAAGCTGCCATGTTGGGGAGGTCCACGTGGCAAGAAATTGAGGGCAACTTTCATCTAACAGTCAGCAAGTAAGTGAAGCCTTGATTCCAGCAGCTGACAAAGAACTGAATGATGCCAATGACCATAGGAGTGAACATGGAAGTGGATGCTTCCTCAGTTAAACTTTCAGACGAGACCGCAGCTTCAGGCAACATCTTGATTGCATTTTTGTGGGACACCCTGAGACAGATGACCCATTCAAACCATGCCTAGGTTCCTGCTAAGCAGAAACTGTAATGTAATAAATGTACCAAATTTAAGACAATAATCCAATAATAATTTGTTAAGCAAAAATGCATGTTCAATACCATGAGTCACCACAGTTTAGGCAGCTTTATCCAGATGCAAGTTATGCTTTTTATTAAAATAGCTGCCTTGAGTGAAAAGTGAGTCTCTTCCACCTTAAGGAAAATCGAGCATTTCTGCAATGTAGGGGTTGGCAGCAATGTGAGGCCAGCCACAAGCCTCAACCAAGAAGCAGGCCAGGGAGGTTTAGTCTGATATGGTATATTACAGATGGTTTTGGTCAAATGGTGATGGTGGGAGGTTTTCAGTCTATGCCTATTTGACTCTGAAGTATACAAACATTGGCTGAAGCATATGTATGGGGCTTCATGTGATCTTCAGCAGATGCATGAGTATTGCAGAGGCCTTAGTAAGAAAGAATAGCTGAATCAAGAATTCAAAGAAGAGTCTTTCTGGATATCAGCTGTTTAGACAAAGATTATTGACTTCTATTTCATTGTTTCTCAGCTCTTTACAAGCAAGTATACTAAATGCATGTGCATTTCAGAAGACTAGTGTGTTTTATTCTAACTTTAAGGTGTTAGTACCAAACTCATGGAGGCTAGAGTGCCACACTGACTTCTCCAAATTGTTTTCTGTACGTGGGGTTAAGAAGGAAAGTGTGATAGTGGTAACCTTGAATTCATATATTGGGCCCACACTAAAACTCAATTGCCATCTTCCCATCAAATGGTCTTAAATCGAGTCTAGATATATTATTTTCTTACATTTAAATTATGACTTTAGATTACAGACACAACTTGAGACTTTACCTGAAGAAAAGCGGTAGGTTTTATTACTAAACCAACAAATGAATTGTAAAGAAAACATGCCTTCATAGTTTGAGGTAGAGAAACAAGTTAATGAAATGATTAAAAATAAAAATATATGAGGGAAACTAATAAAGCTCATTCCTGGGATTGTGTCTATGGGAATTAGAGTTGTCTAGGGAATCAAGAAGGATTTAGAGTTATTTGAAAAGTATGCTTCAATTTTAATAACAGAATAAGGGCAATAGAAAAATAAAAATAATTAAAAGATTTACTTAGAAGGTAGATAAAGCTCTTAGCATAACAGACCCTATTTTTGTGAAAGGAAAACTGAATTCTCAATGGCCAGAATAGAACGATATAAGAGGGAAATAAAGATTGCTTCATATCTAACTTCTCTGCATAGCAAATTTCTTAAGTAGAAAGTATCCAAGTTTTAACCAGACCAGAAAGAGTGACTAGATCCCAGTAGAAGCTAGCAGAGGAAAAGATGAATGTTCTCAGACAACAATCAGGTATATGATTCTCCAGTAGGGGGCCAGAATCCAGGAGATTATTGAAAGCTTGCAGATAAAGAATCTGGGTGGAAGGTGGGAAGAGTAATGGGGAAAGCAATTTACAGTTAAGGGCAGCTATACCAAGTGATTACAGAAAATCTGGACATTTTTGATGAGACAAAAGTAGAAAGATCTGTGAAAAATAGTATTAAGGAATTATTAGGGGAGTTTCAAGGCAGTACACTTATTTGAGGTAAAAATTTAGTTATAACATGTATTCCAAGAGAAGAAGTTTGAGAAATTTAATGAATTAGGACTCAAAAGAAATGCATATCAAAAATGAGACATGTTAAAGGGGATTGAAACAGGATAATGATCGTTCAAGTTCAGACCTGGGTTAGACATTGATCTGATGGGAGAACATCTCTTGAGTACTATTATTTAAGTGTAGAAGGTGGAGGTGGACATGATTTGTCTGAAGAGTAGATACATTTGACAGGCCCAACTTTTGTTGATTTCATATCTTTCACTATGTGAAAAATGAAATTTAGATGAATATGTTATTAAAACAAATATATGTATCAGAAATCAAATAGAAAACAAAAGGAAAGAGAACACTTAAATTCAATAAAAAATACCAGTTCTACATATGTCAGAAAAGAAAATGGACCAACTTAAGAAGCAGGTTAAGTTGAGTCTTCCTGAAAGGCACAGAGAAACAACAGGGGGAAATACAACTGGGTCATATTCTGCCCCTGAATATGAAAAAAAAAGGAAATGTTAGACATAAATGTATTTATGTCTTAGAAGATTCAAAGGCAGAGGAAAGACATTGACTTAGGAAGTATACAAGAGGGTTGTTAGTCAAACTTAGAAGTGCTAACATTAGGGGCTTGGGTTTTTATATCATGCATAGACAGAAATTAAGCCTTAATCCTCCATGAGGTGAGAGCTTGGACCTAAGACCCCCGAATAAAACTGAGTTTTGAAGAGTTGTACTCTAAGTGACAGGGAAACTAGAAAAGTTTTTCCCAATGCTCCTGAGAGAGGACAAAATTATTTGCCTTACCTTAGACTCTTGGCGGAAAAATGTACTAAACATTGAGAAACTGAAACTATAAAGATGAACTACATACACTATTAAAGAGTGAAGGTACTGTTTCCATAAAGTTAGAGAGTCACCAAAATTAAAAAAAAAAATACATGGAGATAAATCTCAGGTCAGACATATCCCAAGGACGTGTGGAAGAAGAAGCAACACTCATTTCCCATGAATTTTCTATAGAAAAATTATCCCTGCTGAAAATGAGCTCAAAACAAGGAAATGAAAAATGACAATATGCACAAAACAATAATGTATCTTCAGTTAAAGTCAGCAGTCACAACAAATTAGGAGGATAAGCACAGAACATGAGATAATAGGTCAATATGAAAAAACATAAATTAAGTGCAGGTTAATAAAAAAATTAAAAAAATAGAAACCACATGGAAAGAAGAAAACATTATGAAAAAATAATAGTCAAATTTGAAATAAAATACTACATAGAATGTTAAAAAAATGAGATTCAATGGACAAGCAAAATGAAAAAAACCTAAATAGAAAACTATTTACTCAGAAGGTGGATAATTGAAAATGACCTACAGTGCATCACAGAGACATGAAAATATGACAAATATGAAAGAAGTTGAAGAGATATGGAAGACAGATTGGAAAATTATAACATACCTAATAGCTCCATAAGGAGAGAAAAACTAGAATGGATGAAAGATAGAAGGGTACTTAATAGAATCAAATAGTTCTAAAAGGTATCTATTATTTTGGAGGAACTTAAAGGTGTGCATTAGCTTTAAATATTTAAGGTAAAATATGACGGTTAAAAATTTAAGGTTAATCACAAAAAATTCAGAAGTTTATTAAATGGTTGTAAACTAAGAGAGGAGAAAAAAGGGCCTGAACAAAGCTTGATCAATTCAATAGAAGGCATAAAGGAGGAAAACAACAATAAAAAGGATAGCGTGAAAAATAAAAATTACAAAATCAGATTGGAAAAATAAATCAACATGTCATTAATGAATATGTATAAATGGATTTATACAGATATAAGGCAGATCATCAGGTAGATAAAAAAAAATCCAGTTATATACTGTTTATAAATGATACACTTAAACTTTAAAAATGTGGAAAGGTTGAAAACAAATGGATGGGAAAGGTGTATCAGGCATGCACTAAAAAATACATTTGATGTAACTATATTAGTATAAAATAAAATAGACTATATGGAATAATTATTAGAGATAAAAAAGATTATTACATAATGACAAATGGTCACATTCTGCTCAAAGACATAATAGTTCTGGATTTGTATGTAGCTGATACCATAACTTTGGAATATATAAATGCAAATAAACATATAGCTTCATATATTTTTAAAATTATGACAAAGCTACAAGGAGAAATTGACAAATCCATTACAATCGTGAAATATTGTAATGTTCTTCCCTTAATTGAATGATCAAGTATTTTAAAAACATTGAATCGACCAAATCTTAACCACATTTTAAAGAATTTTATTTAATGAATATACATATAATCCTATATCCCACAATTAGGAAATATACATTATTTTCAAACACACATGGAACTTTTATAAATATTGACCAAATATTAGGCTATAAATCAAGTCTCAACGCACAACAAATATATTCTCTGACCATAATGCACTTACATTCGAAATAAAAAAATAAAAATATGACCAACTTACTGTTATTCATTTGAAAAGAAAACACTTCTAAATAATTCATGGGTCAAAGGAAATAGCATATATGGAATAAGAAAAATGTAATTTTAAAACAATAAAAATACTTCACATCTAACTTTGTGGAAATTAAAATTGTACTCAAAAGGGAGTGGATAATGTTAAGTGTATGCAACAGAAAGTAAGTTTTAATACAGAGAATTAATCATGCAATTCAAGAAGTTAGAAAAACAATATGAAAATAAACTCAAAGAAAAAGGACTAAAGTGATAAAAGAAAGAACAAGAATTTATAATGTGATTAATACAAATAAAAAAGAGAATGAACAAAATAAAGGTGTATATTTGAAAATAGTAATAAAGTAGACATTTTGAAATATTGATGAAGAAAAAAAGAGAAGTCACTGAAGACCAGTATAAAAATAATTAAGAAACATAGGTATAAATAAATCACAGATGTTTAAAATAAGAAGATAATACTATGTGAAGTTTTTGCCAGTTTATTTAAAAATATACACAAAATGTACAAATGTATAGAATATTTAATATTTTGAAACCAAATCAAGAATAAATAGGAACTGAGTGAATCCATGAGTCATCAGAAACTCCCCAAAGAAAACCCTCGAGGCCTACCAAAGTTTTAATGAATATTTATTTCTTATCTTTTGAACATTGTTTTAAAGCATGTAAAAAAAAAGAAGGAACATTTTACAACTCATTTATGAAACTATTATAACCTACAGATAAAAGCCAAAATGAGACCAATCTAGTTTATGAAAACAGATGCAGACCTTTTAGTAAAATATTAGTAATCTAGCTACATTAATATATTTAAAAACATATCCTGAGTAAGTGAGGTTTAACCCAGGAATATAGAAATTTTTAATATTGAATGTTATTGTTAAGTCTTTTGATTCTCTAACTATGGCATATCAGATACACAGGGAAGACTCCTGGTGTAGAACATCTAAAATTTATGGAAGGCAGATAAAATTCATTGTAAATACATGGTTGAATGGGTCAGAAAGTAAGCTAAATCAGTTAAGGCTAGAAAAAAATGAGAAAATACAAATTTAGAGAGGAAAGGAAGCAGTGGAGCAAGATTTGTCTCTGGAGCTTCTGATTTCTGGAAATATAATTTGGGTTAAAATGTGCATGCTCTCACTTATACATGGAAGATAGACAATGGGTATACATGAAAATACAGAGTAAAATAAGGGGCATTAGAGACTCCAAAACATGGGAACGAGGGAGGGGTGTAAGGGTTGAAAATTTATCTATTGGGTACAATATTCACTATTCAAGTGATGGGTACATTAAAGGCCCAGACTTCACCACTATGCAATGTATCCATGTAACAAAACTGCACTTGTTCCCCGTAAATCTATAAATATAAAAAATAAATAATTTAAAAAGAACTTGATGAAAATAAATCATATCATGCAGATTTAGAAAAACTGCATCTATTGAAGTTAACATATATAGAATAAACAATACATCTGCTTATTATTTTTGAAGAAATAAAAGGAAGTATTAAACGTATAACAAAGGAGTAGGTGACTTTAAAAAAATGACTATGCAGATTTGAAGAACCAGATAGGACTCCAGAAATATACCCATGTATATATGTACATATGAAATTAGAAATTCAATGAACTAGTTAAATCACTAATTAGGCACAGAAACAATAAAAAAGCTGCAGATTAGATATGAAAATCATGAGACAATGCAGTAGATAGAAAAAATGATGGAAATATGAAAGAGAGATTAAGGGTCATAAATGCTAGAGTGAGAAGATTCAATACACATCTAATTTGAGAAGCAGATAAAGATAATAGAGAAGTTGGGGAAAGGCAATATTGGAAAAATAATTGACCATTTTTTAGAATTGATAAGAAATGTGAATCTTCAGTTTCAATGTCTCAAAAGGCTAATGGATTCCAAGAAGGATAAATGCAAACAAATCCACAATTTGACATTTGATACTAAAATTTTAGGATTCTAAGGAAAACAATAAAGAAGCCAGGGAGGCAAAAAAAAAAAAAAATTAGGACAATAAGATTGTCAGATGACTTCTCGATAGCAGCACTGTAAGCCAGAAAGCAGTGAAATAATATCTAAAGAGTCAAGAGTCAAGACAATATGTAACTGTTGACTTAGAATTTTATACCTAAGCAAAAGAATCTCTAAAACATTATAGCAGAATAGAGGTATATTCCAACAAACAAACTTTGAAGTTTACTAATAACTTTTTCACTAAAGGAACTTCTACGGGCTTCTCTTTATGAAGGAAAGTGATCCCAGAAGGAAGGACAAGTATCAAAGAAACAGTTATAAGGGAATAATAAACATAGGCATAAAACTAAATAAACTTTGACCATCTAAAACAATAGTAAGCAAGTATGTCTTTTAGCTTTTTCTGGAGTTAACCACACCCCCAAATTTCAGTGTCTTACAGCACAAAATATTTCTCTTTTGCAAGTCTATGAGTGTTTGAATCTATGCTCCTTATGTCTTCTCTTTCTAGAACACCAGCTGAAAAATAGCTCCTATCTTGGACATGCTAGTCTCATAGTGGAGGGCAGGGGAGAGAAAATCAAACAATATGATTGCATGTAAAAGATCTGCTGTCAACTTGCATGTTGTCACTTCTGCTAAAATCCCATTTACTAAAGAAGTATCATGCAAAATCCTGACAATGGGGCAGCAAATAATATTTATATCATTTATTCAATTTTCTTCATGTTTTAATTGCATAATATAAAAATAAAATGCATTTTTTGTTTTATTTATTAATTTTGCCTTATCCTATGATATCTAGAATGAAGTCATGATATGTGTGCAAGAATGGAGGTCAGGAAGTCTGATTTATTATCTCAATATCATTACTGGATAACTTGGTTAAGCATTTTAATTTTTCTGTACCTGAAACTGTTTTTTTCTCTTGGAGTCACCCAAGTGAGATATTTGTCATCAAAGAAAACTAGGAGAGTCTTCTCTGGTCCCCAGATTTAACAAATAGACAAACAGTACAAACAGTCAAATGAAAAAATGGAAAAAAGATTACCAGCCAATATAAATGTTAATTGGCTAAGTGCTCAGAATATAACCAGAAATATTTACTGGATAAGCAACAAGGATTACTAGTAGACTACACAGCAAGTACACAGTTTTATAATAAAGCCATGCTTGTAAAATATTTCACACTCTGTTGACATGTTAACAGAGAATTTCACACTTCATTGAAAAGTCATTAAGACAATTACCAGGTCATTAGTGTACACTTTAAGTCTCAGCTTTTAAATTTTATTTTATAAAGAATTCCTTTTGACAGACAGTTTAGCTCTTAGCATGTGCTGAGTCAGGATGAGATCTGCACCATCTTTTCTACCCACTAACAGCTAGCCTTTAGAGACTGCTGAAGGAGTCTTTCTGGGACTTGTTCAGAAAATCCAGGAAATGTATTCAACTGTTTATGACTTGCAGATACATTCAAGTTTCCTAAAAGGAAATCCCTATAATCTGGTACACTGGATTTCTGGCCTAGTGGGACTCCTCAGTGACTGTTAATGTATTTTAAAATATCGGTTATTAATGTTATTTTTAACGTATAAAATCGCAAAGAAAAACATTTTATAATTTAATTATCCATATAGCTCATCTTAATATAGTGTCATTTATTTATTTTTAATTGACACATGATTAATAAGTAATTCATAACTGTACACATTTATGGGGTACAGTGTGATATTTTGATACACGTATACAATGTGTAATGATCAAATCAGGGTAATTAGAATAACAATTACCTCAAACCTTTATCACTTTTAAAGCATGTATCATTCAAAATCCTCTCTTCTAGGGTTTTGAAAAAATACAGTAAATTATAGTTTACCTCGCCACCCTACAGTGTTATCCAAAGCTAGAATTTATTTCTTATTTTGTATCCATTAACCAATCTCTGCCTTTTCTCCCTCCTTCTCTCTTTCCAAGCCTCTAGCAACCGTAATTCTACTCTATGAGATCAACTTTTTTAGCTTCTACATATGAGTGAAAACATGTGCTATTTATCTTTCTGTGCCTTACTTATTTCACTTAACATAATGTCCTCTGGGCTCATACAGGTTGCTAAGAATGACAGGATTTCATTCTATTTATGGCTGAGTAGTATTCTATTATGTACATATACCAAATTTTCTTTATCCATTCACCCATTGTTAGACACTTAGGTTGATTCCATATTCTGGTTATTGGGAATAATGCTGCAATAAACATGGGGGTATAGGTATCTCTTTGATACATTGTTTTCTTTGCCTTTGGATAAATATCCAGTAATGGGATTGCTGGATCATATGGTAGTTCTATTTTTAATTTTTTGAGTACTCTTTCTACTCTTTTCTATGTTGCCTGTGCTAATTCGCATTCCCACCAACAGTATATGAGTTTCCTCCTCTACATCCTTCCCAGCATTTGTTATTTTTTAATCTTTTTGGATATAGACATTCTAACTGGGATGAGATAATATCTCATTGTGGTTTTGATTTGCATTTTCCCTGATGACTAGTGATGTTGAGCATTTTTTTCATATATTTGTTGACCAATTGTATGTTTTCTTTTGAGAAAAGTCTATTCAGATAGAATTATTTTTTAAAGCAATACAAACATATGGTGAGAAAATTTTGTGTATATAATATTTTTTAACTTTTTGCAAAACTAAATATAGCATTTTGCAGACTGATTTTCACACTGCACAAGGTATCAAAATTATCTTGAGAATTGTTCTATATCAGTATATACATATATTTGTATATATGTATATATTTAATAGCTGTTTATCATTTTACTTTACAAACTGATCTCACAAGAACAGCACCAAGAGGGTAGTCCTAAACCATTCATGAGAAGTTCACCCTCATGATCTAGCCACCTCCCACCAGGCCCCACCTCTAATACTGGGGACTACAATTCAACATGAGATTTGGTGAGACATAGATCCAAAGCATAACAAAGTATAAATATCATAATTTATTTAATGATTCCACTGTTGATAAATATTTAGATGGCTTACCATTATGAATAATACTGCAATGAATATCCATATACATGTATATTTTGATGTACTTTTATAAGTGTATTCACATATTCTTCAGTTTTTGATGTGTCCTCTAGGTTCAACAGATGGTGATAAGTTCTGTCATGTGTGTAAGGAAATTACAAAGACACATTTGGAGCAACACATAAGTAAGATGACATTCTTTATAGAGAAAGATGCATACACGTTCAAGCCAAAAAGCATTAAGATAGAGTTTCTATTTTACTTTTGTGTCATCTTGCAAGATTTCTTAGTGTTGTGAGGCAGACGAAACTTTACCTGTGATGGCTTCTCTCTACTGAAATATAAAACTTGCTGAATCAAAGCTATAGTACTTGCTAATCTGTGTGAAGAGTGAGTTTTGTATTTATAAAAAAACTATATTTATATTTTTCAAAAACTATATCCAGTAGAAACATAGTAAAGTGTGCTTGTAATGAATTTATGCCACCACTCCCTTACTAATGTTTTCTAAGTGTTAGAGTTTCCAAACACCAAAAAATGTCTTTAAGGTGCTCTCATATACAAATGTTGGGTGAACTGTGTTGCTTTCTAGACCTCTTTTAACTCTGATCTTAATTTCCAAAGAAAAGTACTACTTGGAAAATTAGAAGAAGAGATGAGGCTGGGATTTGTTGATGACACAGTCCTAGCCAACTGTGATAGTATACTCAAAAATAGTAGCCATCATTTATTTGTTGAATATTTCAAAATTACACCATTTGAATAAGCTGAAAGGATACTATGAGTAGGTAGCTTATTTTTGGAGGGATTACCTTCTTTTAAGTAAAGGATCTTGGGGTAGAAAAGGTTCAGAAAAATTTTAAAATACATATTATGAATTTTCTCAGCCTCCCAAGTACACCCCAGGATCCAAAGTATTGACTATTTTCCAGTTTAAAAGTCCTTACTTTAGTAATGAGAAAAGAGTTCAAAGAAAACTCTACCAGAAAATGAGGTTAGAAATGAGAGACTGTTTGTAAAGTTCTCATGATATTTTGGGGATCTGTGACTTATCAGAGTTTAGTCTGTATCTGAATGGGAATAGACCTCAGTTGCAAGAGGTCATATTGACTCTAGCAGAAAGCCCCAGAACTCCTGATTTATGACACTACCATCTAGCTACTCACTGAGCTGAACATAACCTTGCTTGTTGACCCAGCACACAGCTAGCCCTGTATGACCTGGGTAGTTATAAGAAGCTGCCCACAGTTTAGCATCTAGTGGTTCATGAAAAAACCTGCTGCTGTTAGGAAAAACTTATTCAGCCTTGCAAAAATAAATAAATAAATAAATAAATAAATAAAACAGGGAAGCCTGGGGATACAGCACTACTCAAAAGCATTGTGAATAGGGAAAATTATGTTTTTTGTTCTTCGTGGCTGTAGTGCAATTCTTATTTTTCTTCTGACATAGCTACAGACATGTATATGAGGTCGTTGTAAGTGACCTAAGGTGACCAAAACAACTATCTATATAATCTTACTACTTTCTGTGTTATTGTTCTATATTAAGACACAATTCTCTGTCCCTTTTTCCTTTTCCACCCTCAGAGTTTCCAGTTGTTCTTTCTGGGTGATGGTGATATAGATGTACAGTACTACATGGCACTAATATATAGGTAAGTTTGTCCTACAGCACATATTTCTTATGGTCCCTGGTAGGTACAGCTACCAACTTCCTTTAGCATGAATCAGACCAGTGTCTCATGCTGTATTATAGAAAGAAACCTGCACTCTAGACCTTGAAATTGTTTTATTTCATTTAAAGTCACATGAAACAAATATCCTTTGTGACCAAAAAACATGCCAAGAAACTATTACTGCAAAATGATTGGCTGACCGTCTCTGACGCCAGACATAGTATATACTTCTATAAAGCTGTAATTTGAAATAACCTGAAAGTTAGACTGAACGAGGGAAATGCTACGTCCTGTGAGAGTGCTATAACAAAAAACAAGCTTTTTTTTCCAAGCGTTTGAAATGCTAAACCAATTACT
Organism: Homo sapiens; assembly: GCF_000001405.40. Lineage (NCBI taxonomy): Eukaryota > Metazoa > Chordata > Mammalia > Primates > Hominidae > Homo > Homo sapiens. The sequence goes on along the minus strand of NC_000023.11, from coordinate 99,847,849 downwards.
ACACATGGTCAGTGCAATAATTAGTCACTAACAGGGATATCTTCTGTAATAGAACAGTTGGCCATTAACAGATGAACTTAGTCACACTATGCAGGACTCAAGAATAGAATCTAAATATTAATCACATGAAATATAAAATCCTTTCCTTTTTTAATTTTTAAATTTTATGGGTACATAGTAGGTGTACATATTTATGGAGTGTATGAGATATTTTGATATAGGCAGGCAATGTGTAATAATCACATCAGGGTAAATGGGGTATCCATCGCCTCAAGGATTTATCATTTGTGTTACTTTTTTAATAAGTAACATGCCCATATATTTTAATTTAAAGCATATGTCAATTTATTAAATTTACTTATTTGATTTTTATTATTGTGACTACATACCTATTACTTATGCTTAAGTAATTTTTAAAATAAATTAGGTGCTTGTGCCTCAGGGTATAGAGCAGTTAACATAGTTAAACACAGCCAATCCAATAAAAACATACTGCAGTGTGTAAGTATTAAAATTCTACATGGAACCTGTTTTGTTCTCAGGAGTGAGGTAGGGAAAAAGATTGCATAGATATGGTCTTTGACCAGTAAACGTGTCAAAAACAATAACAGTGACTACAATTTTCACCTATATAGTATCTTAGAGTTTATGAAGCTCTTTATCTTATTTTTGTCTTTTTACCCAAATGTCATCAAGGAATAGTTTAAAATTAAAATACAGCTTGTACTATGTTATAAAGATTAGTAAAATATTTCATTTTCCCAGGAGGCCTAATGTGACTGCTCTGTGGAAAATAACCAACTGCTCCTTTCCTGAGGTGTAAACCTGGTATATCATAGTGTGAATCCAACTTGACCAAACTATCAAAACTCATGAGGAAAGAAACACTGTCTTAATGCTCTAAGGAATGTTATTTTTTTATTATTTTTAGATCTAATTCCTAGGTAAATCTAGTTAGATTTAGAATTTACTAGGACATAAATCCATCAAACATATTTGTATCTTGATAAGCATTTGGAGTGCTTCAGCTAGATCTCTTGGGATTCAGGGGTCTAATTGTGGTGCAAAGCTGGCTGGGCTTTATAATTATGGTTCCAATTACTGTCTTTTGTCTTCAAGCAGCAGAACTTACTTTTCCCCTTAAATACAATAGATTCAGATTTTTAAAGAGGGACTTCTGTTGGATTTTGGTTGAGAGGGAATATGTGTTCCTTGAATGTAGTTAACTTTTTAAAAAAATCTTGATTATAAATACAGTCCTGAATGTCAGTGGGCCACCTATAGGACAGTAGTCCCCTAAGATTATAATGGAGCTGGGGAATTTCTACTGCCCTACTGCCTAGTTATGTTGTAGCTATCATAACACTGTAGCACAATTACTTAATTTTGAAATAAATTTAGTAGCCTAAGTGTACAGTGTTTATAAATTCTACAGTACTGTACGGTGATGTCATAGCCCTTCACATTCACTCACCACTCACTCACTGACTTACCCAGAGCAACTTCCAGTTCTGCAAGCTCCTATCCTGGTAAGTGCTTTATACAGGTGTACCAGTTTTTATCTTTTATACCATATCTTTACTGTACCTTTTCTGTATTTAGATATGTTTGGACACACAAATACTACTGTGTTATATTTGCCTCTGTTATTCAGTACAGTCACATGCTGTACAGGTTTGTCACCGAGGAGCAATAGGCTATACCATATATCCTAGGTGTGTAGTAGGTTGTACCATCTAGTTTTGTGTATGTACACTCTATGATATTTGCACAATAATGAAATCATTTAACGACATACTTCTCAGAACGTATCCTCATTGTTAAGCAATGCACGACTGTGTTATATTCCATCAATATACTAACTTAAATTATCCTTATAGCTACTGGGATGCCATTCACAGTTATGGGTTTTTTTTTTTTTTTTTTGAGATGGAGTGTCGCTCTGTCGCCCAGGCTGGAGTGCAGTGGCGCGGTCTCAGCTCACTGCAAGCTCCGCCTCCCGGGTTCACGCCATTCTCCTGCCTCAGCCTCCAGAGTAGCTGGGACTACAGGCACCCGCCACCACGCCCGGCTAATTTTTTTTTGTATTTTTAGTAGAGTAGGAGTTTCACCGTGTTAGCCAGGATGGTCTCGATCTCCTGACCTCGTGATCCGCCCGCCTCGGCCTCCCAAAGTGCTGGGAGCCACCGCGCCCGGCAATTATGGGGTTTTGATTAAAAGTTAATAACCATGTCTTTGTTGTAAAGATCTAGCTCAGAAACACACTCATAACCTAATTTGTTTCCCCAGGGAGAAAGAGAGAAATAAAAAAAAATCAAAAAATTGAAAAGACCCTAGAGGGAATATATTAGAGCTTGGTTTGGCATATGTTATTGTACCAATACAGTTCACATGGGAAGCTAATGTGGAATCTGCTAATCAAGAATCTTAAGAAGTAATCAGGTGTTTGTTGCTCTTGGGACTCAATTCCACATATTGAGGAAGTGCCTCTTTATATGTGGACATGTCCAGAGAAATCCTCATTGTGGTATGCCTTTGTAAGTAGTCTCTTGGATTCTTATGGATATCCGCAGTTAAGGTCTTTCAGCCCTACTTCTGTATTTTGTTGTTCTCTTTATTCCAATTCAAGGTTAGTATTTTCTGATGATCCTGCAAATTCTCTTTTTGTCTCCCGTAATCTATGAAACTGGAATGGAGAGGACATTAGAATGGCAGAGGGATCTTAAAGAAACTTGTCAATTCCCCCATCGTTATTTTTAGTGATATTCTGTTTTAAGACTACCACATTTTAATTTTATACCCTTCTGGAGCCTTATCAAATTAGTATAAATGGTCGAATAACTATGTTAATCAATTTTCTCACCACCCGATGAGTATTCAGACAGGAATAGTTCAGTTATGCAAGTTCAGATATTCCAAGGACTTTAGCTTTTTGCTAATAGTTGTTTATGTAAGAGATTTCATTTATTCGCAGTCACCTACATTTAAAATTCGTTTTCCTGTCTAAGTACTTAATTCAAAAAGAAATTGAAGTGTTTGCTAGTTTTATTCATAACTTACCTTGAAAATGTCTTCATTTGCTGGCAGAATTTTTTTCTCATATATGTCCTTAGTTTTTATTATTGTAATATTACTGATCTTCAATGTTTACCAAGAATCTATATTACACTTTGCAAAATACTAAGACATATAAAGACAAGTTCATGCATTTGTGTAGATTTTGTTTTATAAATCTTGCTAATAAGTAAGTTGCTTTTGAACTTAATTGTGGTAGATAAAAGGGCCTAAATGTGAGGTGAGCTTTCTGATAATTTTATGCATTCATTTTATTAAACATTTTTTTTGGTTTCTTTGTTTGACTAGATATTTTTCTTTTCTTGTTTTACTTTATAATACAATATGCTGTATTATTATTCTTAATTTATACTTAGAGATATACTAGCAAAATATGAATAGCATGACCTTTGATAGCAAACAAATCTGGGTGCAAATTCTGGGTCTAAAGATTATGGAATGTATGGCTTAGTGTAATTATTTAATTTCTATAAATTCTTATTTTTACCTGTAAATAAAATAGTATTACTTCTCTCTTGCAGGGCTATTGTGGGTATGTAATAGAATAATACACTTGGAATACCTGGCATGATATCCAGCATAGATGAGATAATTTAAAAAACTGTTAGATATTACTGTATCATTCTTTCCATCCTGACTTGTTTTAATTTTCAGAATTTCAACTTTATTGTATTATGTACAACCACATACAATAACATTAACTGTACGTGTATAGCTTCATAAAATCTTACAATCATATACAATGATTTTACATCACATTTCTATCATGTCAAAAGTTCTCTTGTGCTCCTTTGCAGTCACTATCTTCCCCAAAGCTGTGTGCCTTCAAATTGTAGACCCACTTTTTGTCACTATGTATTTTTTAAAGAATTTGATTTGGGAGAATTTATACAGTATACAGGCTTTTGTGTCTGCCTTATTTTGCACACCATGGTCGTACTGAGGTTAATCCATGTTGTAGCATGTGTCAGTAGTAAATCACTTTTAACTGCTGAATAGCATTTTGTTGTAGAGTTGTACCACAATTCTTTTCTTAATGTAGGCATTTATCACTAAAAAGTCCCTCTTAGAACTGCTTTTGCTGCATCTGTCAAGGTTTAGTATATTGTATTTTCGTATTTGTCTCAAGATTATTTTTTATTTCCCTTTCTGATTTCTTCTCTGAAAAATTTGTTGTTTGGGGGATGTGTTATATAAGTTTCACATACTTGTGAATTTTTCAAAATTTCTCCTGTTATTCAGAAAAGATGCTTGATATAATTTCAATCTTCTTACATTTGTTAAGACTTTTTTATATCCTAACATTTGATCCTGCAGAATATTTTATGGGCACTTGAGAAGAATGTGTTTTCTGCTCCTGTTGGATGGAATGTTCTTTAAGTTCATTAGGTTCATTTCATCTGTAGTGTTATTCATGTCCACTGATTGCTTATTGATTTTCTGTGTGGATAATCTATCATTTGCTGAAAGTGGAGTACTGTAGTGACCTTTAATATTCATTTTACATATTCAGGTGCTCCAATGTTGAATGGATATATATTTACAATTGTTATATCCTCTTGGTGAATTGACCACTTTATCATTATATAGTGATGTTTTGGTATTTTTTCATAGATTTTGACTGAAAGTCTGTTTTGTCAGATACAAGTGTAGCCATCTCTTATCTCTGTCTCATTTTCATGGAATATCTTTTTTTATCCCTTCACTTTGAGACTATGTGTATTCTTTTTTTTTCTAGCTTTTTTTAAATTTTACTTTAAGTTCAAGGGTACATGTGCACAACGTGTGGGTTTGTTACATATGTATACATGTGCCATGTTGGTGAGCTGCATCCATTAACTCGTCATTTACATTAGGTATATCTCCTAATGCTATCCCTCCCCCTACTACCCCACGACAGGCCCGGTGTGTGATGTTCCCCTTCCTGTGTCCAAGTATTCTCAGTGTTCAGTTCCTACCTATGAGTGAGAACATGCAGTGTTTGGTTTTCTGTCCTTGTGATAGTTTGCTCAGAATGATGGTTTCCAGCTTTATCCATATCCCTACAAAGGACATGAACTCATCCTTTTTTATGACTGCATAGTATTCCATGGTGTATATGTGCCACATTTTCTTAATCCAGTCTATCATTGATGGACATGTGGGTTGGTTCCAAGTCTTTGCTGTTGTGAATAGTGCCGCAATAAACATACATATGCATGTATCTTTATAGCAGCATGATTTATAATCCTTTGGGCATATACCCAGTAATGGGATGGCTGGGTCAAATGGTATTTCTAGTTCTAGATACCTGAGGAATCGCCACACCATCTTCCACAATGGTTGAACTAGTTTACAGTCTCACCAACAGTGTAGAAGTGTTCCTACTTCTCCACATCTTCTCCAGCACCTGTTGTTTCCTGACATTTTAATGATCGCCATTCTAACTGGTGTGAGATGGTATCTCACTATGGTTTTGATTTGCATTTCTCTGATGGCCAGTGATGATGAGCATTTTTTCATGTTTCTGTTGCCTGCATAAATGTCTTCTTTTGAGAAGTGTCTGTTCATATCCTTTGCCCACTTTTTGATGGGGTTGTTTGATTTTTTCTTGTAAATTTGTTTAACTTCTTTGTAGATTCTGGATATTAGCCCTTTGTCAGATAGGTAGATTGTAAAAATTTTCTCCCATTCTGTAGGTTGCCTGTACACTCTGATGGTAGTTTCTTTTGCTGTGCAGAAGCTCTTTAGTTTAATTAGATCCCATTTGTCAATTTTGGCTTTTGTTGCCATTGCTTTTGGTGTTTTAGTCATGAAGTCTTTGCCCATGCCTATGTCCTGAATGGTAATGCCTAGGTTTTTCTTCTAGGATTTTTATGGTTTTAGGTCTAACTTTTAAGTCTTTAATCCATCTTGAATTAATTTTTGTATAAGCTGTAAGGAAGGGATCCAGTTTCAGCTTTCTACATATGGCTAGCCAGTTTTCCCAGCACCATTTATTAAACAGAGAATCCTTTCCCCATTGCTTGTTTTTGTCGGGTTTGTCAAAGATCAGATAGTTGTAGATATGCGGCATTATTTCTGAGACCTCTGTACCGTTCCATTGATCTATATCTCTGTTTTGGTACCAGTACCATGCTGTTTTGGTTACTGTAACCTTGTAGTATAGTTTGAAATCAGGTAGCGTGATGCCTCCAGCTTTGTTCTTTTGGCTTAGGATTGTCTTGGCGATGCCGGCTCTTTTTTGGTTCCATATGAACTTTAAAGTAGTTTTTTCCAATTCTGTGGAGAAAGTCATTGGTAGCTTGATGGGGATGGCATTGAATCTATAAATTACCTTGGGCAGTATGGCCATTTTCACAATATTGATTCTTCCTGTGCATGAGCATGGAATGTTCTTCCATTTTTTAGTGTCCTCTTTTATTTCATTGAGCAGTGGTTTGTAGTTCTTGAAGAGGTCCTTCACATCCCTTGTAAGTTGGATTCCTAGGTATTTTATTCTCTTTGAAGCAGGGAGTTCACTCATGATTTGGCTCTCTGTTTGTCTGTTATTGGTATATAGGAATGCTTGTGATTTTTGCACATTGATTTTGTATCCTGAGATTTTGCTGAAGTTGCTTTTCAGCTTAAGGAGATTTTGGGCTGAGACGGATGGGGTTTTCTGAATATACAATCATGTCATCTGCAAACAGGGACAATTTGACTTCCTCTTTTCCTAATCGAATATCCTTTATTTCTTTTTCTTGCCTGATTGCCCTGGGCAGAACTTCCAACACTATGTTGAATAGGAATGGTGATAGAGGGCATCCCTGTCTTGTGGCAGTTTTCAAAGGGAATGCTGCCAGTTTTTTCCCATTCAGTATGATATTGGCTGTGGGTTTGTCATAAATAGCTCTTATTATTTTGAGAAACATCCCATCAATACCTAGTTTACTGAGAGTTTTTAGCATGAAGGGCTGTTGAATTTTGTTGAAGGCCTTTTCTGCATCTATTGAGATAATCATGTGGTTTTTGTCTTTGGTTCTGTTTATATGATGGATTACATTTATTGATTTGCATATGTTGAACCAGCCTTGCATCCAAGGGATGAAGCCCACTTGATTGTAGTGGATAAGCTTTTTGATGTGCTGCTGGATTCGGTTTGCCAGTATTTCACTGAGGATTTTTGCATCGATGTTCATCAGGGATATTGGTCTAATATCCCTTAGACTATGTGTATTCTTAAAGCTACAGTGAGTCTTTTGTAGACAGCATGCTGTTGGGTCTTGTTTTTTAAATCAACTTACATTTGAAGTAATTATTAATAAGTAAGGACTTACTGTTGTCATTTTGTTAATTATTTTCTGACTATTTGGTAGTTTATTCCTTTCTTGTTTTTTTTCTTCCTTTGTGGTTTGATAATTTTTATATTGGTATACTTTGATTTTTTTCTCTGTCTTTTGTGTATTTACTAGAGGTATTTCCTTTGTGGTTATCATGAGGTTTACATACAACATTTCATAGTTGTTACACTCTATTTTAAGCCGACAACAACTTAACTTAAATCCTGTACATTTTTACTTTTCCCTCTTCTCTGCGTAGTACACTATTAATATCACACTTTACATCTTTTCATATTATGCCTTGTCTTTGTCTTTTTCTGCTGCTGTTACAAAATAGCACAGACTGAGTAATGTATAAACAACAGAAATTTATTTCTTACAGTTCTGGAGGCTGGGAAATCCAAGATTAAGGCACTAGTATTGGTGTCTGGTGAGGGCTACTCTCTGCTTCTAAGATGGCACATTGTCAAGGTATCCTCACATGGAGGAAGGTGGAAGAATAAGAGAGCTCTCTTTTCAATCTTGATCCCTTTTACAACAATATTAATCCCATTCGTGAGGGGAAAAGCCCTCATGACTCTAGCACCCACCAAAGGGCATATCTCTTAATACTGTTGCATTGGGGATAAAGTTTCAACAAAAATTTTGGGAAGGACACCATCATTCAAACCATAGGATGTATCCATTCACAAATTGTTTTACTATACTTTTTAATAATTTTGTTTTTTAGCTTTTGTAGTAGTGATTTTGCATCACCATTATGATATTGAAATATACTAAATTTGATTATATATTTACCTTTATCAGTGAGTCTTATGCTTTCATGTTTTTATGTTTTTACTTAGTGTCCTTTCATTTCAATTCAAATAACTCCCTTTAGCATTTTTTTGTAAGGCAGTTCTAGGGGTTTTTGTTTTTATGTGAACATCTGTATTTCTTCTTCATTTCTGAAGAACCACTAGCTGTGTATAGTATTATTGGTTGAAAGTTCTGTGTCATGATGTGCTTTTATTCATGGTTTTTATGTTTGTGTTTAATTGAGCCATTGATCTCTTTAGATTTATATTTTTCATCCAATTTGGGAAAATACTGTCCATTTTTCTTCAAGTATTTCTTTGGCCTTCATTCTCTTTCCTCTGTTTGGGACTCTAATATGTATTTTAGGCTACTTGATATTGTTCCATAGGTCAGTAATGCTTTGTTCATTTCTTCCCAGTCATTTTGTCTTTGTGCTTTGTTTCAGACCATTTCTATTGCTATGTTTTCAAGTTCACTTAATTTTTATTCTACTGTGTTTCATCTGCTTTTAATTCTATCCAGTGTTCTTTTCATTTCAAATATTATATTTATCTATTCAATTCATATCTTTAAAAAACTTTAATATTTATCCTCATATTCACATTTTTCTCTGTCTTCTTGAATACTTGGATCATTTTTGTATTAGCTGTTTTAATATTCTTACTGAATAGTACTATAATCACCATAATTTCTTTGTTTATATCGATTGATTTTTTCCTTGTTATAGGTCAGACTTTTCGGTTTTTTTTTTTTCCTGCTTTTTAACTTTTAATTGGGTGACAGATATTGTGAACTTTACATTGCTAGGTGCTGGATTTTGTTATATTTCTTTAAATAATGGTGAACTTTGCTCTGGTATGCAAAGTCCTTGAGTTTAGTTGAATCATTTTGAGGTGTGCTTCTTATCTTTGTTAAAGCAGATTATTTCCATCTTTCATTCCAGAGCTCATTTAGCCCCCATACTAAGACTTTGCCCTTCCAAGGACTCTACTTGATGCTGCATGATTGCAAGGTCTTCTAATTCTGAATATTTGAAACATATATTATCCTCAGCTTCTGTGTGAGCTCTGAGAATGGTTCAGTCTAATGCTTTACAATAATTCTTTCTCTGGCCTGAAGTAGTTTTTTTCTTATGCATGCACAAAGCAGTAATAAGGCAGACTTTCAGAGACCCATCTGGAGGTCTTCAAAGTGCTCTCTCTCTCTCTCTCTCTCTCTGCAGTTTCCTTTTCTCTAGTACTCTATTCCTAAAATTCTAGCTATCTTGACTTCTCCCAACTCTAATATCCTTCTAATCAACCCAGTAAGATTGCCTTGCTATGTAAAGGTTATCACTCTGTATTAGGCCATTTACACACTGCTGATAAAGACATACCTGAGATTGGGTAAATTACAAAGAAAAAGAGGTTTAAAGGACTTACAGTTCTACATGGTTGGGGAGGCCTCACAATTATGGCGGAAGGCAAGGAGGAGCAAGTCATGTCTTACATGGATGGCAGCAGGCAAAGAGAACGCTTGCGCAGGGAAACTGCCCCTTATAAAACCATCAGATCTCATGACACTTATTCACTATCATGCGAACAGCATGGGAAAGATCTGCCTCCATAATTCAGTTACCTCCCACTGGGTTCCTTGCACAACATGTGGGAATTTAATGAGATTTGGGTGGGGACATAGCCAAACCATATTACAGTCCGTGTGCTGCAGCCTGGAAATAGCCTTCAAATAATCATAAGGCTCACCTCATGGATTTCACTACTCTGAGAGGTCAACTCTCCTATGCTTCTTGTTCAAGTTGAAAGACAATTGTTCATATATTTTTGTTCAGATTTTCTAGTTAATTAACGCAGGATAGTAAACTCAGTAGATCTCCAGGCACACACATACACTTACTCATACACACATGTTTTTTCCTGTTAGTCTTTTGAGGACATTTTGAAAGTCTTGTTTACCTTTGCATTCCATAGATTGGCAGAAAGAGACAAGTCTAGAAAATTGAGTGAAAAGAAAATATCTGAGAGGAAAGAAAAGAACCAACAAAAGTGATGTGAAATTCCAGTGAATCTAAAGGTTAGTAACATAAAAGACTTGTTACTAAAGAGATATAAGGAGTTAAGAATAGGGAGAAATACAAAATAACTGCAAGTTTATGAAACGGATAAAACTGTAATAATTGTAGTGCCACCAACCATAAAGAAAATATTAGAATGGAGAAAAGGTCTTGAGAGAAATTTTAGGTCTGGTTTGTGATATTTTATATAAAGAGAATTAAAATGACATTCAGAGGAGACCAGGCATCATGGCAGATGGGAGGCAGGACAGAATTGCAGCTCCAGACAGAGCATCATGCGGAAGCTTGCATTGTGAATTTTAGCTCAAGATTGACCGCAGGAACAAGTCAGCAATCCTGAGAGGACCCACAGACCCTCTGAAGGAAGTGGACTGTTCCTGCAGGACCCGGGAGACACCCCAAATACTGTGAGTGCTCCAACTCTGGAAGTGGGAAAGGGAGAAACCCCTCTCCTGAACACACACCCCCACTGGAGAACCTGAAGGTCTGTTTGTGAGAGAAGTTCCCAACTTTATCTGGAGCTGAGTTGAGTTAGACAGCCAAGCAGAGTGAATACAGGGGTAGAGGAAGCAGCAGAAGGACCCTGGGAGCTTGCTGGATCCCCAAGCAGCCTATTATTGCTTGGCATCACAGAGATCTATCAGGATGGTGGCCAGAGGAGCAGGCGGTAAAACTCCACAGGGAGAAGGACTTCTCTAGCTGAACTTTGTAACAACTTGAATGGGGCGAGAAGCCTCCTGGCCAGAACTCAGGGGAGGGTATGACTCCGAATTGCAGACTTCACAGATCGGGGAAGAACTAAAGCCCTTTTCTTTTGCAGCTGGGAGGCAGGAAGCCTCCGGCAAGTTTTCAAGCCCGACTCACCCTCCACCTAGAAACAGACTCAGGGCTGTTGTGGGGGGCATGGTGGGAATGAGACCAGCCCTTCAGTTTGTATGGGAGCTGGGTGAGGCCTGTGACCACTGGCTTTCCCCCACTTCCCTGACAGCCTACATGACTCAGCAGAAGCAGCCATAATCCTCCTAGGTACACAACTCCAATGACCTGGGAATCTCACCCCCATTCCCCACAGCTGCCGCAGCAAGACCCACCCAAGGAGAGCCTGAGCTCAGACACACCTAGCCCTGTCCCCATCTGATTGTCCTTCCCTACCTACTTTGGTAACGAAAGACAAAGGGCATCTAGTCTTGGGAGTTCTAGGGCCCTGCTCACCACCAGTCCCTCTCCACACTACTACAGCTGATTCTTTCTGGAAAGCAACGCCTCCTGGCAGGAGGCCAACCAGCACAAAAATAGAGCATTAAATCACCAAAGCTAAGAACCCCCACGGAGTCCATTGTACCCTCCACCACCTCCACCAGAACAGGCACTGGTATCCATGGCTGAGAGACCCATAGATGATTCACATCACAGGAGTCTGTGCAGACAACCCCCAGTACCAGCCTGGAGCCGGGTAGACTCACTGGGAGGTTAGACCCAGAAGAGAGACAACAATCATTGCACTTTGGCTCACAGGAAGCCATATCCACAGGAAAAGGGGGAAAGTACTACATCAAGGGAACACCCTGTGGGACAAAAAAATAAGAACAACAGCTTCAGCCCTCAATCTTCGCTCTGACAGAACCTACGCAAATGAGAAGGAACCAGGAAACCAACCCTGGTAATATGACAAAACAAGGCTCATCAACACCCCCCAAAAATCACACTAGTTCACTAGCAATGGATCCAAACCAAGAAGAAATCCCTGATTTACCTGAAAAAGAATTCAGGAGATTAGTTACTAAGCTAATCAGGGAGGGGCCAGAGAAAAGTGAAGCCCAATGCAAGGAAATCCAAAAAATGATACAAGAAGAGAAGGGAGAAATATGCAAGGAAATAGATAGCTTAAAGAAAAAACAATAAAAAATTCAGGAAACTTTGGACACACTTTTAGAAATGTGAAATTCTCTGGAAAGTCTCAGCAATAGAATTGAACAAGTAGAAGAAAGAAATTCAGAGTTCGAAGACAAGGTCTTTGAATTAACCCAATCCAACAAAGACAAAGAAAAAATAATAAGAAAATATGAACAAAGCCTCCAAGAGGCCAGAGATTATGTTAAACCACCAAATCTAAGAATAATCGGTGTACCTGAGGAAGAAGACAATTCTAAAAGCTTGGAAAACATAGTTGGAATAATCAAGGAAAACTTCCTTGGCCTTGCTAGAGATCTAGTCATGCAAATACAAGAAGCATAAAGAACACCTGAGAAATTCATCACAAAAAGATCTTCACCTAGGCACATTGTCATCAGGCTATACAAAGTTAAGACAAAGGAAAGAACCTTAAGCATTTTGAGACAGAAGCACCAGGTAACCTATAAAGGAAAACTTATCAGATTAACAGCAGACTTCTCAGCAGAAACCCTACAAGCTAGAAAGGATTGTGGCACTGTCTTCAGCCTCCTCAAACAAAACAATTATTAGCCAAGAATTTTGTATTCGGCAAAACTAAGCATCATATATGAAGGAAAGATACAGTCATTTTCAGACCAACAAATGCTGAGAGAATTTGCCATTATCAAGCCACCACTACAAGAACTGCTAAAAGGAACTCTAAATCTTGAAACAAATCCTGGAAACACTTCAAAGCAGAACTTATTTAAAGCATAAATCTCACAGGACCTATAAAAGAAAAATACAAGTTAAAAAGCAAAAACAAAAAACAAAAATACACAGAAAACAAAAAGCATGATGAATGCAATGGTACCTCATATTTCAACACTAACATTGCTTGTAAATGGCCTAAATGCTCCACTTAAAAGGTACAGAATAGCAGAATGGATAAGAACTAACCAACTATCTGCTGCCTTCAGGAGACTCACCTAACACATAGGGACTCACATAAACTTAAAGGGGTGGGAAAAGGCATTTCAGGCAAATGGACACAAAAAGCGGGAAGGGGTAGCTATTCCAATATCAGACAAAACAAATTTTAAAGCGACAGCAGTTAAAAGAGACAAAAAGAGACATTATATAATGGTAAAAGGCCTTGTCCAATGGGAAAATACTACAATCCTGACCAAATACGCACCTAACACTGGAGCTCCCAAATTTATACAACAATTAATAGACCTAAGAAATAAAATAGACAGCAACACAGTAACAGTGGGGGACTTCAATACTTCACTGACAGCACTAGACAGATTGTCAAGACAGAAAGACAACAAAGAAACAATGGATTTAAACTATACCGTGGAACAAATGGACTTAACAGATACATACAGAACGTTTCATCCAAGAACTGCAGAATACATATTCTATTCAACAGTGAATGGAACTTTCTCCAAGATAGACCATATGACAGGCCATAAAACCATTTGTTTCAATAAGTTTTTCAATTTCCTTCTTAATTTTTTCATTGACCCACTGATCATTCAGGAGCATACTATTTAATTTCCATGTATTTTTATAGTTTCCAAAGTTCCTTTTGTTATTCATTTCTTGTTTAATTCCATTGTGTTCAGAGAAGTTGCTTGATATTATTTCAATTTTTTGACTGTTTTGAGACTTGTTTTGTGACATAACATATGGTCTATCCCTGAGAATGATCCACGTGCCAAGGGAAAAAAAATGTGTATTCTCTGGCACTTAGATAAAATGTTCTGCAAAAACATATTGGATCCATTTGTTTTATAGTGCAGATTAAGTCTGATTTTTTTTTGTGGTTGTTGATTTTCTGTCTGGAAGATCTGCCCAATGCTGAAAGTGGGGTGTTGAAGTTTCCAGCTATTATTGTACTGGGGCCTGTCTATCTATTTCTAATAATATTTGCTTCACATATCTTGGTGCTCCAGTGTTGGGTGTGGATATTTACACTTGTAATATCCACTTGCTGAATTGACCCCTTTATCATTATATAGTGACTTTCTTTGTCTCTTCTTATAGTGTTTATCTTGAAATATACTTGGACTGATATAAGTATATCTACTCATTCTCTTTTTTGGTTTCCATTGTCATGGAATATCTTTTTACATCCCTTTATTTTCAGTCTATGTGTGTTTTTATATGTGAGGTGTGTTTCTTGTAGGCAATAGATCAATGGGTCGTGCTTTTAAAAAAACTGTTCAGCCACTCCATTTCTTTTAATTGGAGGGTTTAGTCAATTTACACTTAATGGTATTTTTGATAAGTAAGGACTTATTCTTGCCATTTTAAAATTTGTTTTCCGGTTGTTTTGTGGTCTTTTCTTCCTTCTGTCTGTATTTCCTGTCTTCCTTAGTGAAGGTGATTTTCTCTGGTGATACGATTTGGTTGTTTGCTTTTTATTTTTTCTGTATCCATTGTATGTTTTTTGGTTTGAGGTTGCCATGAAGCTTGAAAATGCCATCTTATAACTCATTATTTTACCTAACAACTTCACACTATTTGCATAATAAAAGAAGCAACAAGAAAACTAATAAAAATTCTGTGCCTTAACTTCATTTCCCTGCTTTTAACTTTTTGCTGTTTCTCTTTTTTCACAGAATTTTTTTAACTTTTATTTTAAGTTCAGGGGTACGTGTGGATGTTTGTTATATAGGTAAACTTGTGTCATGGGAGATTGTTATACAGATTACTTTGTTACCAAGGTATTAAGCCTACTAATTGTTAGTGATTTCTCCTGATCCTCTTCCTCCTTCCATCCTCCATACTCTGATTGTCCCCAGTGTGGGTTGTTCTGTGTTCTCATCATTTAGGTCCCACTTATAAGTGAGAACATGTGTTATTTGTTTTTCTGTTTTTTTTGCATTAGTTTGCTAACAGTAATGGCATTCAGCTCTGTACATGTTCCTGCAAAGAACATGATCCTTTTATTTTGTGGCTGCATAGTACTCCGTGGTATAAATGTAGCACATTTTCTTATCCAATCTATTATTGATGGACATTTAGGTAAATGTTATGTCTTTGCTATTGTGAATAATGCCGCAATGAACATACACACGCATGTGTCTTTAAAATTGAGAGATTTATATTCCTTTGGGTATATACTCAGTAATGGGATTGCTGGGTCAAATGGTATTTCTGTCTTAATAGATATTTGAGGAATCACCATGCTGTCTTCCACAAAGGTTGGACTAATTCAGCACACCCAACAACAGTGTAAAAGTGTTCATTTTTCTCCAAAACCTCACCAGCATCTGTTGTTTTTTGACATTTTAGTAATAGCCATGCTGACTGGTGTGAGAGAGTATCTCATTTTGGTTTTGATTTGCATTTCTCTAATCATCAGTGATGTGGAGCTTTTCTTCATGTTTGTTGGCCACATGGATGTCTTCTTTTGAGGAGTATTTTTTCATGTCCTTTGCCTAATTTTTAGTGGGTTTGTTTGCTTTTTATTGTAAATTTGTTTAAGTTCCTTATAGATGCTTAATACTAGACCTAGGTTGGATGCACAGTTTGTGAACACTTTCTCCCATTCTGTAGGTTGTTTGTTTGTATTTTCTTTTTGTGTGCAAAAGCTCTTTAGCTTGATTAGATCACATTTGTCAATTTTTGCTTGTGTTGCAATTGCTTTTGGTGTCTTTGTCATGAAATCTTTGCCCATGCCTCTGTCCTGAATGATATTGCCACGGTTGTCTTCCAGGGTTTTTATAGTTCAGGGTTTTACATTTAAGTTTTTAATTCATCTTGAGTTAATTTTTGTATATGGTGTAAGGAAGGGGCATGCTTTCAATCTTCTGCATATGGCTAGCCAGTTATTTCAAAACCACATATTGAATAGGGAATCATTTCCCCATTGCTTGTTTCTGTCAGGTTTGTCAAAGATCAGATAGCTGTAGGTGCGCCCTCTTATATCTGGGTTCTGTATTCTGATCCATTGTTCTATGAGTCTGATATTATACCAGTACTATGCTGTTTTGGTTACTGTAGCCTTGTAGTATAGTTTAAAGTTGGGTACCATGATGCCTCCAGCTCTTTTCTTTTTGCTTAGAATTGCCTTGGTTATTTGGATTTTTTGTTCCATATGAATTTTAAAATAGTTTTTTTCTAGTTATTTGAAGAATGTCAATGATAGCTTAATAGTAAAAACATTGAATCTATAAATTGATTTGGGCAGTATGGCCATTTTCTCTATATTGATTCTTCCTCTCCATGAGCATGAACTGTTTTTCCATTTGTTTTTGTCATCTCTGATTTCTTTGAACAGTGGTTTGTAGTTCTGCTTGTAGAGATATTTGACCTTTCTGGTTAGCTATATTTCTTGGTACTTTTCTCTTTTTGTCGCAGTTGTGAATGGGGTTGCATTCTTGCTTTGGCTCTCAGCTTGACTGTTGTTGTTGTATAAGAATGATAGTGATTTTTGCACAGTGATATTTTATCCCAAGACTGCTGAAGTTGTTTATCAGCTTAAGAATCTTTTAGGCTGAGACTACAGGGTTTTCTAGATATAGGATTATGTCATCGCAAACAGGATAGATTCCTTCTTCTTTTACTATTTTAATGCCTTTATTTCTTTCTCTTGCCTGATCACTCTGGCCAGCACATCCAATACTACACTGAATAAGATTGGTGAGAGAGCGCACCCTTGACTCATGCCAGTTTTCAATGGGGATGTTTCCAGCTTCTGCTCATTCAGTATGATGTTGACTGTGGGTTTGTCACACATGGCTCTTATTATTTTGAGGTATGTTCCGTCAATACCTAGTTTGTTGAGAGTTTTTAACATAAAGGACTGTTGAATTTTATCAAAAGCCTTCTCCGTATCTATTGAGATAATTCAACAGTGCATGGAACTTTCTCCAAGATAGACCATATGATAGGCCATAAAAGGTGACTCAATAAATTTATGAAAATTAAAATTATATCAAGCACTCTCTCAGACTACAGTGGAATAAAATTGGAAATCAACTCCAAAAGGAACCTTCAAAACCATGCAAATACATGGAAATTAAATAACTTGCTCCTGAATGAGCATTGGGTCAAAAACAAAATCAAGAAGAAAATTTAAAAAATTTCTGAGCTGAATGGCAATAATGACACAACCTATCAAAACCTCTGGGAAACAGCTAAGGCAGTGCTAAGAAGAAAAGTTCATAGCCCCAAACACCTCCATCAAAAAGTCTGAGAAAGCACAAATAGACAATCCAAGGTCACACCTCAAGGAACCAGAGAAACAAGAAGAAACCAAACCCAAACCCAGGAGGAGAAAGGAAATAACCAAGATCAGATCAGAACTAAATGAAATTGAAACAAACAAAAAAGTACAAAAGATAAACGAAACAAAAAGCTGGTTCTTTGAAAAGATAAATAAATTTGATAGACCATTAGCAAGATTAACCAATAAAAGAAAAGAGAAAATCCAAATAACCTCACTGAGAAATGAAACAGGAAATATTACAACTGACACCACTGAAATACAAAAGATCATTCAAGGCTACTATGTATACCTTTACACACATAAACTAGAAAACCTAGAAGAGATGGATAAATTCCTGGAAAATTAAAATCCTCGTAGCTTAAATCAGGAAAAATTAGATACCCTGAACAGACCAATAACTAGCAGCGAGATTGAAATGGTAATTAAAAAATTACCAACAAAAATTCCAGGACAGATGGATTCACAGCAGAATTCTACCAGACGTTCAAAACAGAATTTGTACCAATCCTTTTGACACTATTCCACAAGATAGAGAAAGAAGGAACCCTCCCTAATTCATTTTATGAAACCAGCATCATCCTAATACCAAAACCAGGAAAGGACACAACCAAAAAACAAAACTACAGAGTGATACGCTTGATGAATATAAATGCTAAAATCCTTAACAAAATATTAGCTAACCGAATCCAACAACATATCAAAAGGATAATCCACCATGATCAAGTGGGTTTCATACCAGGGATGCAGGGGTGGTTTAACATATGCAAGTCAATAAATGTGATACACCATATAAAGAGACTTAAAAACAAAAATCACATGATCATCTCAATAGATGCAGAAAAAGCATTCAACAAAATCCAGCATCACGTTATGTTTAAAACTCTAAGCAAATTTGGCATACAAGGGACATACCTTAATGTAACTAAAGCCCATGACAAACCCACAGCCAACATAATACTGCATGGGGAAAAGTTGAAAGCATTCCCTCTGAGAATGGGAACAAGACAAGGATGCCCACTCTCACCACTCCTTTTCAACATAGCACTGGAGGTCCTAGCGAGAGCAATCAGACAAGAGAAAAAAATGAAGGGCATCCAACTCAGTAAAGAGGAAGTCAAACTGTCCCTGTTTGCTGATCATTTATCTTGAAAACCCTAACGGCTCCCCCAGAAAACTCCTAGAACTGATAAAATAATTCAGCAAAGTTTCTGAATACAAGATTAATGTACACACATCAGTAGCTCTTCTATACACCAACAGCGACCAAGCAGAGAATCACATCAAGAACTCAGCCCGTTTTACACTTGCTGCAAAAAACAAAACAAAACAAAACAAAACAAAAACTTAGGAATATATCTAAGCAAGGAGTTGAAAGACCTCTACAAGCAAAACTACAAAATACTGCTGAAAGAAATCATAAAAGACACAAACAAATGGAAACACATCCCATGCTCATGGATGGGTAGAATCAATATTGTGAAAATGACCATACTACTGAAAGCAATCTACAAATTCAATGCAATCCCCATCAAAATACCACCATCACTCTTCACAGAATTAGAAAAAAACAATTCTAAAAATCATATGGAACCAAAAAAGAACCTGTATAACTAAAGCAAGACTAAGCAAAAAGAACAAATCTGGAGACATCACACTACCTGATTTCAAACTGTACTATAAGGCAATAGTCACCAAAACAGTGTGGCACTGCTATAAACATAGGCACATAGATGAATGCAACAGAATAGAGAACCCAGAAATGAACCCAAATACTTATAGCCAACTGATCTTTGACAAAGCAAACGAAAACATCAAGTGGGGAAAGGACACCATTCTCAAAAAATGGTGCTGGGATAATTAGCTAGCCACAAGTAGGAGAAAGAAACTGGATCCTCATCTCTCTCCATATACAAAAATCAACTCAAGATGGATTAAGGACTTAAACCTAAGACCTGAAACTCTAAAAATTCTAGAAGATAACATTGGAAAAACCCTTCTAGACATTGGCTTAGGCAAGGATTTCATGACCAAAAAACCCCAAAACGAATGCAATAAAAATGAAGATACATAGCTGGGACCTAATTAAACTAAAGAGTTTTGCATGGCAAAAGGAACAGTCAGCAGCATAAACAGACAACCCACAGAGTGAGAGAAAATCTTCACAATCTATACATCTGACCAAGGACTAATAATATCCAGAATCAACAACAAATTCAAACAAATTAACAAGAAAAAAACAATTCCATCAAAAAATGGGCTAAGGACATGAATAGACAATTCTCAAAAGAAGATATACAAATGGCCAACAAACATATGACAAAATGCTCAACATCACTAATGATCAGGGAAATGCAAATCAGAACCACAATGCAATACAACCTTACTCCTGCAAGAATGGCCATAATCAAAAAATCAAAAAACAGTAGATGTTGGCATGGATGCGATGATCAGGGAACACTTTTACACTTTTACACTGCTGGTGGGAATGTAAACTAGCACAGCTGCTATGGAAAATAGTGTGGAGATTCCTTAAGGAACTAAAAGCAGAATTACTATTTGATCCAGCAATCCAACTACAGGGTATCTACCCAGAGGAAAAGAAGTCATTATTTGAAAAAGATACTTGCACACGCATGTTTATAGCAGCACACTTCACAATGGCAAAATCGTGGAACCAACCCAAATGCCCATCAATCAATGAATGGATAAAGAAACTGTGATATATATATATATGGAATACAACTCAGCCATAAAAAGGAATGGATTAATAGCATTTTCAATGACCTGAATTAGATTGAAGACTATTATTCTAAGTGAAGTAACTCAGGAATGGAAATCCAAACATCGTGTGCTTTCACTGATATATGGGAGCTAAGCTATGAGGACGCAAAGGTATAAGAATGATACAATGGACGTTGGGGACTTGGGGGAAAGAGTGGGAAAGTGGCGAGGGATAAAAGACAACAAATATGGTGCAGCGTATACTACTCAGGTGATGGGCGCACCAAAATCTCACAAATCACCACTAAAAAACTTACTCATGTAACCAGATACCACCTGTACTCCAACAACTTAAGGAAAAATAAAATAAAATAAAATAAAAAATAAAATAAAATAATAAAACAAAAAAGTATGCTTAAGAGTTGATTAGCTATTAAAATGTATAAGTAATGTAAAAATTTAAAACAGCATGAATTATTCTTCCAAATTTGATTTCCTTATATAATATGACATGAAATACAAAGATTTTTGTATAATTCATTTTGAATTCTAAGAAGCATTAAAAGATCTAGTATGTTGAAATAAAACATGTTAAATGGTATACAATTTTTAAAAAAATAAAAATAAAATGACATTCAAACAATGTAGTCTGATTGACAATGGTAAATACAGGCCTGACAGAAAGAGATTTTTAACAGAAGAGCTCTGGGGATAGATGCTAGTGTTAATCAGATTAAATAATGTGTCTTTGTTACGTCTGATTTAAGTTTCAGGGCATAGCTAGAGATGGTAATTAGGCTGCTTGTAAGTAGCTTTTATTACTATGCTTTGACACTTCTGATTCAGCTCATGGGTAAATTTCTGAAGTGTAGAAATATAAAAATGAAAATAACATGCATATGTAGGTGTGTGTTATAGATAAACTTGGATTTATTGCTGAACATATAATTATTGTTGTGCATATACTCAGTACTGTATTATAAATATATGCATACATAATTGCATATATATGTGAGTCTTCAAAATATTTGAAATAATAATTTGTAGTTGTTTAAGATTTTGAAGGCATTTTCTCCAAACTGGTTCGTCCACTCACAGTTACTCTTGGTCTTAAAGGTAATTACAGAATCCTGTGCTGAAGACACCCACAGTTCTTCCATTGGAACTGCAAGGATATTTGTAAACAATTTGTCCAGTACCTGCAGTGTTGATGAACTAGGTTGTAAAGTTGTATTTTATGTCTTATGTCACAAACCAACTAAACTTTGTTAGCACACCGACTTCCATTTCTCTCACTTTTCTTCTTACCCAAAGAACTTAGAGGTCCTAAAAGCTACTTTGGGAATCAGAAATTAATATCTTTTATATGTCTGGTTTCTCATTTATCCCTATGCTATTAATACAAACTTTATAGAATATGAAAACAAAATATAAGACCATTTGTGTATGTATGTGTGTGTGTGTGTGTGTGTGTGTGTGTGTGTGTCTGTTGCGGGGGATGTGAAATGGAGAAGAGCATTCTTCTTCTCCCTTTCCTTTCTTATCAAGAAAATATCTATCTTAATAATATCAACTTGAGTTTCACCTCCTCAATACTCCAGCCTTCAAACTTGCACCTTTAGGAATTTCTTTTTTTTTTTCTTTTTTTTTTTTTTTTGAGACGGAGTCTCGCTCTGTCGCCCAGGCTGGAGTGCAGTGGCGGGATCTCGGCTCACTGCAAGCTCCGCCTCCCGGGTTCACGCCATTCTCCTGGAATTTCTTATAACATGTATTGACTGGACAATAGAGTTTAATATTTGATCATATTCTGTCTGGTGTTATGTTTTGTTCCACTTTTATTTATTTTGTCTCCTGAATAAAAATCATATCTTCTTGATTTAAGGGACCATGTCATTAACACTTTTATCATCTATATAAACATATACATTTTACTGAATGTCTTAGATGATATTAATGTGTTTCTTAACACGTTAATGTGTTAAGATACAATTGATTCGATTGTTTACTCCCACATCTCAGGCTATTTATCACCATAAATAATTTACTGATTTATCCATCTTTTTGTTTTTTGATGAGAAAAATGTTTCTATATGATTTTTACTAGATTAAAATTTTTCCAACCTTCCAAACCAAGCTCACATATTGTTGTGACATTGACCCAAATAAGTCTTCCTTACTGGATATTTTAAGCTTTCTAACTTCTTTTCTATCACTGAAAGATACTAAAATCTTCGTAGAAGTTCAGCCTATCAAGCTATTCTCTCCTCTCAAAGTGTGCTTTTATAACTTTATTTGTATGTATGAAACTCCACAAGATGATATTTCCTTGTAATTCTGCAATTTTCCCTTGATATATTTTGCCTGACCCTCTGAAATATAGTCCATTCTTAAGGTAAACTTTTAACAAAATTACTATGGGCTAGATCTAGGGTCAGTTATATTCATCAAAGCTTTTGAAAGCACAGCTCAGTTTCTTAGAGGAGGAAATTAAGATATTTAAATACTGTCATTGATACAATAAGACAGTATGACAGTAGGAAATCTACACCAAAACCCAGTAGTAATCCCAGTGGATATCTTTAGAGTACCAAATTTCAGAATGGGAGACTATTTTACTGGGACCTAAACGTAAATGAGAAGAAACATTTGTGGTGTGTTTTTTCCTTCCCTGTTGTCTAAAAGAGCTAGTTTAGGTTTCCTAAGTAAATGCAGGATGCATGCAGTATTTGGGTACTATTATGCTAATAGTCAATGCATAGTTATGTGCAAACAATGGTATGTATGCATTTCTAGAAAATTTCAGCATTACGTTCATTCAATTGGTATCAATTGATAGTAACAATAATACATTTTTAATTTCCTATATGTGTATTATTAATTTTAGAACATGAGAATGGAAGTTCATGAAAATGTTTGAAGGTATTTTTTCAAGGTTTTCCCCCATCAGTATTTTCCAAATCTTTATATAGGGTTTGTTTTATAAAACATAAAAATATGTTGAGTTTGTCAACTTGGTGTTTAATATGAGACACTAGTGAAGCCTTCTAATTTTCAAGAATATATAAGTACTTTTACAGACAAGTAAACAAAAGGAAGCACAAAGATTTGATTGCTAAAGGAACTATTATTTTTATTACTCCTCAATGAGAGGTACATATCTTTTTATGAATTACAAATGGTAGGTAACATTGGTCAAGATATTGAGTTTTACTTTTTTTCTATTTTTTATATTATTCAAAAACATGGGCATAGTGAAAAAGTTCAGATAGAATTAAAGGGCAGATGACAAAAAGAGAGTTTCCTTCCCATTTCAGATAACTCCTTTAACTCTCCCAATAATATCTTGGATATGCTTCCAGAAATTTCCCATGCACTTATACAATCATGCTGTATTGTAGTTCTCTGCAAATCATTTGTTTTCAGTTAACCATGTCAGTGATTTTCTTATGTCAGTACACAGCTAGCTACCTCATTCTTTTTACTGGTTACTTAGTATTTCATTATAAATGCTTGTTTCTCTCTCTCTCTGTCTCTCTCTCTCTCTCTGTGTGTGTGTGTGTGTGTGTGTGTGATTATTAAACCATTCCTTTATTGATGAATAAACCATTCCTTTATTGATGAATATTTAGTTGGTTTTCTGGATATAAATCTTTTGCGTATGTGCAAGGATATTTAGAGGATAAATTGAAAGAGGTAAAATTGCTGAGTCAAACAGTATATGCATGTCAAATTTTGAAAATTTTTGTTAGATTGCCACTAAAGAAGTGCTAACAGTTTGCCGAGTCGCCAGTAGTACATGAGTGCTTGTTTCCCTGCATTCTTGCAAGAAGTGTATTAAAACTATTTTAATTCTTTGCAAGTCTGATGAGAGAGAAATGAGATATTATAGGCTTAATATGTTGTGTTCTCTGAAGGAAAAATTTTAAACCAGCCCAAGGCTTGCAATAACTCACATTTTATTATTATTATTAATTATTACTATTATTATCTGAGACGAAGTTACACTCTATCGCCCAGGCTGGAGTGCAGTGGGGCGATCTCGGTTCACTGCAACCTCTGCCTCCCAGGTTCAAGCGATTCTCCTGTCTCAGACTGACAAGTAGCTGGGATTACAGGCGTGCGCCACCATGCCCAGCTAATTTTTGTATTTTTAGTAGAGGTGGGGGATTTCCCTATTTTGGCCAGGCTGGTCTCGAACTCTTGACCTCAAGAGATCTGCCCACCTTGGCCTCCCACAGTGCTGGGATTACAGGCATAAGTCACTGCACCTAGCCAACTCATACTTTATTATAATGAAACTGTGGTAGATGGCCTCACCTGCCATATCTTTGGCAGAAAAATAGTTCATAAGAATTAAGTTTAGTGTTCCACCAACATTACTTAAAGTCAGATTTGACACACACAGCTTTAGTGCCTAGCATAGTGGCTGGCATATAGTGGGTCATCAGTAAGTCTTTATTGTATTAATGAAATGTAAATCTTATTTTAAAAGATGAAATTTAGCATTAAAATT
The DNA here is from genome assembly GCF_000001405.40 of Homo sapiens. Taxonomy (NCBI): domain Eukaryota; kingdom Metazoa; phylum Chordata; class Mammalia; order Primates; family Hominidae; genus Homo; species Homo sapiens. Next base: position 99,823,253 of record NC_000023.11, on the reverse strand, counting down.
TATCATTTAATCCAAATAGTTGATTGATTGCAAATATGGTTAACATAGTAGTGTATAGCAGTTAGAGAAGATTTTGGAAATATTTTGTGTAGTGTACTTATAGGGGATGTTTTGTGCACCATGTGAAACAAATGGTTTCTTTACACTTAAGTCAATAAATATTCCTTTTATTATAACACAAAATATTTTCTGTAGGTAAAATTTGTTTTCACCTGATCTACTTTTTTTGGCTTTCTGTTTCATTTAGTATATGTTTACTAAAAATTTCTCTTCATTTTTGTTTTAAGGATAATAAGTGATGCATACAGTGAGGTGCCCACAGTTGACAGTGTGCTGTTTGTTTTTGGTCTGCAACAAGCTAAGTAGAGAATTTTAAAGTAAGCTTGAGAAAATTTTATAGCAATTTGATAGGGTAATTTTAAGTCTGTAGAATCTGAACATAAAAGATGTGGGCACGTCTTTTCAAATCTTTATTTTTTCTCTTACGATTTTCTAGTTATTTATTTTTATTGTGCTTTACAAATTTATTGGTCTAGAACAAATTAGGGATTTTGAAAAAAAATGCTGTTTAACTGCAGATAGTTTGAGAAGCACTGGCTTATGTGGGGTTTATAAAAGACTTTAGCTGTATTCATATTTTTGCAGATTTTCTGATTAAATTCTCATTTACTATGCTTTTCCTAAAGATAAATATTCCAAGAAAAGATGATCCCCAAAAACTGTTCAAATCATATTTATTTATTAATGGACTCTCACTTTTGATAAGATTTAATGTTTAATAGGTTCCTACGATGCTTCTGTTTCACAGTATTTTTCATTACATGTGATTTTTTCAGAATACTTTATTTTCATATTAGGTGTATATATTTATGGGGTACATGAGATGTTTTGATGCAGGCATGCAATGTGAAATAAGCAAATAATGGAGGATGGGGGTATCCATTCCCTCATCCATTTATCCTTTGTGTTACAAACAATCCAATTATATTCTCTTAGTTATCTTAAAATATAATTAAGTTATTGACTATACTACTGCTTTGTTATCAAATAGTAGGTCTTATTAATTATTTTCAACTATTTATTGTACCCATTAACCATCCCCACCTTCCCGCCAACCCCCTACTACCCTTCCCAGCCTCTGATAATCATCCTTCTACTCTCTATGTCTATGGGTATTTTTTTTTTTATTTTTAGATTCCCAAAATAAGTGAGAACATACAATATTTGTCTCCCAGTATCTGGCTAACTTCACTTAACACAATGATCTCCAGTTTCATCCATGTTGTTGCAAATGACAGGATCTCATTCATTTTTGTGGCTGAATGGTACTTTATTGTGTATAAATACCATATATTATTTATTCATTCATCTCTTGATGGATGAATCAAGCCACTTAGGTGGCTTCCAAATCTTAGCTATTGTGAGCACTGCAGCAACAAACATGGGAGTGCCTTTGGTATATTGATTGCCTTTCTTTTGGTTATATACCGAGCAGTGGAAATGCTGTATCATATGGTAGCTCTAGTTTTAGTTTTTTTGAGCAACCTTCAAACTGTTCTCCATAGTCGTTGTGCCAATTTACATTTACGCCAACAGTGTGTGGGCGTTTCCTTATCCTTGCCAGCATTTGTTATTGCCTGTCTTGTGGATGTAAGCCATTTTAACTGAGGTGAGAAGATATCTCATTGTAATTTGGATTTGCATTTCTCTGAGGATCAATGATGCTAGCACCTTTTCATATGCCCATTTGCTACTCTTATTTCTTCTTTGGAGAAATGTTTGTTCAAATCTTTTGTCCATATTTTAATCAAATTATTACCTTTTTTCCTATAGAGTTGTTTGAGCTCCTTATATATTCTTGTTATTAGTCCCTTGTCACATGAGTAGCATGCAAATATTTACTCCCATTCTTGTGGGTTGTCTTTTCACTTTGTTGATTGTGTCTTGCTGTGCAGAAGTTTTTTTTAACTTGATGTGATTCCATTTGTCCATTTTTGCTTTTATTTCCTATGCTTCTGCTGTGTTTGTCAAGAAATTTTTGCCCCCATAAATGTCCTGGAGATTTTCCCCAATGTTTTCTTTCAGTAGTTTCATAGTGTGATGCTTAGATGTAAGTGTCTGATCCATTTGATTTGAAGTTTCCAGCTATTATTGTACTGGGGCCTGTCTATCTCTTTATTTCTAATAATAGTTGCTTCACGTATCTTGGTGCTCCAGTGTTGGGTGTATTTACATTTACACTTTTCTATACTGGCTATTTTTATGTCACCTCATAAATTGTTTTATCATGATTTTTAGCTTCTCTGCATTGGGTTTCAACGTACTCCTGTAGCTCAATGATATTAATTCCTATCCATATTCTGAATTCTATTTCTTTCATTTCAGCCATTTCAGCCTGTTTCAGAACCCATGCTGGAAAGGTGATGTGGTCATTTGGAGAAAAAAATGCACTCTGGCATTTTGAGATTTCAGGGTTCTTGCACTGTTTATTTCTCATTTTTGTGGGCTTATCTATCTTCAATTTTGGACTTTGCCAACCTTTGAATGTTTTTTTTCTTTTATCATATTTGATGACCTCGAGGTTTTGATTGTGGTATAAGGTAGGTTTAGCTAACTGGCTTTGTTTCTGGAAGATTTTCAGGGGCCAAGACTCAGCTTCCAACTCCTGGATTATGTGCTCTAACTCTGGGGGACTTGCATTTTACTCTGACTTTGTTATCTGGTTCCTTTAGGTTTGCAACCCACAACACTGGGGAGAGGTGGTGAGGTGCAGCAGCTTCAGCAGAGTGCTAGCAGGTGCTGGGGTGCCTGCCTCCCTGTGGGTGTTCACCACAGTGTTGGAGGCAATGCAGCTGTGGGGGTCGTGGGGCCCCTACTTGAGACTGTGTATGTGGTTGTGCTGGATGTGGTGTTGATTTTGGGGTGGGGTGCTGGCCAGTGCAGCTCTGGGTGCCTTGTCTACCCCACAAGCGGGAGTGATACTCAATCTGGGGTAGGATCTGCTGTTTTCTGTGCAGTGTTAGCCCAAGGACAGGGTGCTGGCAGGGGCAGGGCTTGCTGTCCCTGTGCCTGCCAAGACGTTGTCTGCAATGGCGGTTGTGGGGGGTGGGATGTGGACTACACTCCCGTATCCTAGTGGGGCAAAGAAAGCAAAACCTGCCAGTGCAGACACACACCAGAAAAGTGATGTGGGGAGTTGCCATGCGCCCTGGGAAAGCTGCAATATGGGGAGGGGGCAAGTGGGCTAGCGTGTTGCCATAGAGACCACCTCACTGGAGCTCTCCACTGGTCAGGCAGAATCTATCGGTGCAGAGAATATGGTGTAGGCCCTCATGGCACCCAGGACTGCCTTGAAAGCAGGCAGGCCAGGCTGGGGCCCCAGGAGAGGCCAGCAGACCAAGGGGCTCTCAAGTCGGACCAGTCATGTCTGATGGGCAGGAATGCCCTGCAGAGATTAGGTCTGACAGTTCTCCTAGGGCTAAAGTCTTCTATGGGATCAAGTCAAGCATAGGGGTATGGCTGTTGTTGGCCATGCTCTGCTACCAACATTCCTGCAAGAAATCCTCTGGGTTCCACATCCACTGACTTGCTGCCCTTACCACTTCTCTAAGCAGCTCTTTCTGCCAACTCACATGTCGGTGATGGTTGAGGGGTCTCCTCCTGTCAGGGTTCCAGGGGCCCATGGTGAGAGCTGGTTGGTCCTTGACAGTTCAACTCACTCGTACTCCTGAAGCTGTTGTGGTTCAAAAGTAAGTCCCAGTGCATAGTAGCCCCATGCAGTGTTTCCAGCTTTCTCTCTCTTCAGTCCAGCTTCTGTATCTTTCCTCTCTCCACTCTTAGCACCTTTACTCTGAAGATCTGTTAAAAGCATGCCAGTTGTCTCAGTCCCTTAGTGGGAACTGTTCCAGCTGGCTGTGTCTAGTAGGCCCTCTTGCCCTTCCTTTAGTATATTGTTTCTTTTTATATCATGCTGTACTGTGTACGTCTTGAAAAGTTGTAGTTATTATTTTTGATTGGCTCATCATTTATTCTTTCTACAAAGGATAAGAGTAGTTTACACACCACGGTTAAATGTTATGATATTATGTGTTTTTCTGTATACTTACTATTAACAATGAATTTTTTTTTTACCTTCAGGTGATGATTTATTGTTTATTAACATTATTTTTTTTTTCTGATTTAAGTACTCCCTTTAGCATTTCTTGTAGGACAGTTCTGGTGTTGATGAAATTGAACTTTTGTTTGTCTGAGAAAGTCTTTATTTCTCCTTCAAGTTTGAAGGATATTTTCACTAGATACACTATTCTAGGATAAAAGGTTTTTTTCATCAGCACTTTAAATATGTCATTCCACTCTCTCCTGGTCTGTAAGTCTTCCACTGAAAAATCTGCTGCAAGATGCTTTGGCACTTCATTGTATGCTATTTGTTTACTTGTTTCTTCTATTGCTTTTAAAATCCTTTCTTTATCCTTTATCATTGGGAGACTGATTAATAAATTTCTTCAGTTATTCTTCTGTGGGTTAAAACTGCTTTGTGTTCTATAACCTTCTTGCACTTGGATATTGATATTTTTCTCTAGGTTGTGAAAAATCTCTGTTATTATCCCTTTGAATAAAGTTTCTCCCTCATATTTAAGGAAAATAATTTTTAGATTTGCCCTTTTGAGATGATGTTCTAGATCCTGTAGTTGTGCTTCATGTTTTTTTTTTTCTTTTGTCTCCTCCGACTGTGTATTTTTAAATGGCCTGTCTTCAGGCTCACTAATTCATTTTTGTGCTTTATCCATTCTGCTCTGAGAAGATGCTGATATATTTTTCAGTACATCAATTGCATTTTTCAACTCCAGAATTTTTGCTTTATTCTTTTTAATTATTTTAACCTCTTTGTTGAATGTATCTGATAGAATTCTAAATTCCTTCTCTGTGTTATCTTGAATTTCTTTGAGTTTCTCAACACAGCTATTTTGAATTCACTGTCTAAAATGTCACATATCTCTGTTTCTCTGGGATTGATCCCTAGTGCCTTATTTAGTTCATTTGATAAGGTCATGTTTTTCTGGATCGTGTTGATGCTAGTAGATGTTCTTTAGTGTCTGGGCATTGAAGATTTAGGTATTCATTTTAGACTTCATGCCTGGACCTGTTTGTAGCTATCCTTTTTGGGAAAACTTTCCAGATATTTGGAAGGACTTGGGTGTTGTGATCAAAACTCTATCTGCTTTAAGGGGCACCCCAAGCCCAGTAAACCTGTGGGCTTTGAAGTAAACCTTGAAGATATGTAGAGGTACCAACTTGATGGTATTGGACAAGATTCTTGAGAATTCTCTGGATTAACAGGCAGAGACTCTTGTTCTCTTCCCTTACTTTCTCTCAAACAAATAGCTTCTCTCTCTCTGTTCTATGCCTCCTAAATCTTGGGGTGGAGTGACGCAAGCACCCCTGTAGCCACCACCACTATGATTGTGCTGGGTGAGACCTAAAGCCAGCACAGCACTGGGTCTCACCCAAGGCCTGCTGTAATCACTCCCTGGCTACAATCTGTGCTTGCTCTAGGCCCTTGGGCTCTACAATCATCAGGGGGCCAAGCCAGCCAGGTGTATATCCTTGTCTTCAGGTGGCATGTTCCCCCAGGCTCTGGATGGGTCCAGAGATGCCCTTCAAGAGTCAGAGACTAGAGTCAAAAAACCTAGAATTCTACCTGGTGTTCTTTTGTACTATGGGTGAGCTGTGGCACTCAAACCACAGGATGCCCTGTCTCTTACTCTTCTCTCTTTTTTCCAAAGGCAGAGGAACCTCTCCTCATAGCCATCACCACCACAGGCTATGAGGAGTACAGCCAGACCACCGCTGATGCATTCTTAAGGACCAAAATCTCTTTCTTTTTTTTTTTTGTGGTTTAAATTTTTATTTCATTTCACTGATGATTAGTGATATTGAGCATTTTTTCTTTTTTTTTTTTTAATTATTATTATTACACATTAAGTTTTAGGGTACATGTGCACAATGTGCAGGTTAGTTACATATGTATACATGTGACATGCTGGTGTGCTGCACCCACTAACTCATCATCTAGCCTTAGGTATATCTCCCAATGCTATCTCTCCTCCCTCCCCCCACCCCATAACATTCCCCAGAGTGTGATGTTCCCCTTCCTGTGTCCATGTGTTCTCATTGTTCAATTCCCACCTATGAGTGAGAATATGCGGTGTTTGGTTTTTTGTCCTTGCGATAGTTTACTGAGAATGATGATTTCCAACTTCATCCATGTCCCTACAAAGGACATGAACTCATCATTTTTTATGGCTGCATAGTATTCCATGGTGTATATGTGCCACATTTTCTTAATCCAGTCTATCATTGTTGGACATTTGGGTTGGTTCCAAGTCTTTGCTATTGTGAATAGTGCCGCAATAAACATACGTGTGCATGTGTCTGTATAGCAGCATGATTTATAATCCTTTGGGTATATACCCAGTAATGGGATGGCTGGGTCAAATGGTATTTCTAGTTCTAGATCCCTGAGGAATCGCCACATTGACTTCCACAATGGTTGAACTAGTTTCCAGTCCCACCAACAGTGTAAAAGTGTTCCTATTTCTCCACATCCTCTCCAGCACCTGTTGTTTCCTGACTTTTTAATGATTGCCATTCTAAAGATGTGTGAGATGATATCTCATTGTGGTTTTGATTTGCATTTCTCTGATGGCCAGTGATGGTGAGCATTTTTTCATGTGTTTTGACCACAATCTCTTAAGTCAGCTTGTGGTGAATGCTACCTGGCCTGGGAATCACTCTTCAGGCAGTGGGCTCACCTCTGGCCCAGGGCAGTTCAGAGACATCATTTAAGAGTCAATTCCTGGCTGGGAGCGGTGGCTCACACCTGTAATCCCAGCACTTTGGGAGGCCAAGGCAGGCAGATCATGAAGTCAGGAGATTGAGACCATCCTGGCTAACATGGTGAAACCCCATCTCTACTAAAAATACAAAAATTAGCCGGGCGTGGTGGTGGGTGCCTGTAGTCCCAACTACTCGGGAGGCTGAGGTAGGAGAATGGAATGAACCCGGGAGGCAGAGCTTGCAGTGAGCCGAGATCATGCCACTGCACTCCAGCCTGGACGACAGAGCGAGACTCTGTCTCAAAAAAAAAAAAAAAAAGTCAATTCCTGGAATCAGGGACCACATTAGCCAACTTGGTGCTCTACCTCTCTTTGGCCATGCTGATACGTGAAGCCAGCAGGTCTCAGAGGCTCACCCAAGGCCCTCGACATAGTACCTAGTTATCACTGCTGTTTATTCTGGGCCCATGGGCTCTTCAGTTAGCAGGTGATGCATGATGCCAGAACTGAGTCCCTCCCTTCAATGCAGCAGGTTTTCTTCTGGCCCAGGTTGTGTCTAGAAATGTCATCTTGGAGCTAGGGCCTGGAAGAGAGACCTCATAACTCTGATCAGTGCCCTATTCTGCTGTGGCTGTACTGGTATCCAAGATGCAAGAAAAAGTCTTCCCCTCTCTTTTTTCTTATCTTCTCAAGCAGAAGTAATGGGTCTCTTTTGTAGCTGTGAGCTGAGCAGACTGGGGTTAGGGGAGGGATGATGCCAGCACTCTTTTGACTGCCTCAACCCGGTATCTCAGCAGGTCACATCACCCTCCCCCCAGTCCACTGTCTCTGGGCACAGTTCAGCACTAGGACTTTCCTAAGAGTTGTAGTCCTTGTGGCTTAGCCTGCCTTTCAAGTTCACTTAGAGACTCAGAGCAGTTTACCACTTTGTGGAAAGGTCTGTGGGAACTCAAGTTGTGACCACTGGGATCGGCAATTCCCCTTTAACTAAGGCTGGTTTAAATGCTCCCTCTGTAGGCGGGTCTCATCTGAATTTGATCTGGTTTTGCGTTCTGCTCTAACTGAACAGCACTGAGTTCAGTGCCTCACAATTGTCATTGTCTTTGTCCCCCAGAATCCAGAGACACTCTCTGCACCACACCATCACTGTCAGGGGATGGGGGGGAGTGGTCCTGAGGTGGGTGGGGAAGTGGTGACATTTGCAATTCAAAACTATTTTTTTCTATCTATTCAGTGCCTCTTTTAATGAAAGGAATTTAAAACCAGGTACTATGAGGTTTCATCTGATTTTTGGTTCTTATGAAGGTCTTTTTTTTTTTTTTCTGTATAGCTAGTTGTTAAATTGGTGTCCTTGCAGGGGGGATGATCTCTGGAGTGTTCTATTCCACCATCTCTCCCTGCTTCCCTCCTCTCAACATTACATTTCATTAAATGCTAAACATTGCATGTAGGGTAGAAATATTTTAAGGTAATTATGATTTTTAATTGCATAAAAACAATCCAAGTCAAAAATCAATCTGTTGAAAAGTGACATAAATATTGGAGTAGTTGACAGTCATCTTATCTCTGAGATATTCCAGGACTAGTGAATTTCCTCTTTTTGTACCAGCTTGTTTTTAAAGACACATGCACACGTATGTTTACTGCAGCACTGTTCACAATAGCAAAGACTTGGAACCAACCCAAATGCCCATTAATGATAGACTGAATAAAGAAAATGTGGCACATATACACCATGGAATATTATGCAGCCAATAAAAAGGATGAGTTCATGTCCTTTGCAGGACATGGTTGAAGCTGGAAACCATCATTCTCAGCAAACTAACACAAGAACAGAAAACCAAACACTGCATGTTCTCACTCATCAGTGGGAGCTGAACAATGAGAACATATGGACACAGGGAGGGGAACATCACACACCAGGGCCTATCAGGGGGTGGGGGGGTTATGGGAGGGGTAGCGTTAGGAGAAATACCAAATGTAGGTGATGGGTTGATGGGTGCAGTGAACCACCATGGCATGTGTATACCTATGTAACAAACCTGCACGTTCTGCACATGTATCCCAGAACTTTAAGTATAATAATAATAATAATAAAACATTGAGGTGTGACCTGGGAGTGTTCTATTCATCATATTGTTGCCTACTTTTTTAAATTGTGTTATTGTTTTATAGACCCTATGAGTTTTGTGCTTCCAAAAAATAAAAAAATAAACAACTCGAAGTAGTTTTGACTTTCTTTCTTGAAATTTTTTATATTTAGTTGCTTGAGTGCCTTACTGTAATTTCCTTTTAAAAGTGCTGCATTATAGCCCATCCATTCTTTTTGTTGTTGTTTTTTTTAAATATCAAGTTTTCCCATGTGTCTTTTTTTGTAGTTTGGCAGGAGTAAGGCTTTTTTTGTTGTTGTTCATGTATTTATGCTTTTTTCCCATTTCTTTCCATAATTGGGCACTCTGGAGCCATTGGAAAACTTTGTCTGTGTTGGAAACTTAGCATATAAATCAGTTTTTGCCATTTTAATGGTATTCACTTTAAGGTATGAATGAAAGTTTGTCACTAAGCCTGCTCTTATATTAAAAATTGTTTTCGCTTAGGTAGCAGGTCTTGACCAAAGATCTGAAATTATGATAGAGATTTAAACGTTATATGCCTAACACTGATGTAATAAGTAAGGTTTATTATGGCCAAATGTGTATTATTACTCTATGGGAGAGCTTTTGAAATAATCTGGGGGTCTTTAATTCCAGACTAAGCACCAAACATTGGCTAATTCAGGAATTCAGTTCAACATTTAAAAAATAAATCCAAATTATAATCTTAAATTATTTCATTATTTACATAATTAAAATTTAGCAGGCATGTATTGAGTACTGATTATGTGGCAAGTGGTGTATTAGGCACAATGGGATGTGGAAAAATTCAAATACAATTAAGTTACTCTCACCAGTGTACTCACATCCTGTTCTCAGCAAAAACAACTCATGACATGCCAAAAATTGACCACATGCCTTTATTTATAAACTAACAAATTATTATGCTAACCCCATTTCAAAGCCTCTACTAAAAGATCAAATATAGTTAGACACAGGAAATTCAACTTCAGAAAAGCTAAAGATTACATGTTATTGTTCCTGACCTCTATAGTTGGCAGAGTTGATTGAGAGAGCAGAGCTGATGCAGACAATGTGAAGTCAAATAAAGAGGTAAGAAATCTGTTTTTAACACCAGTAAATGATATATGAAAAACATCTAAGACTTAAAAAGTTGGTTCCTATGGTATTTTGATCTATGAAATGATTTTTTAAAGATAAAACTATTTGTACAAAAAAAAAGAAGTAAGCTGATTGATTAAAAAAACTTGCCGAGGTATAAATAATAGATCAGAGAACGGTGATTAAAGCAATTGAAAAACTTGTTGCAGATAGAAATTAGATAAATATTTGTCTTAGTCACTAAAGATAAGTGTCAAAAAGTAAGTGATCTAAAATTTGCTTCTTTTTCTAAGTACAGAGTAGATACTCTGTGTTTTAATGATGACCACTTAAAAACGGCCATTTAAAATATGCTTAATTATAAATATAACAGTACATATGAAAGTGTTAAGGAAACTATAAAGTTCTATGTATATGCCTGACATTTTATATATTAAGTACTATACATTTATATGACGCATATTATTGGAGAGGAAATTTGACAAGGTCAGAGATAAGTTATGAGAGAAAATGAGTGGACACTTTAACTTGTAACCACCAGTACTGGTTTCTGTAGACTTGTGAGATGAAGAGAGACTTAATTATGTAAATAATAAAATGGTAAAGATGTGATTTTTTGAAATGGCTAGATGTTGGTAACACACTATTGAGCAAAGTTCATTAGGCCTAAATCAGATTAAATCCTTAAGTTTAATTTTTTATTTTCTATTTTGAATGTACAGAACTACAAATCTGTACTTTATAATGATATTGAAACAGTTTTTACTCTTCATATTTTATCATTTGCTTCTAGGGGAAATGCTAGACCTGATAAAGGGACAGCTTCAGTGTTTTGAAAACCTTACATACCAATGATTCAAAGATATTCATTCTACATACTGGGTTTTGGATTGTAAAATAGCAGTAAGTTTGAATTTTTTCCTTCCTATTTTCCTTAAATTAGATTGTCTAATTTCTGTTGACAGAACCCCACCAAAAGAAATATCCTCCATCTTTCTGGGCTGATATTGAATCAAATCAAACCGTCTTACAAAAGGAGGAAAAAGGAGTAGACTCACTAATTCTCTGCTCTTCACACTTCTTCATTATATCTTGTTTTATCTTTCAAGTTTGAGGAGATAGAGAAGAGAGGTCTTTTTTTCCTAAAGGATAAATGATGGCAGGCACGAGAAAAAGGGTCTTTTCTCTGTGTGATATATGATGAGAAATAGGGGGATAAAAGCAGCTGCCACAGGACAAATGTTATAATCAGGTTCTATTATTTTTAGAGCTGATCAATATGATTTCATTTGTTTTCAGTCATGTTTTGTACGAACATTTGGGGATTAGAATTTGAGGTTTAGCTAGTTTATTGGTTATATCGTGAAGCATAATCAATCTTATTACAGGCAATTATAGCTCTCTCAGTTGTTGGAATCAATACTAATAATGATGCTGTACATTCACAGAACACTTTATGGTTTACAAAGCCATTTCTTAAATGATCACATCCAGAATCATCACAATGGTAAAGGAAGTAGGCATTGTACAGTCAAATAGTGTTCAAAGGTCTTAGGAGTCATAGATCTAGGATAGAATATTGGCTCTGCTTGCTTTAAGTAACTTTGAGTAAATTACTTAATGTTTTTTAACCCCTGTTTCTTGTATTTTGTAAAATAGAAGTGATAATTAAAAATCCATTTAACACAGTTGTTATGAAGAGCGCATTATCTCATACATTTATAGCCATCTGTTTTCAAAGAAGTTGGTATGTATTTCAGAGTTAGCCAAGCAAACTTCCTAAAATCTCCAACTATGGATGAAACATTGGAGGGTCCCAGAGGTTTTATTTTTTTTCTTTTTATATATAATAGATATATTTTTTATTATACTTTAAGTTCTAGGGTACATGTGTACAACGTGCAGGTTTGTTACATATGTATACATGTGCAATGTTGGTGTGCTGCACCCATTAAGTAGTCATTTACATTAGGTATTTCTCCTAATGCTATCCCTCCCCCCTCCCCCAACCCCACCACAGGCCCCAGTATGTGATGTTCGCCTTCCTGTGTCCAAGTGTTCTCATTGTTCAATTCACACCTATGAATGAGAACATGCGGTGTTTAGTTTTTTTGTCCTTGTGATAGTTTGCTGAGAATGATGGTTTCCAGCTTCATCCATGTCCCTACAAAGGACCTGAACTCATCCTTTTTTATGGCTGCATAGTATTCCACGGTGTATATGTGCCACATTTTCTTAATCCAGTCTATCATTGTTGGACATTTGGGTTGGTTCCAAGTCTTTGCTATTGTGAATAGTGCCACAATAAACATACATGTGCATGTGTCTTTATAGCAGCATGATCTATAATCCTTTGGGTATATACCCAGTAATGGGATGGCTGGGTCAAATGGTATTTCTAGTTCTAGATCCCTGAGGAATCGCCACACTGACTTCCACAATGGTTGAACTAGTTTACAGTCTCACCAACAGTGTAAAAGTGTTCCTATTTCTCCACATCTTCTCCAGCACCTGTTGTTTTCTGACTTTTTAATGATCGCCATTCTAACTGGTGTGAGATGGTATCTCATTGTGGTTTTGATTTGCATTTCTCTGATGGCCAGTGATGATGAGCATTTTTTCATGTGTCTTTTGGCTGCATAAATGTCTTCTTTTGAGGAGTGTCTGTTCATATCCTTCGCCCACTTTTTGATGGGGTTGTTTGTTTTTTTTCTTGTAAATTTGCTTGAGTACTTTGTAGATTCTAGATATTAGCCCTTTGTCAGAAGAGTAGATTACAACAATTTTCTCCCATTCTGTAGGCTGCCTGTTCACTCTGATGGTAGTTTCTTTTGCTGTGCAGAAGCTCTTTAGTTTAATTAGATCCCATTTGTCAATTTTGGCTTTTGTTGCCATTGCTTTTGGTGTTTTAGACATGAAGTCCTTGCTCATGCCTATGTCATGAATGGTATTGCCTAGATTTTCTTCTAGAGTTTTTATGGTTTTAGGTCTAACATTTAAGTCTTTAATCCATCTTGAATTAATTTTTGTATAAGGTGTAAGGAAGGGATCCAGTTTCAGCTTTCTACATATGGCTAGCCAGTTTTCCCAGCACCATTTATTCAATAGGGAATCCTTTCCCCATTGCTTGTTTTTGTCAGGTTTGTCAAAGATCAGATAGTTGTAGATGTGTGGTATTATTTCTGAGGGCTCTGTTCTGTTCCATTGGTGTATATCTCTGTTTTGGTACCAGTACCATGCTATTTTGGTTACTGTAGCCTTGTAGTATAGTTTGAAGTCAGGTAGCGTGATGCCTCCAGCTTTGTTCTTTTGGCTTAGGATTGACTTGGCAATGCGGGCTCTTTTTTGGTTCCATATGAACTTTAAAGTAGTTTTTTCCAATTCTGTGAAGAAAGTCCTTGGTAGCTTGATGGGGATGGCATTGAATCTATAAATTACCTTGGGCAGTATGGCCATTTTCACGATATTGATTCTTCCTATCCATGAGCATGGAATGTTCTTCCATTTGTTTGTGTCCTCTTTTATTTCATTGAGCAGTGGTTTGTAGTTCCCCTTGAAGAGGTCCTTCACATTACTTGTAAGTTGGATTCTTAGGTATTGTATTATCTTTGAAGCAATTGTGAATGGGAGTTCCCTCATGATTTGGGTCCCTGTTTGTCTGTTATTGGTGTATAAGAATGCTTGTGATTTTGGCACATTGATTTTGTATCCTGAGACTTTGCTGAAGTTGCTTATCAGCTTAAGGAGATTTTGGGCTGAGACAGTGGGGTTTTCTACATATACAATCATGTCATCTGCAAACAGGGACAATTTGACTTCCTCTTTTCCTAATTGAATACCCTTTATTTCTTTCTCCTGACTGATTGCCCTGGCCAGAACTTCCAACAGTATGTTGAATAGGAGTGGTGAGAGAGGGCATCCCTGTCTTGTGGCAGTTTTCAAAGGGAATGCTTCCGGTTTTTTCCCATTCATTATGATATTGGCTGTGGGTTTGTCATAAATAGCTCTTATTATTTTGAGATACGTCCCATCAATACCTAATTTATTGAGAATTTTTGGCATGAAGGGTTGTTGAATTTTGTCAAAGGCCTTTTCTGCATCTATTGAGATAATCGTGTGGATTTTGTCATTGGTTCTGTTTATATGCTGGATTACATTTATTGATTTGCGTATGTTGAACCAGCCTTGCATCCCAGGGATGAAGCCCACTTGATCATGGTGGATAAGCTTTTTGATGTGCTGCTGAATTCGGTTTGCCAGTATTTTACTGAGGATTTTTGCATCGATGTTCATCAGGGATATTGGTCTAAAATTCTCTTTTTTTGTTGTGTCTCTGCCAGGCTTTGGTATCAGGATGATGCTGGCCTCATAAAATGAGTTAGGGAGGATTCCCTCTTTTTCTATTGATTGGAATAGTTTCAGAAGGAATGGTACCAGTTCCTCCTTGTACCTCTGGTAGAATTCGGCTGTGAATCCATCTGGTCCTGGACTTTTTTTGGTTGGTAAGCTATTAATTATTGCCTCAATGTCAGAGCCTGTTATTGGTCTATTCAGAGATTCAACTTCTTCCTGGTTTAGTCTTGGGAGGGTGTATATGTCGAGGAATTTATCCATTTCTTCTAGATTTTCTAGTTTATTTGTGTAGAGGTGTTTATAGTATTCTCTGATGGTAGTTTGTATTTCTGTGGGATCGGTGGTGATATCCCCTTTATCATTTTTTATTGCATCTATTTGATTGTTCTCTCTTTTCTTCTTTATTAGTCTTGCTAGCGGTCTATCAATTTTGTTGATCCTTTCAAAAAACCAGCTCCTGGATTCATTAATTTTTGAAGGGTTTTTTGTGTCTCTATTTCCTTCAGTTCTGCTCTGATTTTAGTTATTTCTTGCCTTCTGCTAGCTTTTGAATGTGTTTGCTCTTGCTTTTCTAGTTCTTTTAATTGTGATGTTAGGGTGTCAATTTTGGATCTTTCCTGCTTTCTCTTGTGGGCATTTAGTGCTATAAATTTCCCTCTACACACTGCTTTGAATGTGTCCCAGAGATTCTGGTATGTTGTGTCTTTGTTCTCACTGGTTTCAAAGAACATCTTTATTTCTGCCTACATTTCGTTATGTACCCAGTAGTCCTTCAGGAGCAGGTTGTTCAATTTCCATGTAGTTGAGTGGTTTTGAGTGAGTTTCTTAATCCTGAGTTCTAGTTTGATTGCACTGTGGTCTGAGAGACAGTTTGTTATAATTTCTGTTCTTTTACATTTGCTGAGGAGAGCTTTGCTTCCAACTATGTGGTCAATTTTGGAATATGTGTGGTGTGGTGCTGAAAAGAATGTATATTCTGTTGATTTGGGGTGGAGAGTTCTGTAGATGTCTATTAGGTCCACTTGGTGCAGAACTGAGTTCAATTCCTGGGTATCCTTGTTAACTTTCTGTCTCGTTGATCTGTCTAATGTTGACAGTAGGCTGTTAAAGTCTCCCATTATTATTGTGTGGGAGTCTAAGTCTCTTTGTAGGTCTCTAAGGACTTGCTTTATGAATCTGGGTGCTCCTGTGATGGGTGCATATATATTTAGGATAGTTAGCTCTTCTTGTTGAATTGATCCCTTTACCATTATGTAATGGCCTTCTTTGTCTCTTTTGATCTTTGTTGGTTTAAAGTGTGTTTTATCGGAGACTAGGATTGCAACCCCTGCCTTTTTTTATTTTCCATTTGCTTGGTAGATCTTCCTCCATCCCTTTATTTTGAGCCTATGTGTGTCTCTGCACATGAGATGGGTTTCCTGAATACAGCACACTGATGGGTCTTGACTCTTAATCCAATTTGCCAGTCTGTGTCTTTTAATTGGAGCATTTAGCCCATTTACATTTAAGGTTAATATTGTTATGTGTGAATTTTATCATGTCATTATGATGTTAGCTGGTGATTTTGCTCATTCGTTGATGCAGTTTCTTCCTAGCCTCTATGGTCTTTACAATTTGGCATGTTTTTGCAGTGGCTGGTACCGGTTGTTCCTTTCCATGTTTAGTGCTTCCTTCAGGAGCTCTTGTAGGGCAGGCCTGGTGGTGACAAAATCTCTCAGCATTTGCTTGTCTGTAAAGTATTTTATTTCTCCTTCACTTTTGAAGCTTAATTTGGCTGGATATGAAATTCTGGTTTGAAAATTCTTTTCTTTAAGAATGTTGAATATTGGCCCCCACTCTCTTCTGGCTTGTAGAGTTTCTGCCGAGAGATCAGCTGTTAGTCTGATGGGCTTCCATTTGTGGGTAACCCGACCTTTCTCTCTGGCTGCCCTTAATATTTTTCCTTCATTTCAACTTTGGTGAATCTGACAATTGTGTGTCTTGGAGTTGCTCTTCTTGAGGAGTATCTTTGTGGCATTCTCTGTATTTCCTGAATTTGAATGTTGGCCTGCCTTGCTAGGTTGGGGAAGTTCTCCTGGATAATATCCTGCAGAGTGTTTTCCAGCTTGGTTGCATTCTCCCCGTCACTTTCAGGTACACCAATCAGAGGTAGATTTGGTCTTTTCACATAGTCCCATATTTCTTCGAGGCTTTGTTCATTTCTTTTTATTTTTATTTTTCTCTAAACTTCTCTTCTTGCTTCATTTCATTCATTTGATCTTCAATCACTGATACTCTTTCTTCCATTTGATTGAATCGGCTACTGAACCTCGTGCATTCATCACGTAGTTCTCGTGCCATGGTTTTCAGCTCCATCAGGTCCTTTAAGGACTTCTCTACATTGGTTATTCTAGTTAGCCATTCGTCTAATCTTTTTTCAAGGTTTTTAACTTCTTTGCAATGGGTTTGAACTTCCTCTTTTAGCTCAGAGAAGTTTGATCGTCTGAAGCCTTTTTCTCTCAGCTCATCAAAGTCATTCTCTGTCCAGCTTTGTTACATTGCTGGTGAGGAGCTGCGTTCCTTTGGAGGAGGAGAGGCGCTCTGATTTTTAAAATTTTCAGTTTTTCTGCTCTGTTTTTTCCCCATCTTTGTGGTTTTATCTACCTTTGGTCTTTGATGATGGTGACATACAGATGGGGTTTTGGTGTGGATGTCCTTTCTATTTGTTAGTTTTGCTTCTAACAGTCAGGACCCTCAGCTGCAGGTCTGTTGGAGTTTGCTGGAGGTCCACTCCAGACCCTGTTTGCCTGGGTATCAGCAGCAGAGGCTGCAGAACAGCGAATATTGCTGAACAGCGATTGTTGCTGCCTGATTGTTCCTCTGGAAGTTTCCTCTCAGAGGGGTACCCGGCCATGTGAGGTGTCAGTCTGCCCCTGCTGGGGAGTGCCTCCCAGTTAGGCTACTCGAGGGTCAGGTACCCACTTGAGGAGACAGTCTGTCCATTCTCAGATCTCAAGCTGCATGCTGGGAGAACCACTACTCTCTTCAAAGCTGTCAGACAGGGACATTTAAGTCTGCAGAGGTTTCTGCTGCCTTTTGTTCGGCTATGCCCTGCCCCCAGAGGTGGAGTCTACAAAGGCATACAAGTCTCCTTCAGCTGTGGTGGGCTCCACCCAGTTCCAGCTTCCTGGTCACTTTGTTTACCTACTCAAGCCTCAGCAATGGTGAGCGCCCCTCCCCCAGCCTCACTGCCGCCTTGCAGTTTGATCTCAGACTGCTGTGCTAACAATGAGCAAGGCTCCGTGGGCCTGGGAGGAGGGTCCCAGAAGTTATGACTTGCCTGATGTGCAGACAGAACATGAAATTATATTCTGCCTTTAATTACAAAGCTTTACATTACATCACACTGCCTGTATAGAGATTCTGTAGTTTAGAATATGGTTAATTAAATGTAGAAATTATTTCATTAAATGTGATTTACTTTTGTCACACTCTATTGTTTTGTTTCAATCAACCACATGTGAGATTTTTTCTTCTTCTTTTATTTGAGTATTATCAATTATGGCTGAATTTTCTGCAGCTCTAAACAACCAATAGAGTGTAGTGGAAGTGGTGCTGCCTGACTTCTGAGGATAGGTCATAAAAGGTAATGAGGCTTTTGCTTTGTTTGCTGGAACACTTGCACTTAAGAGTCCCAAGCTGTAATGTAGGAGATCTGACTACTGTAAGATCCCGTGTTATGTAGCCTAAGCCACATGCAGATGTCATGTGTAGGCACTTGGGTTGAAAGTGCCTGTTGAGTTTCGCTTTATAGCTATTTCTGCCAAGGTACCAGGCATGTGAGTGGTGCCATCTTGGATCCTTTAGGCCAGTCTTTCTGCCATCTGAGTACATGAATAATTTTGATTGAGGCCAATAAAAAACAGAAAATTTGTCCAACTGGGCCTTGCCAGAATTCCTGACTTACAGAATCAGTGAGGTTCTAGCTTGCTGTTTAATCCCCTAAATTTTGGAGTGGTTAGTTACACAGCAATAGATAATTGAAACAGGCTCTTTCTATGTGCAATTATTTCTTCATGGGATGCTTTTTTCCCCTCTGTCACTTTTAGCACTTTTATCTCTTTAACAGGGATGTAAGATGAGTTCATAGTCACATTCTTATTATCTTAAAGGAAAGCCAAACAAAGAAAGAAAAGTCTTACTGAGACAATGAGAAGTGCAAAGGAATGGAGACATAATTGCAGAACATAGATGATATTATAGACATTACATAACAAAATAAGAAAAGAATGCAACAAGTAAAGAGAAAATTTGAATTATAAAATCATTTGGAAACAAACCGGAAAAGATGAAAGTTGGGAATGACACAATGAAACATTTTGCAGTTTCAGTAAAGTTGTCCTTTTTATTTGGAAGATTGAAATAGTGAGAATGTTGGATGAGGCAGAAGCCTGTGACCATGGTATAGTTTCTTCCATGTTCTTCTGTGGTCTAGTTAGACAATTTAGAACACTAATAAAAATAATAATAACTAATATATACTGAGGATACTTAATACACTATTTTATTTAATCTTCATGTCAAGTCTGCCAGGTAGGTATACTGTTGGTATCATTTCCTACTTTAAAAACATAAAAGCTAATACTCAGCAAGGTTAGGGAATATACCCAAAGTTTCAGAGTCTGGTTCCAAAGCTTGAGGCTTTTCTGGTCAAAGCCTCCATCTGCCACAGCCACAGAATAGGCCAGTTAGCTTTTCTTTCTCTTCTTTCTCTTTTTTTTTTTTTTTCTTTGAGACAGAGTTTGGCTCTTGTTGCCCAGGCTGGAGTGCAGTGGTGCTATCTTGGCTCACCGCAATCTCCACCTCCCGGGTTCAAGCGCTTCTCCTGCCTCAGCCTCCCAAGTAGCTGGGATTACAGGCATGCACCACCACACCTGGCTATTTTTTTGTATTTTTAGTAGAGATGGGGTTTCTCCATGTTGGTCAGACTGGTCTCAAACTCCTGACCTCAGGTGATCTGCCTGCCTTGGCCTCCCAAAGTGCTGGGATTAGAGGAGTGAGCCACCACGCCCGGTCAGCTTTTTTTTCTTTCTAATTTTTATTTTCTCTTCCACACTCATGTGAATGACCTCAAGGGGCACAGAAGAGTATAAGGAGAACTGCCTAGAGGAGGTAGGTAACTAAATGTAAACCTATTCACAAAAACGTCACAAATATAGCTTTTTTTTTTTTTAAATTCCAGATCTATGAAAACTGTCTCCCCCAAGGTTCTATAAACATTATTCAGTTCTCCAGGATTCTGAAAATAAAAGATACGTAACATGCTATACAAAAGAAAAGAGGACTGCCTTATTTTCAGGGAATTGCTGCTGTGATTTGCAATCTGAGGTCCATAAGTTTGCTGTGTTCATGTTTCCAATTTGCAGCCTATTTATTTGAAAGTTGCTGTTGGGAATGTTTGCATTTATAGTTTACTTCTGGTGGGCTGAATTCTCAATTTGCCATGTATATGTTTTCAAAGTCAGTGTACATTTGTAAATTTCCTATTTTGCTGAATCCAAGCCTGTTACTGTAGTTGGTTTGCAGATGAAGGCATTGGCTGGTGGGGGAGTTTTAAATAAGGGATCAATAAAATGTGGTGTGCAGCACACATTTTTTTGAAGGTCCAGTTCTGGAATCCTCAGTCATGTTTGTTTTCCTATAGAAATGTGAGCTACAGGGAAGAAATGAAATACCATATTTCTTGATACTCAAGCAAATATTTAATGGCCACATCTTTTTTATTTTATGGCAGAAGTAGCAAGAACACTTTAGTTAGGTTTAGCAAAATATCTTTTCTGCTTTTAAATTACTGTTTGGTATAGTGGCTTTCAAGCATTTTTTTTCACATATACTTTTTCCTTTTAAATTTAGTTTACACCTAATAATTATACACATTTGTGGGATACAGAGTGATATTTTGATACATGTATACAATGTGTAATGATCAATTGGGATAATTAGCATATGTATCACCTGAAACATTTATCATTTCTTTATGTTGTGGATATTCAAAATCCTATCTTCTAGCTTTTTGAAAATATACAATAAATTACAGTTAACCATATTCATCCTACAGAACTCATTTCTCCATGTTTAAAAAATCATGACCCATGTGCAAACATAAATCTGAACTCAAGACTCAGTACATCAGCACATATATAGCTAAAATAAAAGATTTTGGCAACAATAATTCCCTTACTGATATATCCTGTTCTATTCTATTCCATTCTGCTCTTTTATACTCAACTTTATATTTTATTCTACTCTTGTCTAGTCTAGTCTGTTTTATTTCAAGAAAATATGCTACTACAACCTACGAAGAAAATTTAATGACCCTTATTTATTGGTCTCCCTCCCCCTACAATCTCAGAAGCAATGCTTTGTTGATGAGAGAGCACCTGCCACTTGACTTATAACAAACAGAAGATGGGCCAGAATAAGATAAGAGCAGTAGAAAGACACCTAGAGATTCTATTTTTTAAGTGTGACAAAATTAATAAAGATGAATGGTTGTCACCATTTGTAATGCAATAATATGTGAAAATACTCATTTGTGGATTTTAGATTATTTCAGTTGGACTAGCTTCAAGGAAACATTGGAATACATGTAATATATCTTTAATAAAAGATCAGTGTTTGTGGCCACTTAGCTTATTTCTTCTGATTTTAAAGGTAATAGATATTCACTTACAGATAATTTGCAATGTACAAAATGTTATAAGGGAGAAAATGAAAACCACCTGTAAAACCACCACATATTAGTAAGATTTAATAATACTTTAATGTATCTCTTTCCCATTTTGTTCATTATTTTTTCTATATACATTTTTTTCTTTCAATAAATTGAGGTCACATCATATGTAATCTATTTTTAATTTAAAATCATATCATAAAAATTTCCTTGGCATTAGATATTTTTTGAAAAATAATTTTAATGTAAACAATATATTATAGTACAAACACATAGTATAGTTTTTACATCTGGTTCTTTTTTGTTTCACATTTAAATTGTTTTTATTTGATCATTTATATCTTATTATAAATAATGCTGTATTGAACATTATTGCACATATATCCTAGGTGATTGCTCTGACTTTTGAACTCATAGTAAATTTTCTGGGATGTAGAATTAATGAGTTAATCAACACAGTGATTGTTATGCCTATTTAATCATGTTGTTAAATTTCTTTCCAGTGAGCCTATACCAATTTATGTTCCACAAACAATGTATCAGAATACTTTTGATATTTCATCCTCTTAAAAAAATATTGGTATTATCTTAAGAAAATGGCCAATTTAATACTTCTTACTTTTACTTTTTTCTGTTTTACAAAATTTTACAATTATATTTGTAACAATATTTTTATAATTATAAAATTGGTGAACATTACATTTGATTTATTCTTATGTAAGTTGAAATATTTAGCATTTTTACTACATTCTCTCAGCACTTGCCAATGTATGCCAATATAATTTATGATTATACATTTAAATTACCATTATTACATAATTATTTCATTATTTTATTATTCATTTATGTATCACTTTATTTCTTGTAATTAATAAGTATATAAATATGTCTTTATAAGTTTAATTACTATGAATGACTAAAACAAACCTATCCTTGAGTTCTTATTTTCAGTTATGGGGTACTTTTAAAAATATTCATATATTCTTGACTCATATATTAGAAACTTTTTGAAAAGAATTTTAGTTACTGATTATTCCCTTTCATCCACTGGACGATTGCATTACAAAAAACTATAGTTTCCTTAAGGAACTTAGCAAGAAGTACTTAAGGGGGCCTTCTAGGGGTAACATCACTAACTTTAAAAGCTAATAGAATGGTAGAGAGTGGCCAACACAGTTTCTAGTCTATATTCCCATCTTTGAGTCACTAATGTGGCAATATAGAATGAGAGTAAACCGTCTTTTCTTGTCTATGCTTATTTGGCCATGCCACTTTTACAGATGTTTAACATCTTAAGATACTAAGAGCTTTTGCCTCTTAGTCCTGCTCATCTACTAAAAGTAATTCTTAGGGCTGTTTAAATTCTACACCATGCTCTGTGTTTTCACAGGAATTCAAATGGGAAGATAGAGTAATGCAAATCAGATATCACCATCATAACTTAGAATGGCCATTTATTTGTTTCAACTATAGAGTTTAATAACGTTCAAGGACTATCTTGTAGCATTAGAAGGCTTACTATGTTTGTTATGTATTTTGGCTGTATGTGCTTTTAGTATATGTATTGAGTGTATGTGAATATTTTATATTTACAGCATGAAACCAAATGGAGTTCTCTATTAACGCATCATTTCCAAATTATTTTACTATTTTAAAAAGTGATGGTAGTCAGTTTTAAATATTGAATAATTTTGTTCAATTTACCATAAATGGACTATGACAATGCATAGTGGGAAATGTGGTGATGTGAATTTTATACAATATTTTGCTCTGTTGGATACCTTAGCTAATATAGCCCTCCTCTTACTTGAATACAGCATGAAGATGAAAGGTAAGTTGCACATTTCTCTTTAAATCAATGTTGACCCTGACAGACAGATTTTTTGCAAAAACTGTTTGAGAGATATGTTTGAACAAATGACGTAATAGGTTGCTACTCAATTTTTATCTTAAGATATTTCAGAAGATAAACTGGTTTACATATTTAAATCACTTGTGATGAATTAATAAAGCTCAAGTGATTTTGAACACAACAGATGGTAAGAATAAGTAAAATAAAATATTTTTTATTCACTATATGTACAATGTGTAATGCAATGTTGGCAGTAAGCAAATGTAAATAATGAAAAAAGAAACGCATGGGGGTACCAATAGTTTTTGAATTCGTACAATGTTCTAGGTGTATTGTATATCTCAATTCATTTAAGATGTAAGGAAAAACATTTTATTGGAAAGGACCTAGCATACTTTTGGTCCCATCCCTATTTTCAGTTACAGAATAATATACTACCCCTTTCGTACACTTTTAGTTGGTAGTTTTACATGAATAACTATCAAATTAACATTTACATTCAAGATACGGTTCAAAGAAATTGTCATGTAAACTTTATTTATTTTTTTGAAATAAGATCTGTAGCATTTTTAAGTACCAAAAACATATTCTAATTATTTTGACAGGCTCGATAGTTGAAACTAGGTGTGCTGTCCTCATTGAATCATTAATAGATATAGAAACTGATACTTTATGATAAAGTAGGTAATTTTCCTGGGCTAAATGAAATTAGAGATTAAGTTCAAAGAAGAGCAAACTATTTCTGTAAACAATATATGGGCCAACTTCTACCAAATTTGAAAATATTTGTTTTTTGTATCATGATGAAAATTATTTTCTATAAAATACTGAAATCTGCAGAAAATTACTTAAAAAAAAAACCCTGGAGTCTCTGGTGTAAATATTTCTGGATCGTAGTCAACTACTTACCTCTGCTTCCTTCTCACACCTCACTAAAATGGCTGGGACGAAAGACCATACAGGACATAAACCACTTAGGAAATGAGAACAGAAAAGAAGGTGGTAACAGCAAAATTTTTGAATCTGGTAGTCATATGATTTAGCAAACCGGAGAAGGCTGAAACTTAAGCCAGGAAGTGATGGGGTAGCATGAAAGCAATTCAGGAGAAAGCCAATGTGTGACCACAGAACCACAGAAATGCTCAAGAATTGGAATAACAACATTTAATGTGGGAGGAGGATTGGCTATAGATCCCAGGTGCCCTCCGTACTCCACATATTTGAAGGATTGCCTCTTCTAAACTGTAAGAAGAATGAAGGCTTGCTCTCAAGATGAACTGGAGAGACTCAGGACTTGAGAATTCCCAGTACAGCAGAATGCAAACACACGGATTACAGAGCAATTTGGTAAAAATGATGAGGACACAAGTCTTTTTCGCCATTAAGACCCAAGAATTCTGGCAGACAGGCTTATGCAGTCCAGGACAGGAATTAGAAGATTATGCTGTGGAGAAACTCAATAACCTAAGAGAAGAGATATACAGTTGCTAACTCTTGGGAATTCCCAAAAGAAATATCTCAATCCTATTGTCATACATGAAGCCAACCATTTATTAATTCATTAAAGCATCATCTATGCACAAAGTTTCTGATAAGTATTTTATGCACTCACTCTTAAATATGAGTGTAGAGCCATAGTCACTAGATATTTGAGGAAAACCTATAGCAAGAAACACAGAACAAAACAATACAATAGGTAACAGAAATTTATAAAAAAAAGAGAGACAATGTAGAGCATGGGAAAAATACTCATTTAAAAAGCATTATTGCTATCCTTACAAGTATAGGAAAAAAGAACAGAAGGCTATAAGAAGGAAAAATTAAGATGATTCAAAGGAGTTCTTGAAATACACAAAATGTGACAACAGAAATTAAAAATTTAACAGAAGCTTTAGAAAGTAACTTTGAGACTTGTGTATAGAAACATTTCAAGTTATGATATAATAACAGGCCAATGCCTTCAAAATTTTGAGGGATTAAAAAAAAGTAACTTGAATTTTATACCCAACCTATTTATCAAATGTTAGAATAGAAGAAAAGCGTGCTCAGATATGCAAGGTATCAAATTTTTGGCTCCCGTATACTCTTCTCAGGAATCTGCTAGAGATTGTGATCCTCCTCCAAAACAGAGAATTATCTAAAAAGAGTAAAACATAAGATATAAAAAATCCAACACAGAAAATAAGAATGGGTATTCCTAGAATTATGTTTAAGGGAGATATAAAAGACGGTTATGCAATAGACTTACTGAACCTCCCGCCCAAAGTGAAGCAGAGGATGAAAGATTCTTGAAAAACTGCCTTCAAGAAAAGTAATTAAATGTATAGGTTATATAATGAGCTAAAAGAATTGAAAGAATTACATCTCTGGTGGAGAGTTTGGAGATAAGTTAGATAAAAGTATGTAGGAAAACTTGCAAATAAATAAATGCAAGTATTAAATCTAGAGATAACAGAAAAGGAAATGCAAAATTCTATTACTATATACTTGTTTATAGTAATATAAACAATGAAAGGTTTTTTTTAATTATTTTTTTAACCAAGAAATCTATTAAAAGAACAGGGAAGGAGAAGAGTGTATGTGAGTGTGTATGTGTGTGCATAGGTTCATACATGCATATGTGTTCACACGTGATTAGAGAGTGTGAAGAATGTAAATCTTTGTCTTCCATTGAATAAAGTTGACGTATAATTTTTTAAAACAAAAAGCCTAGAAATAACAGTTTCATCATGGTATTTAGAAGTATAATTTTGTTTTTCTCAAAGAAGATTGCAGATTAGACACTTTTAGCATGGCTCAGCTAAAAATAGCAAGATAGTGTATAAAGATCAATTATGTGACCTTTAATTCAGGAGGGAAAATGGGAGTCCACCAGCATCATGAAGGACAACTCAGATCCTGGGGAGGAGAACATGGGCAAACAGCCCTGTGACAGTACCTGGCTGGTAAAATGAGTGAAGTCCCAGTACACAACAGAGGCAGAGAGCCTCCCTCTGTGACTCACCTTTCCCCTGGAGATCTGAGAAACCCAGGCTGAGGGAGAGCACAGTGTTCCTCCTAAACCCTGGAGCTTGTTTGAGGAGAGGCTTGGAGATGTTCTGAAGGAAAGACGCCAGTAATAACTGCAGGCATTTTCCCCAACCTGGGATGGAAAGCAGGATCCCAGTTTTAACCCAGGCACATACAAAATCACCCATTCTTTGGTGACCTGGCAGCATGACTGTGCAAGCATTTTAGTCTCAGGCCAGACATTGGAGTCTCTACTTTTGAATGAGTTAGGGGCCTCTACAACCAGAACTATGGAAAGTGCCTCAGCAGTAGGCACCGGAATTGTACTATCTCCTATTGCAGACCCGTAGTGGGAGGAGAGCTGCTACAGCTACAGTTTCTCCTGGATGATGAGACTTGCAGCCAGGGCCAGCTTGGTGACCTGGAACTGGCCTGTGTGTGTCATTGCCAGGTGCCTAGCCTGCTTCCCTGAGATCATGATGCTACAAGGCCCTATCTGCCCTACCCCCAAACAAAAATTCAGGCACTCAGAATGCCTGATTGCCTGGAACAGCAGCCTGAGCGGCTTCACCCATTATGGACATGGATTGTGGTACCACAAGCCCTCTCTACTCCATGCCCAGGTAGATCTCTAGGTATTCAGAGCACTCTCTCATCTGGATCATCCTGAGCCACCCAACACTTCTTGTGCATAGATCATGGTGCAGTGGGGCTCTCTCTACTCTATATGTAGGCAGATCTCCAGGCACTTGGAGCACCTGCTTGCATGGACAGTAGCCTGAGTCACCCCACCCTTCCTGTGCAGAGATACTGTGCAGAGGTGTCCCTTTCTGCTTTATGTCTAGGCAGGCCTTCAGGCATTCAGAGCGCACACTCACCTTTTTCAGCAGCCTGAGCTGTCCCACTCTTCCTGCACATAGACAGTGGTGCAGTGGGGCCCTCTCCACTCCATGCCCAGGCAGTTCTCCAGGCATTCAAAGTGTCTGCTCAGCTGGATTGACCCCCTGAGCTGCCCCACCTTTCCTGCCCAGCCATTTGGGTGCAGGAGGGCCCTATCTGTTTCAACCCAGGCAGATATCCAAGCATTCAGAACACCTGCTTGTCTGGTTCAGTAGCCTGAGTCACCCCACCCCTCCTGTGAAGAGATCTGGGTGCAGGGGGCCCCTTTCTGCTCCATGCCCAGGCAGATCTCCAAGCTTCTGAAGCACTCACTCTCCTGGATTAGGAGTTTAGGCTGCCCCCTATTCCTGTGCAGAGAACTTGGGGCCAAGGAGGTTTCCCACCTCCATGATTAGGCACACATCTGGGTACTTGGTGGCTGGTCATTGGATTGTCCCTTGGCACCAGTGCTTGTTCCTGCCATCTTGGAATTTGTAGTTGGACCTGCCCAGTCTTTTCCTGCCCTGTCCATCTTACCCCCCCACCTCTCCAGGGCTGAGGAGGGAGCTCAGACTACTGTCCACATCATGAATCAGTTCATTCTCTGAGGCAACAGAGAACTTCTCCTGGTAAACAGTGATCAAGTATATATGCAGCCACATTGGTCAAAACTGGCTCTTACCCATAAGCACCATCTACTGGCTTGTAGGTTGAATTGCACAGCCCAGTATAAAACCCATCTCCAGAAGTGCATGGGGCTACAGAAGAAAACCCAAGAGACCCTACCCAGAATTCTCTAGAGTCACAGCCCCCAGGGAGGAGCGCAAATGGGAAGGGAAAGAAAAAAATAGAGAAAGAAAAATAAAAATAAAAATTTAGACATGAATGAAAATAAATACACAACCCACAAATGCTAGGGTCTCTAGATGAGGAAGAACTAGCACAAGAATTCTGGCACCATAAAGAATCTGAATGTAGTGACATGAGCAAAGGATAACACCAGCTCTACAGCAAAGGTCCCTAACTAATATAGAAACCAATGGTGCTGGGAAAACTGGCAAGTCACATTTAGAAGAATAAAACTAGATCCCCATCTCTCACTTTATAAAAAAATCAACTCAAGATGCCTCAAAGACTTAAATCTAAGACCTGAAACCATAAAAATTCTAGAAGATAGCACTGGAAAAACTCTCCTGAACATTAGCTTAGGCAAGGAATTCATGATTAAGACCCCAAAAGTAAATGCAAATAAATAAATATATAAATAAATGGAACCTAATTAAACTAAAAAAGCTTCTGCATGGCAAAAGAATTAATCAGTAGAGTAAACAGACAGCACACAGAGTGGGAGAAAATGTTAGCAAACTATGCATCTGACAGAGGATTCATATCCAGAATCTACAAGGAACTCAAACAAATCAGAAAAAAAAGCTCATCAAAGAGTGGGTAAACTACATGAATAGACATTTCTGAAAAGAAGATATACAAACAGCCAATAAACATATGAAAAAATGCTCAACATCAGTAATCATGAGGGAAATGCAAATTAAAATCACAATGAGATACCACCATATTCCTGCAAGAATGGCCATAATTAAAAAGTAAAAAAAAATAAAGGCTGACATTGGCATGGTGAAAAGAGAACACTTTTACACTGCTGGAGGGAATGTAAATTAGTACAACCACTATGGAAAACAATATGAAGATTCCTTAAAGAACCAAAAGTAGAACTACCATTCAATTCAGTAATCCCACTACTGGATATCTACCCAAAGGAAAAGTCATTATATGAAAAAGACTCATGCATGTGGCATGTTTATTCCAGCACAATTCACAATTGCAAAGATATGCAACCAACCTAAGGACCCATCAACCAACAAACGGATAAAGAAAATATGGTATGTATACACCATAAAATACTACTCAGCAATAAAAAGGAACAAAATAATTTTTTTTGCAGCAACTTAGATGGAGCTGTATCGGGGGAAATTCACCCCCGATATTTCACATACGTTCTCTTCTATTTTCCCTAAGTGTAGGCTGGTCTGAGAAATAAAGGGAAAGAGTACAAAAGAGAGAAATTTTAAAGCTGGGTGTCCGGGGTAGACATCACGTGTCGGCAGGTTCTGTGGTGCCCCCCTGAGCTGTAAAACCAGCAAGTTTTTATTAGTGATTTTCAAAAGGGGAGGGAGTGTACGAATAGGGTGTGGGTCACAGAGATCATGTGCTTCACAAGGTAGTAGAATATCACAAGGCAAATGGAGGCAGGGCGAGATCACAGGACCATAGGACCGGGGCAAAATTAAAATTGCTAATGAAGTTTCGGGCACGCATTGTCATTGATAACATCTTATCAGGAGACAGGGTTTGAGAGCAGACAACCAGTCTGACCAAAATTTATTAGGCGAGAATGTCCTCGTCCTAATAAACCTGGGAGCGCTACAGGAGACTGGGGCTTATTTCATCCCTACAGCTTCGATCGTAAAAGATGGCTGCCCCTGAAGCAGCCATTTTAGAGGCCTAACCTCAGGAATGCATTCTCTTTCTCAGGGATGTTCCTTGCTGAGAAAAAGAATTCAGCGATATTTCTCCCATTTGCTTTTGAAAGAAGAGAAATATGGCTCTGTTCCGCCCGGCTTACCAGCGGTCAGAGTTTAAGGTTATCTCTCTTGTTCCCTGAACATTGCTGTTATCCTATTCTTTTTTCAAGGTGCCCAGATTTCATATTGTTCAAACACAATATGCTCTACAAACAATTTATGCAGTTAACGCAATCATCACAGGGTCCTGAGGTGACATACATCCTCCTCAGTTTACGAAGATGATGGGATTAAGAGATTAAAGACAGGCATAGGAAATCACAAGGGTATTGATTGGGGAAGTGATAAGTGTCCATGAAATCTTCACAATTTATGTTCAGAGATTGCAGTAAAGACAGGCATAAGAAAGTATAGAAGTATTAATTTGGGGAACTAATAAATGTCCATGAAATCTTCACAATTTATGTTCTTCTGCCATGGCTTCAGCCAGTCCCTCCATTCGGCGTCCCTGACTTCCCACAACAGAGCTGGAGGACATTATTCTAAGTGAAGTAACTTGGGAATGGACAACCAAATAGCATATCTTCTCACTTACAAGTGGGAGCTAAGCTATGAGTACACAAAAGCATAAGACTAATATAATGCACTCCAGGGGCTTGGGGGGAAAATGTTGGGAGGGGTGAGGGATAAAAGACTACATATTGAGTGCCGGGCGCAGTGTCTCATGCCTGTAATTCCAGCACTTTGGAAGGCCGATGCAGGCAGGTCATGAGGTCAGGAGTTCGAGACCAGCCTGACCAACATAGTGAAACCCCATCTTTACTAAAAATACAAAAAAAAAAAAAAATTAGCCGGGCGTGGTGGCGCATGCCTGTAATCCCAGCTACTCAGGAGGCTGAGGCAGAAGAATCGCTTGAACCCAGGAGGCAAAGGTTGCAGTGAGCCAAGATCACACTACTGCACTCCAGCCTGGGTGACAGAGCGAGACTCTGTCAGTCAAAAAAAAAAAAAAAAACAACTGCATATTGGGTACCGTGTACACTGCTTGGGCGACAGGTGCACTAAAATGTCAGCTATCACCACTAAAGAACCATGTAACTAAAAACCACATGTACTCAAAAATCGCTTGAAATAAAAAATTTTAAAAAAAGAATTCAAAGTGTAAATTGCAAGGAATTTCATTGAGATCCAAGACAATGTTGAAAATCAAAACAAGGACACTTCTAAAGCAATCTGGAAAGTGAAAGAAGAGGTAAACATCTTAAAAAGAAATCAATCAGAGATTCTGGAATAAAAAAAAACTCACTTAAAGAATTTCAAAATACAATTGAAATCTTTATCAATGGACTAGACCAAGCAGAAAAATAGTTCCAGAGCTTGAAGACTGGTTTTTCAAATTAATCTAGTCAGACAAAAATAAAGAAAAGAGAATTTTAAAAATAAAGTGTTTGAGAAATAAGGGATTATGTAAAGAATTAAACTTATGAACTATTGGTATTTCTGAAGGAGATGGGGAAAAATAAAACAACATGAAAATCATATTTGAGGGAATAATTCAAGAAAATTTTCCTATCTCACTAGAGAGGTAGATATCCTGATACAATGAATCCAGAGAACCATTGCAAGATATTTTACAAAATGAACATCACCAACACAACAGTTTGTATATAGTCAGCAGACTGTTTGATATGGTTTGGATGTATCCCCACCCACATTTCATCTTGAATTATAGCTCTCATAATCCCCATGTGTTTTGTGAGGGACCCGGTGGAAGGTAATTGAATCATCGGGGCAGGTTTTTCCCGTGTCGTTCTCATGATAGTGAATAAATCTAATGAAATCTGATGGTTTTATAAAGGGTAGTCCTCCTGCATACTATCTCTTGCCTGCCACCATTTAAGACATGCCTTTACTCCTTCTTTACCTTCTGCCATAATTGTGAGGCCTCTGCAGCAATGTGGAACTGTGAGTCCATTAAACTTCTTTTTCTTTATAAATTGCCCAGCCTTAGGGATGTCTTTATTAGCAGCATGAGAACAGACTAACATACTGTTCAAGTCAATGCTAAAGACAAAATCTTAAAGTCAACTAGAGAATAAGGTAAGATCACATATGCAATGAACCCCAGCAGGCTACAAGCATACTTCTCGGCAGAGGCCTTACAAGCCAGGAGAGATTGGTAGCTTCTTTTCAGAATTCTTAAAGAAAAGAAATTCCAATCAAGAATCTCATGTCCTGCCAAACTAAGCTTTATAAGGAAAGGAGAAATAAAGTCTTTTCCAAACAAGTAAGCACTAAGGGAATTTGTTGTCACTGAACCAACATTACAAGAGACCCTTAAGGAAGTTCTAAACATGGAAATGAAAAAAAATGATACCTGCTACCACAACAACACACTTAAGTACATAGCTCACAGACCCTATAAAGCAACCACACAATGGAAACTGCAAAGCAACCTGCTAACAATTTTATGATAAAATCAAAATCTCACATATCAACATCCTTGAATGTAAATTGTCTAAACATCCCACTTAAAAAGCATAGAGTGGCAAGTTGGATTAAAAAAAAAAGACCCTTCCATCTGCTGCCTTCAAGAGACCTATCTCAGCAGTAATGACACCCATGGCCTCAAAGGAAAGGGTGGGATAAAAGATTATTATGCAAATGGAACACAAAAACATCAAGAGTGGCTATTCTTATATCAGATAAAATAGACTTCAAAACAACAACAGTAAAAAAAGACAAAGAAGGGCATTGCATAATGATAAAGGGTTCAATTCAACAAGAAGACTTAACTATTCTAAATATATGTGCACCCAACATTGGAGCACTCAGATTCATAAAACGGTACTTTGAGATCTACAGAAAGACTTAGGTAACCACGTAATAATAATGGGAGACTTCAACACCCCACTGACAGCATTAGACTTTAAGGCATCAAGGCAGAAAACTAACAAAGAAATAATGGATTTAAATTTGACATTGACCAATTGAAGTTAATAGATATCTACAGAATACTCCACACAACAACCAAATAATACACATTCTTCTCATCTGCACACAGAATATACTCTAAGATTGACCACATTATCAGCCAGAAAGTAAGTCTCAATAAATTAAAAAAAAAAATTCCAATGATGCTCGTGGAACACAGTGGAATAAAATTAAAGCCAATACTAACAAGATCTCTCAAAAACCACACAATTACATGGAAGTTAAACAACTTTCTCCTGAATGACTTTTAGGTAAACAATAACATTAAGGAAGAAGTCAGAAAATTCTTTGAAATAAATAAAAACAGAGACAAAACCTACCCAAACCTCAGGAATGCAGCAAAAGCAGTGTTAAGAGGAAAGTTTATAGCACTATTCACCTATCTCAAAAAGTTAGAAAATCTCAAAAATTAACAATCAAACAACACACCTAGAGAAACTAGAAAAATAAGAGTAAACTAGCCCCAAAGCTAGCAGAAGAAAATAAATAACTAAAATCAGAGCAGGCCTGTATGAAATTGAGACATGTAAATCCATACAAAGAGTTAACAAAACTAAAAGTTGTTTGTTTGAAAGGATAAACAAGACCAATAGACCACTACCTAGATTAACAAAGGAAAAAAGAGAGATCCAAATAAGCACAAGCACATATGACAAAGATGTCATTACCACTGCTCCCACAGACATACAAAAGATCCTTAAGAGTCTGTGGTGAACACCTCTATGCATACAAACTGAAAAATCTAAAGGAAATGAATTAATTTTTGGAAATATACAATCTTCCATGATAGAATCAGGAAGAAATGGACACCCTGACCAGAATAATTTTGAGTTCCAAAATTGAATGAGCCATAAAAAATCCTACCAACCAAGAAAAAGCCAAGGAACAAATGATTCACAGCCAAATTCTACAAGATATATGAAGAAGAACTAGTACCAATACTACTGAAACTATTCCAAAAAATAAGGGAAGATGGATTCCTCCCTTACTCATTCTATGAAGCCAGCATCACCCTGATATCAAAACCTGAGAAAAACAAAATTAAAACAAAACAAAACAAAACTACAGGCCAATATTCCTTTTGAATGTAGATAAAAACATCCTTAACAAAACACTAACAAACTGAATCCAGCAGCATATAAAATAGTTAATTCACTTGATCAAGTAGGCTTTATTCCTGGGATGCAAGATTGGTTCAACATATGCAAATCAATGAATATGATTCAGTACATAAACAGAATTAAAAACAAAAACAATATGATCATCTCAATAGTTGAAGAAAAAGGTTTTGATGAAGTGTAAAATTCCTTGATGATAACAACTCTCAAGAAACTAAGCATTTAAGGACCATACCTCAAAATAATAAGAGCCATCTATGACAAACCCACTGTCAACGTCATAATAAATGGGCAAAACCTGGAAGCATCCCCCGCAAGAACCCACAAGACAAGAATGCCCACTCTGACTCTTATTCAACATAGTACTGGAAGTCCTTGCTAGAACAATGAAGCAAGAGAAAAAAAAAAAAAAAAGACATCCAAATAGAAAAAAGAGAAATCAGGCCACGTCTCTTTGCTGACAATATAATTCTATACCTAGAAAACCCTAATGACTCCATGAAAAGGATCCTGGAACTGGTAGATATCTTCAGTAAAGTGTCAGGATACAAAATCAACATATAATATTCAGCAGTTTATTTTTTATAAACCAATAACATTCAAGCTGAAAGCCAAATCAAGAATACATTCCCACTTAACAACAGCTGCCAAAAAATATAGGAATACATCTAACCAAGGAGGTGAAAGATTTCTACAAGGAGAACTACAAACTACTGCTGAAAAAAGTCACAGATTATACAAACAAATGAAAAATGTTCCATTTTCATGGATTGAAAGAATCAATATTATTAAAATGGCCATAGTGACCAAAGCAAGCTAAAAATTTCACACTATTTCTATCAAGCTACCAACATCATTTTTCTCAGAACTAGAAAAAAAACTATTATAAAATTCATGTGGAACCAAAAAGAGCCCAAATAACCAAAACTATTCTAAGAAAAAGAAGGAAATCAGAGGCTTCACATTACCTATACTATAGACTATACTATAAGGCTACAGTAACCAAAAGAGCATGGTGCTGCTACAAAATACACACATAGACCAATGGAACAGAATACAGAACACAGAAATAAATCCACATGACTACAGCCATCTGATCTTCCACAAAGTTAACACAAATAAGCAATGGGGAAAGCACTCCCTATGCAATAAATGGTTCTGGGATTGCTGGCTAGCCATATGCAGAAGACTGAAATTTAACCATATACAGAAATTAACTCAAGGTGGATCAAAGATTTAAAATTACAACTTCAAACTATAAGAATCCTGGAGGAAAACCTAGGAGACACCATTCTGGATACTAGTCTTGGGAAACAATTTATCACTGAGTCCTCAAAAACAATTGCAGCAAAAGCAAAAATTGACAAGTGGGACCTAATTAAACTAAAGACTTTCTGCACAGCAAAATAAACTATCAAAAGAGTAAACAGGCAAGCTACACAATGGTAGAAAATATTTGCAATCCATGTAGCTGACAAAGATCTAATATCCAGAATCTATAAGTCGTGTAAACAATTGAACAAGGAATTTAAAAAAAAATTTAAAAATGAGCAAAAGACATGACCACACATTTCTCAAAAGAAAAAATACAAGTGGCCAACAAATATCACTCATCATCAGAGAAATACAAATCACAACCACAATGAGATACCATCTCACACCAGTCAGAATGGCTATTACTAAAAATTCCAGAAATAACAGATGCTGGCCAAACTGGGAAGAAAATGGAATGGTTATACACTATTGTTGGGAATGTATATTAGTTCAACCACTTTGGAAAGCAGTTTGAAAATTTCTCAAAGAACCTAAAACAGAACTACGATTCAACCAGGCAATCACATTACTGGGTTTACATCTAAAAGAAAACAAATGGTTTTACTAAAAAGACACATGAACTCACATGTTCATCGCAGCACTATTCACAATAGCAAAAACATGGAATCAACCTAGTTGCCCATCAATGGTTAACTGAATAAAAGCAATGTGGTGTAAATACACGATGGAATACCATATAGCCATAAAAATGAATGAAATCTTGTCCTTTGCAACAACATGAATGCAGCTGAGGGTCATTATCCTAAGCCATTTAATGCAGGAACAGAAAATTAAATACCCTGTGTTCCCACCTTTAAGTTGGAGCTAAAAATAAGTACTCATAGACATAAAGTTGGCAACAATAGACACCGAGAACTGCCAGAGTGTAAAGGAAGGAGAGGAGTCAAGGGTTCAAAAACTAACTGTTGTGTACTATGCTCACTACCTGGGTGACTGGATCAATTATACCCCCATCCTCAGCATCATGCAATGTACCCAGGTAATGAACCTGCACATATATCCCCTGAATCTAAAAGAAAAGATGTAATTATTAAATAAATAATTTGGAAAAGCAGTCTTTAATTTTGGTATGGGTCCCACTGTGAGAGTTAAATGATAAATATGTATAAACCAAACAAAAAAGAAGTAGAGTAATACATGCCAGAAGACACAGCTAAAAGAATAGACAGTTGTTTCCTCTGGGAGTGGGAATACAGGATGGAGAGAGGTGGAGTAGGGTATGTTGCTTTGTATTATAAGCCCTTTATAAATATTCAAAGACAAAAATATGTACATGGATTATGCTGATAACAATTTATAAATAAACACATAGAGGAGGGTGCATCTGGTAACTTCTAGGTGAACTGGCATCTTTCACATCATATTGTCTTCAGCCTTCGTTTATTCTTTCAATATATATTTTGAAAATTTACAACATGTCCAGCCCTGTCCTAAATTTTGGGAGATCAGCAATTTGTAAAAATCTCAATTTTTATAGGCCTCATTGATGAAGCATTATCTATGCTCCTCTATTTGCTCTTCTTCGCAAGCAAACATTCTGCACAGTAGAGAATCTGGAGTGTTTCATATACAACATATCATATAAATGGATAGTCAGTGAAGCAAGGAACAAGACTTACTTTCTAAAATTCCCTAGAAAAAATAAAATGAAATAGATTACTTGAAAGAAAAAATAATTTAAAATTAATTAATTTTCTTGGTAAGAGAAAAGAATTCCCATGGACATTCAGGAGGAATCTCAAGGGAGCCCCAAGGAACCAAAACAATTTTGAAAAAGATGAACAAAGTTAAAGGACTCACACTTTGCAATTTCAAAACATATAACAAAGCTATAGTAACAAAACAGTGTGTCACAAGCAGAATGACACCCAGGCCAAGGCAATGGGAATCAAACAGACAACAAACAAATGATTTTCCATGAGGATACCAAGACCACTCAATGGAGAAATGACAGTCTCTTCAACAAGTGGTGTTGAAAACACTGGATATCCACAAGCAAAAGAATGCAGTTGGACTCTTATTTTACACATACAAAAATTAACTGGAAATGGATTAAACACTTAAATGTAAGAACTGAAATTACAAAACTCCTAAAAGAAAACATAGAAGACAGTTTCATAACATTGGATTTGATAATGATTTCTCTGATATGATACCAAAAGCACAAGCAACAAAAGCAAAAATAGACAAGTAGGACTACCTCAAACTAAAAACCTTCTGCACAAGAAAGGAAACAATCAACAGATTGAAAAAGCAACCTACAAAATGGGAGAAAATATTTGCAAATCATAAATCTGGTAAAAAGTTAATATCCACAATATAAAGAGCTCTTACAACTCAATAGCAAAAAATTTTAAATATCTTTATTTTTGAAATGTGTAAAAGACTTGTATAAATATATCTCCAAGGATGATATGCAAATGACCAATAAGCATATTAAAAGATGCTCAACATCACTGGAGGAAATGCAGATCAAAACCAATGTGATATCACCTCACATCCATCAAGATGGCTACTATTAAAAACTTCCAGAAAATAACAAATAGTGATGAGGATGTTGAGTAATTGTAATCTTTATGCACTGTTGATGGAAAGGTAAAATGGTGCAACTGCTATGGAAAACCTTATGGAGGTTCCTAAAACAATAAAAAATGGAACTATCCTTTGATACAGCAATCCTACTTATGAGTATATATCAAAAGAATTGAAAGCAGGATAAAAGAGAAATTTGTGTACCCATGTTCATAGCAGCACTATTCACAAGAGCAGTGATATATAAGCAACCCATGTGTCCATCCGTGGATGAATGGATAAACAAACTGTGGTATGTACATACAATGGAATATCATTCAGCCTCAACAAGAAAAGAAACCCTGACAGATGGACAGATACTATAATATAGATGAACCTTCAGAACATTATGGTCGGTTAAATAAGGTAGTCACACAAAGAAAAATACTGTATGATTCTACTTATATGAGGTACCTAAAGTAGTCAGATTCATAGAAACAGAAAGTAAAAAGGTGGTTGCCTCTCCCTTTGGGGAGAAGAAAAAGGACAGTTGTTTGATTAATATAGAGTTTCAGATCTGCAAAATGAAAAAGTTCTAGAGATCTGTTTTATAGCAATGTGAATATACTTAACACCACTGAACTGTATACTTAAAATGGATAAGATGGTAAACTTTATGTGTTTTTTTTCCCCTCAAAAGGTGAGAATAATTGTGTTTTAAAATGGGCTTTTATAAATATTATTACATAAGCTGGATATGTATGGATGCATGATAATAGCTGCCCTCTGTTGGCTATATTCACTTTTAGTTAAGAAAATATATCTACCCTTTGTGAAACCACTGAGTCTTGAGAAACTTTATAACAAAGTACTCAAGCTGTTAAGAAACACTCAATCAAATATTCATGGCTTTGTTGTTGTTCTAGCAGTTGAGAAGTGGAGATGAAATGAAAGAGCGGGATTTGGATCTTGGATTGTAATAAAGACTAAGATCTTTTCTGAGGTTCTCAGGACAGAGTAATGACTGCAAAGCAACCCTCATGAGAATTTTGCCGGTTCATTCCATGGTCGGTAAAGGCAATTTAGTCAGAGAACTGGTATAAAGCCATTATCACCCTTCTGTCCTCCAAAGTTATATGATATCATATATACTCTGCTTGCAATATAAATAATATTCAAACATCACATTCACATCTGTCTTTGTATCATCTTCACCATCTCATGCATGGAAGGTGCCCAATAAATATTTATTGTATACATGAATGCATGAATTGTAGGTTTTTAAAATGCTGAAGAAGTTTTATTCTAAAGAGAACACTGCATTAGAAGTCAGACAGTCATATTCATCCAGGCTATCTAATGATCCAGCCATGATAGTCATTTGAATTTGGGCAATTAATCACATCACCCCCTCTACCCTCTGAATAAAATAGCAATTAACTGTAATATATTGTTACTAAAAATAGCAACAGCAATGATAAACTTAGAAAATGATTTGATGCATTTTGAAACTCTATGACAATATAAAATATAGTATGGCATTATTTTTGAGAATTCGCTACATGCCATGTTCTATGCCAGGTGCTGTGAAGGATAAAAAGAAAGCATATCTTTTGCCATGCATTCAGAAAGCAATGCACTCATTTATCTAATTTTGAAGAACTGCCGTTTTTGCTTTAAAAAATAGATTAGTGACAGAAAATT
The DNA here is from genome assembly GCF_000001405.40 of Homo sapiens. Taxonomy (NCBI): domain Eukaryota; kingdom Metazoa; phylum Chordata; class Mammalia; order Primates; family Hominidae; genus Homo; species Homo sapiens. Next base: position 99,784,195 of record NC_000023.11, on the reverse strand, counting down.
AGATAGAGGGACACAGTTAGATATTAAATAGCAAGCTCCAGTGACAGGTTTGACAGACATGTTCAAATAGATTACTGACATAGTCTTGCACAGTCAATAAATCTTTTGGTAAGTTTGTTTTGTTTTGTTTAAGCAAATAGAAAGTGCTGTGAATTGCTACTGGCTTTTATAAGATGGTAGGTCAGTTTAGCTGATAATTGGAGAGACTAACCACACTATTCCATAAGAACTAGAAAGGGGGTCCAAGACTTGAAATTGAAAACCTGAGACGTACATCATACATCTTGAACTCTAAATATGTGCATTGTTGTAGTTGATAGAATATGCCAATGGCATTTTAAAATGTATTTTTGTCATGTTGAAGTGCACCTTTAGATCACATCCTGCATCATTCAAGTTCCTCAGCAAGACGGAGTTTCATAGCTTACAGTTTATATACTATCCCCAGTAGACCAATGATGAGCTGGGCTCTGCATGGGCTTTCTCCATGATCTAGAGTTTCTTTAAGCACATGAATGAGAATAACACTTTGAACTAAAAAGTTCTGGAGAACTGCTGTAGACTAATAAGAAGGAATGCAAATACTGTTTAACATGGCTAATTTCTTTGATTTTTAGAACATTTTTAGTAGGCATCTGTCCTAATAGAGCTGGTGAGTAAGAAATGGGGAAAGAAGAGCTGTCATCAGTGAAACACCTGCAGTTAGAGTCATCCTGAGTACTAGGATGATCAGTAGCTTATCAAGCTGATTAGTAGGTTGAGAGTTGTAGAGGGAGGATAACAAGGGGCTCACAATGACTTGATGAAACCAGCATGTGTCCCAGTCACAAACTAAGATATTTAAATAATGAAGTGCTGGAGATCAAGTGGAAGGCTGCGGGAGAGAAGTAATATTTCTGTAAAGGAAATTAAATCGATCTAGTTTTCTCAGTATTCAATAGGGTCTAAGTTCAAATCAATTCAGGAAGACCATCAGAAATTCCCCATATGTTGACCATATTATTGCAACTCTGCACAGAGTTGCCTACAGTGCACTCTGTTTTATGTTATTATTTCAGCTTTTCTTCAGATAAAATAAAACAGTAACCCCTCTCCCCAACATTTCTCCAACCCGATGTAAATAAAAGCTCTGTTTATTCACTTAGTGCATTTTCTGTAGCAATACTTTTGACAGCATTGTCTGCCACATCACTTATTTTGTCCCACTGAGAAAACACAATGAAGAATGTCTTTGAAAGGCTATTCCATGAACTGTCCTTTCTTTCTGATAATGATCAACAGCTCAATTTTCACTTTGATTTCTGAGCTTAAAAGTAAACTTGGGATTCAGTATAGCAGTGGTAATCCTGATTATTTATTTTTCTGTTGTACCCTCAAGAGTAGACATTCCTGTTATTTGAACTGCCTATTTCCTTATTCTTTATGCACAGTTCATTTTTAGAACATGTTATTGTATATATTTATGTTATAAAAAGACTTAAATATTTAAAAATGAAGTGTCGTTATAAGTAAATACTTGTAAAAAAATGTCAAGTGACATAATTTGGCAAGGGAATAATGAGTTAATGGGGAAATAATTAAAAACAGCCAATTGTGGTAGACTCGGTATTCTACAAATGTATACATGATCCTCAAAAACAACAAAAAAAGCCTTGAAGCTTAAACCATACATCGAATCAGTGACTTAATATGTGTTCTTCCAGTTGTTTTTTCTTTATTTTAATATTTAAAATCACATTATGTAGTAATGTAACCGCATTATAGAAATTTAGGACACTAGAGATAAGAAATTGTGTTTCTAACTTTGTGAATTATCTGTTCATGTCTTTCACTCTTTTATAAGCTGAGGTGATAGTATTTTTATATTTAAATTTGTTCTTAAAATCATATTCTAAGATAAAAAATGTAAGTGAAATACTTTTTGCATATCTTTTTTGCAGCAAATATTGTTCCCAGTCATTTATTTGCCTCTTTTTACTCTTTTTATTTGACTATAGTTTATTCCATATTCAAAAAAGTATATCTTTTTATTCATCCAGCAGTTTATTTCCTCAAAGCACTGTTCTAGCCAATGTCATGGATCACAGAAAGAGTTAAAATCTGATCACCATACTATCAGAGCATGTTAAAATCAGAGCTAATGTAATGTTGAATACAGAAGGTCATTTTACCTTAGGATTTCAGAGTCATGGGATTTGAAAACCATAATGTCATAAAATTTTGTAATCACTGAGTGCCAGTAGTGCCCTATAAACCTCCCCTAACCAACTGAAATGTAGAATTTGAGTGATATGGTTTGGATACTTGACCTCCCACACATTAAAATGTAACCCTCAGTGTTGGAAGTGGAACCCGGTGGGAGGTGTTTGGGTCATGGGGTTGGATCCCTCATGGCTTGGTGCTGTTCTTATTATATTGAGTGAGTTATCATGAGACCTGGTTGTTTAAAAGCATGTGGGACCCCCACCCACTTGCTCCTGCTCTCACCATGTGATGTTCCTGCTCCTACTTTGCCTTATGCCATGAATAAATGCTCCCTGAGGCTTCCCAAGAAGGTGAGCAGATAACAGCCTTATGCTTTCCATACAACCGGCTATAAATCATAAATTTCCTTTCTTTATAAATTACCCAGTCTCAGGTATTCCTTTATAGCAATGCAAAAATTGTCTGACACAGAAAATTGGTACTGGGAATGGAGTATTGCTGTGAAGATTTCTGAAAATGTGGAAATGACTTTGGAACTGTGTAACAGGCAGAGGTTTGAAAAGTTTGGAGGGCTCAGAAGAAGACATAAACATGAGGGAAAGTTTGGAACTTCTCAGATACTGGTTAAATGGTTGTGACCAAAAGGCTAATAGTGATATGCACAGTGAAGTCCTGGCTGACAAGGTCTCAGATGAAAATAAGAAAGTTTTTAGGAACTGGAGCAAAGGTCACCCTTGGTATGACTTAGCAAAGAACTTGGCTTTATTGTGTTCATGCCCTAGGGTTCCATAGAACTTTGGACTTAAACTTGATGACTGAAGATATCTGGCAGAAAAAAATTCTAATCAGAAAAGTGTTCAAGATTGTGCCTGGCTGCTTCTAACAACCTATTCTCCAATGTGGGAGCAAATAAAAGAATTAAAGTTGGAATGTATAATTAAAAGAGAAGCAGAGTGCAAAAGTGTGGAAAATTTGCAACTTCGCCACATGGCAGAGAAAGAAAAAGCATTATCAAGGGCAGAATTCAAGTGGGCTATGGAGCAACAACTTGCTAGAGATATTAGCGTGATTTAGAGGGAGCCAAGTGCTATTGTCCAAGACAGTGAGAAAAGGCCCTGAAGACATTTCAGCAATCTTCAAGGCAGCCCCTCCCACCACAGGTGCAGAGGCCTAGAAGAAAAGAATAGTTTTGTGGGCAAGGCCCTGGGCCCTGTTGCTCTGCACAGACTCTGGACACTGCTCCCTGCATTCAGGTTGCTCCAGCTCCAACCTCAGCTCAAAGGGCCTCAGATGCAGCTCAGGCTGCTGTATCAGAGGGCAAAAGGCATGAGCCTTTATGGCCTCCTACTTGATGTTAATCCTGTAGGTGTGCAAAGTGCAACAGTTAAGGAGGCTTAGCATTCTCCACCTAGATTTCAGATGATATATAAAAATGCCGGGTGCCCAGGCAGAAGCCTGCTGCAGGCATGGAGTCCTCACAGAGAGTTTCGACTAGGGCAGTGTGAAGGAGAAATGTGGGGTTAAAGACCCAACACAGACTCCCCACTGGGGTACTGCCTAGTCAAGCTGTAAGAAGTGTCCCACTGTCTTCCAGACCCCAGAATGGTAGATACATAAACAGCTTACATCTTCCATCTAGAAAAGGTGCAGAAACTCAACTCTGAAAGCAGTCTCAGTGTTTGTACCCTGCAAAGCTATAGGGGCAGAGCTGCCAGAGACCTGGGGAGCCCACCACTCACACAAGAGTTCCCTGGATGTGGGATAACATAGTCAAAGGATATTATTTTAGAGCTTTAAGATTTAATGACTGTCCTGCTGGGTTATAGATTGGATTGGGGCATGTTACTCATTTCTTTTAGCCAATTTCTCCCTTTTAGAATGGGAATTTTTCCAATGCCTGTATCCCCATTGTATCTTGGGAGTAAATAATTTGCTTTAATTTTACAGGCTTATAGGTGGAAGGAACTCATCTCCAGATAAGACTTTGGACTTGGGACTTTTGAGTTAATGCTGAAATGAGTTAAGACTTTGGGAGACTATTAGAAAGGCATAATTGCATTCTGATATGTGAGAAAGGCATAAGATTTGAGGACCCAACAGTGGAATGATATGGTTTGGATATTTGTACCCTCAAATCTCATAATGAAATTTAATCCTCGATGTTGAAGATGAGGCTTAGTGGGAGATGTTTGGGTCATAGGGGTGGATCCCTCTTGTTTTGGTGCTATCCTTGTGATGGTGAGTACTCGTGAGATCTGGTTGTTTAAATGTGTGTGGCAGCTCCACCTCCGCTCTCATTCTTGCTCATGCTCTTGCCATGTGATATGCATGCTCCTGCTTTGCCTTCTGCCATAAGTAAAAGCTCTCTGAAGCCACCCAAGAAGGTGGGAAGATGCTGGCACCATGCTTCCTGGACAGCCTACAGAACTATGAACCAATTAAACATCTTTTCTTTATAAATTACCTATTCTCAGGAATTTCTTTATGTAAATGCAAGAATGGCCTAAAGCACTTAGAAAAAATCAGAATAATTACCATTTAGAAAATTGGGAGAGAGGTGGATCAAGATGGTGGAATAGAAGACTTCACTGATCATCCTTCCCTTCAAGGAAACCAATGGAACAACTATGTACAGAGGAAAAAAAAAAACACCTTCATAAGAACCAAGAATCAGATGAGTACACATTGTACCCAGCTTTAACTTCATATCACTGAAAGAGGCACTGAAGAGATAGAAAAAATAGTCTTGAATGGCTGATGCCACCGCTCCTACCCCTGCACACCCACCCCCTAGCAGTGGTGGTGTGGTACAGAGAGCATCTCCGGGTATTAGGGGAGGAAGAGCATAGCAATTGTGAGGCTCTGAACTCAGTGCTGTCATATATATCAGAAAGCAATACCAGACCAAACTCAGCTGGTGCCTGCCCATGAAGGGAATATTTAAAACAGCCCTAGCCAGAGGGAAATCGCTGATCCAGAGGTCAAAACTTAAGTTCCCGCAAACCTTGCCACCTAGATCCAAAGTGCTCTGGGTCTCTAAGTAAACTTGAAAGGCAGTCCAGGCAATAAGGACTGCTACTCTTAGGTGAATCCTAGTGATAAACTGGGCCCCAAAGACAGTGGACTGGGGCGGCACGTGACCTATTGAGACACCAGCTGGGGCAGCCAAGGGACTGCTGACATCACCTCTCTCCTAACCCCGTGCTGCTCAGCTTGCAGCTCCAAAAGAAACCCCTTTCACCGGCTTGAGGAGAGGGAATGAAAGAGTAGGGAGAACTTTGTCTTGTATCTTAGATACCAGCACAGCTACTGCAGAATAGGGCGCTGGTCAGAAAGATGAGCCCCCCGTTTCAGGCCCTAGATTCCAGATGATATTTCTAGACACACCCTGGACCATAAGAAAACCTGCTGTCTTTAAGGGAAGGACCTATCCCTGGAAGCATTTATCACCTGCTAGCAAAAGAGCCCTTGGGCCCTCAATAAACAGCAGCAATACCCAGGTACTAAGTCAAGTGTTTTGGGTGAGCCTCTGATACTTGCTGGCTTCAGATGAGACTCAGCACGTTACCAACTGTGGTGGCTACAAGGCAAAACTCCTGATTAAAAAAATCAGAGGAAAAAGTAAAGGGGACTTCTCTTGCATCTTTGGTGTCAGCATGGCCACTGTTGGGTAGACCACCAAGTGGGCTCTTGGGGTGTCTAATTCCAGGATTTGACTCTTGGATGGCATTTGTGGACCTGCCCTGGGCCAATGGGGAACCCACTTTCCTGAAGTGTGAGTCCCAGGCCAGGCAACACTTACCACAGGTTGACTTAAGTGACCTTGGGCTTCAAGGGAACATCAGCAGTAGTCTGGCAGTACTCTTCATGGCCTGTGGTGGCAGTGGCTAGGAGGTAAGGCTCCTCTGCCTTTGGAAAGGGAGCAAGAGTGGGAAGGACTGCGTCCTGCAGTGTGAGTGCTAGCTAAGTCACAGTACCCTAGAACACAAGGCAGAATTTTAAAGTTTTTGACTCTAGTCCCTGACTCCTGGACTGCACTCTTAGATCCACATGGAGCCTGGAGATCTTGCCACCCTGAAGTGAAGAATTCAGGCCTGGCTGGCTTTGTCATGAGCTGATTGTAGAGCACCAAGGCCTGGAGAAAACATAGACAGTAACCAAAGAGTGGTCACAGTAGGCCTTATGCAAGACCCAGTGCTGTGCTGCCCTCACGTCTAACCCAGCACAGTTATAGTGGTGGTGGTCACAGGGGTGCTTGTTTTACTATACCCTCAGCTTTACGTATCTTAGAACAGAGAGAGAGAGAGAGAGAGAGAGAGAGAGATTCTATTTGTTTGGGAGAAAGTAAGAGAAGTGAACAAGCATCTCTGCTTAGAAATCCAGAGAATTCTCCTGGATCTTGCCAAAGACCAGCAAGGCAGTACCTCTATGAGTCTGCAAGAACCACAGTGTCACTGGGCTTAGGGTGCTGCCTAAAGCAGATAGAGTTTAGATCATAACACCCAAGTCCTTTCAATTACCTGGAAAGCCGTCTGAAGAAGAACAGATACAAATAAGCCCAGAAAGTGAAGGCTACAATAAATACTTAACTCTTCAATGGCCAGACACCGAAGAACAACAACTAGCATTAACGCTACCCAAGAGAACATGACCTCACCAAATGAACTAAATAAAGCACCAGAGACCAGTCCTCAAGAAACAGAGATATGTGACCTTTCAGACAGAGAATTGAAAATAGCTGTGTTGAGGAACTGTGAAGAGATTCAATATAACACAGAGAAGGAATTCAAAAATTATTTCAGGTAAATTTATCAAAGAGATTTAATAATATAAAAGAATCTAGCAAAAATTCTGGAGCTGAAAAATGAAATTGGCATACTGAGGAATGCACCAGAGACTTTTAATAGCAGAATGGATCCAGCAGAGTAAAGAACTAGTGAGCTTGAAAATAGGCTGTTTTGAACATGAACAGTCAGAGGAGACAAAAGAAAAAAGAATAAAAAACAACGAAGCATGTCTACAGGATATAGAAAACAGCCTCCAAATGGCAGATCTAAGAGTTATTGGCCTTAAAGAGGAGGTAGAGAAAGAGATGCAAGTAGAAAGTTTATTCAAAGCAACAATGTCTGATTCCCAAACCTAGAGAAAGATATCAATATCCAAGTGCAAGATGGTTGTAATAGAACACTAAGCAGATTTAACCCAAATAAGTTTACCTCAAGATCTTTAATAATCAAACTCTTAAATGTCAAGGATAAAGAAAGTATCCTAAAAGCAGCAAGATAATAGAAACAAATAAAATACAATGGATCCCCAATACACCTGGCAGGAGACTTTTCAGTAGAAGCCTTTCAGGCCAGGAGAGAGTGGAATGACAAATGTAATGTGCTGAAGAGAAAACATTTAAGCTAGAATAGTATATTCAGTGAAAATATTTGTCAAACATAAAGGAAAAATGAAGACTTTCCCATACAAACAAAAGCTGAGGAATTTCATCAACATCAGACCTATCCTACAAGAGATGCTACAGGCAGTACTTAAGTGTAAAAGCAAAGGATATTACTGAACAATATGTAATCACCAGAAGGTACAAAATTCACTGGTAATAGTAAGTACACAGAAAAACACAGAATATTGTAACACTGCAACTATGATGTGTAAATTACTCTTATCCTAAGTAGAAATACTGAAGGATAAACCAATAAAAAGACACTACATCTTTTCAAGACGTGTACAATAAGATATAAATAAAAATGACAAAATGTTAAAAAGCAGGGAGAAATTAAGGAATAGAGTTTTTATTAGTTTTCCTTTTCTTGTTTGTTTATTTATGCAAACAGGGTTAAGATGTTATCAGGTAAAATAATGTGTTATAAGATAATATTTGCAAGCTTCATGGTAACCTCTAACAAAAAAACACAAAATAAATACAGAAAAAATAAAAAGTAAGAAACTAAATTACATCACTCGGGACAATCACCTTCATTAAATGAAGACAAGAAAGAAAAAAAGAAAGGATGAGAAGACCACAAAAAACCAGAAAACAAATAAAAAATGGCAAGAGTAAGTCCTTACTTATCAGTAATAACATTGAATGTAAATGCACTAAGCTCTCTAATCAAAGACACAGAGTAGCTGAATGGATTAAAATTACAAGACCCATGGATCTGTTGTTAATAAAAAAACACACTCTACCTATAAAGACACACACAGAGATAAAATAAAGGAATGGAAAAAGGTATTCCATGCCAATGGAAACCAAAAAAGAGCAGGAGTCGCTATTCCTATATTAAACAAAATAGATTTAAAGACAAAATGTAGAAGAGACGAGAAAAGTCACTGCATAATGATAAAAAGGTCAACTCAGCAAGAGGATATCACAATCGTAAACATATATGCGCCCAACACTGGAACACCCAGATATATAAAGAAGATACTATTAAAGCTAATGGGAAAGATAGGCTGCAATACAATAATAGCTGGAGACATTTATTCCTCACTTTCAGCATTAGACAGATCTACCAGACACAAAATAAACAAAAAACATCAGAATTATTCTGCACTATAGAGCAAATGAATCTAATAGATATTTGTAGAACATTTCGTCCAATGACTGCAGATTACACATACTTTTCCTGAGCACATGAATCATTCTGAAAGATAGACCATATTTTAGATCACAAAACAACACTTAAAACATTACAAAAGTGGAAATAATATCAGGCATCTTATCTTACCACAATGGAATAAAACCAGAAGTCAACAAGAAGAGGAATTATGGAAACTATACAAAACAGGGAAATTAAACAATATACTCTTGAATTACCAGTGGGTCAATGAAGAAATTAAGAAACAAATTGAAAAATTTCCTGAAACAAACAATAATTAAAAGACAAAACAACAAAATCTATGGGATACAGTAAAAGAGTACTCAGAGAGAAGTTTATAGCTTTAATTGCCTACACCAAATAGAGAAAATACTTCAAATAAGCAATCTAATAATGCATTTTAAAGAAGTAGAAAAGCAAGAGCAAACTAAACCCAAAAGTAATAGAAAAAAACAATTAAATTCAGAGCAGAAATAAATGGAATTGAAATGAAAAAGCAATGCAAAGGTCAATGAAAGAAAAAGTTGTTTTTTTGAGAAGTTAAATAAAACTGACAAAACTTTACCCAGAATAACTAAGGAACAAAGAGAGAAGATCCAAATACATAAAAACAGAAATGAAAAAGGAGACATTACAACTGATATTGCAGAAATGCAAATGATTATCAGTAGCTACTATGAACGAGTATATGCCAATAAATTCAAAACCCAGGAAGAAATGGATAAATTCCTAGACACATACAACCTACAAAGATTGAATCAGGAAGAAATAAAAAACATAAACAGACAAATAACAAGTAATTACATCAAAGCTATAATAAAAACTCTTCCACTAAAGAAAAGCCCAGGACCCAATGGCTTCAATGCTGAATTCTACCAAACTAAAAGAACTAATACCAATCCTACTCAAACTATTCTGAAAAATAAAGGAGGGAATACTTTTCATCTCATTCTATCAGGCCAGTATTACCCTGATACCAAAACAAGACACAGACACATTAAAAAAAAAAAACTACTGGCCAATATCTCTGATTAATATTGATGCAAACATCCTCAACAAAATACTAACAAGCCGAATTCAACAATATGTTAGAAAGATCATTCATCATCACCACGTGGCATTTATCCCTGGGATAAAAATCATGTAATCTTATAAATTGATGCTGAAAAAGTATTTGATAAAATTCAACATGTCTTCATGATTAAAACCCTTAAAAATAGGACTAGAGGGAACATACCTTAACATAATAAAATTGACATACAACAGACACACAGCTGCTATCATAGTGAATGGGAAAAACCTGAAAGTGTTTCCTCTAAGATCTAGAATACAACAAGGATGCCCACTGTCACCACTGTTATTCAACATGACACTGGAAGTCCTACGTAGAACAGCAAACAAGAGAAAGATATAAAGGGCATTGAAATTGGAAAGAAAGATGCCAAATTATCCTTCTTTGCAGATGACAAAATTTTACATTTTGAAAAACCTAAAGACTTCACAAGAAAACTCTTAGAATTGATAAACAAATTCAGTAAAGTTGCAGGATATAAAATCAACACCCAAAAATCAGTAGTATTTCTATATGCCAAGAGTGGACAATGCGAAAAAGAAATCAAAATGTAATCCAATTTACAATAGCCACACATAAAATTAAATACCTAGGAATTAAACAAATAAGTAAAAAAAACTCTATAATGAAAACTATGGAACACTGATAACATAAATTGAAGAGGAAGCCAAAAAATAAAACAATATTTCATGTTCATGGATTAGAAGAATCAATATTGTTAAAATTTCCAATTTACCCAAAGCCATATACATTTTCATTGCAATTCTTATCAAAATACCAATAACATTTTTTATAGTAATAGAAAAAAAAATCCTAAAATTTATATGAACTCACAAAAGCCGAATTCAACAGAATAGCCAACGCTATCCTGAGCAAAAAGAAAAAAACTTGAGGAATCACATTGCCTGACTTCAAATTATACTACAGAGATATAGTAACCATGACAGCATGTTATGGCTTAAAAACAGTTATATAGGCCAACGGAACAGAATAGAGAACCCAGAAACAAATCCACATACCTACAGTCAACTAATTTTCAACAAAGGTGCCAGGAACATAGAGTAGGGAAACAGAGTCTCTTCAATAAATGGTGCTGGGAAAACTGTATATCCATATGCAGGTGAATAAAACTAGACCCCCATCTCTCACCATATACAAAATTCAAATCAAAATGATTTAAACACTTAAATCTAAAACATTAAATTATGAAACTACTACAGGAAAACATTGGGGAAAATCTCCAAGGCATTTGTCTGGATAAAAATTTCTTGACAAACACTGCAGTAGCAGAGGCAATCAAAGCAAAAATGGACAAATGGAATAACATCAAGTTAAAAAGCTTCTGCACAGCAAAAGAAACAATCAACAAAGTGAAAAGACAACCCACAGAATGGGAGAAAATATTTGCATATTACCCATGTGACAAGGAATTAATAACCAGAATATATAAGGAGCTCAAACAACTCTATAGGAAAAAACGTAATAATCTGATAAAAATAGGGGCAAATGATTTGAATAGACATTTCTGAAAAGAAGACATAAGAATGGCAAACAGGCATATGAAAAGTTGCTCAACATCTTTGATCCTCAGAGAAATGCAAATCAAAACTACAATGAGATATTATCTGACACCAATTAAAGTGGCTTATATCCACAAGACAGGAGATAGTAAATGCCGGAAAGGATATGGAGAAAAGGGAACCCTTGTACATTGTTGGTGGGAATGCAAATTAGTACAACCACTATGGAGAACAGTTTGGAGGCTGCTCAAAAATCTAAAAATTGAGCTACCATATGATCCAGCAATCCCACTGCTGGGTACATATACAAAAGAAAGGAAATCAGTATATCAAAGAGATATTTGCACTTTTACATTTGTTGTAGCAGTATTTACAATAGCTAAGATTTGGAAGCAACCTGTGTCCATCACCAGATGCATGCATAAAGAAAATAGGGTACATATACATAGTGGAGTACTATTCAGCCATCCAAAAGAATGATATTCGTCATTTGTAACAATATGGATTGAACTGGAGATCATTATGTTAAGTGAAATAAGCCTGGCACAGTGAGACAAACATCATGGCATTTTCTAATTTATTTGGGATCAAAAAATTAATACAATTGAACTCACAGATGTAGAGAGTAGAATGGTGGTTACCAGAGGCTGGGAAGAGTAGTGGGGGCCTGGGGGAGAGAGGGAAAGTTAATGGTTATAAAATAAATAGTTAGAAAAAATAAATAAGACCTAGTGTTTGATAGCACAACAGGGTGACTATAGTCAATAATAACTTGTACATTTTTAAATAACTTAAATAAAATAAAGTATGTAATTGGATTGTGTATAACTCAAAGGATAAATGCTTGAGGGGATGGATACCCAATCCTTCATGATGTGCTTATTATACATTGCAAGCCTTTATCAAAACATCTCATGTACCCCATAAATATTAATATATATACCTAGTATGTACCCAGAAAAAATAAAATTTAGAAAACATTTAGATAAATGGAGACATACAAATGTCCTATTCATGAAAATTGCCCTGTAACAATTTGAAAACAACCACAGGTTTTTTTGAGGTAATAATTTGATAATGAAAGATAATTTTCTATTTTTCTTTGAATCAGGTTTGATAATTGTTTCACCAGATGTTCATTTTATTAAGATATTCAAAATTATTAATATTAGCTAATTAGTTTGTTAGAAGTTATTAATATTCTTTGTGTCAGTTGATGAACTCCTTTACTCATTTCTGATTTTGGCTGTGTGCAATTGTCTAATATTTTCCTAATTAATTTACCAGAGATTATCTATTTTACTCTCCCCTTCCCTCACTCCCTACCTTCACTCCCTTCTCCCTTCCCTTCCTTTCCCTCCCCTCCCCTCCCCTTCCCTTCCTCTTCCTTCCTTCCCTCCCCCTCTCCCTCCCTCTCTGCCTTCCTCTACTCCTTTCTTCTCTCATCTTTTTGGAGAACTGGATTTGGATTTATTAATAAGTTTGACACTTTTCATTTGCTAATTTATTTGTTTATAGTTTTATTTACATTATTTTTTCCCTTAGGGATTCTGTCTTCTTTGTGATTTTGTTTTTCTATCTTCCTCAGTGAAGGGTTAGTTTATTTATCTTTATTCTTTTTTGTTTAATATTTAATGCATTTAAATATATGAATATACTACTGAATAACACTTTGGATCTATCATATACATTTTGCTTCATAGTATTCTGATTTTCTAGATTAGTTGTAGTTGCATTTTTAAATTTTTTTCTTTTATTCATTAGTTATTTTTGGAGAGAGATACTTAATCTGTTAGTGTTAGTTTTCTGTTTCTTTGAGTGTTTTTTGTTACTTTATAATTTTGTTGCAACATGACCAGAAAATATGGCTTGACCATTTTGTACTTTCTTGAGCTCAATGAAATTTTCTTATTGACTTTGTATAGTTTCAGTTTCAAAACTTACTGCATGAATCTGTGAAAGGAAGTTTAATTAGCTGTAGTCTATAGAATTCAATCCTTTAAATTGTATTTATTGCCTCTGTGTCTTTATTTGTAGACATTTTTGTTGTGATAAAAGTAATATATACCTTCTTCATAAATTTTTCAGTGTAAAGTATTGATAACTATTCACACAGTGTTTCACAGAAGCTCCCTAGAACTCTTTTAACTTGCATGATTGAAACTTGATACCCATTGCACACTAACTCCCCATTTTCCCCTCCCCCAGTCTCTGCAAATCACCATTCCACTTTTTGCTGTCATAAGTTTTACTACATTATATATCTCACTATGAGTGGAATCATGTGGTACTTGTCCTTTCATGACTGACTTATTTTATTTAGCCTAATGTCCTCAAGGTTTATCCATGTTGTAACATAAAACAAGGTTTTCTTCTTTTTATGGCTGAATAGTCCATTGTACATATATATCAAATTTTCTTTGTGTATTCACTAATCAATGGACTTCTAAGTTTGTACTGTTTGACTATTGTGATTAATGCTTTAATGTACTCTGTAACTGTATTATTACCTCAAAAAAAACCTGTGGTTGTTTCAAATTGTAACAGGGCAAATATCTCTTAGAGAACTTGATTGCAATTCTTTTAGATATATACCCAGAAGTGGGATTACTGGATCATCTCTTTATTCTATTTTTAATTTTTTGAGGAATCACCATACTGTTTTCTATAGTGACTACACCATTTTACATTCCCACGAACAGTGTGCAAGGGCTCCAATTTCTCCACATCCTCGTCAACATTTCATTTCTGTTTCCTTTATTTCTATTTTTTAAATGGTCATACTAACAGATGTGAAGTGATATCTTATTGTGGCTTTTATTTACATTTCCCTGATCATTTAATGGTGTTGAGCATCTTTTCATATACCATATACTGTCATCCATTTGTATGTCTTCTTTGGGGAAATGCAAATTCAAGTCCTTTGCCTATTTTAAATCAGGTTATTTGTTTTTATGCCATAAAGTCATAGGTGTTGTTTCTGTATTTGTAATATTAACTCCTTATCATACATATGGTTTGTAATATTGCCTTCCATTTTATAATTTGGCTTTTCATTCTTTTGTTTCCTTTGCTGTTCAGAAATTTTTAGTTTGATGTAGTCCCATTTATTTATATTTTTGTTTTTGTTTCCTGTGCTTATGATGCCATATCTAACAAATCATTGTCAATCCAGTGTCAGAAAGCTTTTCCCCTATATTTTCACTTAGCAGTTTTACAGATTCAGTTCTTACATTTAAACCTATATTTTGAGTTGATTTTTGCATACAGACTAAAAATATGGGTACAATTTTATTCTTTTGCATGTGGATGCCCAGTGTTCTCAGAACCACTTGCTAAAGAGACTGTCCTTTCCCTATTGTGTTTCCTTGGCACTGAAGTTAAAGACCAGTTGACCATGTATGTGTAGTTTTATTTGTGGGTTCTGTATTCTGTTTTATTGGCCTATATGTCTGTCTTTATGCCAGTACCATACTGTTTTTCTTACTGTAGCTTTATATATGTTTTGAAATCAGGAACTGTGATTTGGTCTCCAGCTTTGGTCTTTCTTCTCAATATAGTTTTGACTATTTGGTGTCCTTTTGGTTTCATATAAATTTTAGCATTGCTTTTTTCTATGTCTGTAATAATTGTCACAGGGATTTTGATAGGGATTGCATTGAATATGTAGCTCACTTTGGGCAGTATGGACATATTAACAATATTATATCTTCCAATCATGTTCATGGGGTATCTTTCCATTTATTTGTGTCTTTAATTTCTTTCAGCAGGGTTTCAAATTTCTAACTATATAAGTTTTTTGCTAAGTTAGTTAAGTTTGTTCCTAAGTATTTTATATATTTTTGATGATATTGTAAATAAATTTTTTTCTCAGTTTCCTTTTTGGATTTTTGGTTGTTAATGAATAGTAATGCAATTAATTTTTGAATGTTGACTTTTTATCCTAATAAACTTTATTTATTAGTTCTAAGAGCTTTCTTTGTGGAATCTTTAGTGGTTTTAAATATATAATCATGTCATCTGTGAACAGAGATAGTTTCACTTCTCCTTATCTGATCTAGATTTCTTTTATTTCTTTTTCTGGCCTAATTCCTCTTGCTAGAACTTTCAATGCTACATTATAGAAGTGGCAAGAGTGGACATACTCATTTCATTTTGTGTCTTAGTGGTAAAGCTTTCAGTGTTTTACTAAGTATAGTATTAGCTGTGGTCTTTTCTCTATGACTTTTATTATGTTGAGGTAATTTCCTTGTATTCCTAGAGGGTTGAGTGTCTTTATCATGAATGGGTGTTAATTCATGTCAGCTGATTTTTCTGTACCTATTTAGATGATCTTGTGATTCTTATTCTTTATCCTGTTGATGTGGTATACCACACATGTTGTGGTGTATCACAACATATAAAACATAATTTTATATGTTGAACCATCCTTGGATCTGAGGAATAAGTCTCACATGATCATGGTATATAATTTTTTTATGTAGAGATGAATTCAATGTTCTAGTATTTTGTTGATAAATTTTGCATTCATGTTTCCTCATCAGGCATATTGGATTGTAACTTTTTTATTGTATTGCCATTTCCTGGCTTTAGTATCAGGGTAATACCTCAGAAAACAATTTTGGAAGTGTTACCTCCTCTAGAATTTTTTGAAAAAGTTTGAGGATTAGTGCTAATTATTTAAATGTTTAATAAATTTTACTAATGAATCCATCTTGTCCTGGCTTTTATTTATTGGGAGGTTTTTGGTTATTGATTCAATCTCCGTACTATATATAGGTCTTTTTGGATTTTCTATTTCTTCATGATTCAGTCTTGATAGGTTATATGTTGCTAGGAATTTACAAATTTGTTCTGGAATAACCAGTTTTATGACATATACTTACTCATTATTTCCATCCCCTGAAAAATTATCCACTGAGTTACAAAGTTACAAAAAAATCCAATTACATACTTTAAGCTATTTTAAAATGTACAATTAAGTTTTTATTGACTTTAGCCACCCTTTTGTGCTATCAAATAGTAGGTCATATTTATTCTTTCTATTTTTTTGTAACCATTAATCATCCCCAGTTCCTCCCAAGTTTCCCAATACCCTTCATAGCCTCCAGTGACCATCCTTCTACTCACTACATTCATGAGTTCAATTGCTTTGATTTTTAGATCCCACAAATAAGTGAGAACATGCCATGTTTTTCTTTCTGTGCCTGGCTTATTTAACTTAATGTTATGATCTCCAGTTTCATCCATGTTGTTGTAAATGGATGGATTTCATCTTTTTTATAGCTGAATAGTACTCCATTGTGTATATGTACCATATTTTCTTTATCTATTCTTCTGTTGATGGGCACTTAGGTTGCTTCCAAATCTTAGTTATTGTAAACAGTGCTACAGCAAATGTAGGAGTGGAGATACCTCTTCAATATACAAATTTATTTTCTCTGGGGTATATACCCAGCAGTGGGATTACTGGATCATATGGTAGCTCAGTTTTTAGTTTTTTGAGTTACCTCCAAACTCCATAGTGGTTGTATTAATTTACATTCTCACAAACAGTGTACAAGGGTTCCCTTTTCTCCACATTCTTTCCAGCATTTGTTATTATCTTTTAGATATGAGCCATTTTAGTGGGGGTAAAGTTAAATCTCATTGTAGTTTTGATTTGTATTCCTCTGACCAATGATGTTGAGAATGTTTTAATATGCCTATTTGCCATTCGTATGTCTTCTTTTGAGAAAATTCTATTCAAATATTTTGCCCATTTTTGATCAAATTATTAGATTTTTTTCCTACAGAGTTGGTTGAGCTCCTTATATATTCTGGTTATTAATTCCTTGTCAGAGAGGTGGTTTGTAAGAATTTTCTCTCATTCTGTCTGTTATCTCTTCACTTATTGATTGTTTCATTTGCTGTGCAGAAGCTTTTTAGCTCGATGTGATCCCATTTGTCCATATTTGCTTTGGTTGCCTATGGTTATGAGTTATTACTCAAGAAATCTTTGCCCACTCCAATGTCCTTGACAGTTTCTTCAATGTTTTCTTGTAGTAATTTTATAGTGTGATGTCTTAGATTTAAGTGTTTCGTCCATTTTGATTTGATTTTTGTATATGGCAACACATAGAGACCTAATTTTATTTTTTTGCCTATGGATATCCGGGTTTTGCAGCACCATTTATTGAAGAGACTGTCTTTTTCCCAGTGTGTGGTCTTGGCAACTTTGGTAAAAATAAATTCACTGTAGTTGTACGGATTTGTTTCTGGGTTCTCTATTCTGTTCTATTGATCTATGTGTCTGTTTTTATGCCAGTATCATGCTGCATTGGTTACTATAGCTCTGTAGTATAATTTGAAGTCATGTAGTATGATTTATCCCGTATTGTTCTTTTTTTGCTTAGGATAGCTTTGCCTATTCTGGATCTCTTGTTATTCCATATAAATTTTAGGATAGTTTTTTTTTTAATTTCTGTGAAGAATGTCATTTGACGTATTAATAAGAATTGCATTTAATCTGTGAATTGCTTTGTGTAGTATGGACATTTTAATAATATAGATTCTTCCAATCCATGAACATGAAATGTTTTTCCATCTTTTGGTGTCCTCTTCAGTTTCTTCCATCATTGTTTATAATTTTCATTATAGATATCTTTTCTTCTTTGGTAAATTCTAAAGCATTTGATTACATTTGTGGTTATTGTAAATGGGATTACTTTTTAAATTTATTTTTCAGATTATTCACTGTTGACTTATAGAAATGCTACTGATTTTTGTATTTTGATTTTGTATCCTGAAACTTTACTAAATTTGTTGATTACTTCTATCATTTTCTTGTGGAATCTTTGATGTTTCTGAATATAAGATCATATCATCAGCTAACAGAGACAATTTGAATTCTTTCTTTCCAATTTGGATGAACTTTTTGTATTTCTCTTGTCTGATTGCTCTATCTAGGACTTCCAGTACTATGTCGAACATTGGTGACAGTGGGTAGCCTTGTTGTGTTCTATATTTTAGAGGAAACTCAGTTTTTCCCCATTCAGTATGATAGGAGCTGTGTGTCTGTTGTATATCAGTTTTATTGTGTTAAGGTATGTTCCCTCTAAGCCCATTTTTTGAGGATTTTTATCATAAAGACATGTTGAAATTTATCAAATGTATTTTCAGCATCAATTTATAAGATGATGTGGTTTTTACCCTTAATTCTGTTGATATGATGTATCACATTGATTGCTTTGTGAATGTTGTACCATACTTGCATCCCAGGGATAAATGCCACCTGGTCATGAATTATCTTTCTAATGTATTGTTGAATTTGGCTTGCTAGTATTTTGTTGAGAATGTTTTCATGAATATTCATCAGAAATGTTGGCCAGTAGTTTTCTTTATATGTGTCCTTGTCTGGTTTTGGTATCAGAGTAATACTGGCCTTGTAGAATAAGTTTGAAAGTATTCTCTCCTCTTCAATTTTTTGAACTATTTTGAGTATAACTGGTGTTAGTTCTTCTTTAAATGTTTGGTAAAATTCGGCAATGAATCCATTGGATCTTTAGTTTTTCTTTATTTGAAGACATTTTATTATGGCTTTGATCCTGTTACTTCTCATTGATCTGTTCAGGTTATGCATTTCTTCCTGAATCAATCTTGGTAGGTTTTATGTATCTCAGAATTAGTCGATTTCTTCTAGATTTTGCAATTTATTAGCACATAATTGTTCTTAGTAACCACAAATGATCCTTTGAATTTCTGCACTTTCAGTTGTATTGACTCCTTTTCATTTCAGATGTTATTTATTTGGATCCTCTCCTTATTCCTTAGTCTGGCTAACGGTTTGTCAGTTTTGTTGAACTTTTCAAAAAAAAAAAAAACACTCAACTTTTTGTTTTATTGATCTTTTGTATTTTTTATTTCAATTTTATTTATTTCTTCTCTGATCTTCATTATTTCTTCTACTTATTTTGGGCTTGGTTTGATCTTACCATTGTAGTTTTTAAAGATGCGTCATTAGATTATTTGAAGTTTTTCCTTTTTGTAATTTAGACACTTATGGCTATAAACTTCACTCTGATTACTGCTTTTGCTGTATCCCATAGGTTTAGATATGTTGTGTTTCCATTATCATTTTTTTCAAGAAACTTTGCAATTTCCTTCTTAATTTTTTCATTGACCCACTGATTATTCTGGAGGATATTGTTTAATTTGCATGCATTTTTAAAGTTTCCAAAATTCTTCTTCATATTAATTTTTATTCTTATTCCATTGTGGTCAGAGAAGATGCTTGCTGTTATTTTAATTTATTTGAATGTTTGAAGATTCTTTTTGTGACCTAACATATGGTCTATCCTTGAGAATAATCCAAGTCCTGAGCAAAAGAATGTGAATTCTACAGCTGTTGGATAAAATGTTCTATAAATATTTATTAGATCCATTTGGTCTGTGGTACAGATTAAGTTTGATTTTTCTTTGTTGATTTTCTGTCTGGAAGATATTTCCAATGCTGAAAGTGGGATGTTGAAGTCTCCAGCTATTATTGTACCAGGGCCTATCTCTTACTTTAGCTCTAATAATATTTCCTTTATATATCTGGGTGCTCCATTGTTGGGTGCATATATATTTAAAATTGTGATATCTTTCTGAATTGACCCCTTTATCATTATACAGTGACCTTCTTTGTAGCGTCTTATAGTTTTTGCTTTGAAATCTATTTTGTCTAAGCACAGTGAATCTTGCTTTTTTTTTCTGAATTCAATTGCAATGCAATATCTATTTTCATCTCTTTATTTTCAGTCCATGTGTGTCTTTATAGGTGAAGTGTGTTTCTTAAAGGCAACAAATCCATGGCTCTTTCTTCATTCATTCAGCTTCTCTATGTCTTTTGATTGGAGAGTTTAGTCCATTTACATTCAATGTTATTATTGATAAATAAGGACTTTCATTTGCCATTTTTATTTGTTTTCTGGGTTTTTTTTGTGATCTTCTCTTCCTTTTTTTCTTTCTTGTCTTTGTTTAGTGAAGGTGATTTTCTCTGGTGACATCATTTAGTTTCTTACTTTTTATTTTTCTGTATTCGTTGTATGTTTTTTGGTTAGAGGTTACCATGAGGTTTGCAAATACTATCTTATAAGATTAATTTAATCTAATAAAACATTAGCACTTTGCACCATAAAACAAATAAAAAGAAATTTTAAAAAATGTATGCTTTAACTTCATTCCACCCCAATTGTTAACTGTTTGTTCTTTCTATCTTATCATACTGACTAAATCTTGAAAACTTGTTGAGGTGATTATTTTTTATTGGTTCATTATTTAGTCTTTTTACTTAGGATAAGAGTAGTTTATACACCACAGTTACAGTGTTATTATTATATATTATTATTATTGAAACACATTCTGTGTTTTTCTGTGTACTTACTATTACCAGTAAGTTTTGTATCTTCGTGTGATTATTTATTGCTCAATAATGTCCTTCTCTATCTGCTTGAAATACTCCCTTCAGTATTTCTAGTATTTTTTGTAGGCCAGATCTGGTATTGATGAAATTATTCAGCTTTGGTGTGTCTAGGAAAGTCTGTATTTCTCCTTCATGTTTGAAGGATATTTTCACTACATATACTATTCTGGGGTTACTTTTTTTCCTTCAGCACTTTAAATATCTCATGCCACTCACTTCTTGACTGTAAGGTTTCCACTGAAAAGTCTGCTGCCAGACATATTGGAGATCCATTGCATGTTATTTGTTTCTTTTCTCTTGCTGCTTTTAGGATTCTTTCTTTTTCCTTGACCTTTGGGAGTTTGATTATTAAATACCTTGAAGCAGTAATCTTTGGGTTAAATCTGCTTGGTGTTCTATAACCTTCTTGCACTTGTATATTGATGTCTTTTTTGAAGTTTTGGAGTTCTCTGCCATTTTCCCTTTGAATAAACTTTCTACCCTAGTTTTTTCTCTATGTTCCCTTTAAGTCCAATAACTCTTAGATTTGCTATTTTTAGGTTATTTTTTGATCCTCTAGGCATGCTTCATTGTATGTTATGCTTTTTTCTTTTCTGACTGTGTATTTTCAAATAGCTTGCCTTCAAGCTCACTCTTTCTTCTTCTTGATCAGTTCTGCTGTTAGAGAACTCTGATCCATTCTTCCATTAGCCAATTGCAGTTTTCAGATCCAGAATTCTTGCTTGATTCTATTTAATTATTTTAATCTCTGTGTTAAATTTATCTGATAGAATTCTGAATTCCTTCTATTTGTTATATTGAATTTCTTTGAGTTTCCTCAACACAGCTATTTTGAATTCTCTGTCTGAAAGGTCACGTATCTCTGTTTCTCCAGAATTAGTTCCTTGTGTCTTATTTGGTTCATTTAATGAGGTAATGTTTTCCTGGATAGTGTTAATGCTAGTATATGTTCTTCAGTGTCTAGGCATTGAAGAATTCAGTATTTATTGTAGTCTTCACTCCATGGGCTTATTTGTCACCATCTTCCTTGTGAAGGCTTTTCAGATATTTAAAAGGACTTGGATGTTGTGATCTAAAGTTTATGTATTTTAGGGAGCACCTCAAAAATGGTAACATTGTGATTTTTACAGACTCATAAAGGTACCACCATGATGGTCCTGAATATGACCCGGGAGAATTATCTGGATTACCAGGGAAAGACTCTTGTTCTCATTCTTTACTTTCTCCCAAATGTACAGTGTCTCTCTATGTCCTCAGTCACCAAAAGCTGGGGGTAGTGTGACACGAGCACTTCTGTGTCCCACACAACTAGGACTGCACTGAGTCAGACCAGAAGCCACCGCAGAACTGGGTCTACCCCAAGGCCTGCTGTAACCACTCTCTGGGTACTGCCTATGTTCATTAAAGGCCCTGCTGCTCTACAATCAGTTCATGGCAGAGCCAGCCAGGCCTGTGTTCTACCCTTCATGGTGGCAAGGTTCTCCAAGTCCTTGGTGGGGGGGTCCAAAAGTGCTGTCCAGGTGTCAGGGACTAGAGTAAAAAAATCTTAGAAGTTTACCTGGTGTTCTATTGTGTTGCGGCTTAACTGGCACTCAAACCACACAATGCAGCACTTCCTTCTATTCTTTCCCCTTTCCAAAGGTAGAGACAACTCATCCCATAGCCACCACCACCTCAGGCCACAAGTTGTACTGCCAGAATACCACTGATGTTCACGTAAGGCTCAAGGTCTCTTCAGTCAGCTTGTCATGAATTCTGCTTGGCCTGGGACTCGCCCTTCAAGGCAGTGGACTTGTCTCTGGCCTGGGGCAGTTCCAAAACGCCGTCTGTATTAGTTTATTCCCCATTGCTATAAACAACTGATTGGGACTGGGTAATTTATAAAGGAAAGAGGTTTAATAGACTCACAGTTCCACATGGCAGGGAGGCCAAAGGAAACTTACAATCATGGCAGAGGGGAAGCAAACACACCTTTCTTCACATGATCCAGGAAGGAGAATTGCCAGGCAAAGAGGGAAAAGCCTTTTATAAAACCATCAGATCTCATGAGACCTCATTCACTATCATGAGAACAGCAGCATGAGGTAACCTTCCCCATGATTCAATTACCTCCTATTGGCACCTTCACATGACACATGGGGATTATGGGAACTACCACTCAAGATGAGATTTGGGTAGGGACACAGCTAACCCACATTATTCTGCTCCTGGCCACACCCAAATCTTATGTCCTCACAATTCGAAACACAATCATGCCCTTCCAACAGTCCCCTAAAGTCCTGACTCATTCTAGCAATTTGTGAAGAAAAGAGGTCTAATTGACTCACAGTTCTGCAGGCTTAACAGGAAGCATGACTGGGAGGCCTCAGGACATTTAGCATCTTCTTTACATGGTAGCAGGAGAGAGAGGGAGAAGTGCTACACACTTGTAAAACATCAGATCTTGTGATAACTTACTCACTATCATGAGAACAGCATGGAGAAATCTACTGCCATAATCCAATCACCTCCCACCAGCTCCCCCCAACTAGCATTGGAAAATACCATTCAGCATTAGATTTGGGTGGATACACACAGCCAAACCCTATCACTTTTCCCCTGCCTGCTCCCAAATCTCATACCCTTTTCAGTTTCAAAACACAATCATGCATTCCCAACAGTCCCCCAAAGTCTTAACTAACTCATTCCATCATTAACCCAAAAGTCCAAGTCCAAAGTCTCATCTGAGACAAAACAAGTCCTTTCTGCCTGTGAGCCTGTAAAATCAAAAGCAAGGTAGTTACTTGTTAGATACAATGGGGGTACAGGCATTGGGTAAATACACCTGTTCCAAATGGTAGAAGTTGGCCAAAATAAAGGGGTTACAGGCCCCATGAAAATCCAAAATCAAGTAGGGCAGTCATTAAACGTTAAAGTTCCAAAATAATATCCTTTGACTCCATGTCTCACATCCATGTCACACTGATGTAAGAGGTGGCCTCCCATAGCCTCTGTAGCTTTGCAGGGTACAGTCCCCCTCCTAGCTGCTTTAACAGGGTGGTGTTGAGTGTTTGTGGCTTTTCCAGGTACATCATGCAAATTGTCAGTGAATTTACCATTCTGGGGCCTGGAGGATGGTGGCACTGTTCTCGCACCATTAGGCAGTGCCCCACTGGGGACTCTGTGTGGGGGCTTCAGTCCCACATTTTCCTTCTGCACTGCCCTAGCAGAAGGCTCTGCCCCTGCAGCAAACATCTGCCTGGACATCCAGGGGTTTCCATACATCCTCTGAAATCTATGCGGAAGTTCCCAAACCTCAACTCCTGACTTCGGTGCACCCACAGGCTCAACACCACATGGAATCTTCCAAGGCTTGGGGCTTGCACCCTCTGAAGTAACAGTCTGAGCTGTATATTGGCCCCTTTTAGACATGGTTAGAGCTGAAGCAGCTGGGATGCAGGGCACCATGTCCCAAGGCTGCATGCAGCAGGGGTCTGTGAATCCAGCCCAGGAAACCATTTTTCCTTAGTAGACCTCCTGGCCTGTAATGGGTGGAGCTGCTGAGAAGGTCTCTGACATGCCCTAATGACATTTTCACCATTGTCTTGGTGATTAACATTCAGCTCCTCATTACATATGCAAATTTCTGCAGAAGGCTTAAATTTTTCCCCAGAAAATGGATTTTTCTTTTCTATCACATCATCAGGCTGCAAATTTTCCAAACTTGAATGCTCTGCTTCCCTTTTAAACATAAGTTCCAATTCCAAACCATATCTTTGTGAATACATAAAACTGAATGCTTTTAGCAGCACCC
Source organism: Homo sapiens (assembly GCF_000001405.40). Lineage (NCBI taxonomy): Eukaryota > Metazoa > Chordata > Mammalia > Primates > Hominidae > Homo > Homo sapiens. The sequence continues at coordinate 99,759,552 of NC_000023.11, read as the reverse complement.
AAGTCACCTCTTGAATTCTTTGCTTCCTAGAAATTTATTCTGCCAGATACCCTAAATCATCTCTCTCAAGTTCAAAGTTCCACAGATCTCTAGGGCAGGGGAAAATGCTGCTAGTCTCCTTGCTAAAACATAGCCAGAGTCACCTTTATTCCAGTTCCAACAAGTTTCTCATCTCCATCTGATACCACCTCAACCTGGAATTCATTGTCCATATTACCATCAGCATTTTGGTCAAAGCCATTCAAGAAGTCTCTAGGAAGTTCTAAACTGTTCCACATCTTCCTGTCTTCTTAGCCCTCCAAACTGTTCCAAACTTTTCCTGTTACTCAGTTTCAAAGTGGCTTCCAAATTTTTGCATATCTGTACAGCAGCACCCCACTAGCCAGTACCAATTTACTGTATTAGTCCATTCTCATGCTGTTATAAAGAACTGTTCAAGACTAGGTGATTTATAAAGGAAAGAAGTTTAATTGACTCACAGTTCTGCATGTCTGGGGGAGGCCTTGGAAACTTACAATCATGGCAGAAGGGGGAGCAATTATGTCCTTCATATTATGGCAGGACGAAGTGCCAAGCACAGAGGGAAAAGCCCCTAATAAAACCATCAGATCACATAAGAACTCACTCACTATCACAAGAACAGCAGCATGGGGGTAACTGCCCCCATGATTCAATTACCTCCCTCTAGGTCTCTCCCACAACATGTGGGGATTATGGGAACTACAAGTCAAGATGAGATTTTGGTGGGTCCACAGCCAAACCATATCACCATCCAAGAGTCAAGTTTTAGAATCAGGGACCCAAAGATCCCACTTGGTTCTTTATCACCCTGTGGCTGTGCTGGTACCTAAGATACAAGACAAAGTCCCTTTTGCTTTTCTCTCTGCTTTCCTCAGTCTGAAGGAGTTTTGCCTTGTAGCTACCACAGTTGGAAATATCCCAAGTCTCACCTGAATCCAGCGAGTCTCAGAGATTCACCTAAGGGCCTCGGTGTAATACCTATATATCACTGCTGTTTATTCAGGGACAAAGCTCTCTTCAGTTAGCAGGTGATGAATGCTGCCAGGACTGGGTTCGTTCTTAAAAGGCATCAGTTTTTCTTCTGGCCCAGGATGTTTCTAGAAATTTCATCTGGGAGCTAGGGCTTGGAATGGGGACCTCACAGTTGACCAGTGCCCTATCTTGCTGTGGCTGGGCTGGGATCCTAGAGGTGAACCACATTCTTCCCCATTCTTCCCTCTCTCCTCCTGGAGCAGAAGGAAGGGGTGTCTTTTGGAGCTGTGATTTGTGCAGCCTGGGCTTAGGAGAGGGGTGATGCCAGTGCTCCCTTGAATACCCTAGCTGGTGTCTCATTATGTCATGTGCTCCCATATTCCACTATCTCTGCACCTACTTGAGTACTAGGAATCACCTAAGACTTGCAGTCCTTATGGTTTAGACTGCCTTTATATTTTACTTTTAGGCACATAGTGCCATAGCCCTTGGTGGCAAGGTTGGCAGGCACCCAAGTTCAGATGACTGGGATCAGTAATTCCCCTCAGGCGAGGGCTGGTTTAAGTGTTTACTCCATGGGTGAGCATCAGCTGAATTTGGTCCAGTTGATTTTTCTGCTCTAACAGGACAGTGCTGAATTCATTGCATCACAATTGCTGTGCTCTCCCTCCCCCAGCACCCGGATATGCTCTCTGCACCGTGCTGCCACTGCTGCCAGGTACAGGGGAGAGATGGCGTTGGTGATTCATAACTGTTGTTTTTTATTTTTATCTGTTCAGTGCCACATCTTCCAATGAGAATAATATCAGTACAAATTTTTAAAGATTAGGAAAAGAAACGGATAAATTCCTGGACACATACACCCTCCCAAGATTGAACCAGGAAGAAATTGAATTTCTGAACACACCAATAACGAGTTGTGAAATTGAGGCAGTAATAAATAGCCTATCAACCAAAAAAATCCCAGGACCAGATGGATTCACAACTGAATTCTACCAGCTGTATAAAGAACAGCTGGTACCATTCCTACTGAAACAATTCCAAAAAATCGAGGAGGAGGATTCCTCCCTAACTCATTCTATGAAGCCAGCATCAGCCTGATACCAAAACCTGGCAGAGATACAACAAACAACAACAACAACAACAACAACAACAACAACAACACTTCAGGCTAATACCTTGATGAAGATCGATGCAAAAATCCTCAACATAATACTGGCAAACTAAATCCAGCAGCACGTCAAAAAGCTTACCCACCACAATCAAGAGGGCCTAGTCCCCAAGATGCAAGGTTGGTTCAACATATGCAAATCAGGAAATATGATTCATCATAGAAACAGAAATAAAGAAAAAAACACATTATTATCATCTGAATAGATGCAGAAAAAGCTTTCAAAAAATTCAACATCCCTCCATGTTAAAAACTCTCAATAAACTGGGTACTGAAGGAACATACCTCAAAATAATAAGAGCCATACGTGACAAACCCACAGCCAACATCATACCGAATGGGGAAAAGCTGGAAGCATTTTTCCTGAAAACCAACACAAGACAAGAATGCCCTCTGTTACCACTCCTATTCAACATAATATTGAAAGTTCTGGCCAGGGCAATCAGGCAAGAGAAAAAAAAAAGACATTTAAATAAGAGAGGAAGGACATTTAAATAAGAGAGGAAGTCAAGCTTTGTTTTTTTCTGGATGACATGAATATACAATATATATATACACATATGTATTAGCCACAAACTTCTTAAGCTGATAAACAACTTCAGCAAAATCTCAGGATACAAAATCAATGTTCAAAAATTGTTAACATTCCTACATACCAACAATACTCAAGCCAAGGACCAAATCATGAACAAACTCCCATCATAATTGCCAGAAAAAAGAAAAAAATACCTAGGAAGATGGCTAATAATGAAGGTGAAAGATCTCTACAATGAGATCTACAAACCACTGCTCAAAGAAATCAGAGATAATACAAACAAATGGAAAAACATTTCATGCTCATGGATAGGAAGAATCAACATTGTTAGAACGGCCATAGTGCCCAAAGGAATTTATAGATTCAATGCTATTCCCAACAAACTACTATTGGCATTCTTCACAGAACTACAGAAAACTATTTTGAAATTCATATGCAACCAAAAAAGAGCCTGAATAGCCAAAGTTATTTTATTAACTTCCGAAACATGACCACAATCCCCAAGATATTTAGAATTACTGCTCAAGGTATTGTGTCAATGTCTTCTCGCTTCTTGTATGAGGAATGTTCTTCATGTTACTGATTTGATTTTATCCTGTGTCTATTCTGTTCATATTGCATCTATTTGCTACCTATAATACGAATTTTAAAATTCCTATTATAATTTGCACTTCCCTGTATTATTTTACTATTTTAGTCAAATTTCTTTGCCTTTCTACTTTAATGTTGATCTATTCTCTTCTTAAATCTCTCTAAGAAACTCTATTTTATTGTCTACCACTGAGGATAATAAGCATATATATTCTAAAACATTCATGCACTTCTTATCACAAAAATAATATTTCGAGATCTATGTTTTCTTCTGAGTTATTATGGTAAAGTTTCCTTTCTCTCTTGCTTCCAGATCTTTTCAGAAGCGCCATATCAGTTTTTAAAAATTCAAGCTTGGTTCAGTAGATGTGAATCTAAGCATGATGTTTATTAGAAGATACGATAAATGTGGTTTCTCTAATTTCCTTTACTGTCTATTTAGGGGCTGGCATCTTTCTCATTTCACAGCTAGACAAGAAATTCAGTTCACTCAGGCCATAGATCAATTTGCAATTTATTTATTTATTTGGATCATATTCAAATAAATTTGGATAATATCTAGTTACAGCTCTCATTTTTTTTTTACTAAACTTGAGAATAAGATGTCATTTTAAATTGAACAGTGTTTGCAAATCTTCATCCACAATACAAAGTCTCCCAGTGTTCTTCCAATCTTCTTCCTTGTTTACAATATTCTCCTTGTAATCACATTCCAGTATGCACTTACGTTAATCCATTTCTCCTGTACTTCCCCAAACAACATTCCTGTATATGCGGGTTCTGAATGAAAGTAGAAACTAACTGGGGCATGGCACAAGTGAACTCTAGCTCTGATTAGCTTAAAATATACTTTCCATACAACTGGAAAATAACCACCTGCATTTCTGGTCAGTTTAGTACTTCTGCCCCAGAGTTAGGTGAAATAATAAAGGTGAGTCAAATTTCTTTCTCTCTGTGTGTGTGTGTGTGTGTGTGTGTGTGTGAGATCTCCAATGGTCTGTTTCAGGTGGTTGAGAGTAAGGTATTGGTTACTTTTAGCTCATTCCCATTAATAACATAGTTAATTGAAACTATGTCTAGACTGTGACCAAGGCTCTTGTATTTCTCTTTATCATTTGGTTTTCTTCCATTTGTGTTAATAATGTTTTGATGGTGTAACTAGGCATAATTACCTTATTGCTATGCAAACATAAAACTTTTCCTGAAATGTCTCTGATTATCATTCCATTTATGTTATTTAATTTGTATCTGTCATTTTGTTTTGAATGTATATATGTTAAGCCTCAAGTCTTTAAGTTGGAGATCAATTTAGCCATTAATGCTGTACTGCAGTTTGTAAAATCTCTTAATTTTTTATCTTCTTAAATCTTGTCATTAATTTCTTGAGATATTTCAGATTATTTATGTTTCCATGTGAAATAACACGTTACAATTAGTTCTCCGTTTTTCTGGAATTCCCACAACCTTGTTTTTGACAACTTTCAGAATGACTTATTTGTGTATACATCATTAGCTGATTTATTGGTCCATGAGGACTACTCCAACCCACTCCAAAACATAAAAACAGAAATAAAACCTACAAAACAACCATAAAATAATAACGACAAAATGCCAAATTGGGTGATACTAAAAATGTGATAAAAGCAACTTAGAGAGCATCTGCCTCTTGCCAAATAATAGACCTTATTTGATCATCATAGGCAATGTATAAGATAGGTACTATTATTGAGTGCTTTACAGCCAAAGGGAGGTGTAACAATATTAAGTACCCTTCCTTAGTTTATGCAGCAAGTAAATGACAGAACTATGATTCAAACTCAGATTGTGTGGTTCTTGAATCTACACTCTTAACCACTACAGTACACAGAGTCTCATTACATTTTATTTCTTCTCACTTTTCTGAGACTAAAAGTCTTAAATTTATAAAACAGCTACATAGAATATTATTTTATATAAGTTTTCCTTAGATATTTCGTACACATAGATATGTGACGTGATATATGTAGTTGCTGCTGTGTGGTGGCATGGGGCAGGGCTGACATTGACTTGGATTTAAATAAATATGTAGTTCATTTTTGGAGTCCTATGGTATTTATATGAAATAGACCAATTAAAATGATATCAGACATTGTGCTAGGCGTTGGAGATTCACTTGTTTACCAAAAATGTATATTCCCTGATATTATGAAGCTTTTAGTCTTATAAAGTAGACATTGAGCAAATTGTTTTAAATATTTTATAAAGTGAGTTCAAGGGCACAAAGTTATTATAAGTACTGGGTCTATACTTGTAAGTACTGGGTCTAAAGAAACCATATAAAAAGGAAGACTACCTATCTGAGGGCTCAGGAAGATTTTCATCATGAAATGATGTCACTCATGAAAAGTGAGCAAGAGTTAATCAGGAGAATGTTGTGGAAGTTCCAAGTAAAGAGAACAGAATGTTCACAGTTCATGTGGCTGGAAAAAGCATGATATATTCCAAAAACCATACAAAGATCACTATGGCCTGAGTGGAGAAAGCAAGATACAGAGAGGCCTAAAATACACTTCCAAAGATAGGAATTGTAATGTTTTGGGCCTTGCATGCCATGTTAAAAAATTTGACTTTATCCAGAGGGCAATGAGAAACCTAGGCTGTAGGGAGAGAAATGGGGAAATGATGTGTTAACATTTGTCTTTTGGAAAAACGGTCCTATGAGATACTACAACTGTCACTAGTGAGAAGGAAGAAAGAGAAGTACCACAGGAACTGTTTGGGTCCTAGAAATAAAACAAAGGTTATACAACCATGGTTCAGTTTTAGAGAACACAGAGAAAAATTTTTATGCCATCCGAAATTATTCTAGTAAAATTGTAATTCTGCCCATGGATTTCAGGTAACATGCCGGTATCATGTGTAAATAATAAGCTACCGATATCCTTCTAGGAATGTAAGTAAACAGATATCATGTTGCTGTCCATAGTGAAGATATAACTATAGCATTGCCAAGTGAATAGTGAGGAGAAAATATGCTATAACTTTATGTAATCACTTACACATCATTTATTTGGATGCAGTGGAGTTAAAAGTCAAAATTAAAATGTTGGTTACTAGGAGTTGACTGCACCCAGAACACACGTAGATCTTGTTAGCCTTCCACGTTTTTATTCCTGTACTCACCAAGCCAGAAGGTCAGTGGCCTAAAATCAGTTTTCTGTGTCAGCAATCCAGTCACATCTTGAGCAGTGAAACCTTAAATCTTCAAATGCTGCCTTCTACAGGTTCTCCAGGGACTTCATTACTTAGAATGATGCAATCATTCAGTCAAGCCCTTAGGGCCTGAGAGTGACGGGGAAAAAATACCCAACTAACCTACTGAGTCCTTCAGCTGCCATTCTTAGACTGGCACCATGAAATATTCCGGTAGAATAACTGTCCTACTACCACAGAAACTTTACCACATTAACATTGTGAACTCAGCTGATATGAGGGCTAAAGGAAGTGGCTGTGCTTAATGTGTGGCAGCCAAAACTTTTAGATTCCCTCCTGAGAGTCCTTGATAATAGTAATAATTATAATGAAACTAACAACTATACATATAAATTCCTTCTGAGAAAAACTATAGATTTGTGTAAAATTATTCCTAGACATTTAACCATGTATGAGATAGAAATGTCTGACTATAATGATTTCTTATAGACATGATGGTAACTTTCAGCTAAGCAGTTAAGACTATATATTTCCCCAATGGCTTTTCTACGTATCGTATATTGAAATGTACATTAAAAGTCAATCTTAGTTTGTCAACATCAGCAAAGAGGAATTGGCTGTATTAAAAACCTGGTATCTTTCAGAGTTTATACTATGTTGAGTATAAGTCTCATTAAAATATGCATTGCCAATAACCTGATTGGGTACAGGCAGATACACATATTAAATACTAAGTACAGGAGGTCTGAAGTTGCCTGAGCAGTGCTTACATTTTTAAAAAAATTTTCTTTGTATTTTTAGTACTTAGCATAGAGTCAGACAAATAGAAGACATTCAACAAAGTTTTGATGGACAGTACATGCATAATTGAACAAATAAATAAATGGACAAATAAAGAAAGGATTGAACTGCCTGAAATGATTTTCTGCATTCTCAAATGTCATTTTTAAACAAAATATAAGGAAAGATGTTGGAAGTTCAGTCCAGCTGGGCTGAGTCTAATAGATATGTTTTTCCTTTTTTTCTGTTTGGTATCTTCTAATGTAAGAGATAATGGATGCAGCATAAATTGATATGGAGGCTGGGAATTTGTTTGGGCTGACAGAGAACAGGGAAGGAGGGCCTTAGTAATATTTTTATGCCTTTTGACATTATGTGATCACAGCAATATTTGAATCAATTCTAATTTTAAGTACATCAGCCAGAGCATGTTTTGGGGAATTAGAAAGCAGCACAAGTTCTCTCCCCTCCAATAAATCTACTTAGCGATGTGGGATGATCTCAGTGTCACTTCTATAAACTTGTTTTTATTATAAGTGAGGCTTTCCAAACTCATTTTTAGACAGGGATTCCCTTTTGGATTAGAAGAAAATTTTTAGCAGTCACCTCTGAAGCCTTTAACGTTACTTGATCTAGTACATCTATCTGACATCAACAAGGATAATAGAAAAAGCTTAAAAGATTCGCAGGTTATTATGGAACACATTCTTGAAGTGTGACTTCTAAGGCAAAACTTATTATATGGATTGCATTGCCTTTTACCATATTTTACACACATGGAAGGCATTAATAAATATTTGTGATTTAAAATGTTGGTGTTTTCTGTTCATCATACGGTAAGATAGTACTTATGAAAGACACAGAGTTTTAGGCTTTAGAAGATAATTGAATTGTGGCTACCTCAAAGTGAGTATGGTTCAAAGCATCCACACATTTGCTATCTAGGAAATAGATGGGCTCTCTTCTCCCAATTTTGTCAGTTGATCCATGGATTAACCTTGTAGGGTCCACAAATAATATATCTTGGTGACTGTTAACCACATAGGACTTGAAGATGATCACAAATCTAGTCAGAGAACTCCCTGAGGAAACAGATTACATTTTTTGAGATTTCATGTATTCAATCAGATGCAAAGTAGAGGCCATGGATTGGGATCTGCAACCCTCATTTCCCACAGAATATTTTTAATTCATGGACTTATAAATTCAGGGACCATGAGCAGTATCTGAGGCCCTTTGATCTGAGGCTGGAGCCAGAGCAGCTGGGATGTGGTAAGCAGTGTCCCAAGGCTGCACAGGACAGTTAGGCCCTGGGCCTGGCCCATGAAACCTTATTTCCCTCCTAGGCCTCTGGTCCTGTAATGGGAGGGGCTGTCTCAACAGTCTCTAAAATGCCTTGAGGTCTTTCCCATTGTCTTGGATATTAGTACTTGGCTCCCTTTTAGTTACACAAATATATCTGGCAAGTGGTTGCTGGGGAGCTTGCTTTAATTCCTCTTCAAAAAAGTTTTTCTCTTATTCTGCCACATGGCCGGACTGCAAATTCTCCAAACTTTTATACTCTGCTTCCCTTTTAAATATAAGTTCAAAGTTTAAGTCATTCCTTTGCTCTTGCATCTGAGCATAGATTCTTAAAAGCAGGCAAGCCATATCTTGAACACTTTGCTGCTTAGAAATTTTTTCTGCCAGATACCCTAAATTATTACTATGGAGTTCAAACTTCCACAGATCCCTAGGGCATGAACAGAATGCAGCTATAACACATGTGAGCTTTGCTCCAATTCCCAATAAGTTACTCATTTCCATCTGAGAGCTTGGCAGCCTGGACTTCACTGTTGATATCACTATCAGCATTTTGGTCACTACCATTGAACCAGTCTCTAAGAAGTTCTGAACTTAACTTCATCTTCCTGTGTTCTTCTGAGTCCACCAACCTCTGCTCATTACCCAGTTCCAAAGTTGCCTTCACATCATCAGGTACCTTTACTGCAATTCCCTACTCCTCAGTACCAATTTTCTATATTAGGCTGTTCTTGCACTGCTGTAAAGGTGTATTAGTCCATTTTCACACTGCGATAAAGACATACACAAGACTGGGAAGAAAAAGAGGTTTAACTGGACTTATAGTTCCACATGGCTGGGGAGGCCTCAGTGTCAGGCCTCTGAGCCCAAGCCTGCATGTATACATCCAGATGGCCTGAAGTAACTGAAGAATCACAAAAGAAGGGAAAATGGCTGGTTCCTGCCTTAACTGATGACATTACCTTGTGAAATTCCTTCTCCTGGCTCAGAAGCTTCCCCACTGAGCACCTTGTGACCCTCGCCCCTGCCTGCCAGAGAATAACCTCCTTTGACTGTAGTTTTCCAATACCTACCCAAATCCTATAAAATGGCCCCACCCCTATCTCCCTTCACTGACTCTCTTTTCAGACTCAGCCCGCCTGCACCCAGGTGATTAAAAAGCTTTATTGCTCACACAAAGCCTGTTTGGTGGTCTCTTCACACAGACGTGCGTGACACTCAGAATCATGGCGGGGGGCGAAAGGCACTTCTTACATGGCAGTGGCAAGAGAAAAATGAGGAAAAAGCAAAAGCAGAAGCCCCTGATAAACCCATGAGATCTTGTGAGACTTAATTCACTATCACAAGAATAGCACAGGAAAGGCCAGCCCCCATGATGCAATTATGTCCCCTTGGGTCCCTCATCCAACATGTGGTAATTTTCGGAGGTACAATTCAAGTTGAGATTTGGGTGGGGACACAGCCAAACCATATTAAAAGGAATACCTGTGACTGGGTAATTTATAAAGAAAAGAGGATAAATTGGCTTAAGGTTCTGCAGGCTTTATAGGAAACATCGTGCTGGCATTGGCTTGGAATCTGGGGAGGCGTCAGGAAGCTTACAATTATGGTGGAAGGCATGTGGGAAGCAAGCATATCACATGGCCAGAACAGAAGCAAGAAAGTGGAGAGGGAGGTGCCACACACTTTTAAATGACCAGTTCTTGTATAAACTCAGAGCAAGAGCTCACTTATCATCAAGAGGATGGCCCAAGCCATTCATGAGATATCCACCCCCATGATCAAAATACCTCTTGCTAGGCTCCATCTCCAACTCTGGGGATTACATTTCAACATGAGATTTGGGCAGGGACAAATATTCAAACTATATCACCCAGCTGATTTTTAAAATTATTTTTTTGTAGAGATGGTGTCTCACTATGTTGCCCAGGCTTATCTTGACCTCCATATGTATGAGGCTCAAGTGATCCTCTCACCTTGGTGTCCCAATGTCCTGGCATTACAGGCATGTGCCACCGCATCTGGCAGCCCTACAGCCTAAGTGATGCTACAGGATGTTGTTTTCAATGTTTTTATGTCTGGTCCATGCTGAAGGTAGATAATGGTGAGAAGAATCTTATGTGCATGGATATGTATTTGTGTGTAGGTGTATGTAAAGCAAACCATTGCATAAAACTATTTTGAACCTGAAAAGTATTATAAACATTTGAAAATACAGAAATCCAAAGGAGAAAACTTGTACAAGCACACAGAGATTTTTGTTGTCATCGTAGCATGCAGAACTTCTATCTATTTAGAAATAGTTGTTTTTAAAAAAATCCTTTAGAAATATGAATTCTGGACAGCTGCTCTATAGCAATGATGGTGCTAAATTAAAATGACAGTCTGAACACCCATTCACAAGACCCAGACCAAAATAGCATTGCAATGCAGAAACAGGAATGACTAAATGTTAGGAAAGACAAATTTTCACATTTTGAGAAAAAAAAAATTCATTATTTAGGAGCCGGTTTCTCTTTCCAGACTATGCCTCCTGAATCTTGTCTCTGAGGAGCATCTACAGAATCTGTGAAAGGTATATTGGGGCTTATTTTTGGTAGAGTGATAGAAAATTCAAAGGAATGTAAGGAATATGAATAAGGAAAAGCTGGATTGGAATACATATTGAAATATATGAACCTGAGTATAGGATACTCATAGCTATCAGCTGAACGAAGGCAAAAGGAAAAGGATAGATGTAATACAAAAATGGTTGGATACTACAAGTCACCAGGCCAGATGAAGAAAATGCATAGTACATACATAATGAGGATGAGAAAACTAGCAGCAAGACATATTAGAGCTGTAAGGGGGTGCATGAATTGTCTGCATCTAATGGAAGCTGTCTTCACTAAAATTAGAATGTGGCAAGATATGCTGGAGTTTTCAAAAATGAAAATCTGAACTCTTCAGTTTTCATTAGTCTACCCAGAAGTGGGCATGATCACACACCCACCCAGGAATATTTATATGTTGAGGCAAATGGAACAACACACTCAACTATGAATTTCAATAAAATACATTTAGTAGTCACAACAAGCTGAAGTGGAAGGGCTAACTCAGAGGTGCAATGAGAATGCAAGCAAAGGTAGTGAATTGGAGGTGCCTTCTGAATTCTTTTGTTATTAAGGTGTGAAGCTGGTGTGGGAGACTCCTAATGCTCAGATAGAGGTTGTGCTATCTAAAATTCCTCCTGTCATGCAGAGGCTGAGTGAGTCTTCTTATCTAGGTTGTTGGGGAGGCAAGACAGAGGAGTGGGGATCTAAAAGTTCTCAGTGGCCAAACATAAAAAATAGAGCAAGTCTTTGGCCCACTTTTTAATAAGGTTTTTTATTTTTGATTGTTGAATTGTTTAAGTTCCTTATAGGCCCTGAATATTAGATCTTTATTAGTTGCATAGTTTGTGAATATTTTCTCCAATTCTCTAGGTTTTGTTTGCTGTTGATAGTTTCCTTTACTGTGCAGAATCTCTTTAATTTAATTAAGTCCTGTTTGTCAATTTTTGTTTTCATTGCAATTGCTTTTGAGGACTTATTATAAATTATTTCCCAATACTGATGTTCAGAATGATGTTTCTTAGGTTTTTTTTCTAGGATTCTTATAGTTTGAGGTCTTATATTTAAATCTTTATTCCATCTTGAGTTAATTTTTGTATATGGTGAAAAGTAGGGGTCCAGTTTCTTTCTTCTGCATATGGCTAGTCAGTTATCTCAGTACCATTTATTTATAGGGAGTTCTTTCCTCATTGCTTATTTGTGTCAGCTTTGTCAAAGATCAGTTGGCTGTAGGCATGAGGCTTTATTTCTGAGTTTTCTGTCCTGTTCCATTGGTCTACATTTTCATTTTTGTACCAATATCACGCTGTTTTGGTTACTGTAGCCTTATAGTATAGTTTGAAGTCAGGTAATGTGATGCCTCTGGCTTTGTTCTTTTTGTTTAGGATGGCTTTGACTCTTAAGGCACTTTCCTGGTTCCATATGAATTTTAGAATAGCTTTTTCTAGTTCTTTAAAAAGTGACATTGGTAGTTTGGTAGAAATAGTGCTGAAACTGTAGATTGCTTTGGGCAGTAGGGCCCTTTTAATTTAATTTAACATTGATTCTTCCAATTCATAAGCACGGAATGTTTTGCATTTTTGTTTGGGTCATATATTATTTCTTTCAGCAGAGCTTTATAGTTCTTCTTGTAGAGATCTTTCACTTCTCAAAAGAAGACAGATAAGAGGCCATCAAATGTGTGAAATAAAATGCTCCACATCACTAATCATCAGAGAAATGTAAATCAAAAGCATAATAAGATACCATCTCACCCCAGTCAGAATGGCTATTATTAAAAAGTCAAAAAACAACAGATGCTGGCCAGGCTGCAGAGAAAAGGGAATGCTTATACACTGTTTGTGGGAATGTAAATTAGTTCAAACACTGTGTAAAGCTGTGTAATAGTTTGGAGATATCTCAAAGAATGTAATACAGACCTACAATTTGACACAGCAGTCTCATTACTGGTTATTTATCCAAAAGAAAACAAATCATTCTACTAAAAAGACACTTGCACTCGTATGTTCACTGCAGCACTATTCACAATAGCAAAGACATATAATTAACCTAAGTGCTAATCAGTGGTGTATCGGATAAAGAAAATGTGACACATATACACCATGGAATACTACACAGCAATACAAAGGAATGAAATCATGTCCTTTGCAGCAACATGGGTGGAGCTGGAGGACATTATCCTAAGCAAATTAACACAGAAACAGAAAACCAAAAAACTCATATGCTCACTCATAAGTGACAGTTAAACATTAAGAACTCATGAACATAAAGACAGCAACAATAGGTACTAGGAACTATTAGAGGGAGAAGGAAGGGAAGGCGAAAACAATTGAAAAACTAACTCTTGGGTATTATACTCACTACCTCGGTGATGGAATCATTGATAGGCCAAATCTCATCATCACACAATGTACTCACGTGGCACACCTGCACCTGTACTCCTGAATCTAAAATAAAAATTGAAATTGTTAAAAAATAGAAAAATAAAAGTCACTATGAAAATTTTTAAAACAAGAAATCTCAAATTTTCTTTTAAGTGTTTTGAGGATAACCTAAATATTAAAACAGACAAATGTGTGTACAAGTTAATGCATTTTAATATTGCTTTAATGAAGTAAAACTTACATGTAATAAAATGCATCACTTTTGAAAAATGTGTACATCCAAGTAATTACTGACTCTGTTCAAAATATAAAATATATTCATCACCTGAGAAAGCTCCCTCTTGTTCTTTCCAATTAATTATTTTCACCTAAGCAACTGCTATTTTAATTTCTGTCACCATCTATGGTTTTGCTTGTTCCTGAACTTAATATGAATATAAGCAAACATTAAATACTCTTTTGTGTCCAAATCCTATTGCTTAACATAATGCTTTTGAGATTAACCTGATATTGTTGCATATATGAAGAGTTTGCTACTTTTTACTGGTGAATAGTATTCCTTGTATGAATATACCATTTTTTAAATTGTCTTACTGATGGACATTTGGGTTGTTTCCAGTTTTTTGCTATTATGGATAAAGCAACTATAAAAGTATATTCTTGTTAAAAGTAGAGCAAGCCTTTTTATTACAGCCCCAGAATACATGTTTATAAATGATTTGAGAGCAATTGACCTTTGTGCCCTTTGATTTTTAGATAAAACTCAGGAGTCTTGGATTGGTTAGCTGGGAGATGTTCAAAATGAAAGTAACCAGAATAAGAAAACTTGAAATTATACTATTTAGGGTTAAATAAGTTGGATCTTTATTGTAGGAAGAGAAGATTTGGTGGCTGCATGATACCTCTTTTCAAATATTTAGTGGGATATTCTTTGGAAGAGGGAGTAAACTTCTTCTGTCACCCTAGAGAATAGTCTTTGGACCAATGAGTCGAAGGGCAAATTTAGACTTACAAGAAAGATCAGTAATAATAATTATAATTGAGATGAAATTGGCTGCCTATGATGGTAAAGTGTTCTTCATCCCAAAGCATATTCAAGCTGAGGCGGGCTGACCACCTGTTAGGAATGTTTTAGAATCCAATCATTGTTTGAATGGATAGTTGACCAAAGTGAAGTCTAGGGTCTCTACTAAGATAATTCTCTAACCCTGTCTGTGTATTATTCTCTTTTTCCTGGTAAGTCTCCTCATGGATCCAATGACATTGCAGTTAATACTTTAATGACATCAATGGATAAATAACAGCCATATAGTGTAATCCCCTATTTCTTCTACTACCGAGGAAATTGCCACTGTCAGCTGTGTAACCAAATCAACTAGATTGGTGTTTTGAGCTATGAGCCACGGATGGAGGAGGAGCAGAAAAAGTATCAAACTAAGCTATAGTGCTCATTTATACCCCTTTGTAAATGAATTATTAGAATAATTTTTACATGAGAACCAATTTTAATGGAAGAAATTGGCAAGCACAGGAGAAAAGTAAGTGCCCAGACATAGGAGAAAAGAAGACAAAAAAGAGTCCGGGCACGGTGGCTCATGCCTGTAATTCCAGCACTTTGGAAGGCCGAGGCGGGCTGATAACCTGAGGTCGGGAGTTTGAGACCAGCCTGACCAACATGGAGAAACGCCGTCTCTACTAAAAAAAAAATACAAAATTAGCCGGACATGGTGGTGCATTCCTGTAATTCCAGCTACTAAGAAGGCTGAGGCAGGAGAATTGCTTGAACCCGGGAGGTGGAGGTTGCGGTGAGCCGAGATCATGCCATTGCACTCCAGCCTGGGCAACAAGAGCAAAACTCCGTCTCAAAAAAAAAAAAAAAAAAAAAGACAGAAAAGAAAATGCTGGCAATTTCAGAGGCGAACTATACTTACCAATTTGTCAGAATGTCTGTGGATAAGCAGCTGTCATATGCTTGGTTCCTCATCAGAAGGCTGAATCTTCTACAATTTCCAGCTTCTTAATCATTTTTACTCTGATATTTGACACTTCCCTTTGCTTTTCATTCCATTCACTATTAATACATCGTGTGCATCACTGACAATTAAGCTTCTGAGATCCAGCTCTGATTTGGTACAACCCTGCCACAACAAATCCCTCAAAGGCTCCTAATTATCTACTGAACTGAATTAAAAACTCATCATTTTGTGTGCAAGACTATTTATGGTTTTGCTTCCATTGCTCATTCTAATGTTATATCTCATGGCTTACCTTCATCTCTATGCCCCTCATTCCAGTTGAACTACAGGTTGCTTACTATAAACTTGATGCACTTTACTAACTCTATACATTTGTTCCTGCTGTTCTACCCATTTTTGTTTCTGTGTATAAAATTTGTACCCATATTCTATAAAAGCTATCCAAAATACTACTTTGCCACCTCTGCCTTCGAGGTGACAATATTTACTCCTTTATCTGATCAATTAGGATAGTATTTTTGCATCTCTTTTACATTAGTTATGTTTTTTCCTTTGTGATTTGCCTTTTAGTATTAAGTTGAACTTTATGAAATCATTAACATTCAACCATTTTGACTCACATAAGGAGCAGTTATGTGGTTCAATCTAAGTAATATATGACTTATCTCTCCTAATAGAATATAAGCTCCTTGAATCTCCCAAAGTGCCTACCAAATGCCTCCTATAATCTTCTTCTCCAGCATAATACTGTTTGTTGAAATGAATGACTAAATTATGTTCAAATTGAGTCTCAATATTTAACAATTCTTTGGTTGAGTCATTTATGTGGGAGTTTTTTATCCTTAAGATTTGTAACTAAAGAGCCTCCCATAAAAAGGCTCTGGATAAACCTTGGCTGAATCAGAAAAGACAATTCTATTCATCACTTAGTAGAGTTATATAATCATTACAGGTAAATTCAACTTTAGGATTTTATGATTTTAATTGCAAAATGCTCTTGGTGCATAATTTGCTGTCTCATGAGTATATTTCAACTGGATTTTATATCCCATACAACATTCTTATTCTTTCAGGACTCGTGACATAGAGCTTTCTCCAAGGGGCAAGATTCACCTCAATTCTAAGCACAAACTGGCAATTTCTTTACATTTATTCCCTTTATATTTGCTATAGTGATCAGCATCCATTTCCTGATGCACCCCTCCATCTTAGTTGTATTTGTTTTTCAAGTACTTATGCCAGTGTGTCTATCCACAAAGACTTCAAATTTATTTTTAACTCTTCTCTGTACTTTTAATACCTAACACAGTGCCTGGCACATCATAGGCCCTCAATTAATTAATGCTTGCTAAGAGGAGGAAGAAAAAAAGTAAGTGAACATAGTGAAACCCCATCTCTACAAAAAATACAAAAAATGGCTGGGTGTGGTGGCATGCACCTTTAGTCCCAGCTACTTTCAGGTCTGGGTTGGGAGAATTGCTTGAGCCTGGGAGACAGAGGTTGCAGTAAACCGAGTTTGCACCACTGTACTCCAGCCTGGGTGACAGAATGTGACTCTGTGTCAAAAACAAACAAACAAACAAATACAAAAACACATGATTAAGAAGAAAAACAATCTCTCTTTGGAGAAAAAATTGTATTTGTGTCAATTAATCTTTTTTCAGGTTAAAGGAAATTCCTTAAAAAGGGCATACCCCAGCCACTGGAGTGACAATCCCAACAATGTAGATTAAACACACAGGCTCAGGCTTTTAAGTCAGCACCTCCAGTTTGCTTGAAATGGAACTCTGCAAGCAGAAAAGATGCACAGCATGTGTATAGGATATGAAACTGTCCTACTGAGATTTTATGGCTCAGTGACATTACTTATCTTACATTATAAGATTAGAAAAGATCTTATAGGCTGCAAAACAAGAGTCTTCTATTTTCCTCTTTATGAAATTATGAATTGCTACTTTTTAAAGTGTCTCCACTACTTATAGCTAATATTATTCTCATTTTTTTTCAGCCTGGGTAAGATAGACATGATACATCTATCAATAAAGAAACTCAAAGAAGATATGGAAGCAATGGATATTAGTCCTTTATACCAAGAGTTGCAATCTTTCCTTTTAATCAGGAAGACTCCGACTTCATAGATCAGACCCAATTCTTCAGCTTTTCTCATCCACACTGTGTTGGAATCTGTATTGTATCTTATCCAGGTAAGTTCATGTCACACTGGCCTTCAGGCATTAGTGTATCCCAGAAATAGGAATATAAACCAGAAGTGAAGAGGCATAACAGAGTCTAGAGCCAGAACAAAGAGATGTTGACAGTATTGGAACATAAGAAAAATAAAATAATAGAGTTTGAGATGAGGTTAAAAGTCAATACTAGTCAGGGACCCAAAAGCAAGAAAAACAAGCCAGATATTATATTCAAGAAATAGCTTAAAACACTGTAAATAATCTGTGGAACATTCATAAAGTACCAAAAATAGAAATTGATATAAAATTTGCCTCTAAAGTAAGTTTTACTATAGCCTATAACAACGACCAGTTTACCTATGGTGAACAAGGCCAAAAAGGCTTAACTGTGCAGTGACTTGTCACACGTGAAAGAGATTTGGTTTGTTTCACAAATACATAAGTCCATTGTGTTATTCATTTACCCTCCTGACATTCACCTTAAATCCAGGCCTTCATAGATTCATTGGTCTATGTATACTTTCTTTTGGTTTCTAAGATGAAGAATAAATGTGGCTGAAAATCAGAGCTAGTTACTCCCTCCCCTTCCTCAAATCAAGACTACCCAGGAGATTATAGGACCTATCTACCATATGCCAGGAGTGACATAAAGTAACTTATTAAGAGCTGTCTATCCCAGAAAAGTAACAGAAATGTGTCCTTCATCCACGTTAACTTTCAGAAGGGTGATAATAGCCTAGGCTGCATCTCATAGCTTGAAGTAAGAAAGGAAACATAATTTTTTGAGTTCCCATCATGTGGTAGGCACTGTGTCAAGCCTATTCGAATGCATTATCTCATTCAGTCTTCACAAACAGCAAGTCAAACTCTGTATTAATATGAATTAAATGTATTGTTTCATAATTGCTTTCATAGTGCTCATAGTCTCTAAGTCACTTTGCGATGGGCAATATTTACAAATCTTTAAAAAACAAGATTTAGATTAGCCTTTGGAACATGAAATGATGCCTGCAAACACAACATTGTTGCATTCCTTTAATGTTCTCATAAAAGCTGTTAAGCGTAACAGAAGTTTGGGATAATTATTGTAGTAGGCTGTATCCAATAATGTTAGAGGATTTCACAAATTCGGTTACTGCCAGTATATGTTTGTAGTTATTTTTTTGCATTGCAGTCATTTACTTGGAGCTAAACATTTTTATCATGATATACTGTAGATAGAGACCAGAACTTTAGAGAGATGTATAGATTTGTCTGTAGGTATGTATAAACACACATACTAACCAACACTTAAGCATAATATTCCCTTTCCAGAACAAATCAATGATAACATTTTTGCCCAATCCTGCCCACCCAAACATATACACTAGAGAAAAACACCAGATGTGCAATCACATCAAATCTCCATCTCAGTTTAGATTTTACAAAGTACGTGACGTACTGCAATTTCTCATTCTTGGTACATTGCAATTTCTGATACATATTACCTGAGCATTAATAGATACTTGTAATATGTTCTGAAGTACTGGAATAAAAGCCATGAGCCATTTCTACTCTTATTGCTTTTGTTTTGTCGTAATTGTTTATCTAATTATGTTGAAATGGGTGCCAAAGATAATGGTTTGTGGAAAGTATTGAAGAAGAAAAGTTTCAGATAAATGTTAAATTGTTCTTTTTTTCTTAAATTGACTGCATGTCAAGGTTGCCTTTGGGGTATATTTTGCTTGCGCATGTTTATCCTGAAAACCACATGACTATGTAAATTGAAGGAAGAGTATAGCCCTTGAAGAGTTGAGGTAGGATCCTCAACTTAGTGCTTATGCTATCAAATTTTCCATTAGTCTCAGAATTTACCCCATGATTGGTGATTGGTTTAGTTTTCAGAATCTCTCTCTAGTATTCTGTTAGCAAAGGTCTCTGCAGCACTTTAGCCAATGAGTGTCTCAGACTGATTTTCTTCGAACCACAGCTTTCTCCTAGGAAGGGAGGTGATGCCACATAATGGCTGAGAGTGCAAGCTCTGAACAAACTTGGACTTAATCCATTTCTAGACCATTTACCAGCTGTGTGACCCTGGGAAATTTAAGCTGTTTGTGATTCAGTTTCCTTATCTGTATAATATGATGAAAAATACTAAATGTCTCATAGAGTTGTAACTATTAAATGAAAGAATCCATAAAAATTATTTGGCACAATGCATGGCACTCATTGTATATGGAAGTGAGTAAGATCACTCACCTAAGGAAAAGTGTGTATATTATTTCTTTAAGAATATGTCTTTCTTTAATAGACACAGTTTTGTGGGGAGCAAGAGAGATCTTTGAGGGCAGGGATTCGGTCTGGGTCAAGAGAATAGGCTAACTAGAAGGGATTGCATTAAAGTCCTATTTTAATATCCTTATCAAAGGTACTGTATTCTCTTAGATATGTTATCAAGTAAATAGGTTAGGGTAGAATTAATTTGCCTTCATTTCTACCCCTTTGGTTCTTCATATGGCATTATGCATTCTATGAGTGTTCAGCAAATGTTATGATGACAGAAAAATGGAAATTTGAAGAAGAGTGCTTGGGTGTACTGCAAGAAATAACTCATAATACATGGCCAATAGTTGAATCCCAGAGGTTATGACTTTGAAGCCATCATAAATGTATTATATTAAAATAACTTTTCTCTGAAGGAGAAAATGTTGCTTTGCTCTGAAGAGGAGCACATATTTCAACCTCTGCATGACAGTAAGCACTAGTTAAAAAAATAGAAGTTATGTGATCTCTATTGGTCAACTGGATTGAGAATCACAGAGTTATTTGTTACCACTGTCTGGTAATTTGTACTTTTAGGGAGAAGACGCACTGAACACTGAAAACAAGTTTACAATTCTTTTAGCACAAATGTCTTTTGATCTTTCTTCCCCCTGTTGGAATATATCCCACAAGGACTATTAGTTGCAAAAGAAAAGCTATTTGCGAATAACAACAGATTAAAAGCAAAAATAAAAATTATAGCTACATTCTTTAAAAAGGCCCTCCTATAGCTCAGTTTTAGATTTTCAAAGTGAAATTTTCCAGAAAATGAAAGAATAACTGACAGCTCTGTATCTGTAACGTTGTCAACTCTAGGGATATTTATGCATATATTAAATTTTAAAAAACTTTGAATATCTTGTGTAGTTTGCATCATGAGAACTACTTCAGCTGTAAGCCCTTGTAATATTGATTTTGCTATGCTATTAATCTATATTAATAGAGAAACTATGAGTGATACCTGTATCTTCAAATATGATTAGTATGTCTATTATTTTCATCAATTTAATGTTGAAGTTCTTTCACATATTCAGTATTGCTACAAGTTAATAATATTTCAACTTGATGTCTGATCCTGGGAAAGTAACCTGTCATTGTTCAGTGACCCTGCTGACCACAAGAGAATCTCTTTCAATTAAAGAAATAGACTGTCTCTTCCATTGACCTAGTCTAAAGGTAGGCCTTTGAAAGTACATTCACTCATTTATTAATCTAATAAATATTTATTTATCACCAGCCATGTTTAAATCACACTTTTCAGTAAATAAGTAACTCTAATTCAAGTCAGAATGTGCTAACTGCTATAAATGGTACAAATGGAATGCTATTAGAGTGAAGAAAGAGTAGTGATTACATTAGGAAAGGCTTCGATGAGAGTAGATTTAGAACTTCCTCCTAAATTTCTATACAATAAAATGTATTATTATTGGAATAAATAATTACTTTAGTTTGAATTAATTAAAAGTAGCATCCTCTGGGAGAGGGAATAGACAGATAGTCAAAATGAAATCATGCAAAGGTTTGACTAAGGAATGTGAACTTTGTTAAATTAGTAATGAAGAACTACTGAATATTTCTGAGTATAATAATGTCATAATAAGTCCTGAACTTTAGTAGTATTTCTTAGACAACAATGAATTTCAATGAGGAGAAATTGGAGATGGAGAATTGTTGGAATAAAAATGTAGACCAAGATTTTAGCAATGGAAATGAAAAGATGCAGAAAAGATAATTAATATTTAGAGGAATATGAGGGGTAAAAGAGGTTGCGGTTAACAAAAAAAGCCTCTATTTCTCTTATAACTGATCAAAACTTATCTCCCCTTTCGCTAGTGTCTTGGACTATCTGGTAAACCCTCTTTTTAACACTGCAGTACAATATCCAATGTTACCCTGTGAATGTAGGGAAGACGAAGTTTCTAAACTGTTTGGCTATTAATTTTAAAAGAGAAACAAATGACTACCACCTGGGAAAGCCAAGCTTTCTTTGTGATATTCTGATGATCTTGCTCAATGATGCATTTTTTTTTCTCTTGTAGCTTGTTGCATAAAATGGTTTATTATTTTATTTCTATGTAACAAATGAGTAGAAACATTTTAGGTGCTACAATCTTTATTACTTTCTAGAGGACTCTTAGCGAAAGAGATTATATGAAAGAACCAACCAACAAGAAATAGTAGAAAATGCCACTTTGTTTCCCTCAGTAAAGGCCAAAATGGCAGAAATTAATAATCAAATCAAATGGCATGACTTCAAATTATGTGCCTCCTAAATAAAATTTTATATCCTTCTTCCCCCAACAGCAGGTCACAACCTCTTCATTTCCTTTCACATAATTAAAAAGCCCTCAACATGCAGCCAGGTGTCCCTTTTGTTCAGCAGCTCCTTAAAGTACAGTCGCTTAACTACAGGGACTGAGAAATGCATTGTTAGGCCATTTCATCATTGTGAGAACCTCACAGAATGTACTTACACAATTCTGGATGGTATAGCCCACTAAACTCCTAGGCTATATGGTATATAGCCTATTGTTCCTATGCTACAAACATTTATGGCATATTTCCGTACTGAGTACTGTAGGCAATTGTAACACAATGGTCAATATTTGCATATCTAAACATATCTAAACCTAGAAAAGTTACAGTAAAAATACAGTATAAAAAATAAAGAATGATACACCTTTATAGGACACTTATCATGAATGAAGCTTGCAGGACTGGAAATTGTTCCAGGTGAGTCAGTGTGTGAGTGCTGAATGAATATGAAGGCCTAGGACATTACACTGCTGTGGACTTTATAAATGTTGTATACCTATGCTACACTAAATTTATAACAGTCTTTCTTCAATAATAAATTAAACTTAGCTCACTGTAATGTTTTTGTTTTACATATTTTTAATTTTTTAAAATTTGTTGGCTTTTGTAACAACACTTAGCTTAAAATGCAAACACATTGCACAGCTGTACAAAAATATTTTCTTTATATCCTTAGTTTTAAGCATTTTTCTATTTTTAATTCTTAATTTCTTTTCACTTTTTCAACTTTTTTTTTTTTTGTTAAAAACTAAGACACAAAGACACATACATTAGCCCTGGCCTACATACGGTCAGGATCATCAATATCACTGTCTTTCACCTCCACACCTTATCCCACTGGAAGATCTTCAGGGCATGGAGTTTTCATGTCCTATGATAACAATGTCTTCTTCTGGAATACTTCCTGAAGGTCCTGCCTGAAGCTGTTTTACAGTTAATTTTCTTTTATAAGTAGAACAGGTACACTCTAATATAATGGTAAAAAGTATAGAATAGCAAACTCATAAACCAGTAACATAGTTGTTTATCATCATTAAGTACTATGTACTGTACATAATTGTATGTGCTATACTTTTATATGACTGGCAGCACAGTAGGTTTGTTTTTACCAGCATTACCACAAACATGAGTTGTATAACATGAGCATTACCTTGCAGTACCATGCTACAATGGCTACAATGTCAGTAGGTAATAGGAATTTTTCAACCCCATTATAATCTTATGGGATCACCTACATATATGTGGCCCATTATTAACTGAAATGTCATTATGTGGCATGAGGCTGTACTGGGATTTGCTGAGGGATGTTAATTCTACTTTTGAACATAATCAAATCATCCCTCTTACTCTCTAACTCATCGCTTAATAAGAATGTCAATATATACGCTTGAAAAGCCAGTGCACAGTTGAGGACTTTCTAGTCCAGAATGATGCACCAGGAGTACATGAAATTCTGGGGTTTTCTGGAGGGTTTTAAATATTTTTAGTTATGAAGGCCAAGCTCTGTCAGTAATAGGAGCATGGACTCACTACAACCCAGCAGTTATACTGTATTTCCTACTGCTGAAGTACTAAACGACAAATTAAAAGGCTTGCTTAGTGTTGTCTCTAAGTTGCATTTTCCCTTGTGCATATTCAGCAGCACCAGGAGACTAATATCTATTTCACACTCCAGTTCAGAGCAGCCTAGCACATCCTACTCCCTCCACCTGTGAAATGTGTTGCTTTGGTTGGTGCTTTGTGATTTTGTACCATGGATTACTTATGCCAATATTGGGTGTTGCCTCTAGTTCCTACCAAAGTTCCCTTAAACCCATTGCTCCTTTTTTTTTTTTTTTAAACATAATTACCTTGACTTCTAGTGAAAGGGCTATAATTCACATAGCTAATAAAGTTGTTAAGCTACAGTATAATATTTATCCATCTTCATTAAAGAGAGAGAAAAATAATAGGGTTGTTTAATGGGCAAGCTCATTGCAGTCACTTTCCCAAGAAAAATGCATTTATTTACATTTGCCTCAGTGATTTAGACATGGAAAAACAGTAGAGAAAGTAGAGAGACAAAAAAGAGTAAGATGTGAATCAAGAAGTGAAGGGATTTTTCAGTTACATTCCCAGCCCATGGAGATTGGGTGGTGATGGGCAATATTGTCAAAGGAAAAGTGATATGAGACAAAACTGACATAAGAATTAGGCCTAAACATTCAAAATGACCAGATGGGACTCCAGTATGGGAACAGCAATTATTGTTTTTAGCTCCCCATCATCTAAACTAATTCCTGAGGCAATTGTTAAATTGATAGTGTCTAGTTACCAATTTTTTTTTTTTCACAGAGTCTCACTTTGTCACCCAGGCTGAAGTGCAGTGCTGTGAACTTGGCTCACTGCAACCTCTGCCCCCAAGGTTCAAGCAGTTCTCCTTCCTCAGCCTACAGAGTAGCTGGGATTACAGGCGTGCACCACCACATCTGGCTAATTTTTGTATTTTTAGTAGAGATGGGGTTTTGTCATGTTGCCCAGGCTGGTCTCGAACTCCTGGCCTCAAGTGATCTGCCTGCCTCGGCCTCCCAAAGTGTAGGGGGAGTACAGGCATGAGCCACCGTGCCCATCCCCAAATTGTTGATATCAGTAGCAAGCTGTGGTATCTGTGCTCAGTGATAGCAGCAGTGGTATCTTCATGGAATCAGTTGTGCACCATGATTTTTGGTGGTATTCCTGGATAGGCAGTCTCCAAACCTAGCACTCCATTTTGTTCTTAGATTAATCAGAGTTGGCATATGTTTTTCTGAAAGGGAGAAGGGACTACGAAAGAGTCTTCTATGTGGTCTGCCTCATGTGATTCAGGCTTAGAAGGAAGGACTTCTCCAATTAATGGAGAGATTGTTCTTCATTAGTTACTCACATTTTCACACAATTCCATCATCCAAAACAATATTTCTTTTGCTATCAAGTTATGTTCCCTATTTTGTACCCTAGCAATGAGTGGGGGAGTAGGAAGTCTCTAAAAAAACTGATAAAAAGAAACACATAAAATGTTGTTTAATCCATCTGATACTCAACAAAGTGAACAAAAATAAGCAATGGGGAAAGGACTCCTTATTTAATAAATGGTGTTGGGATAGTGGGCTAGCCATATGCAGAAGGATGAAGCTGGACCCCTACCTTTCACCATATACAAAAATGAAATCAAGATGGATTAAATATTAAATGTAAACCTGAAACTATAAGAACCCTGGAAAGAAACCTAGGAAACATCATTCTGGATTTTGGCCTTGGAAACTAATTTATTACTAAGTCCTCAAAAGCAATTGCAACAAATGCAAAAATTGGCAAGTGGCACCTAATTAAATAAAGGACTTTTGCACAGCAAAAGAAACTATCAAAAGAGTAAACAGATGACCTACAGAATTGGAGAAAATATTTGCAAACTATGCATCCAACAAATGCCTAATAGCCAGAATCTTTAAAGAATTTAATTCAACAAGCAAAAACAAATAACCCCATTAAAAAATGAGCAAAAGACAGGAACAGACACTTCTGAAAATAAGATAAACAAGCGGCCAAGAAACTTGAAAAATATGCTCCATGTCACTGCTCATTAAAGAAACGTAAATCAAAACCACAATAAGATACTGTCTCATACCAGTTAGAATGGCAATTATTAAAATGTCAAAAAGCAACAGATGCTAACCAGGCTGTGAATAAAAGGGACTGTTTATACACTATTGGTGGGAATGTAAATTAATTCATCCACTGCGGAAAGCAGTTTGGCAATTTCTCCAAGAACGCAAGACAGAACTACCATTAGACCCAGCAATCCTATTATAGGGTATGCATCCAAAAGAAAACAAATAGTTCTACCAAAAAGAAATATGTACTCTTCTCTTCATCTATTCACAATAGAAAAGACATAGAATCAACCTCGGTGCTGATCAATGGTGGGCTAGATAGAGAAAATGTGGTACATATATACCATGGATTACTGCATAGCCATAAAAATGAGTGACATTATTATGTCCTTTGTAGCAACATGGTTGGGGCTAGAGGTCATTATCATAAACAAATTAACATAGAAACAGAAAAGCAAGTACTGCATGTTCTCACTTATGAGTAAGAGCTAAACATCTGGTATTCAGGGACATAAAGATGGCAACAATAGATACTGGGGAGTGCTAGAGGGCAGAAGGAGGAATGGGGGCAAGGATTGAAAAACTAACTTTTGGGTACTACGCTCAATACCTGAGTGACGTGATCATTCATACCCTAAACTTCAGCATCATGCAATATACCCAGGTAACAAACATGCACATGTACCTCCTAAATCTAAAATAAAATTTGAAAAAATTGTTGTTCATTTATCCTCAGCCCGAAGTTAGGAAACATTGATCTGGAATAATACTAATGAATTGTAATAATAATTATATTATGAATAACAGCAATAGGTACAAAACAGCTAATAATTTATTGTGTACTTCCAGCTATTGGAACAGTCAGTGTCTTTTACTTGCTTGTCCCATTTAACAACAACTTTAAGAGGCAGGTTCTGTTATCATTTCTATTTATAGATGAGGAAACTGCAGGTTCGAAAAGTTAAGGAACTGACTCAGAGTTACTAAGTGGAGAAGCTAGAGTTAGACAGTAGATCTGTTTGATTTGAAAATCCAAGCTTCTGACAACTCTACCATCTTCAAATAAGAAGGATAGTAATGTGTTTTGTTATGTGTATGTGTCTTACAATACATGTTTATGAAGAAATATTAGGTAGAGCTAAAAGAATAAGGGGAAGTAGAAATGAAACTGGTAGTTTTATGTGCCAGTCACCCGTTGCTTTATATCTTTATCTCATTTTATCTTTTCAACATACCAGAGAAGTATAATATACACTATTTTTTAGAAAACTGGGGTTCAGAGAATTAAAGTAACTTGCCTAAGGACACAGAGCCCATAGGTAATTAAGCCAGAACATACATTCCTGTATGTCTGAATAAAATAGAAAATGGTGGTTATTACTAGTCTTCATAAATGTTTTATCTCTCGTGTCTACCTTGAGAAATTGCTTAGGTTATAAAGAAATCCAGCCTTGTTAATGCATAAACTTGCTTGGTATTTTTTGAACCAAAAATGGAATTTATTTAGTTATTAATTTTTACTTTTCATTAAATACCAGGATTTTCTGGGGTAGGTAGAATGTCAAATATGATAGCAATTTTGCCTTATTACAAAATAAAAAATAAGTAATACAGAGTTTAGGGTATTCTTTTGATTATACTGCATTTTTTTACTTTTATTTTAAGTTGAGGGTTGCATGAGCAGGTTTGTTACATAGGTAAACTTGTCTCATGGGGGTTTGTTGTACAGATTACTTCATCACCAAGGTATTAAGCATGGTACCCATTAGTTATTTTTTCTGATCCTCTCCTTCCTCTCACCCTTCACCCTCCAATAGGCCCTTGTGGGTGTTGTTCCCCTCTATGTGTCAATGTATTCTCATAATTTAGCTTCCATTTGTAAGGGAGAACATGCAGTATTTGGTTTTCTGTACCTGTGTTAGTTTGCTATGGATAATGACCTCCGGCTCCATCCATGTCCTTGCAAAGAACATGATCTTATTATTTTTATTGCTGCATAGTATTCCAAGGTGTATATGTACCACAGTTTCTTTAAAAGGTCTATCATTGATGGGCATTTATGTTGATTCCATGTTTTTACTATTGTGAATGGGATTGTAATGAACATATGCAGGCATGTGTCTTTATAATAGAATAATTTATATTCCTTTAGGTATATACCCAGTAATGGGATTGCTGGGTCTAATGGTATTTCTGTCTTTAGGTGTTTGAGGAATCACCACACTGTCTTCCACAATGCTTGAATTAATTTACACTTCCACCAACAGGATATAAGCATTCCTTTTTCTCCACAATCTTGCCAGTATCTGTTATTTTTTGACTTTTTACTAATAGCTATTCTGAGTGGTGTGAGATGATATCTCATTGTAGTTTTGTTTTGCATTTCTGTAATGATCAGTGATATTGAGCTTTCCTTCATGTGATTGTTGGCTGAATGTATGTCCTCTTTTGAAATGTGTCTCTTCCCATAATTTGCCCACTTTTCAATGGAGTTGCTTTTTTCTCGTAAATTTGTTTAAGCTTCCTATAGATTCTGGATATTAGACCATTGTCAGATGCATAGTTTGCAAAATTTTTCTCCCATCCTGTAGATTGTTTGTTTACTCTGTTGATAGTTTATTTTGCTGTGCACAAGCTCTTTAGTTTAATGAGATCCCATTTGTCAATTTTTGCTTTTGTTGCAATTGCTTTTGGTGTCATGAAATCTTTGCCCATGCCTATGTCCTAAATGGTACTGCCTGGGTTGTCTTCCAGGGTTTTTATAGTTTGGGGTTTTACATTTAAGTCCTTAATCTATCTTGAGTTAATTTTTATATATGGTGTAAGGAAGGGGTCCAGTTTTAATCTTCTGCATATGACATTAGGAGTTATTCCAGCACTATTTATTGAATAGGGAATTGTTTCCCCATTGTTGTTTTTGTCAGGTTTGTCAAAGATCAGATAATTGTAGGTGTGTGGTCTTATTTCTGGGTTCCCTATTCTATTCCATTGCTCTATGTGTCTGTTTTTGTACCTGTACCATGTTGTTTCATTTACTGTAGCCTTGTAGCATGGTTTGAAGTCTGGTAGTGTGATGTCTCCAGCATTGTTCTGTTTGCTTAGGACTGCCTTGGCTATTCGAGCTCTTTTTTGGTTCCATGTGAATGTTAAAATAGTTTTCTCTATTTCTGGGAAGAATGTCAATGGTAGTTTAATAGGAATAGCATCAAATCTGTAAATTGCTTTGGGCATTATTGCCATTTTCATGATATTGATTCTTCCTATCCATGAGCATGGAATGTTTTTCCATTTGTTTGTGTCCTGTCTTATTTCCTTGAGCAGTAGTTTGTAGTTCTCCTTGAAGAGGTACTTCATGCCCCTTGTAAGTTGTATTCCTAGGTATTTTATTATTTTTATGGCTATTGTAAATTGGAGTACATTCCTGATTTGGCTGTTGGGTTAACTGTTGTTGGTGTATAGGAATACTAGAGATATTTGCACATTGATTTTGTATCCTGAGACTTCACTGAGGTTGTTTATAAGCTTAAGAAGCTTTTGGGCTGAGGCTATGAGGTTTTCTATATAGAGAATTATGTCATCTGCAGACAGGGATAGTTTGACTTCCTTTCTTGGTATTTGGATGCCTTTTATTTCTTTCTCTTACTTGGCTGCCCTGGCAATAACTTTCAATACTATATTGAATAGGAGTGGTGAGAGAGCATCATTTTCTTGTGCAGGTTTGAAAGGGGAATGCTTCCAGCTTTTGCCTATTTGGCATGATATTGGCTGTGGATTTGTCACATATGTCTCTTATTATTTTGAGGTATGTTCATTCAATACCTAGTTTATTGATAGTTTTTAACACAAAGGAGTGTTGAATTTTATCAAAAGCCTTTTCTGCACCTATTGAGAAAATTTTGTGGGTTTTATATTTAGTTCTGTTTAAGTGATGAATCCCATTTCTTGATTTGCATATTTTGAACCAAACTTGCATCCCAGGGATAAAGCCTACTTGATCTTATTGCATAAACCCCCCTTTTTTTTCCCAGATGGAGTTTCACTCTTGTCGCCCAGGCTGGAGTGCAGTGGCACAATCTTGGCTCACTGCAACCTTCACCTCCTGGATTCAAGGGATTCTCCTGCCTCAGCCTCCAGAGTAACTGGAATTACAGGTGCCCGCCACCACGTATTTTTTGTATTTTTAGTAGAGACGGGGTTTCGCCATGTTGGGCAGGCTGGTCTCGAACTCCTGACCTCAGGTGACCTGCTCACCTTGGCCTCTCAAAGTGCCAGGATTACAGGTGTGAGCCACCTCACCCGGCCTGCATAAACTTTTTGATATACTGCTGGGTTCAGTTTGCCAGTGTTTTGTTGAGGATTTTTGCATCAATGTTCGTCAAGGATATTGGCCTGAAGTTTTCTTTTTTTGTTTTATCTCTGTCAGGTTTTGGTATCAGGATGATGCTGGCCTCATAGAATAAATTAAGGAGGAATCCATCCTTTTCAATTTTTTAGAATAGTTTCAGTAGGAATGGTACAAGCTATTCTTTGTACATCTGTTAGAATTAAGCTGTTAATCTGCGTGGTCGTGCGCTTTTTTTGTTTGGTAGGCTATTTATGACTGCCTCAATTTCAGAGCTCATTATTGATCTGTTCCGGGATTTAATTTATTCCTGGTTCAGCCTTGGGAGTGTGTATGTGTCCAGTAATTTCTTCATTTCTTGTAGATTTTCTAGTTTTTGTGCATAGAGGTGTTCATAATATTCCCTGATGGTTGCTTATATTTCTGTGGGGTCAGTGGTAATATCCCCCTTTTCGTTTCTGATTATGTTTATTTGAATCCCCTCTCTCTTTTCTTCTTTATGAGTCTAGTTAGCTGTCTATTTTATTAGTTTTTTTCCAAAAAAGAAAAAAAACAGCTCTTCGATTCATTTATCTTTTGAATGATCTTTCATGTCTCTATTTCCTTCAGTTCAGCTCAGATTTTGGTTATTTCTTGTCTTCTGGTAGCCTTGGAATTTGTTTGCCCTTGGTTCTCTAGTTCTTTTAGTTGCGATGTTAGCTTGTTAACTTGAGATCTTTCTTTCTTTTTGATGTGACCATTTAGTGCTGAAATTTCTCTCAATACTGCTTTAGCTGTGTCTTCTTTCTTTATCTGTTCTCAATAGTTTCAAATAATTTCTTGATTTCTGCCTTAAATTCATCATTTACCCAGAAGTCATTCATGAACAGATTATTCAATTTCCATGTAATAGTATCATTTTGAGTGAATTTCTTAGTCTTGATTTCTTTTTTCAAATTTATTCTTCATTATTATTATTTATTTTTTCCATAGGTTATTGGGGTACATGTGGTGTTTGGTTGCATGAGTAAGTTCTTTAGTCGTGATTTGTGAGATTTTGGTGTACCCATCACCCGAATAGTATACAGTGTACCCTATTTGTAGTCTTTTATTCCTCTCCTCCCCCCACCCCCCTATCCTTCCCCCCAAGTCCCCAAAGTCCATTTTATCATTCTTACGCATCTGCATTCTCATAGCTTAGCTTCCACATATCAGTGAGAACATAAAATGTTTGGTTCTCAATTCCTGAGTTACTTCACTTGTAATAATAGTCTCCAATCTCATCCAGGTCACTGCAAATGCCATTAATTCATTCCTTTTTATGGCTGAGTAGCATTCCATCGTATATATATATATAATATATATGTATATATATGTATATATGTATATAATGTATATATCTACGTATATATATGTGTGTGTGTGTGTGTGTGTGTGTGTGTATATATACGTATATATATAACAGTTTCTTTATCCACTCATTGATTGATGGCCATTTGGGTTGGTTCCACTATTTTGCAATTGGGAATTGTGCTGCTATAAACATGTGTGTGCAAGTATCTTTTTCATATAATGACTTCTTTTTCTCTGGGTAGATACTCAGTAGTGGGATTGCTGGATCAAATAGTAGTTCTAATTTCAGTTGTTTAAGGAATCTCCACACTGTTTTTCATAGTCGTTTGTACTAGTTTACATTCCTACAAGCAGTGTAGAAGTGTTCCCTGATCACCACATGCACACCAACATCTACTGTTTTTTAATTTTTTTGATTATGGCCATTCTTGCAGGAGTAAATGATATCGCATTGTGGTTTTGATTTGTATTTCCCCGATCATTAGTGGTGCTGAGCGTTTTTTCATATACTTGTTGGCAATCTACAAATGCAACACAATCCCCATCAAAATACCATCATCATTATTCACAGAATTAGAAAAAACAATTCTAAAGTTCATATGGAACCAAAAAAGAGCATGCACAGCCAAAGCAAGACTAAGTAAAAAGAACAAATCTGGAGGCATCACACTACCTGATTTCAAAGTAAGCTATAAGGCCATAGTCACCAAAACAGCATGGTACTGGTATAAAAATAGGCACATAGACCAATGGAACAGTATAGAGAAAACAGAAATAAACCCAAATACCTACAGCCAACTGATCTTCGACAAAGCAAACAAAAAAAATAAAGTGGGGAAGCAATCCCCTTTTCAACAAACGGTGCTGGGATAATTGGCTAACCATATGTAGAAGAATGAAACTGGATCCTCATCTCTCACCTTATACAAAAATCAACTCAAGATGGATTAAAGACTTAAATCTAAGACCTGAAACTATAAAAATGCTAGAAGATAACATTGGAAAAACCCTTCTAGATACTGGCTTAGGCAAGGATTTCATGACCAAGGACTCAAAAGCAAATGCACTAAAAACAAAGATAAATAGCTGGGACTTAATTGAACTAAAGAGTGTTTGCATGGCAAAAGGAACAATCAGCAGAGTAAACAGACAACCCACAGAGTGGGAGAAAATCTTCACAATCTATACATCTGACAAAGGACTAATATCCAGAATCTACAATGAACTCAAACAAATCAGCAAGAATAAAACAATCCATCAAAATTGGGCTAAGGATATGAATAGACAGTTCTCAAAAGAAGAAATACAAATGGCCAACAAACATATGAAAAAATGCTTAGTCTTGATTTCTAATTTGATTGTGCTGTGGTCCATGAGACTGTTTGTTATGACTTCAGTACTTATGCATTTGCTGAAGAGTGTTTTACTTCTGATAATTTCATCAATTTTAGAGTATGTTCCATTTGGCGATGAGATGAAAGTATGTTCTGTTGTTTTTGGGTGGAGAGTTCTTTAGATATCTGTCAGGTCCATTTGATCCAGTGCTGAGTTCAGGTCCTGAATATCTTTGTTAATTTTCTGTCTCCATGATCTGTCTAATATTGTCAGTGAAGAGTTAAAATTTCTCCTATAGCATTGGAGTCTGTCTCTTTAAAGGTCTCTAAGAACTTGCTTTATGAATCTGAGTGCTCCTGCGTTGGGTGCATATATATTTAGAATAGTTACATCTTCTTGTTGAATTGAACCCTTTAAAATTACGTAGTACCTTTTTTCTCTTTTTAAATCTTTGTTGGTTTAAAGTCTGTTTCGTGAGAAACTAGGATTGCAACCCCTTCTTTTTTCTGTTTTTTATTTGCTTGGTAGATTTTTCTCTGTTCCTTTATTTTGAGCCTGTTTGAGTCATTGCATGTGAGGTGAATCTTTCGAAGACAGCATACCGACGGGTTGTGGTTCTTTATTGAGCTCGCCACACTGTGTCTTTTAATTGGGGCATTTAGCCCATTTACATTTAAAGTTAGTATTGATATGCATGGATATGATCTTATCATCATGATGTTAGCTGGTTATTTTGCAGACTGGTTAATGTCGTTGCTTTATAATGTCACTGTTCTGTGTACTTAAGTGTTTTTGTAGTGGCTGGTAATGGTCCTTACCATATTTGGTACTTCCTTCAGGAGCTCTTGTAAGGCAGGTCTGGTGGTAATAAATTCTCTCAGAATTTGCTTGTCTGGAAAGGGTTTTACTTCTCCTTTGCTTATGACACTTAGTTTGGCCAAATATAAAATTCTGTGTTGGAATTTCTTTCCCTTAAGAATGTTGAATATTGGTGCCAATCTTCTGGCTTGTAAGGTTTTAGCTGAGAGATCTATTGTTAGTCTGATGGGCTTCCATTTTTAGGTGATCAGACCTTTCTCTCTAGCTGCCTTTAAAATTTTTTCTTTCATTTTGACGTTGGCAAATCTGATGGTTTTGTGTCTTGGGGATGATCTTCTAGTGGAATATATTACTGGGGTTCTCTGCATTTTCTGAATTTGTATGTTGACCACTCTAGCTAGGTTGGGGAATTTCGTATGGGTGATATCCTGAAATATGTTTTGCAGATTGGTTCCATTCTCTCCATCTCTTTCAGGTATACCAATTAGTCATAGATTCAGTCTCTTTACCTAATTTCATATTTCTCTGAGGTTGTGTTCATTCCTTTTCATTCTTTTTTTCTCTATTCTCATCTGGATGTCTTGTTTCAGAAGGCCAGTATTCAAGCTCTGAGATTCTTTCCTCCACTTTATGTATTCTGCTATTAATACTTGTGATTGCATTATGAAATTACTGTAGCGTGTTTTTTAGCTCTATCAGGTCAGTTATGTCGTTCTCTATACTGGCTCTTTTGTCTATCAGCTTCTGCAATGTTTTCTCATGATTTTTAGCTTCCTTGCATCGGGTTACAATGTACTCCAGTAACTCAGTGAACTTTGTTCCAATTCGTATTCTGACTTCCACTTTTGTCCTTTCAGCCATCTCAGCATAAGCCCAGTCCGAACCCTTCCTGGAGAGATGATGAGGTCATTTGGAGGAAAGAAGGTACTCTGGCTTTTTGAGTTTTCAGTGTTCTTATGCTGATTCTTTTTCATCTTTGTGGGCTTATCTACCCTCAATCTTTGTGATTGCTGAACTTTGGAATTTTTTTTTCCTTTTATTCTATTTGATGACCTTGAGAGTTTGATTGTGGTATAAGGTGGATTCAGCCAACTTACTTCATTTCTGGAAGATTTTAGGGGGCCGACATTCAGCTCCCAACACCTGGACTTTGTGCTCTAACTCTGGGGGACTTGTATTGGGCCCTGACTTTTTTCTCTGGCTCCTCAAGTTTTGGAGTCTACTGCACAGAGGGGACTGAGATGTGGCAGCAGCAGTAGAGTGCCAGCAGATGCAGGGGTGTCTGCCTCCCTGCGGGCATTAATCACAGTGGCAGAGTCAAGGCAGTTGGCAGAAAATGGGGCAGGAGGGGGTTTCCTGCTGGTGACTGTGTGCACTGTTGCAATGGAGGTGGTGTTGGCTTGAAGTAGGGTGCTGTCCAGCAAAGGTCTTGGTGCCTTCTCTGTGCCCTGCAAGCAGGAGTGATGATTCAGGATGTGGGAGGATTCCCTGTTCTCTGCGCAGCATTAGTGCAAGGGCAGGGTGCTGTCAGGGGTAGGTTTTGCTGGCTCTGTGTCCAACAAGGCTCCGTCTGCAATGCTGGTTGTTGGGGGTTAGGGGGGCATACTGCACTCCTGCGTGCTGGTGGGGCAAATAAAATAAATCTTGTTCATGCAGACACGTGCCAGCAAAGTGATGTGGGGGGTTGCTGTGGGCTTGGGGAAGCTGCAGTTTGCAGAGGTACTATGCAGACTGGTGTGTGGCCATAGGGGCTGCCTCACTGGAGCTCTCCACCAGTCAGGCATGAACCACTGGTACAGAAGCTATGAGGTGGACCCCCAGGCACACAAGACTGCCCTGTAAGCAGACATGGCCAGGCTGGGGCCTTGGGAGAGGCCAGCAGACCAAAGAGTGCTCAGGTTGGGCCAGCTCCATCTGATGTGCATGACCACCCTGCGGACATCATGTCTGACAGTTCCCTCAGAGCTAAAGTCTGTTATGGAAGCAAGTTGAACCTAGAGGGATAGCCATGCTCTACTACAGATGCTCCTGCACCAAACCCTCTCGGCTCTGCATCAGCTGGCTTGCTGCCTTTACCACTTTGCTCCTCTCCTGGGGACTCCACCTGAGAGAGATGTGGGTCAGCAATTGCTCAGAGCAATCAGCCCAGGATGGAGAGTCTGTACTGTGGGCCCAAAGCCAGGGGTTTTCTGCCTGGTGATGAGCAGTAGGGGATGTTTGGGACTCATGGGAGATGGACTAGCCTCCTGTCCTTGGGGCAATTGCAGCTTGTTGGAGATGTGGATAAGATACTTAGGGTCTTTGCTTCTTCATTAGTCTGAGGGTAGTAAGGACAGTTCCACTGCAGAGACAGTGGCAGAGAGGCTGTCAGTTGCCCCTGGAGGCTCTGTCCAGGGAGTTGCCAAGTTGCTATTAGCTTCATATCTCTGGTGGGGGGTGGCTAGAGGCCCAGGCCTGGAGGACCTGCCCAGTGAGGAGGTATGAGAGGACCCCCATGTAAGAGTCTGGCCACTTTTCCGTAGAGCTATGGTGATATACTGGGGGTCCACTCCATTCCCTAGTCTCCTGGGATTTTCCAGTACCTGGAGGTATCACCAGTGAAGACTGCAAAATGGCAAAATGGCAGCCTGCTGCTCCCTGTGGGTGCTCTGTCCCAGGAAGGCACAGGTGTTGCTGGCCTGAACGCACCTGTAAGAGGTGGCAGAGGACCCCAGTTGGGAGGTCTCACCCGGTCAGGAGGAACAGAGTTTGGGAGCTGCTTAAAAAATTAGTCTGGCCACATTTTTGTAGAGCAGCTGTGCTGTGCTTGGGGTCCACTTCGGCTCCTGAGACACTCCAAAGCTCAAAGGCTGGAACAGCTAAGTCACCAAAACAGAAATGATGGTGGCCCGACCCTCTCTCTGGTAGCTCCATCCCAAGGAGGTCTAAAACCTCTGTCAGCCAAAGACCACCGGTGGGGGTCGCTGAAGACCCCTGTTGGGAGAGTCCACTCGGTGAGGAGAAATGGGATCAGAGACCTGCTTAAAAAGCAGTCTGGCCACATTTCTGTAGGGCAGCTGTGCTATTCTGGGGTACTGCTTCCACCCTCAGTTGGCTTGGGCTCTCCAAAGCCTGAAAGCTAGAACAACTAAGTCATCCAAACAGCTCACAGGGAGCTCTCTGACTCTCCCTCTGAGTGCTCTGTCCCAGAGAGTTTTCAAATCTCTGCTGACTGGAGAACACTGAGGGGGGTGGCTAAAGGCCCCGGTTGGGAGGCTCCACCCAGTGATGAGGAATGGAATCAGGGACACACTTAAAGAAGCAGTCTGGCCACATTTCAGTAGAGCAGTTGTGCTGTGCTGGAGGATTCTTTCCATCTCTGGTCAGCTTGGACTCACCAAAGCCCGAAGGCCATAACAGCTAAGTCATCCAAACAGCAAAGATCCGGGCCTACCACTCACCCTGGGAGCTCCATCCCATGGAGGCACAATACTGCCATCTGTAGCTGACTGGAATTCCAGGCGAGTGGGTCTTATCTGGTGAGGTGCCTTGGAAGTGGTGCCCATAGACCATTGCTGCTTGACCTTCTGGATTCAGCCTCTTTCCTAGGGATATGTATGGGAGTCTAACCTCCCACTTTGCCCTTTTCCAGAGTTGCAGTTACTTTTGCTGGGAAGCCTGGAAAGCAAGAGCATCTAAAACTTCCAGATCTCTGTGCATGCCTGAGCGGCTGCTCTGCCAAAACTCCACGTAGCTCTGGGTGGCAGACTAAAGGCCCTGGTGGAGTGGGTTCACAAAGAGATCTCTTGATCTGAGGGTTGCAAAGATCCGTGGGAGAAGCATGCATTCTTGGGGACACACATTCACTCACCACTTCCCTGGGAGCGGAGGTTCCTTTGGCTCCCTGCCACTCCCAGGTGGGCCATCATCCTGTGGTGCTTTTCTCTATTCTCCATGGGTAAAGTTGTTTATTTGATTAATCCCCATGCATGTACCTGGATGATTCCGTTGAAGGTGCTATATTTACTCACCCCTTCCACTCTTCTCTGTGAGAGCCACACACACTAGCTGCTTTTAGTCGGCCATCTTAGCCACCTCTCTTGTTAATTGTTTTCTGGTTGTTTTGTAGATCCTTTGTTCCTTTCTTCCTCTCTTGCTGTCTTTGTTTGTGATTAGGTGATTTTCTCTAGTGGTATGCTTTGATTTCTTGTCTTTTATTTATAAATTTTATTTTAATCTTCATACTAAATTTTTAAATAATTTATACACCACCTTTACAGTATTAGACTGTTCTGAATTTGACCTTGTGCTGACTTTTACCAGTGAGTTTTACACTTTCACGTTTTAGTGTTGCTATTTAGCATTTTCTTAAAATTAAGCTTGAAGAATTCTCTTTAGCATTTGTTGAAAAACAGGTCTGGTGGTGATGATATCCTTCAGCTTTTGTTTGGGAAAGTATTTATTTCTCCTTTATTACTGAAGAACAGCTTTTCCAGAGAAAGCATTCTTGTTGGCAGGGTTTTTTCTTCATCATTTTGAATATATCATCCCACTCTCTCTTGTTCTGCAAGGTTTCTGCTATGAAATCCATTGTGGGTTACCTCCCTGTGCCAAAGTGAGCAGTAGCCAACACATCAGGGTGTGAGTCTTATTATAAAACCGAGGGTGATGAAGAAGCAGAAGAAGAAGAGGACCTTGAAGCAAGTGAATACTAGAAATATTCAGGAAGTGATAGTTTAATTTTTTTTGGTTGATGCCTCCAGGGCTATGTTTGAATCTCAGAGCGAAGGTGAGTTGACTCCTTTTGACATGAGCATCCAGTGTATCCAAAGTGTGTACATGAGTAAGATCATAAGCAGTGATCGAGATCTTTATGATACTGAGAAAGACAAAAATTCAGTGAATTTTAAAAATATTTACGTCTTACAGGAGTTGGAAAATCCAGGTGCAAAACAAATTCTAAAGCTTGACCAGTTTAAGGGGCAGCAGGGACAAAAATGTTTCGAAGACCTGATGGGCCATGGATCTGACTACTCATTCAGTGAAGTTCTGTGGGTCTGTGCCAAACTGTTTAGTGATATCCAGTTCAAGATGAGTCATAGAAAATCATGCTGCTCACCAATGAAGACAACCCTCATGGCAATGACAGTGTTAAGGCCTGCCAGGCCAGGACCAAAGCCGGTGATCTACGAGATATAGGCATCTTCCTTGACTTGATGCCCCTGAAGAAACCTGGGGGCTTTGACATATCCTTGTTCTACAGAGATATCATCAGCATGGCAAAGGATGAGGACCTCATCCTTTGAGGAATCCAGTTCACTTTGAGGAATCCAGCAATCTAGAAGACCTGTTGCAGAAGGTTCGTGCCAAGGAGACCAGGAAATGGGCACTCAGCAGGTTAAAGCTGAAGCTCAACAAAGACATAGTGATCTCTGTGGGCATTTACAGTCTCGTCCAGAAGGCTCTCAAGCCTCCTTCAATAAAACTCTATCGGAAAACAAATGAACCAGTGAAAACCAAGTCCCGGAAATTTAATATTAATACCGGCAGTTTGCTTCTGCCTAGCGATACCAAGCGGTCTCAGATCTATGGGAGTCATCAGATTATACTGGAGAAAGAGGAAACAGAAGAGCTAAAATGGTTTGATGAACCAGCTTTGATGCTCATGGTTTTCAAGCCCTTGGTAATGCTGAAGGAGCACCATTACCCGAGGCCCTCCTTGTTCACGTACCCTGAGGAGTCGCCGGTGAATGGGAGTTCAACCCTGTTCAGTGCTCTGCTCATTAAGTGTCTGGAGAAGGTGGTCATAGCATTGTGCAGATACACACCCCGCAGGAACATCCCCCCTTATTTGGTGGCTTTGGTGTCACAGGAAGAGGAGTTGGATGACCAGAAAATTCAGGTGACTACTCCAGGTTTCCAGCTGGTCTTTTTACCCTTTGCTGATGATAAAAGGAAGGTGCCCTTTACTGAAAAAGTCATGGCAACTCCAGAGCAGGTGGACAACATGAAGGCTATCATTCAGAAGCTCTGCTTCACATACAGAAGTGACAGCTTTGAGAACCCCGTGCTGCAGCAGCACTTCGGGAACCTGGAGCCCTTGATCTTGTATTTGATGGAGGAACAAGCAGTGGACCTTATATTACCCAAGGTTGAAGAAATGAATAAAAGACTGGGCTCCATGGTGAATGAGTTTAAGGAACTTGTCTACTCACCAGATTATAATCCTGAAGGGAAAATTACCAAGAGAAAATGCAATAATGAAGGTTCCAGAAGCAAAAGGCCCAAGCGGAGTATTCAGAAGAGGAGCTGAAGACCCACATCAGCAAGGGCACATTGGGAAAGTTCACTGTGCCAATGATGAAAGAGGCCTGCCTGGAGTACTGGCTGAAGAAGCAGGAGCTGCTAGAAGCCCTCACCAAGCACTTCCAGGACTGACCAGAGGCCGCGCCTCTGGCTGCCCTTCCACACTGTGGCCAGGCTGCCTGGCCTTGTTCTCAGCCAGTTAAAACATGTTTCTCCTGAGCTAGGAAGAGTCTGCCCAACAGAAGTCGAGGGACTTTACGTTTATGAGGCTTTCTGTTGTCATGGTGATGGTGTAGCCCTCCCACTTTGCTGTTCCTTACTCTATCGTCTGAATAAAGAGCCCCAACTTTGTACTATTAAAAAAAAAAATAAAAAAAATAATGAAAACAACATTGCTAGCTTTATTGGAATTTCCTCATACATATGTTTCTTGTGCTGTTTCTAGAATCCTTTCTTTGTCTTTGATATTCGATAGTTTGATTCTGTTTTTTTCTTGGTGTTTTCTTGTTTGGTTTGAATATAATTGGAAACTTGACCTTCTCGTACCTGGATATTTACATCTTTCTACAGATTTGGAAAGTTTTCTACTATTACTTCTTTAAATACATTTTCTGGCCCGTTGTCTCTCTCTTCTTTTTATTTTAGTCCTATAATCTGAACATTTGCTCTTGATGTTGTAAGTCTCATAAGCTTTCCTCATTTGTTTTTATCCTTTTTTTCTCCTCTGATTATGTATCTTCAAATAACCTGTGTTCAGGTTCACAGATTTTTTCTTTTGCTTGAA
The DNA here is from genome assembly GCF_000001405.40 of Homo sapiens. Classification (NCBI taxonomy): domain Eukaryota; kingdom Metazoa; phylum Chordata; class Mammalia; order Primates; family Hominidae; genus Homo; species Homo sapiens. Next base: position 99,718,702 of record NC_000023.11, on the reverse strand, counting down.
CAGTTCTGCTGTTGACACTCTATCACACTTTTCATTTTGTTCTTTTTATTTCTGGCTTCAGAATTTGTTTGATTTTTAAAATAATTTCAATCTCTCTGTTGAATTGTAATTTTGATCATTTATTGTTTTCCTGTTTTGTTGAATTGTTCCTCTGTATTTTCTTGAAGTTCACTGAGCTTCCTTAAAACAATTATTTTGATCTTGTTTTCAGGCAGTTTATACATCTTCATTTCATTAGGGTTGGCTATTGGCACTTTATTTTGTTCATTTGGTAATATAGTTTCCCTGACTTTTTCTGATCCCTGTGGTCCTGCACTGGTATCTGAACATTTAAAAAATTTGGAACGTTTTCAGTCTTTACAGATGGACATCATCTGGGAAAGTCATTCACCAATCAGTGCATCCAGAGATTCTGGGAAGGCTGTATGGTAGGGTCTGTGGATGGGCTGACTGTTGAAGTACTTGGACTGTCTGGGCTGATACCCGAGTCAGCAGGCGGGCAGTTATTGTGCCTGAATCCACAGGATTGGACCTGGAGCCTGAATTCTCTGGGTTGGTCCAGTTGATTGAGTCCATGGTGGGTGATCCTGGAGCCTGGGTCCATGAGGGCATGCCTGAAACCTGGGTTCAGTGAGATGGGTCTGAAGTTGGAGTTTACAGGGATAGGCCTTGGTCCTGGGCCCATAGGGGGCTTGTCTGTAACCTGGATCAGCATGTGGTTGAGACTTCTGCCTGATTCTGAGGGAGCTGGCCTGAAGCCTGAGTCTACAGGGGCTGGTCTTTTGCTGGGGCAAGCCTCGAGCTTGAGTCCATGGCAGCAGGCCTGGGCCCTGGGTCCATGGGGTGGTCTGGAGCCTAGTTTTGCAGTGGTGGCCTGGAGTCAATCTGTGGAGGCTGGCTTGGCACAAAGGTCGACTTGGAATGAGCCTGGATCCTGGATTCACTGGAGCCTGGGACCACCAGGACTAGCTGAGGGTCTGGGGCCTGCCTGGTGCTTGGGAAGTCATGGGGCCTGGGTTTGTGGGGGCTTGTCTGGATCCTGGCATCATTGGTGGTGATCCAGTTCCCAGAATCATGAGGACTGGCCTGGATCCTGAAGCTGTGGAGACTGGCCTGGGACCTTGTTATGTGAGATCTGGCCTGGAGGCTGTGTGTGGTTGCTGGCCTAGAACCTCAGCCCACAGGGAGCGTGCTAGAACCCGGACCTATGGGGACTACCCTAGAGACTTGGTATGACTGTGGTGGCCTGGAGGTTAGATCTGCAAGGGCTGACCTGGATCCTTGGGATGCTGGGGCCAAACTGGAACCTGAGTCCACAGGGGTGGTTTTGGAGCTTGGTTTTTGAAGGCTGGCCTAGCACTGCAATTTATTGGAATGAGCTTGCACCTTGGGTCGGCTGAAGCATGGGGACACAGGAGATGGCCTGAAGAGTGGTGTTGCAGGGACTGGCTTGGCTCTAGGCAAGCCTAGAGCCTCTGTCTGCAGGTGTTGGCCTGATGTCTGAGGTCAGGGGTGCTTACGTGGTGCTGGGGTGGGTCTGAAGCTCAAAGCTGTGTATTCCAACCTGACTCTGGGCTGGTCTGGAGCCTGTGGCTGCAGGGGCTAGCCTGGTTCTGGGTGGGCCTAGAGCCTGTATACAAAGGAACTGACCCGGAGGCTAAATTCACAGGTGCCAGCCTGATATCTAGGGCTGTGGGGGCCTTCCATGATGCTGGGATAGATATAAACTCTGAAATCACAGGGGCTGGCTGAGTGCTGGGGCTGGTCTGAAGCCGGGGGCTGCTAAGGTTGGCCTGGTAGTGGGGCAGGCCTAGAAGTTCAGCTCATGGATACTGGACTAGAGTCTGGGGCCATGAGGTCCTGGCACTGGGTTTTACTGTGGTGAGTCTTGTGTTAGAATCTGAGGCAAAGTCCAATGCTCACTTCCTTCTTTCAAGAGGAGGGTGTCTCTAGCCATGATGTGCTGCCTGGGGTTGGGGAAGAGGTTATAATGATAATGAAAACTGTTGTTCCTATTATCTTGAATATGTTTTTCTTATTTCTTTGCTGTTCCCAGATGCTGTAATCTCTCACCTGGTTTCCTTAGCTCTTCGGAAGTTATTTTTGCATATGTGTGGTTGTTTACACTGATGGTTTTGTGGGGAGACAAGAGATCGAATGTCCTTTTTGGCCATCTTGCCAACATCTGCTTCCAGATTCATTTCTAAACTTTAGAATTAACAAATGCAATATTCTTTTTTTCCTCAGAGTCAAGGAATGAATCATAAAAGACTATTTACACCGTCTCTCTTGTGCATGCTCTCATTCTTCGCTCTGCTTGACTCCCTGGCTAAAGTGGAAGATATTATAATCCCATCTTTTTGCTTGATGTGTGCTCTATTTTCACATCTGATGTTGGTTGATGTAATTGGAGAAGAAGAGCTGTGTGATGATTTAAAGTGTTGATGACTTGATTGAACCATTCTTAAGTAAGGGGAAAAAAAAGAGAAAAACAGACACAGGGCACTCCTGAAGAAAATAATCATTATAAAGGCTTGCAAATTTGGGAATTTTAGTTTTGTGGTTCAACTCACAAGTTTGGCCATCTCACCCTCAAGAATGAGAGCTAACATCTCTTAACCACCCACAAGTTAATGCTGAGAATTCTCTCATGTAATTCCTGAATAGCTTTCAAATCTGTTGGGTTTTGAAAGGTATAATTAAAACTTATTATTCTCCTTTTCTTTGTGTACCAGCTGTCAGAAGAAAGAAAACAAGATTTTTTTTTTATTTAACCAGTGAAAGTATTTGCTAGATTTAAAGACAGTTTTTTCCTTTATATATTAAGAAAAATGTTCATAGCTCTTTAAATAAAGGGATGATTGATTTACAGCTAGATAAAATTTTAAACGTTTAAGCTGAGAAAAGTCAATGAGAAGATTTTCAATGATATCATTTTCTAAAAATGGCTTTTTATGAATTAGCAAAGCTTGAAATTGGGGTGAAAACCTGTGAGGTAGTTCTCACCCCTTTGCCATCAGGCCTAATATATACCTATGTTAGCATATCATTATTACCACTTCATGTCCTTTTTACTTCTCCACATTGTAAAACTCTTCTTTTGGAATTTTTGATTTTTTTTCCCACTGATTGTGAGAAGTTAGAGGTTTTGAAATGATTCAGTCTTACTGATTGATATTTTATTTTTAAATTTCTCCTACCAAAATGACAGGTTTAGTTTCCCTTTAGAAAATGACTGTCTTATAAACATTATACATTTAAAATGTTGCTTAATTAACCAACATTTATTGAGTATCAGATAATTTTAAAAGTTTCTTACTTGGGTGGGGATGAGTCATGGATAACCTCTGCTAGGGCAATGCAGAAGGGAAATGTGGGGTTGGAGACCCCACACTGAGTCCCTACTGGGGCACTACCTAGTGGAGCTGTGAGAAGAGGCCACCATCCTCCAGACGCTAGAATGATAGATCCGCCAACAGCTTGCACTGTGCACCTGGAAATGTCGCAGACAATGTCAACCCATGAAAGCAGCCAGGAGGGAGGTTGTACCCAACAATGCCACAGGGGCGGAGCTGCCCAAAACCATGGGAACCCACCTCTTGCATCAGTGTGACCTGGATGTGAGACATGGAGTCAAAAGAGATCATTTTGGAGCTTTAAGATTTGACTGCCGCACTGGATTTTGGACTTGCGTGGGGCCTGTAACCCCTTTGTTTTGACCAATTTCTCCAATTTGGAATGGCTGTATTTACCCAATGCCTGTACCACGTTGTATTTAGGAAGTAACTAACTTGCTTTTGATTTTGCAGGCTCATAGGCAGAAGGGAATTGCCTTGTGTCAGAGGAAACTTTGGACTGTGAACTTTTGAGTTAATGCTGAAATAAGAATTTGGCGGACTGTTGGGAAGACATGATTGTTTTGAAATATGAAGGCATGAGATTTGGCAGGGGAGCAGGGGCGAAATGATATGGTTTGGTTGTGTCCTCAACCAAATCTCATGTTTAATTTCCATGTGTTGTGGGAGGAACACCATGGGAGGTAACTCAATCACAGGAGCAGGTCTTTCCCATGCTGTTCTTGTGAGAGTGAATATGTCTCACAAGATCTGATGGTTTTAAAAAGGGGAGTTTCCCTGCACAAGTTCTCTTCTCATGTCTGCCACCATGTGAGACATGCCTTTCACCTTCTGCCATGATTGTGAGGACTCCCCAGCCATGTGGAACTGTAAGTAAGTCCATAAACCACTTTCTTTTGTAAATTTCCTGGTCTCAGATATGTCTTTATCAGCAGCACGAAAACAGACTGATACAGGCTTGATGCCTACCAATGCCATATATTAATGCATGCTCTAATATTTACTCTTCTTATTACCCTACCTTTTCCCCTTTTCCCCTTGCCCTTGCTGTCCTGAAGTTGTATATTCCAATACTATTAGTAGCATAGAACTATTGCCTCAGACTTTACTTTCTGGGAACCCAGGCTACGAAAGGGTATTCAAATAAAAACAATCAGACCTAATTTTTCTAAAAGTGCAGCAATCTTACACAGACTTCTAATTTTCCTGTAAATTAGATGAACATCTGTGGTGGTAATCAAGGTTGTTCATAACTATTCCAGACCTTATCATTCTCAGCACATGGTAGGATTGCACTTTTCAGTCCCCTTGAAGTTAAGCATGGCCATGTGACTGTTTGTAGCTAATGAAATGTGAGCAGAACCAACCGGTATCTTTTCAAGGCAAACACTTTAATAGCCAGTACGTAATCTTCACATTTCCTTCCCTCTGTTACACTGATGAAACAGAGTCTCTGTCGGGGTGGGTTCCTGAATGACTCCAAAAAGCAGAGCCTTCTTCTGACCTGTGTTGTACACGAAGCATGAGCAAAAAATAAAACCTTTATTGTCTGTCTTAGGCCACAGAGCTTTGAGGTTTATTATTCCCCTCACTGTTCTTGTTTACTGATGATATAGTATCTTCCTTTCCCAAACTAGAGGAGACCATACATCAGATATAGAAATTTGATACCTTATTTTCTATGGCTCTATCTGTTTAAAAACACTGCTATTGTGATTCATGGTGAATTCTTTTCACCAGCTTTGGAAATTACTAGAATAAGCTACTCAAACCATTTCCATGGATGTCTCAAACAAAGAATACTGGAATATTGCTGGCATCAATGAATATTTTCTCAATCACTCTGAAATAGGCTTCTAAATTACTCTGTATTCCTCCACAAATTATTGACATTAAAGCCTCCATTAAAAGTAAAACCCAAAATTAGATTGTTTTGGGGCATGTCTTGATTTTCAATGCAAGAAAATTTACATGATAAAAGCACATGTAATAAAAAACAATTTCTTCAGGAGATGAAACTGTCAGGTAGATCTCATGATTGCATTCAGATGAGTGAAAGTCATTTATACTGACAATGAAATGAATAAAAAGCTGCCTTCAGTGGGGGAATTGGTCCCAATTAAAGTCTTATAGAAGGCTCAAAAAATTTGCAATAAGATTTAATATCGTAATTGAGCAAAACACTTGTCTTACCTCATATTCATTGGTGCTGGTATTTATTTTTGACCCACATATAATTAATCAGATTAAGACTTTTTCTCTTTTGGCTTCCTCTGTCCTCCTTTGTCACCACTATTTAGCCTCCGAGTAGTTCAAAAGTACCCTACCACCTTCTTAAAGTAATAACAAACACTTTCATAGTACTTACTACGTTCCAGACAGTATTTTAACCACACTTGAATACTCACAATAACCCTGTGAATTAGATATTAATATTATCTCCATCCCTATTTTATAGTCATAGAAACTGAGGCTCAGAAATTTTGAGTCTCTGGTATAAAGTAGTCACATAGTTACTGTTTTAGTCCATTTAGTATTGCTTTCAAGGATTACCTGAGGCTGGGTAATTTATAAAGAAAATAGCTTTATTTGGCTCATGTTGTGTAGGCTGTACAAGAAGCATGGTGCCAGCATCTGCTTGGCTTCTGTTGAGGGACTCAGGCTGCTTCTACTCATGGCAGAAGACAAAGTGGGGTCAACTGTGCAGAGATCACACGGTGAGATAGGAAGCAAGAGAAAGAGAGTGGAGGTGCCAGGCTCTTCTTAACAACCAGCTCTCATGGGAACTAACAGAGCAAGAACTCGCTCATTACTTTGAGGACGATGTCAAGCCATTCATGAGGAATCCACCCACATGACCCAAACAGCTCCAATTAGGCCTCATTTCCATCAATGAGGATTAAATTTCAATGCGAGATATCGGGGGGTGGATGAATATCCAAACTATAGCATTTATTAAGTGAATAAGCCAGATCTGAAACTCAGACAATGTGTTCTGTAACCATACTTATCATCCTCTAAGGGTTTTAATGTAAAAGCCAGAAGTAGCACAGCATGTTATCAAAGTGAGAAATCAATTTATTCCTGGGAATGCAAACTAAAAACCTTAATGGCCACGCATATAGTGTGCCTGTGGAAAGTCTGGTACAGGTAGTAGGGACCAATGAGACCTGTGGTGAACGCTAGACTAAATGTCCTGCCTAAGTTTAGTCAAAAGAAATGTAATTTTTAACCTCAGCTTTGTCTTCCAAATTCCATCTAATGAATGCCCATATTGTTGTCTTCAAGTGTACTCAGTCTACTTAGAGAGGAGAATCGAAGGCCGCAATTCTGCAATCTTCTGGTTCTATTTCTTTAGGGTGACCTAATGAGACAAACTAGAGTTAGAATCTGTCAATAGTAGTTTACCACAGAATAAATTTTAAACCCATCTGGTCAGTGTGTTTGTGTGTGCATGTGCACATGCATGCACGATTTTACAGATCAGAAGCAAGTTATTTTTCCTTTGTATCTGTATATGTGTGTTTCTGATTGTTCTTGCCTCTAATGAAAGTTAACAATTGGAGTTACAGTAATTGCATTTTTTATAGTTGAATGGAATTTTAATTAACGATTCTTAGTCACTCACAGGTGGCTGCTAGAACATTGATTAGCATTTTTTTGTCTTTCCCTTTTGTCTCTCTGTAAAGTTTTCTCCAATTCATTTGGGAAACAGGACCATACATTATTCATTCTTAAGTGTACTAATTTGATCAACCTTTTTAGATAATCCTGGGTCAACTGAAATTTGACTTATGGGGCAACTGCCTATAGAATGTCACACAAAGGTTATCTGCATTGCAATTTTCCCCATTGTTATGTCAATGGGCCAAAACCCCATTGGAAAAGGTCAATCCCTAGAGGTGAGGAGGATGGTAAGTACCTGTGCTCATTTATTCCAAAATATAGTGCCAATCCATGTAGCTTAGGAACTGGACAGGCTTATTTCTCATAGGTCAAAACATGTCATCACTTAGTAATAGCTTTTGGTTGCTACTGATCTGGCTTGGACTTGAACAAATGACTCGGTTTAATGACTCTCTCTCATATCATCTATTTGTGTGTCTTTTGCCTTCTATAGAAAAACAACTCAGCACACTTCCATTCAATTTTATGTTGTATTTATTTACTAACAAACATACTCCTTATATAAAAATCTCCCAAGTAAGAGTTGCTGAACATTTTTTATATTGCATTTTGAATAAGAGGCCTTTTTTGTTTTGTTTTGTTTTGTTTTGTTTTGTTTTGTTTTGTTTTGCTCAAGTCATTCAATAGTTTAACACAGCCTGGAAAACACAACTAAGATTGGTTTTTATTTTTGGTTTTGTTTTCAGACAGGATCTCACTCTGTCACCCAGGCTGGAGTGCAGTGGTGCAATCATATCTCACTGCAATCTTGACCTCCTAGGCTCAAACAATCCTCCTACCTCAGCCTCCCAAGTAGCTAGGACTACAGTAGCACATCATCATGTCTGGCTAATTTTTAAAAATTTTTTGTAGAGATAGGGTCTCACTATGTTGTCCAGGCTTGTCTTGAACTCCTGGCCTTATGTGATCGATCCTCCCCCTCAGCCTCCCAAAGTGCTGAAAGTACAGGTGTGAGTTACTGTGCCCAGCCTAGAGCTGATTTTAATTGTGACACCCTATGTTTCATAACAAAAGCTAATCCTGTAACAAATAGATTAGAAAACATTAAAAATATTTTGTATGAATGTTTTCTCTTTGGAGCACCTCAAGGCATGAATGTAAATCTTGCAGAATAACAGCAAGAACAGTGCATCGGTTCTTGACATGTCTTCCCTCACAGCGGGGTGGTGTGTTATGGACTGTCAAATGCAATTATCCAGAACAATGTAATCATTGGCAGTTGGATTATTCGATACTTTCTGGAGCAAATTTTATTTTTTCTTACCATTTGAACCCTAGTTTACAGATCCTAGGGAGCCAATAGTATAAACCTATCAATCATCCATGGAGACAAACAAGAAACTTCTACTTTCAGATTAGTTTTTACTATAATTCAATTGTTACCTTAGGTAATTTTCAACTTATTATTTAATTTTAGTTAAAAAATACTGAGTTCAATACACCTATTCATAGATTTTGTTTTCTGTTATCTCAAGGACAATTAAGAAGTGTTAGCAAGAATAGGAAATCAAGAAAATCACTTGTACGGATGAAGTAACTGTGATAAACAAAAGTCTCAGACACTCTCCAGCATCACTTGGTAACTGAGTGACACCATGAAAGCTAACTGAGTTCCAACTTCTCAGTTTCTAGCACTATCCCCTGTCTACTTACTCCCTCTGTTACAACTACTATATTTCAACAATATTTTGAGTACCTGGATAATGAAAGATTTCTTTTTAATGATTAAATTTAGTTTTCTAATGGCCATGGCTTCCTTTTTAAAGGACTAAAGCAATAATTATTAGAATAAGAATCAGCTGTTCAAGAAGACTTGCAAATATATTAAAGAACTGTTCCACTGTAAATGACTTTAAGAACAAAAATTGACGCACCAATGTAAGAGGGATATGAAAAAATGAAGAAGATTAAGAGAATATAAATTGAAATATGAATGTGTTTGAAAAAGTAAACATGAAAAAACATTAAAGGAGTTGGAATTATTTAATCAGAGGTTCAAAAGTTATGAGATATGGTTTATGAAGTTTGCAAGAACAAAATGGTTCATTTTAAAAATGATGATGATACAATGAGCTTTGTTTTCCTGAATACTTGAAAGACAGGGAAATTTAGAATTAAGGGAGAAAATTACTAGATTATATTAATAAGATTTACTGACATCCCATAGTGTGGTATGCAGAGTTCTAAGATAGCTCCCCCAATTTTTTCCCTCTGGTGTTTGTGAACTGTGTAATTTCCTCCCCTTGAGTGTACGTGAAACCTGTGAATAAGTGTACGTGAAACCTGTGATAAGACAGAATTTTCTTTATTATGTTACATTACATGGCAAAAGGGATTTTGCATAAGTAATTAAGGTCTCAATTTAGTTGACCTTATGATATAAAAATGATTCAAATGAGCTTGACTTCAGCATATGAGCCCTTTAAATCTGGGCTTAGGAGTCAGACTGAGGAAGTCAGAGGTTTGAAGCATGAAAAATATTTGGTGCGCTGTTGATGGCTTGAAGAAGGAAGGGGCCATGTGGCAAGGAATGTGGGTGACCTCTAGGAGCTGAAAGTGGCCCTGATTGATAGCCAATAAGGAAACAAAGATCTTAATCCTACACACACAAGGAACAAAACTGCCAATAAGAAGAATGAGATTGGTAGAAGAGTTTTCCTCACGGTCTCCAAATAATAAGAACTCAGCCTGGTCAACACATTGATTTCAGCCTGTGGTATCCTGAACCAAGCACCTGATCATATCCTACTGGATTTTTGATCTATAGAAACTGTGAAATAATAAGTTAATGCTGTTTTAAGTTGCTAATTTTGTGAGAATCTATTATGCAGAAATAGAAAATGAATACACAGAGTATGTAGTGGTGAAATTACTTAGAATACACATAAAAAAGCATACCATATAATCTACTTGGAGTGAAAAAAGGCAAACATCTACCAAATTAGTTGAAATAAAATGGCTACAATTGTTTTACTATGGGAAATCATAGCATTTCCCTTTGGTGACATTTATGAGGTGGATGAATAGACATCCATCTGTTTGCATCAGTTGGGGCAAAGCTTGTCTGAGAGTTAGAGCTGGAATTAGGACCTTTCAACAATATCACTCTAAAAATTAGTTTGCAGAATTTATATTGACCACAAATAAAATCTCTAGGATTATATTTTTCTTCTTGAGTAAAATTTGTCTCTGCTAGTTGTTCTCCATTTGACCTTCAGATTCATTCTTCACTCATCTCTGTCACACTCTGTGCCTTGGGAGGCTGACCCCAAGTAACTGTCCTTTCAGATCACTTACTCTCCAGTTTCTATAGGCTTCAGTCAATGGGGGTCAACAAGAGACTGGAAAATGGAGGTAGGGTGAAGCTGAGGCAGGGAGGGAGAAGGGAAGAAATGCCTCTACTTCACTTTACTTTCACCTTCCAACCCCTTGTAATTGAAACTATTTTCCTCTGACCTAAGAGTGCTACTAATGTCCTACCATTATTAGAGTTGGAGTGCCCCAGTATTTGTTGTTTGTTCCCTTAATCCTGCCCACACCCTTATAAGTAATACCCTCATTAAAGTATGTTTATTTAAACCATCTGAATGAATTCTGTCACTACCAGAATCCTGAATGGAACACCATCCAGGCCAGTTATCAGCTGACTGATTTTTGTCTTTTCAAAAATTGTACTTGGCTGTTCTTTGAAGGCTGATAAGTTAAAATACATCAAGATGCTGAGTTTTGGTTTTCAGTGCTGCATCATCAGGCGGCAGCAGCAAAGATGGTTGGAGATTGATGTTTCTAGATTTGAGTTGGCAAGGCTACTCTTCAAAAAGACTGCTTAATTATTTTTGAAACTATAAGCTGGGAATGCCTATTCCCAGCTCTGACTTTTTTTTCTATGTAGAAAGTTTTACTAGTCATATCATTCCTGACTTTTCTTTTCCTCTAACTCATTCCTCTGCTGGACATATTTAATTGGTAAATTTGAAACCAATAAATTGAGCAAGGTTTATTCAGCTTCTGCTTTTCCCTAGGCAGTTGGCCTTCCTGCAAAGTGGATGCATTCTCATCTGCTCCCACGTGGGGACACTTCTCCCAGTCCTCTTCTGATAAGATTGGGTGGGAAGGGCAAAGTAATTTTGAAGTTAAACACTAAGAAGCTGTTTAATTTTTAAACTAAGCTATATTTTATAAAATAGCTTTTACAGGAAATTAAGGTGCTGAAGAAGTATGCTATTTATTTGGACTACTCATGAACCCCAGTAGTTCCTTTGCCTGATCACTGGCACCAGATAAAGCTTCCTAGCCCAAATGGTCTTCTATATTTTTATTTTTTTCCTTTAAGTCCCCTTCAAAATGATCAGATATGTCTATTTGACGAGCTGTATGTGTAGATAATAGCAAGAGAGGACTTCTTACATGCTTTTAAAACAATGATTTTTCTATAAAGTAGGTCTTTTATAAATAACAAAGATGTGAAATTTAGTTAATAAATCTAAAGCAATGACCCATTAAATCAAGGAGTAAAGAAATACAAAGATAATTAAGTAGCTTTCATTCTAAATTATAAAAAGCACATTTTAAACAAATCACAATTAGGTTTTCAAATGACAATAAGCAGCAATTTCACAACAGGAAGTTAGAGGCCTGGCAGGTAGCAGAAAAAATGGAGAAAAAGTATTGAGGAAGGGGATCCTTCTTTATTACAATTTTCACAGCTACTGGCCTGGTAATTGCTTTAATTTATTTAGCATTTAATTTTGGAGAAACTTCTGTGACAGGTATGTTATCTTTATTTTTACATTTTAAATACTGGGAATAATTTTCTTGCTTACTTCCAACAATCCTGTCTTTTATAATAATAATCAGATTTTATGGAGTCATCGCTTGCTTCTTGTAGGCTTGTGACATTTTCCTGCCCTTTTATAGACGTTCTGAGTTTTGACACTCTGAACACTTTTGACCTAGTTAGTTATAACTTTCTCTGGTGCCTCATTTTCTGCAATGTTCCCTTTAAACTTTTGACCCTGTTTGGGGATGGTAGTGCTTATATTAAGTACAGAATTTGATAATCACAGTGTAGCATTCAGATATTTTTGTTACTACTCATCCCATCAGTCTATTGCTTGGGGCTTTTTTTCCTCTAATGTGGATCATCATTGGAAGTCTGTGCCATATTGTATCTCATTTTGAACTGCAGAACTGAGAATGTATCATTATGTACTGAAATTCTTGGACTCTTCTCCTGAAACCTATTCCATTTCATCTCATAACTGCATTTATTATACAGTAATGTAATTACATACATCATTCTTATGGGGATTTGAAATGTTCACTTCAAGTGTCTGGAAGCAGTAGAGATATTTTCATCAAGGTTTTAAAAATAGTTAAAGCTATCAGCATCTAAACATTGTATACCAACTTAGGACATAGATTCTATGCTTAAATAAGAGTAATACTTCACAGGAAGGACAAACAAAAACTGAACTTTTGTGATACTGCCTGTAGCAGAGGGTTTGCATGGCTTACTGCAATTTTTATTATACAGCACTGCTTACATCCTTAGAGATTTGTAGCATTTGGAAGCGCTTTTATCCTGACTTCCTGTCTAATAATCTAAAGAACATCTGACAATTGCAGAGAGCTTTGCATCCCAAAGGGCTTTACAAACTACACATGTGCAGGAATTAACTTACCTCAACACTGAAAGGCATCTTGCTCTGGTGAATGAGTCTAGGGAATCTTTCATGACCACAACTAGCCAGACCTTTGAGTTCATGACTCATTCTAGAGGCAAAGGCAATGCATACTTCAATTTTGCAACCGTTTGACTCTGCACCGTGCATAAAAGAAAAAGATCACGTACTCAAACTGGATAACAGCACCTAGAAGATATTCTTGGAAATATATCAGCTTTCTCTTTGTATAGGAGGTTTGTGCAGACCTTAGGGTGGATATGGCTATGATGTCATGCACCTTCTCTGAAGCAGTTGCTTCACTAGATCATATTTCTATATAACCTTTTCCTTCTTCTGAAATACAGTCCTATTTTTAGAATCAGGTGGCATGCCAGTCACCATAAATCCCGTCCCAGCTTTATTACCAACTATCTTTTAAATTTTGGCCCCTACGCCCACCCCACTCCTTTGTATTTTAAAGCAGTTGTAAGTAGGGAAATCTTAAAATTAGGGGAGATATTAGTAGTGGTTACAGTTACTATTTATTGAGCACTCTATTAGTTAAAATAACACTAACTGCTATAACAAATAAATTTAAGAGTTCCAATGGCTTCACACAATAGAATTTGTTGCTCTTGTAAAGTTCAATAGGTGAAGGAATTAGAGAATCCTTGATCTAGTAATTTTAAAACCCAGGTTATTGGGAGCTCTTCCACCTTCACCTAGTGGCAGTGACTTCCACTTAGCAGCTACGGAAAGAATGAAGGATTTCGCAAGAGGTCTTTATAGGCCAGACCTGGAATTGGCATACATTATATCTACCTACATTACAATAGCCACGACTTCATAAAATTATCATCCTTCACTGTAATTTGAGGCTGAGAAATATAGACTAGATGTCTGCCTAGGAGGATAGGGAAATGGATTTGGTGAACAGAGATCCCAGCTCTGCCATACTTAGTATGTACCAGGTATGTGTTACATACTAATTTTACTTACATTATGTTTATTCCCACAGAAGCTCTACAGGAATGCTTTTATTATACTCATTTAATAGATACAAGAAAACTGTGGCTCAAACTGGTGATACAACTGCTCCAGAATAATTTCAGAATAATTTAGCTTGTAAGAAGCAGAGCTTGAATTTGTACCGAGATCTGATGCCAAAGTTTATCTAAATAATCAGGTTCAAGTTATCTGCAAATAGTTAAGAACATGTGCTTAAATATATTATCTTCTTCAACACTCCTTCCCTATAATGGAAGCTTTATAACTTTCTTTGATAACCTATACCAACGTCTCGTCATTTGATGGTTAAAACGTTCTTCCTTATGTGTTATATAAAGCACATTTGGTACTACTTATTTTAGAATATGTGGAAAAACTTAAGGAAGAAAATATAAACCTCTCACAATACTACTACCCAGCAACAATCTGTTGATATACAGTGGTATTTCTCGTTATTTAAATACATTTTGTTGTACAGGATTAAATCCTACTATACATATTGCATTTCAACACACTTCTTTTGTAAACTAAAGAGCCTACCATGAATAAGTCTCCATTTCATAAGATACTCTTCCAAAATATCACTTTTTACTAATAATGACTGCAAAATATTCCACTCTTAGCCTGTGCCATAATTTATTCTACCAATAACTTCTGCATATTTCAGTTGTGTACAACTTTTTGAAAATTTTTAAAGATGCTGATATAAAGATACTAAATGATATCATGCATATTTTGCCTCATTTTAAAGATGAGGGTGACATCTGGTCTTTTTGGTCTTATATAATTTCTCCAAGATCAGCACATTATTTGCATATGGATCTCAGGTATGGTGAGATGTGAGATAGTTTTGATAAAAGTCTTTTGGGAACCTTAGAGAAAATTAGGCTATTTATCAAGTTTCTTTTAGTACGAAGAGGCATAGAGAGCTGAGTTAGTTGTGAGAAGTTCTGTGAAAAATACAGAATGAAAGATGCCTTTTTACAAAAAAAAACAATTTAATGTCATGTAGCTTTATAAAGTGGATCAATATCACTGACTTGCCATGGGTAGAAGCAGCTAATTGATTTTGCTGCCACCTGTGAGCACAGGTAAGCAGCAGGCCTCATACTGCTTACTGGCTGCCTTGACAGGGTATGTGTTTGTTTAGCATTAGCAAACTCAAGAAAAATTATCTTAGTCTCACATTGCTTTATTACTCCTAATGGCTTTTTTCAACAAACAATTCAGCCCTGTGGAAAAGACTGGATGACTAATGTTGTCTGTCAGCACAGACTCTGGCAGAATGCTGTTTTCAACATCAAGGGAAACAGTTGCTGAGCTGTCCATGGAATGCATGACGCCACAGAATGCTTGTCACTATGGGGTTGACACCATTTGAGTTAGAGATAGACCATACTCCCAACACATTTAAAATATGACCAAACCTACACACACACGCACGCACACGAATGCACACACACAAGCACACACACATACACTGTTTACTCCATGAACAGAGATTATATCCTCACAAGTGTAATCTCTGAGGTAATGGAAATATTTTCTAATCCAGTAAAGTATCAGAATATTCTCACATACTGTTGTCAGGGAGGGCATGTAAATTGGAACAAACTTTTAGAAGGCAATTGAGAAGTATTTATTAACATTTAAAATATACTATGCAATAACTCAGAAGTTTTACCTATAAGATTCTATTTAGACAAAAATTATAGCAAAACAGATAAGTAAAAATACTTATGTACAAAGGAAGCTACTGGAATATTGTTTGTAATAGCAAAACAAAATAAAACAAAAAAACCCAAAAACTATAAGAACTTAAATGTCCCTTAATAGAAGAATGATACAGCTATTCAGTGGAATACCATGTACCATGCCCTTAGAGTGAAATAGAGCTATATGTGCTGATCTGGATCTATGTATGTAGATCTTGCTGTCTACATCTTATTGTTAAATGGGAAATGAAAATTATAATATGATCCTATTTTTGTAAATAAAACAAATATTCTTACATATCTATAGCTAAACATGTCTATGTTTATATTAATGCCAATATAAATATATTTTATGCCTATAAAATCATAGAGAAAAAACAAGAAGGACAAAAACCAAACTGGTAGCAAGGCTTTCCTTTAGGGGGTAGGAATGAAAGAACTTGAGCTGTGGGAGTCTGGGTTTTACCACACATACACATACAAACTTAGTATATACATACATATAATACCTACCTACATACATACATTATTCATAAGCCAGAGTATTTGATGAGAGTAATCAGCCCTTCTGGGTGAATAGAAACTAATTTTTTTCCTCAAATAGTAAAAAAAATTCTGATAGTTGTACTTTACAACTAAAAGGGATTAGATATGAGCTCAGTAAAGTACTAAATATTAGAGATCGCCTATTTGAATCACTAACTGGAATTTCCTTTTGAATGACAGTGACTATAGAGAATCACAGATTCAAACATTTTGCTCCAATATTTAGTTGCTGTGAACGAAGCTCATCACTACTGCAGGAAACATAAAAAATATCATGTGCAAAATATATACAATTTTTACTTATCAATTAAAAAATAAAACATGAAAGTACAAAACAAAATACCACATGCAGAAAAACTACTTTCTGGGACAAAGTGATTATGTCTTGGGTGGCCCATCCTACATACTACAAAAGTTTAATACAATTGTCCTGCTTTCTTGACACATCATGGAGATAGGTTGTCTTATTTTCATTGCTAGTATAGACAGATGGAGTGATAGAGACTTGACTTACAGATAAACTATAAGTACACATATGGTCATGTATTTATTGGAGAATCTCAATATGGATCTTTGAGTCCTCATAAGAGTGGTATTTGGGAAGGAGTTTCCCTAGGGAGATGTCATCTTTCATTTAGATGTACAAAGTGATTAGATATAATTGAGCTACTATTAAGAATACCACTGACAGTTAAACTTGATTGAGGGCATTTTATGCACTGAAAACACTATCTGAAATAATTTATCACAGCTGTATGAAATAGTTGCTATAATTATTCCTAACTCATAGACGTGAAAATAGAGCTTAGAGAAGTTAGGTAACTTGTCAAAAACCACATGGTAAATTAGCAGTTAAGTAGGATTTCAAACCCAGGTCTGTCGAACTCCAAATCCCAGGCCTTTAATTACTGAGTTCCTTATATTGCTTCAATAGTAGGTACATTATTTGATGGCTATGATGGATTAAATATCCTTTCACAAGTTGACAGAGGGGGATCTAAGAGCAATTTACAGCATTGTTTTTATATATTTTGATTAACACTTTGGGAAAATAAGTGATGAATACTCTAGAAATTGCTGCCTTTATGTTTGTATAGTTATCATTTCTATTATAAAGAGATGTTCCAGGAGGATTTACATAGTGTTTTGGCTCTCATTAACTTAACTTTTAGTCAGCTACATTTAGAAACCATTTAAAAGCCAATAAATGGGTAGCTTTATTGAAATAAACTAACAATCAAGTTTGGAAATAAAAATCTTGGTTATAATTCCAGGACTGCCATTTACTCAGTGGGACAAGTCACTTAACTTCATTGAGCCTAAGTTTACCTGTCACAGTTAATACGGTTGGCCTGGCTGGTGACATTTGTCCTTTCCCTTTTTTGCCAGTTTCTAACCCTCGATATACTTAGAACCTTCATTTTGTCTCCAGATTCCCATTCCATCCCTCTATACCTTGCCTTGTGCCTTGGAAGTCTGATCTTTATGATTACATTAAAGGACTTGTCTGCCTTCTGGCTTCATTTTAGATTAGGACAATGGGGAAGACTGGAAGAAGTTCTATCAGATGAAGGGAAGACAGTGAGGTTAGGTTAGTTATTCTTCATCCTCCTTTTCTGTGTGGTCAACATGGACTAGCTGCATCTTGTCAAGAGGCCTCATAGCCACTTCATCTCAATGTTGTTGTCATCATCCACTTCTCTGGCCTATTTAGACCTAAAAGTGGCTCTCTTCACCTCTTACTAGCTCCAAGATTTTGCCTTATACTTTCTTGTGGTATTCCCCATACACTGCTCATATCTTTGGAACTACTCCCTCTTTCAAACTCTCCTCAGAATATCCAGTTCATGTGATCTGACTGGTTTTATGCCCAGATTCTGATTGATGCACATGTACATCTATCTGTAAGTTGTGTGCTCAGTTAAAGAAGATGCTTTTTCCAGAGAAAAGTTAATTGTTTTTAGATTAAGTGTAAATGAGTAACAGATATTTACTTTTTATTGATTCATAATATTTGTACATATTTATGGGATACATATGGTATTTTGATACATGTGTAGAATGTCATGATCAAATCCGGGTATTTAGGATAGCTAACACCTCAAACATTTATCAGTTCTTTGTGTTGGGAACATTTCAAATTTTCTAGCTATTTTGAAATATATAATATCTTGTTGCTAGCTATAGTCACCCTTCTATGCTAGTGAACAGTGGAACTTACTCCTTCTGTCTAAATGCATGTTTGTATCCATTAACCAACCTCCCTTTATCCCTCACTTACATACACACCCTTCCTAGTCTCTACTAACTATCATTCTTTTGATAGTATCTCCAGGCAAATGTTTAAGGCCCAAATTATTACTTTACCTGGAGCTTTTCTTCTTTCCACTGTATCACTTTTATTCCCTGGAAAACCCCTACTCTTCCAATATAATAGAAGAAGCTTATTGCTTAACTGAACACAATGTGGCAAAACGGCTCCGTGAAAGCTTGGGCCTTCACATTTTTCCATGAAGAATTCGAATCTCTCTTAATCAAAAGTGTATCACTCATCTATGTCATGACTAGATAAGCAAGGTTTATCTCTGGTCATGAATTATCATGTTACACATTGGTGCAAAGCCCTGACTCAACTTTTTTCTACAAAATGCTTTTGTAATTGATTACTATGTTTTATGTACTTGTGAGAAGCAACCTGGTAGAAAAAAATAGACAAATATTACATGTATAGTTTGTCAGAGCTTCATTTCTAGAAATGCTAAAGATAATGCCTTCCCTGTCAATTCATAAAATTTTAGGAAGCTTAATATATATCATGATATTAATGTGCTACATAAACTATTGTACTACCCAGGTGTTTGTGATGCTGTTGCTGTAGCTGCTACTGATGATGTTAAAATAAACTTCCCCATTGTGCTTATCTTTCAGATTTTGAGTTTTGGGTGGGAGATAACAACCAGTAATTATAGGCTGTGTACTCTGCTATCATTTTAAATACATCATGAATTTCTTACTAACTGAAACATAGCACTAGACCAAATTTCTTTCTTTTTGCAAGACCATAAGTATTGTAAAACAAGTTATAAACCAATTCAGAAAAGAGGTAAATTGTGGTCCATCCTAATTCAAGGACAGATTATCTACTTATTGGATACATTTACTAAAAAAAGAAATCTATTTCACTTAGTCCTGATTTTCTAATTTTTCTCCAGATTTAAAAAAAAATATCTTTCCCTAGGCATGGACGGATGAAAATGTGTTCTGGGACACAGTTTTTAGACAAAATTCCAAGTAAACTGTCATTTGGGAGTTGGCCTCCAAGGCTGGGGTGGCAAAGATGGTGAAAGGACCCTTTCCCTTATGTTGACATAACACTGGAGATGCCAAAGTTACTGGGGTGATCCAGATGGTTCTGCAGCAGGGATTTTCTATTGTCATTATTTTTCCTTATTCAGTATGCCTTCTACCTCTTCATAGATATCATAGAAACAGGACAGTAGATGAGTAGTTCTAAGACAAGAGCAATTGTGAGATATCTGACAATTAGAGCAGCAGCACATGTAGCTGAGTTTAATGTTTTCATTATAATAATCAAGACAAACAGGTCATTATTTTGCATAAACTTTTTTGCATTTTTAAAAATTTTACGTACATAATTCGTTTCCTTATTATTTTAATGATAGAACTTATGACAGTTGAACCTAAGGTATTTTCCATGAAAGATAGCTCTTTGAGTGTTTAAGAAATACTATGCTCCTGCAGGTATATTATGTACTATTGAAGTGCTATTTTGTATAATTGCAAAATTTTGTGTAAATGAAGAAGGGTAGTATAGGATAGCCACAAGTCGAAGTTTACATTTCCAAGATCTAGTGATACTGGGAAGAAGAGAAGAAAATGTGTGAAAGATAAGAAAATGTGCTGGGCGTGCAGGTGGCAGAAACATTCTCAAAGATTTCTGCCAGGGAGTCAGGGGAGACAAAGCTATGAAATAGTAAGATTGCATTTCTTTCAAATCTGCATATTCTGCAGCCCTTAAGCCATTACCTGCAGCTGAGGAGTTCCAATAAAAGTAATTTAAAAACTCATTCTGGCTGCCTCCAGATGCCAGCCTCCTGGGGTTGCCACCACGCATTATTTAATATGAACTTGATGGTTTCAATCCCCTTCCTGATGCCTGATTCAGCTCTTCTATAGGCAGCCCCTTCTGTCTGTAACTGACAAGATGTTGCTAATGATTGGAAATTTTAAAATATATTTCCTATTAGTTTTCACTATTTATTTCTTTCTTTTACATTTTTCCTGATTTATTTTGGATACACACACACACACACACACATACACACCACATATATATATAACAAACAAATATATATATAACAAACAAACAAATATATATATATATATTTGTTTGTTTTCCTGAAATTAGGATGAAATCTGGCTTCTTTGGCTTCTATTTTAGCTTGATACCTGACAGAATATCCTGTCAAAAGAATTAAATATGACCTTGATACAAGAGATCTCTTGCTTTGGAAGAAGAAAATCTGTTTCACATAGTTTCTGAATTAGAATTTATGCCAGTAACAGAAGATTAGTTCTGGAGGCAGATGTGGTATTTTTTCTTCTTTAAAGTTTAAAATAGACCATTCACATGCATACAACTACAAATAATCTTACCTGGTGTTACTTATCAATCCATTATCACTGGAGGATTAATTAACTGGGAGCAGTAAGGGGGAGTATCTTGTCAAGTTGTGCTCTAATTATTGGTTTACATGTCTGCCCCTCTCACCTTGAGTTCTAGGAGGTCAGGGATGCTTCTTGTTTACTTTTGTAACCCCACACTGCCTGGTCTATCAAAGGTGTTCATTCAATAAACGCTGGGTAAATAAATGAGTGGTTCTGGTAAAATATTCTTTTTTGTAGGTTTGGTTTTATATCACACAGAGTTTTACATCTGTGTTTGACCATGTTGCTTCACACTTT
The DNA here is from genome assembly GCF_000001405.40 of Homo sapiens. Classification (NCBI taxonomy): domain Eukaryota; kingdom Metazoa; phylum Chordata; class Mammalia; order Primates; family Hominidae; genus Homo; species Homo sapiens. The sequence goes on along the minus strand of NC_000023.11, from coordinate 99,697,738 downwards.
GCATCAAATAGGTCCTGACCTTCGTATCATATCTTGGCTAATATTAATCTGATACCTACAAAGATGTTTCTGTCTTTGTTCTATAATCACTCACATTTCAGTCTTTGAAATGAATCACAAACAAATATTAACCAGAATTTAAAAATCTAGACTTGTTTTTCTATTGGACATTGCACACATCTATATAATAAGGAAAGCCAGGTGCACAGCTTCCTTCCAACGTGAGTTTGTTCTGCCAATGCCCTTTTTAAAAATGCCTATGCATTTGTGATGGGAGTTGAATCTGTAAAGCTCCATGATTTTAGGCAAAAAAACTTTAATTTTTTTTCATTGAGTAGTGTCTCAAAACTTTGTTATTTAAAAGTCCCTTTCTCTATGAATGTGTCCTGTCTGCTATGATCATATATTTTCCACAAATGCATCACATATGGTTTTCACTTGCTGCTTTTCTACTGCTTTGCTATTTCATTCACCCTTATATGTGGGCTGCAGTATCATCTTTTGTTTTTAGATATACTAGTTTTGAGAAATCAATGAATATACTTCCTTATGACTTTTGAAAAAGTCAACTTTTATGTTGTAAGGGCCAAGAATAAATAAAACTAAATTAAATGTAATACAGTCCCCATGATACTCTGGAGCAATATATAATGCAGCATTTTAAAAAATAAAGAGTAGTCTTACTCTTTCCCAAAATGTTATTTTTCTTATCAGACTGAAAAAGCTGCCCTGTATTTACCTTCATTGCCTTCTCTTCTTTCCTTTAGACTTGATAAGGAGATGCTTATGAGTCTAAAAGGAAGAAAAAATTATCTACGTATCTAATTTTCTATCAGGAATATTGTAGGACCCCTGTTTTCTAATCCTATTTATTATTAGTCAACTTGAATACCTATTCGTGTACACAGAACGATTACTGTCTATAATACTTAGAAAGTAGGGCTGCATTTTGCTGAAATATTGTGCCTTGATAGGTTCCACATACCTCTTTTTAATTAATATCTTTCATTTTTAAAAGGAGGATGCAGACAAATAGCAAAGAAATAAACAAATCAGCTTTGCATGCAAGTTTATCTTTGTCCATTTAAATTATTCTGAATACAAATGCCAAGTTGAAATATTTTTGATGGTTTGTTTTTCAGTGGCTCTGGTCACAACAAAAGCAAAAATGGTACAGTGAAGCCAGTCCCAAGCGCCTGAGTGTCTTCTCTCTCTTCAGTATTCCTCTTTGAGAGTTTGGCATTTCATCTATGCTAATCAGATCCATCATGCATTGGCAGGTGGTGAGTGGGTACTATAATTCCAACCTACCTAGCATATTCATAGTATTTAGTGTATTTTCTTAGATATTGTTTGGTATTATTTTAATAAGTGAATTACCAAAAGTGAGCCAATCACTTTGTAGTTCTCACCATTCTTTATTTTAAAAAAATACGCATCTTGGTTCTCCATGCTGGTCTCAGGAGATGTATTATTTACAATCCAGGCATACTATTAACAAATCATGTAATATAAACATTAGAAATTGTTTTACTTTTCAAATCAGTGAGGAATGACATACTACAAATACTATTGTATGTTTCTAGACACTTCATAGTAGATACCCAAATCTTTTCTAAGTACTGAATTGATATTCTATGTGCTATACTATCTGCCTATATTCTAAAGTTTCATGTATGTCTATAAATACCTTAATTCTTAGCTATAATTTTGATTCCTATGAACATTTAAGATAGCAGCAGAAAAGTGTGTAAGTAAAACAAGATTGTTTCCTCCACTTAAGATGAACTATGGTAAAGATGAAAAGGTGGTTGTGTGTTGAGTGTCAGTAATGGTCTTTGAAAGCCCTTATGAACATATAAATAATGCCAACATTTTGAGATACAGGCTGATGAAGGCTGGTAAATGTCATTTGTGTTCAATTGATATGAAAAGAACAATTGAAAACATGTGAAAGGGAAATTTGGAACACATATATATATTATATATACATACACACACACACACACACACACACACACATATATTTGAAGTGTTAAATGTTGTCTTGTTTTCCAAGTGTATGTTTAAGCATAAAATCTCATTGATGTATATGCCAACACAAGAGTAATGCCCTTTGATTAACAAGCAGTTCTAGGAAACCACTGCAAAAAGCAGTGTGTACAAAGTGGTGTATCTCCAATTTTTTAATTATACCCAGGAATTTATGGGGTAACCAAATCTTTTATATATAGGCCACTAGGAGAAAGGATTCTGGGCCACCTGAATCGGCATAGTGGAAATTTGCTGTGTGTTTTTGGCTGTTCATCATCCAATTCTTCACTGTGTAATGTACTAATTGAACACAGTACCCACCTTTCATACAAAAATCAAAGACTGGAGGCTCCTTTCCTTGCCTTCTGGCAGCCAGATAATGGGTATATAAGCCAGGCTCAGCTAATCAGATGCTATCAGCCCAGACTATGAATCTAAATTGCATAACACAAGGATGGAATAATGATTAGAATTGATTTGGCGCAGTTGTTACCATGTCCAGCGGTAATAATGGTAGTGCGTAGAGGAGGTGGAGGCCTAAAAATATTGGTGGCTCTGTCCTGGCCAGGTCGTTCTGGCTAAAAGGTTATTAATTTTATTTATTTATTTGTTTGTTTGTTTTGCTTCTTATCCCTCCAAAGCTCATTTGTTCCTTCCAGTCTTAGAAGTCTGTTTTCTCAGCCAATGTAATAGTACCCATTATAACCTTCCAACAAATCCTTTTTATTTCCTAGGATAGCTACAGTTCATTACTATTACTAGCAGATAAGAATTATGACAGATACGATATATTGCTTCCCAATGTCCCTGCACTAGTGGATGTTTAACAAGCTGCAGATTATATCTTCTGGAGATTGCAGGAACCCATTGTGACTAATTTAATATCTATGAGGAAATTGGTATATTTGGCATAACAAAGGAGATATGTAAAATTTGCCAAAATGATATCATTGTTTACATTTTGTAGAATGGTTCTTTTTTTTACATAAAAGAAAGAATGTAGAAAAGTATTTGGTAATAATAGACATAGGTTGATCTAGAGGGCATAATCTTAAGAAACAGGTGGTCCTAGGTGATAATCTTGGCTCTGCTGTTTGTTACCTGTGCCCTGGGAGAGTTGCTTAAGTTTCTTCACCTGTAAAAAATCATAAGAAGTGTTGCGGGTATTATACAAATATTATATTATAAACTACTTTGCAACAAGCACAGAGCCTGACATATAATTACCATTTAATTAATTAATAATTATTATCACAGCCAAACATTTATTGAGTTTTTAGCATGAGGCAGGAACAGTAGTGCTCTATATGTTTTATAAGTGAAAATAATCTTCAGATCAAATCTAAAGTAAGTACTGTCTTTATCCCTATTTTATAGATGAGGCATAAAGAAAGTGAAGCACAGAGGGGTTACAAAACTTGCTCAAGGTCACACAGCAACAATTCCATCCTATTTTCCTGATTAAATTTGTGTCTTTTTCCTCTTCCATTTGTTCTTTTTATTTGGTACTTCTAGTTTCAAGTCTTCTATTTCTTTTTTCCTTTTTGAATTTTAGAGTCATTGACCAACAACTTAAAAATAATTCTGTAGTAATTTGTGAGTAGAGCCTTGGACGTGATACTTCGCTTTCAGTGTCTTTTTTTCAAGGACATAAACAAGGATATCCATATCCACTCTCCTCATTGAGGCAACTGCCATACAGATCTGAAATATAATTTTCGTTTTTGGGATTCTCAAATTCTCTTTTAATGAATCATTTGTACGCTGTTTGCAAAACGTAGTACCCTCAGGTTAAGAGAAAGTGAAAAAGGACTCCTTTGGAAAAGCTGTATCATTATGATCTCAATGAAATCAAGTTGATGTACTCCAGTCTCATTCATGAGTGAGCATGAAGGCAGAAAGACCTATCATCTCTGGTCTCATATTAAACTTTGTCAGGATGAAGGATCCCAAAGGTTATTTCTCCAGATTAGATTTAAAGTATGTGGCTATGGGTACTGCTGATACACCTGAATAAACATCCCTGTGGCAAAAGTAGGCCAACAGTGCTGCCAGCCATCAGCATCTAATTCGCTCTCATTTCATAAGATGATAAAAAATTAAAAGCTGTTCTAAAAGCAGAGGGATTTGGAGCTGGCTCTGTACCAGGCCCTGTAGCTATGCTCATGAATCAGTGTTGCTTCTCCTCTTGGTTGCTAGCCCATTCTGGAATCCATGCCACCTGTTGTTGCTGCTATTTTCTATTTAAGCTTCTCTTTGTAAATGGTGTGAGCAGCTCTGATTGACAAAGTTTCAGTTTTTATTTTATTTTTTAAAGAACGCTGTTAGATGAGGATCAAATGCAGCTCTTCATTTCCAGTGATGTATAGAGATCTCACTAGGACACAAAATCTGATAGAAGGAGGCTGATCATAACTCTACACCCAAATGTAGGCTGGAACTTGGGTTAGGTAAGAATGATCTGCAAGGGACACCTTGTCCTAAACCCTTAGTCATTTTTTAAGACTTCTTTGGGAAATGCTTCCAAATGTTTTTGACAAATGCACACTACTTTAACAACAGAATTGTACATAAATTGATTATATTATTTAGTTTCTAATTTATTTATCAATCTCATATTTTCACTACTTATTATGAGTTGTACTGAGTGCATGGAGATTCTGTTCAATATTTGTTTTTAAATGACAAGTCTTGTAAATAAGAGAGAAACTCTATGTAGGATATTTATGTGTACAAATCAGCTCCTTTAATTTTAACTTTAATTGGTCATCTTATGAAAAATGTGCAAATAAAATAGCAGCTTTTGCTAAGACATGAGAGTTTGTGGAGGTAATTTTTGTAGCTGAAATATTTTACTCTTTAGAGGAACACAAGCTAGAATTTCACTGTCAGCTAAAAGGGATACATATTAAATTCAGTAGTTTTCTTGAAGTATATTCGTTGTTTTCCTTTACCAGGGGCCATTTAAGATGAACTCATGATGGCTATAAATCATTAAGTTAATGTGTTCCTGAGTCAGGTATCCATTTAATATACATGCAACATTTTATTAGCTCTTTTCTCCACGTACAAATAGAAAATATTATCCCCACTGTAAGAAACAATGACATGCTTTCAACAGGAGTTCTGGAGAAAGGCATTGTTTAAAGCTCCATATCATTTCCATGTAATAATTGTGTGGAAGTAAGAGTAGGAGAATAGAGGCCACTGTTATTTTCCTCCATAAGGCTTTTGAAAAAGGAATCAACAGCCTAGTAATCTTGAAATATCTGTATGTCTCATCATCATAATTATTTTCAACATAATTTACTCCCTTTTATAGGTATTTGAATATTTCCTGCTTTAGATACACCTCCAGCCTGTGCTGCTGAATTCTACCAGATGTTAGGTTGTTAACTACAATCTAATTATTTTAGAGAAATTCTTTTGACGGCTTGTGCTTTAGGGAGATGGGACACAAAGGGCAGATGAGTATATAGAACTCCCTAGCCTTATATATCACCCAGGTATTAATGCTGCTATTTATCTACAAACACAACATACAATGCATAATCACACACACACACACACATACAAACACACACACACACACACACACACACTCTCACATGCTGGAGATAAAATTCCTCATTGAATACTTGCATTAAGAGCTACTTCAGTGCAAAAATACTACTTTAGAAAACCTCTAAATCTGTCCTTCCACCCTCTACCAGTAGTACTGGATGCATTCTGGTGTCTCCTCTGTTTTAAATATCCTTAATCCTCTCACCTACATGTCAGAGAAAGGAAAGAGAGAATATTGAGTTTCTGGCATAACATGAACTAGCTGATAGGACCATCTAGTGTCACACTGTAAATTCAAAACCACTGTGCATGGGGCACTTAAATCTCAATAATGAGAACTTACATTATTAAAGACAACGTCTTTCACCCTAAGAGCTTTTGTTGTGACTTTTGATGGATTAGGCAGCATATCAGCAATATTTCTGAAGTCTAGTACCAACAGAGTCAAAATAAAGACATAACAAGAACAGTACCGAGACAATACAACATTGAAACCTCAAACCACTAAACATATTTTCTTCAAATTGCAATGGGGCTGTCTAAGAACCCACAGAGAGGAGTTCTGTCTTTTTTAATTTTAATCAGTTAACATCCAAGCCACTGTATTTAGTATAGATTCTGAAACATTTATTGCTAAGCACTAGCCACTGGGATCATTTGGACCCTTGGTCCCTGTCTCCTCAAAAATAATCCTAAAAGGGAAAAGCAATTCAAAGCCAGTGAACATATACTATGAAGGACTACCACCAGATTTTACAAGTCAACATTTCTGGGGGGGCCTCAGTTTGCCTATCTTGGAAATGAAGAGATTAGGAGATTGGACGATAGCATCTCCATATCTCTTCTGTCTTTAACATTCTGTGATCCCTTGAGGGCCATGGAGTCACCTTCAAGTTTTGCATCATCTTTGCTTTATATTAAATATGAATAATGATTAAATATATGAATTTCTTGTTTTCTTCTGTCCTCAAAAGCATTTCTTGGCAAACCTGGCAGGCGATAGCTTTGCATTGTAAGCTGACTTTTGATTTGTTTTGAAATGATGCTGTGCATCTTACGCCACCTAGATGGCAGCTCCCTGGTGCTTCTCCCTCATCCTACCCTTTTAAAAATTTCCTGTGTTGCCCAAGTGCCAACTTGGAAAAGCACCTCTTTATCCTGGTGATGATGATGCTGATAAAGATAAGGAGATATGAGAAAAAGCTTCCACAGTTGCTGTCTTCCCACTTCATACAACTTGGGATAGAGGTCAAAAAGGGAGTCTTTGAAGCAGTAGGTATTGGCAGTAGAAAGGGAAGTAAGAAACTATTCTTTGAGATTGGCAGAAATGAAGCAGAGAGCAAACTCATTACTAGGTTCTGAGAAATGTATTTTTAGATATATAGAGTTGCATCTTTTATGGGGAGAGAGTGTATTCTGCATCATTGTCAGAAGGTTTAGCCTACATAATATGTTATTACCAACCTTTTAAAACTGTTCTAAAATTAAATCTTAATAATATGGCTTACAAAATGTGAGATGAACTGTCCTCTGTCTTCTTCTCAAGGCTCATTTTGCACAACTCTTATTTTCTTGCCTCTTGAGAACCCCACTTCTTGCAGTCTATGATGCTGCCAGTTTGAACATTTTTTACTTCCTCCCACTGCACCATGATCAGCATTGCCTTCAGGACATTGCGCATTCCCGAATCACTCCATAACCTTTTGATCTAGCTGATTCTGATGGTTCCTTTTGTTCTCAGTGTAAATGTCAACTTTTCTCCAAAGGTATTCCCAACTGTTCTATTAAACCTGGCTATCATTATAAGGTAGATACACCTTGTTTACATTCCAATATCACCCAGTCTTTCTGCTATAGCAATTGTACTCTACATATTAGGTTAAGATGTATGAACATCTAGTCTCATGGCTTTAAATAATTTTCTTGTACCAATGATTCCCAAATTCATATCACCTATCCTGACCTCTCCCTTAAATTCCAGATTCATATTATTTAATTACCTATTCAGCATCTCCTTTTGGGGATTTTGATAGCTCAAAATTAGCATATCCAAAATTGAATTTAGGATAGTTTTTTTTCATTTCCTTCAAACCTACTTTCCTCTCTTTCTTCCTTATATCAACTAATGACAAGCCAATTTCTTCCATTTTCTCAGAAACCTTGGGATCATCCTTGATTTCTCTCTTTATCTTAGACTTATCATCAAAAAACTTTTGGCTCTGCTTTCAAATATATCCAGACACTGACTACTTTTCCTCTGCTTCATTGTTACTTCATGGCTCCAATCACCATCTTCTCTTCCTGGGGCTATTGCAACAACCTTTGAACTCATTTCCCTGAGTTCACCCTTTGCCCACTTCAGAAAATCTTCAATGCAGCACCCGCAATGATAAGGTTAAAACCTAATACAGATTATGTCACTGCTCTGTTCTTCCAATTAGTATTCAGAGTGAAACTCAATGCCCTAAAAATGGCCAATAAGGCTCTATGTCTTCTTTTTCTCTTATTTCATATTCTAATAAATGCTCCCCTTTTCACTGCCACTTCAGAAACACTGACTAAAATGCTGACTTACATGTTGTTTTTTAGGTATTCCAGGCACTTTGTCTCTTTAGGGCCTTTGCACTTGCTGTTTCACCTGCCCCAAATAGTCTACCTCCAATAGCTGTGTGGCTCATATATTAACATGCTTTAAGTCTCTGTGCTAAGTATTCCTACTGAGAGCAAGAAATATATCTTTTCTAATCACAGTTATATTTTCAGGTCCAAGGATATAGCAGTGGTGATGTTTTATTTGAATGGCTGAATAAGCAACCTTAATGTGTCCTAGAATCTCTTTCAGATCATTATGGCCATTATTGGTGGCATGCAGTTAGGTGAATATCTGTTCTCCCTGCAGTGGAAGTAGATACGTTCCTAACAAACTAGGTTAAAATTCTAAAAAAGTTAACTTCTACAGAAACATTGACATATGTGGTGGTTAGATTTGAAAGAACCATTTGTATTTAACTTTATATAACTTCAGGTACAAAAAGAAATGAATAAGTTTTTATTTTAAGATTGCCTGAAAATTTCATATGTTCACCATGGATAAACATTGTTTCTAGTGAGAATTTATTCCTAAAACTCAACAAGCACAATGTTTTGAAATACAACCCCTTCATAAGGTGGGGACTGATTATATTTAAAGGAGAAAAATTGGAATTTCAGGTACTAGCATTACCCACCTCCTAATCTTTGAGGGAAAATGTATTTGCATGCCCTTGGAAAAGATAGCACATTTATTTTGGACAGCGCATTTCTTTCTTCTAGTTATCCTTTGATATATCTTGCATTTCTAAAATATTAAATGTAAAGCAAAATGTCTCTAAATGAAATTGCATTTTTTATTAGGAACAATGTATCTTATACAAAAGACGAAGAAGAATTAAGAAAATAGAATTTGGCCCCATGACTAAAAGCAAAGAAAAAAATATTAAAAGTCATATATTTAGTGGAAAGCCAATACAGTTATGCATCTCTTAATGACAGGAATCTGTTCTGACAGATGCATCCTTAGGTAATTTCATCATGGTGCAAACATTATAGAGTGTACTTACATAAAACTAGATGGTTTATGTAGGCAATTGTAACACAATGGTCAGTATTTGCGTATCTTAACCTAGAAAAGGTGCAGTAAAAATACAGTATAAAAGATAAAGGACAGTACACCTGTATAGGACACTTACCACAGATGGAGCTTGCAGGACGGCAAGTTGCCCTGGGTGAGTCAGAGAGTAAGTGATACGTGAATGTAAAGACCTAGGACATTATTGTACACTACTATGGACTGTATAATTAGGCTGTCCCAAATATATATAAATCTTTTTCTTTCTTCAATAATAAATTAACTTTAGTTTTCTGTAACTTTATTACTTGATAAACTTTTGACTCTAATAATAACACTTAGCTTAAAGCACAAACATATTGCTCAGCTGTACAAAATATTTTTTCTTGATATTCTTATTCTACAAGCTTTTTTCTATTTTTTCTATTTTTTTTTTTTTTTAAACTTCTTAAATTAAAAATGAAGTCACAAACATACACATTAGCCTAGGCTTACAGAGGGTCAGGATCATCAAAATGTCACTAGGGCAATAGAAACTTTTCAGCTTCATTATAATCTTATGGGACCATTGTCATATACGTGGTCCATTGTTGGCTAAACCATCATTATGTGGCACACGACTATAGCTCTAAAATGATATTTAAAACAAATAACAATATGGATCTGATGAAAAAAAGAGAATTTTTTTAATACTTTTATGTTTGACAGTAATTTTAGGTTTACGGGAGAGAAATTTCCGGCTTAATTAAATTAATTCTATTGAAAATTGCTCAATTTTTATTAATTCACTGCCTGAGTTAACTACATCAAGAAAACCAGAGCTCTTTTAGGTGTTTGAACTATGTTTCCAGGACTTTGTGGGTTCTACTGACTTTGTGTAGTGAACAAGTTGGTATGGGATGAAGGGAAGGGGAGATAACAAAACAACAAAAGCAAAAGATTATTTTAAAATACTGTTTAAGGATGCAGCAGGCTATGAATAAAAGGGGAATATATCCTTGTACACATAGGAGGAAGGGTGCTTTACATATATTGAGGCCTCAGGATGGCCTGCTGATAACTTTATTTTTCCCCTTTAATTAAATAATTTTTTTTTTAAAAATCACACAAGTAAAACTTGAATATATTTCTTGGAAAATTTCTAGCAGCATTGGTGTATTTAGAGTAGAACCTGAAAGATCTCCTTTACTAACACTTTTGTCAATCTTGCTCCCATTGTCCCATTGCTGGAGGTGACCAGGTGACCACCATTTATGATTTGAAGCAAGTATACTTCTTGTTGTTTTTCTATGCTTTTGTATAAAGATATATATTCCTATACATAAATGCATACATATATATGTGTGTGTGTGTATGTGTTTCTCTGTGACTTTCCTTTCTTTTGAAAATATGCCTAAACATATTACAACTATGAATATATATTAATATATGTTTCATGTATAATAAATAATATTACAGCAAATTTAAAGTTATTGAAATCATTTACTGGAATCTTTTTTTTAAACTTGCATTTTAAGTTCAGGGGTACATGTTCAGGATGTGCAGTTTTGCTACCAAAGTAAACATGTGTCATAGGGGTTTGTCGTACAGATTATTTCGTCACTGAGGTATTAAGCCTAGTATCCATTAGTTATTTTTCCTGATACTCTCCCTCCTCCCACTCTCCACCCTTTGATAGGCCCAAGTCTGTGTTGTTCCCCCTGTATGTGTCCATGTGTTCTCATCATTTACCTCCCTCTTATAAATGAGAACACATGGTAGTTGGTTTTCTGTTCCCACATTAGTTTGCTAAGGATAATGTCCTTCAGCTCCTTTCACGTTGCTGAAAAAGACATGATCTCACTCATTTTTGTGGCTTCATAGTATTCCATGGTGTAGATGTACCAAATTTTCTTTACCCAGTCTATCATTAATGGCCATTTAGGTTGAGTCCATGTCTTTGCTATTGGGAATAGTGCTGGAATGAACATACATGGGCATGTATCTTAATAATAGTGATTTATATTCCTTTGGGTATATACCCAGTAATGGGATTGCTTGGTTGGATATTATTTCTTTCTTTAGGTCTTTAAAAAATTAACACACTCTCTTCCACAATGGTTGAACTAATTTCCACTACCACCAACAGGGTATAAGCATTTCTTTTTCTGCACATCCTCGCCAGCATCTCTTATGATTTTACTTTGAAATAATAGCTATTCTAACTGGTGTGAGATGGTATCTCATTGTGGTTTTGATTTGCATTGCTATAATGATCAGTGATGTTACGCTTTACTTCATATGATTGTTGGCTGCATGTATGCCTTCTTTTGAAATGTGTCTGTTCATGTCCTTTGCCCACCTTTTAATGGGGTTGTTTTTTTTCTTGTGAATTTGTTTAATTTCCTTAGACATGCTGTATATTAGACGTTTGTCAGATTCATAGTTTGCAAAAATTTTCTCCCATCCTATAGGTTGCCTTTTTACTCTGTTGATAATTTCTTTTGCTGTCCAGAAGCTCTTTAGTTTAATAAGATCCCATTTGTCAATTTTGACTTTTGTTGCAATTGCTTTTGTTGTCTTCATTATGAAATCTTTGCCCATGCCTATGTCCTGAATGATATTGCCTAGGTTGTCTTCTAGAGTTGTTATAGTTTTGGGTTTATATTTAAGTCTTTAACCCATCTTGAGTTAATTTTTGTATATTGTGTAAGGAAGGGGTCCACTTTCAATCTTCTGCTTATGACTAGCCAGTTCTCCCAGCACCATTTAGTGAATAGGGAATGCTTTCCCTATTGCTTTTGTCAGGTTTGTTGAAGATCAGATAGTTCTAGGTTTGTGGTCTTATTTCTTGGTTCTCTACTCTGTTCCATTGGTCTATGTGTCTGTTCTTGTACCAGTACCATGCTGTTTTGGTTACTGTAGCCTTCTAGTACAGTTTGAAGTCAGGTAGCGTGATTCCTCCAATCTTGTTCTTTTTGCTTAGGATTGCCTTGGCTATTTAGGCTTTTTTTGGTTCTGTTTGAATTTTAAAATAGTTTTTTTTCCCTAGTTTTCTGAAGAATATTATTGGTAGTTTAATGGGAATAGCATTACCCCCCAACACTTTGGACTCCCCTAAGCCTGCATGCTGGCATGGCTGAGTCTTCCAAACAGCAAAGATGGCAGCCTGCCCCTTCCCTGGGGAACTCAGTCCCATCCCAAGTAAGTGCAACAGTGCTGCTGGTGGCTGGCTGGAATTCCAAGCCAATGGGTCTTATCCTGTGAGGTGCCCTGCAAATGAGGCTCGCAGACTAATGCTACTCAGCTCCCTGTCTTCAGCCCCCTTCCTAGGCATATGTACGGAGGTCTAACCTCCTGCTTTGCCTGAGTTCCAGTCACCATTTCCAGGGATCCCAGAGCTGGAGTATGTAAAGTTCCTGGGTCTCTGTGCCTGCCTGAGTGTCTGCTCTGCTGAAATTTCGCATAGCACTGTGTGTCAGATACAAGGCCTTGGTGGAGTGGGTTCACCAGGGTATCTCCTGACCCGAGGGTTGCAAAGATCTGTGGGAGAAGCATCTATTTGAATATTTCAATAAGGAAATATTAAGCACTCGCAATTATACTACGTTTATGTGTGGACAGATAAATGATAATTGAAATAGAAGGTTTCGTGAAAGTGAAACTTAACTTGGACCTTGAAGGATCATCAACCTTAAGAAAGTGAGGATTAAGACTCATTACATTTTAGTGGAGGGTCGCAGCATAAAATAAGTACAGGAATAAGCATGATGAATACAAAGGAAAGACAGAGCTGAGCAGAAAAGAGAGTGGTAAGGTTGGACAGATAAGTTGGAGCCTCATTGTTGAGAGTATTGATAATAAGGCCAAACTATCTGGTCTTGATGTAGAAGTCAATGTGGGGCATATTCAGGCTTGTAGGTATATTAAGGAATTCATCCTGACAGCACTAAGTAAAATGGACTGCAGGCAGGAGAGCCTTGATTCTAGAAAAAGAGTGAAGTGGCAGTGGCAATAATTCAGATATGGATTTGGGGATATTCTGGACTAGCATACTGGGAATGAAGAGAGAGAAATGTAATTATTTAATGACAAGTTTGATAGTGAGATGAAAAAGAGAAATGCCTCAAAGATGATCCCTGAATTTTAAATTTCAAAATGGAGGTCATTTTGGAAATTAAAAATCAGAAGGCCAGTCTGGAAATGGACAAGAATGGGAAACATGGAAAGGAATTTTGACTTGTTTATAATGAGGAATGCCTAAAATGTTTAGCTTAAGAAAAATTACATAGTTTACTCTGCTAAATTACAAATAATTGTTTTCATCATCTCCCTTACTGTCTCCTAGACACTCAGACTCAATTAGCAAGAGTTCCACAGTTAATGACAAGACAATGTTTGGAATTATAAAGTCCTGGGTCATGTGAGGATATTGAAATCCCACTATGGCCCCACAGGTACTTAACTAGACTTGTTAAAGCCTTTGAGATGCTTGAGGCCTCTAAAGTTGCACCTCAAGTTGTTTTTCTTTTTTATTTTATTTGACTTTTACCTAGACCTAGGGACACCTTTTGTTTCTGGCCTATCAGGGAACAGCAGAGATGACAAGTAGCTCCTCAGCCAGATGGCATAATACCTAGGTGAAAAGGGAAAAGAGTTCCATAGAGGGGTCTCCATTACGTTGTGAAATTTGAAAAAAGCCCTTCAGACTCAAGCCTCTGGGGATATTCCATCCCAGAATGGATGAGATGAGTAAAGAGGAAAACTTGTTGGTTGTTTTTATTATTTTTTCCTCACATCAAAAAGAACAGTTTTATCAGCCAAGGGACATACACATTGGATGGGGATCTTGAGTAAAAATCCAAAGGTGTGTCAGACATGGCTATTTTCATATTCCAGTGTTACATCTTCTGTAAAATAAGGCTATTTGTCACTGAATTGAGGTGAAGTGCTTCTGACCTTTTGAGCAGACAAGCACAATCTTTTCCCCCCAACTCTCATTTTCAAAATACTGGGATCTATATCTAGAATCATGTTTTGGAAAAATAACATTCAGGATTTTTAAGCAAAGCACAGAGCCAATCTCAACAGAATCACAAACAATCATACCAAAACACACAACCAAGCCATTGCATTGTTCTAATTTTAGTGATGTTAATAAGATATGAACTTTGAACTGCAGGTGGCTGAGTGATGTTGCTATGCAGCTTTGCTTTTCATATATGAGACTGGTCTTTTTGGGTTAATTCTGCATTTTGCTTAAATCCTTTATTTTGAGCAAGTAGAAGGTTGGGCCTGCCAAATCCAATATTGATAGGTGGGTGAGACAGTTACAGGTGTACACATTATTTGGTATTCTTTTTTAAGAATCCGCATAGGTATACAACTACATTGTTAAAGCTAAAAAATGACAACATGAAATATAGCAGCCATTTTTCTCTCAAGAAGAGGAGCTTATAAATTTACTTGGTCCAAAGTATCTCCTGCTTCAGCAGTACATCAGACTGTGCAGTCTCATCAGTCTGAATCAATTAGAAATTACTCACAAAGTAAATTACACTGAAAAAGTTTGATTTGTTACCACAGTTTGTTACCTCTCTTCAATCTTAAACGACTAAAAGCAAAAAGTAATAATGTGACAGTGATAGTAAAACGTAACTTTTATTGAGATTGATGATAACCTGTTTGCTACAATATTTGCTTTTAATAATTTAATATTTCAAGCACCGTAGAGAGAGTCATAAATATTTGATTATGAAGCTTCTACAATTTATATAACTTTGGTTTGAACTGGTTCTTGATGTTTTGAATATACCTATATCATTTAAAAAAAATCCCACAAACATTGTGGCTTTCACTCTTAAATTAGTTCCTTAATTGAATCCCTCCAATTGAGTATACATTCCTTATGCGTTGCATGCACTAAGCATTTGCTGAAGTAAATTGAGGAATGACAGCTCCCTTTTTCAAAATCTAATTGAATAATTGGGGGCTGGACATTAGCTTTCATCCTCACAGAGGTTTTTGGAAAGTTTCCTTTCACTGGCAGCAATAAGGTACAGTTGTGATTATTTGACAATATCTGGAGTTATTGGCAAGAAATGAGAGCTGTAAAGGGAAATGAAAAAGATACCTATATTTAGTGAATTATATCATGAATATCAGTAAGTTGACCTGTTTGCAAATCTACTGTAGCTAATTCTAATTTCCAATTGGCGGTTTCTTTCTGAGCACTGAATTGGGCAATCCAATAAAGTTAACTTACTAGCCATAATTATTCCTCCTGGCTGTCACTTTTTTTTTTAACTTTATAAATTTTTTATTTTCACCAGTGTCACTTGCCATATTTTTTTCATTTTTTTAATCTTTAAGTTGTTTTTTATCTTTAAGTTCTGGGATACATGTGCAGAATGTGCAGGTTTGTTACATATGTATACATGTGCCATGGTGGTTTGCTGCACCCATCAACCCGTCATCTACATTAGGTATTTCTCCTAATGCTATCCCTCCTCTACTCCCCCAACACCTGACAGGCCCCAGCGTGTGATGTTCCCCTCCCTGTGCCCATGTGTTCTCATTGTTCGACTCCCACTTATGAGTGAGAACATGTGGTGTTTGGTTTTCTGGCTGTCACTTCTACCCATAGATTAGTAGACTCCACTATTTCCACTGTGCTGCTTGCCTTATATTATGAAATTTACACATTCAAGATATTATCTGCAGTCTTGTTACCAAAATGTAGTTGTGTCCAAAATGTAGTTGTAGCCCTGAGTATATCTTGACAGGTTTTAATACACTTAAATTAATTTGAAATTCCAAACCCAGCTGAAATATTTCTGTAACATGTAATTTCTTCCAGTATAAAAGTAATATGCTTGAGAGTTCATGGAACACAGAGAAATATCAGCAGTGTGGTGGTGGATAATGTTTGTATGAATTTTCAAAAGAAGTAAAAGCAGATTTCATGTTCAGTATTGATTTCCATTGCCATATATTAAAATTAATTTATTAAACAGAGAAGAGTGATTACTAGAACCCAAATACATTGACTTAAGTAACTACATGCCAAGCTTACAGCGTTTTCTTTTGTGTTAGGTTTGCCAGACTTAAATTTAGTCTTGATTTTACTAACTTAGTGAAAAGGATTGAGTTACATGGGCTGGATAATACTGGGATTACTCCACTCAAAAATAATTAATGGATTGTTACTAAAGGCCACGTTTTAGAAACATTCCTCATAAGCTTTGTATCTGATCTCATTAGATTGGACTTTTAAAATATGAAGACCATAATGCAAACATGTATGTAAATTACTCTTACATAGACAATCTTAGTGTGATGAATACTGGAATTTAGCATTTGAGTGTCATATTTTAAGAAAGGATTGAGCTCAGAGGAAGATGAGCAACCTGCTGCTAAAAATGACATGTTGTCTAAGGAACTTAATGGAAGGAAGTTTTGCCTAGAGAAGAGAAATTTTGGGAACAGAGTATGATATGTCTTTCCCATACTTCAAATCACTTTTATTTTGTGGTAGATTTAGATTTATTCCACATTGCTAAGAAGAAAAAAAAAACAGGGGGAGGATAGATAAATAGGTTGAAGTTCTGAAATTACAGGGAATTAGATTTCAGTTGAGGGGATTCTGACATTGGGTAGGTAGGTATTTAGCCTGGATCAATTCTGAGATCACTTTTGTCTCTCAAATTGTACTAAGTTAGATCACGCTTATTTTGAAATGTGCCCTGCCATTCCTGACTCTTACTTTAGTCTTAATTGAAGGAAACAAATATTTTAGCATAATATAACATCAATATAAGTGATTTTGCATATGTAATATGTGTTCTTGACAAAGGCATCAATCCTAGGTATATGTCAATTTTCAGTCGTGGCTATAATAAAGATTAAAGAATAGCGAACAAAAAAACAGGCAAGAAAATTAATGAAGTAAAGGTCTTATAGGCAGGTAAGTAAGTGACAAATATAGGCTTTTTTTTTCTATACTTAAGTTCTGGGGTACATGTGCTAAATGTGCAGGTTTTTTACATAGATATACGCATGCCGTAGTGGTTTGCTGCACCCATCAACCTGTTATCTACATTAGATATTTATCCTAATGCTATCCCTCCCTTAGTCCCCCACCCCCTGACAGGCCCCGATGTGTATAGTTCTAAAAGAGCATATGAATAATGAGTCATGAGTGACTTGAGGGCATGAAACTGGGATAATTCAATGAAAAATGTGTCAGAATTAATTTGAAGTTCCTTGCTTCTGTCTAGCAAGCTAGGGGATTCCATCTGACTCTGTTGAATATCTCATTTTGCTTTAAAGATATTCTTATGACTAAAGCACAATGCAGAGTGCAGCACACACCTTAGAAGTCATTTGCTCACCTATGTTTTTCCAATTAGCACAGTATTTCAATTGGAGTTTAGCCTATTTTCCACTTTGAGACAATAAAGGGGAAAGGAGGCTGAAATTCCAAATGGAATTCTAGCTAAGGACTTCAATAGAAGGGTCAGAATTGGATCATATTTTATTTGAAAAAAAAAAAGGTTTTTTAACTACAATTCATGAATTTACCTATACATTTTATACAACCCAAATGTATTTTTTTTTCTTTTCTTATTATCCTTGTGCTTCTTAAACCATGATACTTCTCCAATATGGTGTCACTGGTCAACAACTTAATAAGGTTTCAACGTGAGGGAGTTACACAATAGTGTGAATTACTATCACTGTTGAAAAAAGTAATTATATTTCTCCAAGTGTTACCATATATTAAAGTTACAAAAGGAGACATTTAGAATGCAGGCCAGGTGTGCCTCTTTACCTTCCCTCTTTACCTTCCATCATGATTGTAAGCTTCCTGAGGTCCTCAGGGAAGGCTGAGCAGATGTCGGCACTATGCTTCCTGTACAGCCTACAGAACCTTGAGCCAATTAAAACTCTTTTCTTTATAAGTTACTCATCCTCAGTTATTTCTTTATAGCAAAGCAAGAATGGCCTAGTATGGTCTGTTTGTTTGGAATGTGTTGAAAAGAGAATGGGAAGGGAGAAATTCAATAACAAATGTAGACAACTCTTTCAGGGAATTTTGTTACTAAGGGGAGCAGAGAAGTGGGACCATAACTGGTAATGAATGTAGGGTGAAGAGAGAATTCTAAAGTACATATTTTCAAGAAGGGAGGAATAAAAACATAAGATAATAATAAAAGCATGCTGATGGGAATTGTCCATTAGAGAGGAAAAATTAGACTACATTGAACATAGATGATTAATTTTTGACACAGAGTTCCTGAGTAGGCAAGAGGAACACAAAAGGAGGCATCGAACGTAAATAAAAGCGTGGATAGGTCATCCAAGGTATCATTTGGGATAGCAGAATATTAATAATTCTGATGCAAGATTTTGACCTTTGGAATTTCAAGTCCTCTGGAAAGCTGTGTAGGAAATATTTTGGAGCAAGGAGCCCTGCAGCAACCCTCAGATCTTACCATGTTCAAAAAGTAGACCAGATCTTCCATTAAAGCATTGGGTAACATTGGATTTTGGCGTATAACTTGCTGAACCTCAGTTTCATACAGAAAATGAGGGATCGATCTCTAAGATACTTTTCATCTCTAGTAGTTTGTGTTGGTATAGTGTCAGTGGCTTTGTTTGAATAGCTGAAAAACACTTTTTATCCTCCCTGAAATCTTTATTCATATTTTGACATGGTGTATGGCCTTAGGCGAGTGACCCCTAAATCAACCATAGTTAATTATTGGAAGGAGGCCTGCTTTATAGACAGAGAGGCAGAAGCAGAGAGAGGCAGACAGACAGACACACGTGCACACACACATATATACATACACATACACGCACACAAACTTTCCTAAACATCTCTCTTACGTAAAACAAAGGAGAGAGACAGAGAGAGTAATAACTATTTTCCCCTCACTACTTCATAGCAATATAGGATAGATATTTGAGAAAGAACTTAAAGAGATGCATGAAATGCATTTAGAGATATTTTATTGCATTTTTTAAAACACTTGGAAACTGTTAACTGCATGGAAAATTTGCATGCCATCTAGTCCTTTGTCTCTGCACACAGTTTTTATCTTAATTCAGAATTTCTTCTTTTTTGTATTATTTCATGGTCAGTTTTCTTTTCCTCATGAAATTGACCTATACTTATGTCCATGCTTAATTGCTGTCCTAAGGAATGTATTCTAAACTCTATTATCCTTCATATTAAGTAGTTCAGCTTTTGTTTGTTTACTCCAAGACTTATAATATTATATATAATCCCTAGAGACAATGAATACCCTCAACTCTCTTCACAGTGTAGCTCCAAGCTACTTTTATAATCATTTCCATAATTTCAGACTCTCCACTAAGGATTCTTGATGCATCCTCTTTTCTGTGTTAAACAAATTTATTGGTCCAAATTCTCACCCTAAATCTATGGGAGAATTGTTAGGATGTGATCTTGCCTGTTTTCTTTTAACCTTTCCATCGAACCCAAGCTTGATATGTTAACATCAAGGGCTATCACTTTTCTGAGACTAGAATTGGTTTGCTTCACATGTAATACTGAAGACGAGGAAAAAGGAAAGAAAATCTCAGTTAACTGCAGGCAGAGCAGAAAAAGATGCCTGGTACACTTGAAGGACTTCTCAGATCTATTGTTAGGTCCTTCTCAAAGTAAACACTGCTGACCTTGAGATTTCTCGCTATTATTCTTTTCTCAGAGAATTCATTAAGTGGTGCCATTAAAACCTGACCGCTGTGCTTATCATTGTTGTTACTGTGATGGCAATAGAATTCAGTATCCTGCTGTCTGAAGCAAAAGGCAGGTGACAGGACCCCTGAAGTTTGAGAAACATTTGCAGTCTAGTGGTCTGACAAAATGAAGCAGGAGAACTGACAATGGTTAAAAGAAATTTTACATGTAGTTAGTTATGGAAGGGGGTACAAAGTCATGTTTATTCCCTGATCTTTGGAAACCAGTAGTGATATGGCCAGCTTCTGAAACAGAAAGTTTATATCTTAAACCTGAACGAAGGATGCATAGATCATTCTAATTCCGGAATTTTATTATACTATCTTACAAGAAAGAATAGTCATAACCACTTACTTATGGTCTGGCTGATTTCTAAAATAATAAAATAAGATGTTAGCCAAAAGACATTTCTTTCCAAATCAAATAATTAATTTGTATGTTCAAAAATACTTATCAAATAGCGTTAAATTCAAATGAGTAAGGTAAATCTGCAGAACTGAGAAAATTTCATAGTACTTTGGTTGATGAAGAAAGCAATTTCTGCAGCACAAAATAGTACAATCCTATTTGTAAAAAAAGGATATAGATGTGTATATGTGCATGTATACATATTTGTGTGGATAAAAATAGAGAAAACACTTTAAAGATACTGGATCATTCACAGTGGCCATCTCCTGGGAATAGAATTGGGATTAGGAAAGGGGATGATTCATTTTTAAAATACATTTCCAGACAAAAATCTCAAAACAAAATGGGTGAGATTGCAGTTGGTCATTATTTTGCAGTTTTCTATATTTTATACATTTTCTACAAGATACATGTTACACCTTTGTAATTAATAAAATAATGAATTATACTAAATATAAGTATTTATTGAGAACCTATTATCTTAGGTACCAAGGTTACAGAAGGAAGAAAGTGAAGGATATAAAAAGGAATGGAAGTAGCACTAGTGTGAAGAAATTTACTGTAGACAAACATCGGTTGTGTGGGGGAAGTGTAAACCCAAGCCTCCAAAGCAGGGATTGGGAGCTAGAAGCCTCAATATTTTGATACATTTAGGGTAAATGTAGACACAAAGGCATCTTTTCTCAGAAGAAATTAACAAACTTTTTTATTTTTTGTTTTCATTTCTTCTGAAAAGAAAAACCATGGGATACATGTGCAGAAGGTGCAGGTTTGTTACATAAGCATACATGTGTCACGGTGGTTTGCTGCACCTATTGACCCATCCTCTAAGTTCCCTCCCTTCCCCCCAGCCCCACAACAGGCCCTGGTGTGTGTTCTCATTGTTCAGTTCCCACTTATGAGTGAGAATATGTAGCATTTGGTTGTCTGTTCCTGTGTTAGTTTGCTGAGGATGATGGCTTCCAGCTTCATCCAGGTCCCTGCAAAGGACATAATCTAATTCCTTTTTATGGCTGCATAGTATTCCATGGTGTATATGTACCACATTTTCTTTATCCAGTCTATCATTGATGGGTATTTGGGTTGGTTCCATGCCTTTGTTGTTGTAAATAGTGCTGCAATAAACATACGTATGCATGTGTCTTAATAGTAGAATGATTTATATTCCTTTGAGTACATACCCAATAATGGGATTGCTGGGTCAAATGGTATTTCTGGTTCTAGATCCTTGAGGAATCGCTATACTGTCTTCCACAATGGTTCAAGCATTCCTTTACATGAACAATAGGCAAGTAGAGCGCCAAATCATGAATGAACTCCCATTCACAATTGCCATAAAGAGAATAAAATACCTGTGAATATAGCTAACAAGGCATGTGAAGGACCTCTTCAAGGAGAACTACAAACCACTTCTCAAGGAATTAAGAGAGGACACAAAAAAATAGCAGAACTTTTCATCCTCATGGATAGGAAGAATCAATATCGTGAAAATGGTCATACTGCCCAAAGCCCAAAGTAATTTATAGATTCAATGCTATTCCCATCAAACTACCATTGATGTTCTTCACAAAAAAAACAAAACAAAACAAAAAAACTACCTTAAATTTCTTATGGAATCAAAGAAGACCAGGTAAAGCAAAGACAATGCTAAGAAAAAAAAAAGCCAGAGGCATCATGCTACCTGACTTCAAACTATACTCCAAGGCTACAGTAACCAAAACAGCATGGTACTGGTACCAAAACAGACATATAGACCAATGGAACAGAGTAGAGACCTCAGAAATAACACCACACATCTACAAGCATCTGATGTTCAACAATCCTAACAAAAACAAGCAATGGGGAAAGGATCTCCTATTCAATAAATGGTTCTGGGAAAACTGGCTAGCCATATGCAGAAAACTGAAACTGAACCCCTTACTTACACTTTACACAATAATTAACTCAATACAGATTACAGATTTCAATGTAAAAGCTAAAACCATAAAAACCCTAGGAGCAAACCTAGGCAATACTATTCAGGACATATGAATGGGCAAAGACTTCATGAAGAAAACACCAGAAGCAATTGCAACAAAAGCAAAAATTGATAAATGGGATCTAATTAAACTAAAGAGATTCTGCATAGCAAAAGAAACTATCATCAGAGTGAACAGGCAACCTAGAAAATGGGAGAAAATTTTTGCAATCCACCCATCTGACAAACGTCTAATATCCAGATTTTACAAGAAACATAAACAAATTTACAAGAAAAAAGCAAACCACCCCATCAAACAGTGGGCAAAGGATATGAACAGACACTTTTCAAAAAAAGAAATTTATATGATCAACAAACATGAAAAAAAGCAACATCACTGATCATCAGAGAAATGCAAATCAAAACCACAACGAGATACCATCTCACGCCTGTCAGAATGGCAATTATTAAAAAGTCAAGAAATGATAGATGCTGGCATGGATATGGAGAAATAGGAATTATTGGTGGGAAAGACAAACTTTTTATGCAATCAATTTTTATATCAATAAGATGTAAAGGCTGATGACAATTATATTAAATTATAAATCAGTGAAAGTTTTCTGAAGAAAACTAGAATACTTACACATTCAGTGTGTTTTATTCTACTGATCTGCTCTGACATAGATCCAAATCTTAAACTGGTCCCTTTGGATAGACCACAGGTGTCCAGGATACTGAAATTATATGCAAACTATTGTTTTATATGGTAAGAAGGTAACTAGTTTTCATCTTATTCTCAAAGAGATCCCTAAAATAATATTTTTAACCTTCTGGAATGCTGGCCATCTACAACTGCATGTATTATATTTACAGATTGTCTTCAACTAAATAAGAATCTCAAGATGGGACCTGGGGATAAAAATCACTGATCCAGAGGCATTAAGAGCTGCACTTTCTTTAGGCCCCCTTTGAATGTTTAGTTGTTTTACTTAGGCTTTGAATCAGAATTGGAAAGAAAATAATTCAAATATTAGAACCCTAATGAACTCTATTTTAACATGGGTCAAATATTTCTCACGAAGGTTTTGGCACAGATACTAATTCTACGTTAGTTAATGACAGCTGATTGATAAAATGAGTGGGAAGCTGGGTCCTCTTGGGAATAAACCCATAGAAACACCTCCAAGAAATGAATATGTAGCTACAGAGTCCAAAGAGCTTAGGGACTCCACATGCTACACACTTGGAAAATATGATTTGTGGCTAATCTTACTTCTTCAGTAGTCTAGAAATGCTTACACATTTCACCCATCTGTATTTCACCCATCTGTGGTGTTATTTTAACCTAAAATTTTGAGATGTTCCTAGATGCGTGGGCCAGACTGAGTACGAGACTGTCACTGCACTCCTTTAATCTCTCTTTCGCAATTAGAGGCATGTCTGTTATTTTGCAAATGAAATGAAAATCTATTAAGGACATATGTATTTCCATTGCACTACTTACTCTGATATTTTTAAGAGAAAACAAGTTTATTAACTCCATATCTCATATATACATGAAAGACATCCAGTGATGAGTAATTTGTTTTTTTTTTTTTAACTTTTATTTTAGGTTTGGGGGCATGATGCAGGTTTGTTATATAGGTAAACTCATGTCATGGGGGTTTGTTGTACAGATTATTTTATCACCCAGCTATTAAGCCTGGTACTTAATAGTTATCTTTTCTGCTCCTCTCCCTCCTCACATTCCCTACCCTCAAGTAGACCCCAGTGCTGCTGTCTCCTTCTTTGTGTTCATGAGTTCTCAGCATTTAGCTCCCAATCATAAGTGAGAACAGTGGTATTTGGTTTTCTATTCCTGCATTAGTTTGCTGTTGGGAACAGGCCCCCCAAAATCTGGCCATAAACTGGCCCCAAAACTGGCCATAAACAAAATCTCTGCAGCACTGTGACATGTTCATGATGGCCATAATGCCCATACTGGAAGGTTGTGGGTTTACCGGAATGAGGGCAAGGAACACCTGGCCCACCCAGAGCGGAAAACCACTTAAAGGCGTTCTTAAACCACAAACAATAGCATGAGCGATCTGTGCCTTAAGGACATGCTCCTGCTGCAGATAACTAGCCCAACCCATCCCTTTATTTCAGCCCATCCCTTCGTTTCCCAAAAGGGATACTTTCAGTTGAGTATCTGAGTCTAATATCTATAGAAACAATACTAATTGACTGGCTTGCTGTTAATAAATATGTGGGTAAATCTCTGTTCAAGGCTCTCAGCTCTGAAGGCTGTGAGACCCCTGATTTCCCACTTCACACCTCTATATTTCTGTGTGTGTGTCTTTAATTCCTCTAGCGCTGCTGGGTTAGGGTGTCCCC
The DNA here is from genome assembly GCF_000001405.40 of Homo sapiens. Lineage (NCBI taxonomy): Eukaryota > Metazoa > Chordata > Mammalia > Primates > Hominidae > Homo > Homo sapiens. Next base: position 99,673,042 of record NC_000023.11, on the reverse strand, counting down.
GACTGAGCTGGTCTCAGCAGTTTGCTAAGGATAATGGCCTCCAGCTCTATCCATGTTCCTGCAAAAGATGTAATCTCATCTTTTTTATGGCTACATAGTATTCCATGGTGTTTATGTACCACATTTTCTTTATCTAATCCCTCATTGATGACATTTAAGTTGATGCCATGGCTTTGCTAATGTGAATAATGCTACAGTGAAAATTTGCATGCATGTGCCTTTATGGTAGAATGATTTATATTCCTTTGAGTATATGCCCAGTAATGGTATTGCTGGGTTGAATGGTAGTTTTCTCTTTAGCTCTTTGAGGAATTGCCATACTGCTTTCCACAGTGGTTGAACTAATTTACACCCCTGCCAACAGTGTGTAAGTGTTTCCTTTTCTCTGCAACCTCCAGTATCTGTCATTTTTTTACTTTTTAATAACAGCCATATCTGACTGGTGTGAGATGGTATTTATTGTGGTTTTGATTTGCATTTCCCTGATAATCAGTGACATTGAGCTTTTTTTCACATGCTTATTGGCCACGTGTATGTCTTATTTTAAAGATGTCTGTTCATGTCCTTTGCCCACTTTTTAATGAGTTGTTTGTTTTTCTCTTATAAGTTTGTTTAATTTCTTTATAAATGTTGAATATGAGATCTTTGTGGGAGCCCAGAAATAATGCTGCACATCTACGGCCATCTGATCTTCGACAAAGCTGACAAAAACAAGCAATGGGGAAAAGACTCCCTATTCAATAAGTGGTGCTGGGATAAGTGGCTAGCCATGTGCAGAAAATTAAAACTGGAATACTTCCTTATACCATATACAAAAATCAACTCAAGATGAATTAAAGACTTAAATGTAAAACCCCAAACTATAAAACGCTGGAAGACAACCTAGGCAATACCTTCCTGGACATAGAAACAGGCAAAGATTTCATGACAAAGACACTGAAAGCAATAGCAACAAAAGCAAAACTTAACAAATGGTATCTAATTAACTTAAGAGCTCCTGTACAGCAAAAGAAACTATCAACAGAGTAAAAAGACAACATACACAATGGGATAAAATATTTGCAAACTAATTACTTTCATATTAAGGGTGCCTGCTCTTGAAGGTACTTGATTTTATTGTCAGAATGGGGATGCACAAGAAATAGGAAAAACAATCTCAAGTTATAGAAAGTGATTCTGGTTTTGAGGTACTTCATAGAAGTGAAATATGTATCTTTGAATGGTATGTACACATATCAAATATGTATCTTTGAATGGTATGTATATAGGGATAGCAGAGTATGATTTTAATGGATGAGGTAGGTCAAGATTTTCAAATCTGACTAATTGCCTGAAGCAAAAATTATTCTTTAGTAGATGCCATATTCAACTTTCTCTTGCAATCCTGTAGGGAATATCTGAGTGGTCTGAGTCTTAATGTAGCAATACTCAAGTTCTTACAACAAGATGCTTAACTCATAGCAATGTTGAATCTTCCCTTTATTTTTTGATATGCCTAAGTGTTTACCATTGTGTCACAGCGTAATGTGAGGAAAATGTTATACACGGTCATACTAGCACCATTAATCATCTCTGATGAATGTATTGTTTCCTCAGTGTCCTACAGTGGTTAGGAGATGCGTATACTGGTCCAGCTCGTTAAACAGTTGACAATGTTTTTGAGATACTTTTCAAGTCCATTTGCCATTTTATTAAACACACTCCTGTTTAGTTTTTTGTTGCTTCACCTGGAATTGTAACTGTTTGGATAAAGTTATTTCTTTTTTTTTAAAAAAAATTTTACTTTAAGTTCTGGGATAGATGTGCAGAACGTGCAGGTTTGTTACATAGGTATATATGTGCCATGGTGGTTTGCTGCACCTTTCAACGCGTCATCTAGGTTTTAAGCCCCGCATGCATTAGGCATTTGTCCTAATACTCTCCCTCCCCTTGACCCCACCCCCCAACACACCCCAGTGTGTGATGTCCCCTCCCTGTGTCCATGTGTTCTCATTGTTCAACTCCCACTTATAAGCGAGAACATGGGGTGTTTGGTTTTCCTGTGTTAGTTTGCTGAGAATGATGGTTTCCAGCTTCATCCATGTCCCTGGAAAGGACATGAACTCATTCTTTTTTAATGGCTGCCTAGTATTTTATGGTATATATGTGCCACATTTTCTTTTTCCAGTCTATCATTGATGGGCATTTGGGTTGCTTCCAAGTCTTTGCTATTGTAAATAGTGCTACAATAAACATGTGTCTTTATAGTAGAATGATTTATATTCCTTTGGGTATATACCAAGTAATGGGATTGCTGAGTCAAATGGTATTTCTGGTTCTAGATCCTTGAGGAATTGCCACACTCTCTTCCACAATGGGTGAACTAACTTACACTCCCACCAACAGTATAAAAACATTCCAATTTCTCCACAGTCTCACCAGCATCTGTTGTTTCCGGACTTTTTGATGATTGCCATTCTAACTGGTGTGAGATGGTATCTCACTGTGATTTTGATTTGCATTTGCTCTAATGACCAGTGACGATGAGCTTTGTTTCATATGTTTGTTGACCACATAAATGTCTTCTTTTGAGAAGTGTCTGGTCATATCCTTCACCCACTTGTTGATGGGGTTGTTTTTTTCTTGTAAATTTGTTTGAGTTCTTTGTAGATTCTGGATATTAGCCCTTTTTCAGATAGGTAGATTACAAAAATTTTCTCCCATCCTGTAGGTTGCCTGTTCACTCTGATGGTAGTTTCTTTTGCTGTGCAGAAGCTTTTTAGTGTAATTAGATCCCATTTATCAATTTTAGCTTTTGTTGCAATTGCTTTTGGTGTTTGAGTCAAGAAGACTTTGCCCATGCCTATGTATGTCCTGAATGGTATTGCCTAGGTTTTCTTCTAGAGTTTTTATGGTTTTAAGTTTTATACTTAAGTATTTAATCCATCTTGAGTTAATATTTGTATAAGATGTAAGGAAGGGGTCCAGTTTCTGTTTTCTGCATATGGCTAGCCAGTTATCCCAGCACCATTTATTAAATAGGGAATGCTTTCCTTGTTGTTTGTTTTTGTCAAGTTTGTGTAATGCCAGATGTTTGTAGATGTGTGGTGTTATTTCTGAGGTCTCTGTTCTGTTCTATTGGTCTATGTATCTGTGCTCATGGATAGGAAGAATCAGTATTGTGAACATGGCCGTATTGCCCAAAGTAATTTATAGATTCAATGCTATTCCCATCAAGCTACCATTGACTTTCTTTGTAAAATTAGAAAAAACTACTTTAAATTTCATATGGAACCAAAGAACAGCCCATATAGCCGAGAGAATCCTAAGCAAAAAGAACAAAGCTGGAGGCATCACACTTCCTGAGTTCAAGCTATACTACAAGGGTACAATAACCAAAACAGCATGGTACTGGTACCAAAATGGATTAAGCTATTTTTACCTATGTATCTTCATGTTAGATCAACATATTCATTTTCTAGAAATAAGAATCCGTTACCAGGTCCTGTGAAATGAGAGATGCGTGTACTCTAGCTGGAGGTTATGGGGAAGGAGGAGGCTCTAATAGATGCTACAGTGCTTTTCAGTTTAGTCTTGTGAGTCCATTTTACTTCAAATGTCCCCCCCTTTTGGGATCTTTAAGCTGCTGTGTCAAACATCAAAGCAACCTTTTCTACTTTATACTTTGTGAGTGAGTTTGAGTATTAGCATTCATTTTTTCTAAATTTGCTCCCATTCTCCTTTGGTTAATTATAAAACTGTGAGGAAATAATACAGCTAAGTATCACCCAAAGTAAAATAATGTGCCAAGATTCAGGGAGACAAATTTATACCAGAAGTTATCTAGTGTAAAAGATGAATAAATGAACTTTTCCTCTTTATCTTTCCCAATTTTGTTAGTTATAATATTAATATGATAACCTCAAAGCTCATGAACTTGTATTCTATTCATAACTACATTTAGGATATGCTAAATATATGTAATAAATACTGTGTTGTATAAAATTCAACATTTTCCTTTAGATGAATCATATTAAAGTACTGTTGCATCTTCAAATATTATTGTGTATTGGGACCATTGTGGAGAGCAGAGAAACAAATCTGTAATTTTACAGTGAAAGTCAATAGAAAAATGGGACTATTATACGTAAATTCATTTACAAGCAACTTTCAATGTTTTACTCTTAATGAAAATACTAATCTTATTTATTAAGCATAATACCTTACCTAGACAGACAATAACTCTACATTTCTGTTACAATTTTTTTCTAACATTTTGACCATATATTTCTAATGGGAGAATCAGAATATGAACAACACTGTTTTACAGTGCTCATAATTTACTATTACATTTTTACTATAAACATAGCCAAGAAAAAATCTGTTAAAGCACATGAACCCTAGCAAAATCTGTTACTGACTGAAAAAATGGACATCTGAGCATTCAGACTCAGTGGGCTTAAAATTGGCTGATCCGAATTCAAACTGTAGTGTCAGTTGAGGCATCACTTCATTAAGCTGCAATGCCATCTTCTAATAATACTCATTAATGTTGGAATAGACCTTTTAAACTACAAAGTATTTTGTAAAAATAAACCCATCTTCCTATCACCATGAAACCAAAATTGAGTTAGAACTTGTATTCCCATTTTACAGAGAGAGAGAGAGGGGGAAACAGAGTGTGTATTCATGTCCAGATAGAGTAGTTAAATAATTTTGAAGAGAGTTAAAGGTCATTAATAACTTTGAAAAGACTAACAAACAAGGTTAAGCAGTACTTGGATTCACAATAGCTCCATTTAGTGGTGGTCCATTTAAATTCCCATTATATTAAGACACTTGGGAAGCTTTGTACATCAGGTTTCTGGGAGCATTTATTTTTTCCAGGGATATCATAGGGGACAGAGATATAGGAACAGAGCTTAAGCCAAGGCACAGGTAGGTTCATTTGGACTCCATTGCATCCACCTGGATGAATGCCACATGGTAATAATGCTATCTCACACTTGCATTGTTTGGAGCACATACATATTAAACATATTATATTATTGTGCTTTTATACACGTTATTTCATTTTATCTGCACAATGGGTAAGTACTTGAATGCCACCTAAATATGGTTAGAAAGCTCAGTAAAGAAGCACCGCTTAAATATACAGAATAATTTGGAGAGAAGCAAACATTGTTGAGCTTAGTGATGTTTGAAACAATCTGTCAATTACTGAATTCTAAGCAGTTTTGTAATAAAATAAAATCATAATAAATTAAAATGCTTTATGAATGTAGATATAACCTGAGAAACATTATTCTGCACATAGTTGGCATCTTCCTGTAGAACAATCACAAGGGCCTAAATCAAGAATGTACCAGGTGCTACTTAATACTAATATTTCCTGGTGGAGGGTTAATTTCCAGGTGTATGGTTTTTGTTCTTTACGCTAGATAGTTTATATTTCTTTCTAGATATTAACTCTCTATATTAATTTAGTCAAATTAATCAAAACCATAATAGCATCTTAAGGCAAGTAGATTTTCCCAATCAATCCTTAATAAAAGAACTGCAGTATGTAATAGGGTTTAGCAACTGCATCACACACACTGAAGGGAGGATAGGTGTGAAAGGGTGAACTTGGTAGAGGTGAAAGAGAAAGTTAACAGATAGATAGTATGTTTTCTTATTATGATGCCGGGCAATAATTGAACAGCTCTTTCATTTTATTTTCGTATTTTATATTTGTACAGATTAGCAGCTCAGAGCCTTTTAAAATTTGACTAAAGAAGAGTGAGCACTATTGAGGAGAAAGGAGCTTCTTGTCTTCAAGTCTGAAATCCTTCTTTAAAATGTGAAAAACAGCAATTATTTTACACGGTTACGTTGAAACCAGGGTTCAGTCATGTCCAACCATCTGAATTCCGTGGGTATGAAAAACTGAATTGGAAAATATATAGATAAGACTGCTTAGCATTTGTTTCTAGGCTAGAAAACAAATGTCTCCGTATCTCTTTGTCTTCTTCCCCCCCACTTCCCCCACCCCCCCCCCCGCCCACACAAACACACACACCCCTATGTCCCTAGGTGAATTCTTTTCATAGAGGGAGATCTTTCTTGTCAGAGTGATCAGCATGCGCCAGGCCAACAATGTACATCTTGCAGTATTTCCTTTCAGGCCAGATTATAACCAGAAGTCAAATCCACCAAGGACACTTGCCTTACATGCTCTTCAAAGAATCTGCTTTACATTCCTCTTGAAAACTAGAACAAGACAAGGATGCCTTCTGTCACCACTCCTACCACTCCTATTCAACGTAGTACTAGAAGTCCTGGCCAGAACAATCAGGCAAGAGAAAGAAATAGAAGGCATCCAAATAGGAAGAAAGGGAGTCAAACCATCCCTGTTTGCAGATGATACAATTCCCTAACTACAAAACCCAATAGTCTCTACCAAAAGCTTCCTTGAATTGAAAAACAACTTCTTCAGCAAAGTTTCAGGACACAAAGTCAATATACAAAAATCAGCAGCATTCCCATTCACCAACAACATACAAGCTGAGAACCAAATTGGGAAGGGAATCCCATTCACAAAGCCCACAAAAAAATAAAATACCTAGGAATACAGCTAACCAGGAAGGTCAAAGATCTATACAATGAGAATTACAAAACACTGCTCAAAGAAATCAGAAATTACACAAACAAATGGAAAAACATTTCATGCTCATGAATAGGAAGAATCAGTATGAAAATGGCCATATTGCCCAAAGCAATTTACAGATTCAATGCTATTCCCATTAAACTACCAATGACATTCTTCACAGAACTAGAATAAACTATTACAAAATTCATATAATCAAAACAGAGCCTGAATAGGCAAGACAATTCTAAGCAAAAAGACAAAACTGGGAGCATAACATTACCCAACTTCAAACTATACTACAGGGCTACAGTAACCAAAACAGCACGTTACTGGTACAAAAAATAAAACACATAGACAAATGGAACAGAATAGAAAGCCCAGAAATAATGCTGCACACATACAGTAATCTGATCTTCAATAAAGTTGCCAAAAACAAGCGATGAGGAAAGGACTCCCCATTCAATAAATGGTGAGAGGATAACTGGATATCCATATGCAGAATATTGAAACTGGGCCCATACCTTAAACCACATATGAAAATTAACTCAAGATAGAACAAAGACTTAAACATAAAACCCAAAACTAAAAAAAAAAAAAAAAAAAAAAAAAAAAAAAAAGAAATGCAGTCTGTAAGACAACCTAGGAAATACCATACCATTCTGGACATAGGACCTGGCAAAGCTTTTGTGATTATGTCACCAAAATAATGGCAACAAAAAACAAAGATTGAGAAATGAGACCTAATTAAACTAGAGAGCTTCTGTACAGCAAAAGAAACTATGACAAGAGTAAACAGACAACCTATAGAAGGGAAGACAACATGTGCAAACTGCGCATCCAACAAAGGTCTAATATTGAGAATCCATAAGGAACATGAAATTCACAAGCAAAATAAAGCAACCCCATTAAAAAGTGGGCAAGGACATGAACAGACACTTCTCAAAAGAAGACATCATGTGGCCAAGAAGCATATGAAAAAACGAAATTAAATAAAGAGCCTGAATAGGCAAGGCAATAATAATCACTATTCATCAAAGAAATGCAAATCAAAACTACAGCGAGATACCATCTCACATCAGTCAGAACTACTATAACACGCTGGTGAGGTTGCAGAGAAAGGGGAACATTTATATGCTGCTGGTGGGAGTGTAAATTAGTTCAATCATTGTGGAAAGCAGTATGGCAATACCTCGAAGAGCTAAAGACAGAACTACCATTCAACCCAGCAACATCATTACTAGGTATATACCCAGAGGAATATAAATCATTCTACCATAAAGATACATGTATGTGAATTTTCATTGCAGCATTATTCACAATATCAAAGGCATAGAATCAATCTAAATGCCCATCAATGACAGATTAGATAAAGAAAATATGTTACATATACACCATGGAACACTATGCAGTCATAAAAAGGAATAAGATCATGTCCTTTGCAGCAACATGGATGGAGCTGTAGGCCATTATCCTAAGCAAATTAATGCAGGAACAGAAAAGCAAATACCATATATTTTCACTTATAAGTGGGAGCTAAACAATGAGTACCCATGGACAGAAATAAGGGAACAACAGACACAGGGGCCTACTTGAGGGTGGAGGGTGGAAGGAGGGAAAGGATATAAAAACCTGTCTATCAGGTATTATGCATATTACTTAGATGATGATGAAATAATCTGTACACCAAACTCCCATGATAGTTTACCTATATAATAAAACTGTATATGTACCCCTGAACTTAAAAGTAGAAAAACAAAAAATGTGATTTACATCACTGTGATCATACCTAGATATAAGAATCGTTGAAACAGAAGGAAGATACACCAATTGGATTAGGAATAGCTGGCTGGTAGACATGAAGACCTCTTATCTTCTTATAACATTCGCCGGAGCCAGGGTATTTCTTCAGTGGCCTAGGAAGGCACCAGGGTTTGGTGGATGTTTTGGACAGTGATAAAGCCATTAAGATGTCACTGACTATCTTTATGCTCAGACCACATGACCCCACCTTTTTTTTGGTAGAAATTATTGAAATAAAATCAAATATTTACGTAGATTTTACTTAAGCCTGGATGCTATTTTAAGCACACTCTATACATTCTTATAGAATGCTTAGAAGAAGTAAGTCTTTGAGGTAGATGCCTTTATTTATCTACATTTTAGAGATAAGAAACCTGTGACATAACCAGGTTAAGTAACTATATTACCATTATGATTCTTCCCATATTACAATGTGGATCCTCAGTGAGTTATGTCGCACCCTAGATCTTTTCAAGCCTGTGTGGGGACACCACTTCTAGCCATCCCGTGTCAGCTGAACCAAAGAAAGAAGAGAGGGAAGGAGCAAGGGAAAGACAGGTGGAGAGAGGAAGGGGCGGCTGAGGATTTGCCACAATATCTGCTTCCATGTACTCCAGGCTTCTCAAGACAGCTTCCAAGAATGAATATAACTTAGCTGCTTGTGACTTAAGTGGGAAGAAAGAGTCAAAATAAGCAGCAAGGGAAAGAGACAAAGAGAAGTAATTCCTCCAACCTTGTAGACTCAACGACATTGCAAAATAATATATTGCACGACCAAATTGCCATAGCTTTGTGCATTTACAGGCCCATAACAAGGGCTACTAGTGCATCCTCATGGCATTGTCACTTATTACCACTTAGAATCCAAGAACCTAGTATACATCGGATAGAGAGAACCCACAATCATAGAAAGACAGGGGTTCGATTCAGATGAGATTTTCCTGACATGAACAATTCAAGATCATAGCTACTTGATTATTTGCCTTCAGGTAATCTCAGTACGTCTGGCAATACGGTCCCTCCAACAGTAGCATTCCAGTCTCTAATTGGCACTGTTATTAGAGTCAAATGCAATTCCTCCCTTTCCTACCTACCCATTTCCCAAACTCAATTTTCAGATACAAAATTTTAAATTGGATTCACAAGTCAGTTTTTGAGCCCCTACTGCATGCCTAGTACTCTGGTAAGTGCTAACATCTGTGATTTAACTCAATAACATGGGTAAGTTGGAATCTACTGTGCTAGTTTTTGGTCCGCAGCCAAAACTGAGCAGAAAAGTTGTCTATATTGAGAAAAAAACTGCTATTCAAGTTCAGAGTCTTATTGGTAAGCTTCCAAGGACTCTGGGTCTAAGCTTTTGTTATTTTGTGTTTAGTTTGCTCAAGTTGATCGTGACTGCTGCAAGCAAGTTACTTCAGTCCAAACAACGTTTTGGGGCACTAAAGGTGTTATTTTCACTGCTTATTATCAACTTCCAAAAGGATGCCGTAGACAAATGCTGCAGTGATCTCATTAGTTGGTATCTTCTTTGTGCACAGTCCCAGAGTGTTCTGTACTTTCATTATAAGATGTACACATGGAGAGTTGCACAGTACAACACATGCCATGCCTTGGAGAACAGAAATGATTTAAGGACTTTTTTGAAGTCCCTTCTTTTGGTGACCTGAAAAATCTTGATCTGTTAGCATTTGAATCTTGGTATAAAAAAATCTAAATCTAATTTGGTCTGTGGGTATTATTTGTGACTTTGACTTTTCCTGGAGTGGAAGTAGAGGCGAGGCTGTGATATAACAACAACACAAATACTAAACTAAAACAAAATAAATAAAAACAATTTATTTAAATATAGTATTAACTATTTAAAAATGAGAAATTATTGGATTTTCAATGCTATGCCAGCAGTTATAAGTACCAATTACCTAAAAATTTGTCTTCGACAAAACCATAAAAAATAAATACAAACACACACACACACACACACACACACACACACACTGTATTTCAAAAGTGACATGCATATATAGCTTTGAGATGGTTATTTCTACTCGAGAAGTGATACAGTGAGTATAATGAAAACTGTCAGTGTATTGCTTCTGCTTTATTCAAGGTGAAAATATCACTTTAATCACTTTCATGAAAATGTGATCATTTCTGTTTTCCTGTTCATTTAATATGACTGGGAATTATCATTTGCACTAAATTTTGCATAATGAACATGGAAACTATAAACTAGTATTATGACTAAAGTTTCTCTTAATCCATAATTCCTTTGGAACTACCTATTATATCAATATGAATAACAAATAACTTTGTGGTTAGTGATCTTAATAAAAGAGTATTTGTCATTTTTCTAATGAGGATTTACTAAATATGATTAACCAAGAAGAGTCAATGACATTTTGTATAGATGGCAGCTCTAACAAATACATTTGTAAATATCATCTTGGCCATCATTAGGTATATTTTAATAACAAAGTTAATAGCTGTCAAATCAAGGTGAATGGGTAATTAGAAATCCTACTCTTACTGAATATAGTTTATTGTCATGTCAGATATTTTTTGGTTGCCCATTTTAGGGATGCATCCCAGCTAGGCCCAAACTAGTCACATGCCAAATATTCAGGGCTTAGATCTGAGAGTGCTGGTAGCCACCATTTAAGAACAGAAATTAAAGACAATTATGCCCAGTGACAAAGCAACATGAATTCAATTTGTCTCTCAAAGACATTGACCATTATTTACAAAAATAAGATAAAATATAGCAACTTGGTATCAGAAATTGAAGTTAAGAACGAATGGGAATACAGCAAAGCTGGACAATCTATAGCCTAGGGCAAATAGTTGAAATAACTGAACATCTGAATATATATATATATATATATATATATATATATATATATATATATGAATCATTGGACTTCACACCAAGACACTTAATCTGAATTTTGGTGGAAAAGGGCAGAAGGGGTTAGGGCCAGGCATTAGTATTTTTTTAACCTCTTCTATGTATATTTTAATGGTGAGCCAGGGTTGAGAAACTCTATTATAGAGCTGTGCTTATCAGACTTTAATGTGCATATGAATCACCTGGAAATCTTGTTAAATGCAAATTCTGATTCAGTAAGTCTGAGGTATGGCCAGAGATTCTGTAATTAACAAAGGCTCAGGTGATGCTGATGATGTAAATCCACAGACCACATTTTGAGTTTCAAATCATAGAGGATATTATCCACCAATGAATGGGTATTTGAAGTAGCAGGTGAAGAAGGGATATTTCATGTATGTAAGAGAAAGAGGAAGGATGTTGAAAGAATGCGAGGGTGCTCTTTTGGGTTCATCTTGATGTGACTTGAATATAGGAGAAGCCCTTTATGACTTTGTTATATTCTAGCTTTAGCTCAAAATTCTGGTGCATGCAAAGGGGCTATTAAATTCTAGAGCAGTTGTTTCAAACTGCTGTTTATTAGAAAGTCCTCTTTAATCAGAGCTCTGCTGGATTCCTTTCTCAAAAAAAAAAAAATTCAACACTTTATTATCCCCAAAATAGCAAACAATCACCACTAGAACACGTGAACAGGTTTTCTCAATGGCCAGAAACACATTGATTTTAAAGTCACTGATGGCTAATTTATTAATGGTTTCTTAAACTTGCTATAAAAACGAAGGTAAAAACACGTGCTCTGCAGAAAGAAAAAGAAAACTCGTTTTTTAACAAGGTATCCAAATTTAATCCAAAACACACCTGTGAAAAATGACAGTCCCTGGAGCTCATCCCCCTTGCACGGTGACTTTAGGTAAAATTCTTAAACTGCTCTCTGAGAATTACAAAAAAGAGAAAAGATATTTTTGGTGTTAGGTCATGAATATGCAAAATTATTAATATTTTATAGAAACTCTTTGTAACCCTTGTCTCTCCGGACAGAACTAAAACTTGCATTATTGGCTAGGCATGTTCAAAACCATCTCTACTGTATACATTTATATTTTGGGAATCATGGTTTGGCCATCAGTGTTTTTTTGAGCTATGTGCCTATGCGGCTCAGAAACATAGTCCACTGCTTAAACAAGGTGGCATGGTTTCATGTACAACACAATGCTGATACCTAAACATGTTCTGAGGTTCTATTTGCTGTTTCAGGAGCTGTCAATGTGCATTTGATCAGTCTGACCAAAGAAGAAAGGTCTCTGAGAGTAAAATTTGCTTATTCACTATTTCACCTGACCATAAACCTTTTTTCCAGCAAGTAAACAGTCAGCAGCTACTATCGTGATCTATTATATTATATTATTTGTATCCTTCCCCTGAATATATATGTAAATGAGACAATGTTTGTGAATTGCCTAGATCAGTACTGGGCACACAGTAGGTCAAAAGTATTAGACTCTATTCTTTCCCCATTAAGATGAAAGCCTAGTTTCCAGTAGTGTGATTTTTGGAAAATTGCTTATTTTAGCCTACGTTTCTTAACTGTAAAATAAGCATATACATATTATACTTTGTAGCTTTTAAAATAAAATGTAAAGAAGTTAACTTAGGCTTAACTCCACAGTTTAGTACCTAAATCACAGCAGGAATTTAATAAATTGTGACAATCAATATCATAATTTCAAATTAGTGGAACTAGAATTTGTAAAATTGAATTTTATTTTTATGTCAAAAACTTATAATCACAATGCATATAATTTTCCAAATGATTTATATACGAGTAGCAGTCACTTTCATAAAATACATACACCTATGTTATCTTCGGATTAAGATTCCAGCAGTTATTTGCAGTGGGATGCTTTTTGCAGTTCTGCTTCTTTTATTTTTATTTCTTTTTATCCCTTAGCCAAAAAGCAGCACAGATGGAAAGACCATTTGAGCATTATACAATTAGAATAGAATGGTCCTTCTTTCAAGCAATTAATTTTGTACGCATATATTGGTGTACCCTTAATACCTTCTTTTGCTCAGACTGTTTATAGTTGACCCATTTCTGTTCATGTTAGGGAAGCTGCCAATCATATCTTCTGCCATTCAATATATGTACCCACTTCCAGCCCAAGGAAGACAAATAACCATGAATATTATTCTAATACTAAAATTGACTAAGCTTCAGGTTAATGATAGTGATAATAATACCTACCATTTCAGTTTCAGGAGTAGGTGTAGTATAGTGGTTTAGAAGATCTCTGAAGTCAGATTGCCCAAGTAAAGAATTCCAGATCTGAATTTGCTACCTTTGTGACCAAAGGCAAGTAATCTAATCTCTAATTGCCACTGTTCCTTCAAATATAAAATAATATAGTAATAGTCATTACCACATAGTGTGATATGGGGATTAAATGAATTGTTATATGTATAGTGCTCAACATGTGTTAAGTATTCAACACATTTCAGTTATGATGATGATGAACATGACAATAATCAAACAATTGAGTGGCTCAAAAGAAGCCAAAGGTTTTCTTTAGCACATTGAGCTTTTATAGTTCTATAGAAGGCAATCAAGACTTCTTCTGCTCCATAAATCTCTTTGGTTTGAGATTTGATACTGTTATATTAGGGCAATACCTTCTCTTTCTGCTTCCCTAAAAGGCACTGGTCTTTTAAATTCAGAGATCCATTTCCTTGACAATCAGTGCATTCCAGGCTAGTATACTCTCTGTAACAAATCATTGCAACGAATTTCAGTATTTTGTTGCCAATGGGAATTGCTCTCTTGTTCGTGAGAATATGGCCTTTGTTGGCTTTTTATCCTTTCCTAACACTCATGGGAATGTATGAAACACACAAATTCTCTTACCACAGAGTTAACTTTAAAAACATGTAATTAGTACATTTTTAAAAAATCTACTGAGCTAGTATTTTCATGCAGAAAGTAATATTTCTCCAGCTTACTAAATGAACTTGGAGACACTCCTCACTTACCTATGTGGCAGAAGGTAGGCTTCTTCAGTTGTCTGACTCACAGACTGAGTTATGGAACATCCTCTTTATTCTTTTTTTTTATTTTACTAATATTATACTTTAAGTTTTAGGGTACATGTGCACAACGTGCAGGTTCTGACAGGCAACTTTTATCAGTATAATGCAGTTGTTGGAAGTCCTTAGCAAAGTCTGGAAGTTTGAATAGTCTTTGGAGTCAGAGGCACCTTAGTTTGAATACTGTCTCTGTCACTTAGCTAGATGACCTTAGATTAGTCACCTCCTTGAACGCCAGTTTCCTGGGAAGTAAACAATATAATTTATGTATTGTTATTTAATAAGATAACTGCTACATAAGTACTCAGTAAATGGTTATTATTGTTTCTATTATCATCTTCATATGTGTGGCTTCTTGGATTGCTTCTCTGTTTCACACACTCTTCAGCAAAGCAAACATAATTAATGTCATTTATTTCCTCTCTTTTTCTGTTTTTTCCTCTGAGATGGCCAGAGTTATCCCTACCCCCATAATATGATATATTCTCCTATTGCAATTTAGTTACAAATAAAGGGAAAAAGCCTGACACAGTGACTGGCATGTACATGTAGTCACCATTGAAAAACAGTATCTTATTTATTGTTGTAACTATTATCATTGTCAGTTATTATATAATGACCAAGTTTTATTTTGCAAAAAATCTAGAAATAGCTTACAACATCCTCTAGAATGATTGTTTTCATATAAAATACAGCCATATATATATGTTTAATATCTGTATTCTATTATATTAATAATATAATATAGAGATTATATTAATCTATATCATATATATATATATATATATATATATATATATATATATATATATAATTGGATTCAGACTGTGAGCTTCACCTCATTTTAGACATTAAACCTGAAGAAACTGGGATCCTGAGATGTAGAAGACCTAGAGTGTTAGTTGCCCTAGGGAAATAGATGATCTATTATTTCCCTTATCTGCTCTTTGGCAAGGACCACACTCACTCTTCAATGTAGAAGCCCCAAACCCTACTGTGATTAGGTGAGGACAGAGCAAATTATGCTCTGTAGTACTCATCCAGGGATACTCAGAACAAACTAAAAAATTTTTTTCACAGCAGAATTTTTTATTAGCAATATCTACTGCCTACACAGATCACAGCTGAAATTTTATCTAAGATGTGAAATACATCCACAGCATCTCTTTATGTTCTCCCTCAAATCCCCCCCTGCTCCTCAATTTGCTGATGACCAACAGTCAGAAGACTCCCAGTCAAAAAGGTGTCCTGAGACCCAGGATCAGAAGTACCTTCTCAGGAAAAAAAATGAGCAAATGATTGAAGCAGCAATGGCAGCAGTAGCTGTAACCCCCTAATTGAAATACCAAGACAGGTGACCCCATTTTCAGCCTTTCAGGGTTGAGTGAATAGCTGCTGCAGTCACCTTTCTTTCACTAACATGGGTCCTCTTATTAAGATTCTGGCGCTATCAACCTGCAAAAAGTCATGGCTGTACAGCCCTTGACCTCCACAGATGAATCAGTGCTGCCTCCAGCAATCTCAAGTTTTCCTTGATATAATCCACTTGTACCATTAGGACAGGAAAGACTAGGAGCACTGAAGCAGGTCCCCAAAGCCATGAAGGTTGAGCAATGGAGGGTTGTTGACATACTAGAAGCTGAAGTCTCTTGTAGCTCCCAAAACTGATTGATATACACTGATTTTAGAAGAGATTTTTAAAACTGCCTTTAGTTCACTCACTTTTATGTTGAAAATGTAGACAACTGAATGTCAGTTGAGTAAACCTGGGCAGTACTTAATATTAGTCTCTCAAGAGTTTGAAGAGAACATGCTCCTTACCATTTGTATGTCTTTCTAATCTATATAAAAAGATGTCCTAATCATGAATAAATGACGTAAATATTTATCAGCAAGACCATTAATATGATATTAAACATACAAGTTTGCCATGCTTTTGCATTGGTTTAATTTTGCTTTGGGTTTTATTCAATTAATAAAGTAAGGCAGTGAATGAGATTACGTATCTGTATGGCTAACATGTGCTCATGCACAGGCTCTTCCACCAGGTGGAATCTTGCCTGCAGCATCTCTCCTGCCATCAAAGGTGCTGCCAAAGTGGCAAAGATCCTTTAAAGACTGATGTAAGTACCTCCCAAAAGGCCCGTGCCTTTGCCCTTAGCTTAGACAGTAGCTAGCTGCACCTACAGGGCCCAGCCCCTCCTGCTGGCTATAAACACTTGCCTGAAAAACCCTGCCTAACTCCATACAACAGGACGTATAAAATAGGACAGAAAGCAAATAGCCACAGTTCTAGTTTCAGAGCTTATCTCAAGTCTTGTGCTCTTGCACACTGATTCTTAATTTTTCATGCTGTAACCAACTTTCCTGCTTTCCATCTCTTGTTTTATGGACTTCTAGTACTATTCACATGACAGTGGCAACCCTGCACCAAGGAAAGTGGGCCATGTCTCAAGATGCCACAGAGCTTCATTGTGTGGTTTACAGACAGCCATACAATAGGCCTCACTTCCAGAGTGAATGTCTAACCCTTTGTGGAAGTTCACATACAGTTCTTCTCCTCTTCTTGAAAGTCCATATGTGACTCTCCTCACTCTCCTAGACAGTAGCTGTTCAAAGGCATAAAGAAATCCATATTGTGTTTAGGAAAGCCTTCATACCTAGGAAATCTGGGGGCACCTCTATGAATCTGGGTGGACCTCTAAGATTTTATCCACTGAGGAAAAAATGTGGTTTATAAGACTGATCCTGGGAAACTTAGCAACAGGTCTCTATCTTTGCATTTTTCAGGCCTACCTTAACAAGTGGAACCTCAGAAGAATTCTTACAGAGCTCCCCCTCTCTCTGAGAGCAGTGAGAAGCAAGGAATAGAAAGGAATGTAAAGTGGTTAGACATTAAACAGCTAGCATACCACATTCATAATTCACCACCATAGTCATTTACTTCATAGAACCATTTTTCTTTTTTTTTTTTATTATACTTTAAGTTTTAGGGTACATGTGCAAGCGTGCAGGTTTGTTACATATGTATACATGTGCCATGTTGGTGTGCTGCACCCATTAACTCGTCATTTAACATTAGGTATATCTCCTAATGCTATCCCTCCCCCCTCCCCCCACCCCACAACAGGCCTGTGGTGATTCCTCAGGGATCTAGAACTAGAAATACCATTTGACCCAGCCATCCCGTTACTGGGTATATACCCAAAGGATTATAAATCATGCTGCTATAAAGACACATGCACACGTATGTTTATTGCGGCACTATTCACGATAGCAAAGACTTGGAACCAACCCAAATGTCCAACAATGATAGACTGGATTAAGAACCATTTTTCTTAACTCGTCTGTCCTGTTGTATGCTACAGCTTACAAGCCTATACCTGTTACTGAATTTGCTGCCTCAGACAATGTCCCTGGACTCAACCTTTCATCTGATTAGATGTACATATGTTACTTAATGCTTTGAGCTTTCTGAAGTTTGGTTTCTTTATAGTAAGATCTATTCTGCTGCTGTTCACACAATTTCGGTCTGTGTTTCAGTAATAGAAATACTTAGTTATTGACTATTTAGTAAAAGTTATTGAAGAAAAATGGAATGATATTATGCCTTGCACTTTCCAAAGACTTAAAAATTTTACTATCATTATTGCTAGTAATACGTAATAATCACTTAAAAATTCTTGAATTCAGAATGGAAATTATATTCATGACAGTTTTTTAACTAGTGAGCTCTGTTGAGTGCATGAAGTGTCAATGTGGTGACTTAATTTTAAATTTAAGTTTAACGGAGTAAATGAGAGTTTCCAAGGATATAAAATAATTATGGTGAATTTTAATATTCAATATATAATCTAAATAATTATGAAATGATCTTTCCTGGGGTAGGAACCATGTGTTATTTATCTTTTTATCTTCCATAGTACATAGAATGCATGCAGTAGATGTTAGTTGAAGAAACAGTGAACAAACAATAGAAAAAAGGAATGACTTTTCCATTTGGCAGACTTACTGTGAGATATTTCATAAGATAGTTAAATGCACATAGACCAAGATAATACCACTCAAAGTGAATGTTAGGCTTTGAAAATGTAGTTCATATTCTATTTTCAAGTAAGCATGCTTTCTAATAGGAAATAAACTCTAAAATTATAATGGAAGTCAATAAGCAAATATAATTTAATGTACACATTTAGTTTCCAAGACTGTGTTTTCCATAACTACATTTAATGCATAAAATTAGGCCAGTATCCTAAGACAAGATAGTATAGCTGATGATGTCATCTTGTAAAAAACTTATTGACTATTCATGGGAGAGATTCTTCTGTCTTAAATAATACCAACTGAAAAAAAAATCAATAGCTGTATGATACAACCAAAACAGTTATATGCATGACCTTGGTCCTATGACTTAATGTTCGAGGAGGACTTTAAATAAATTTGCTGTATGTTTTATTCTTAATTTTACTTGAAACTCTCTCTGCAATGCAAATATTGCATAAAAGCATAAACTACAAGCACTAATCAACTTGTGCAAGTGTGTACAACAACTTTTGGATCCAGATTCAGGAGGGTTTTTTTTTTTTTTTTTGGTCCAAAGTTAAGGAAAGAGCTGGATGTTGTGCCCATCTTCCTCATATGTAGAAATAAGGCTTCATCCTAGTTAGCTTATCATTTCTTCGCCTAGAAATCAGCTCAATGGTTTCTGTAGCAATCAGGATAGGCCAGGAGGATATTTTGGAAACAAAGAATCCCAATGTTTTGGTGGCTTAAAGTATCAAAGTTTATTTCTCACCTTCCCAGGCTACTGGAGCCTCTGCAATCCCAAACATTGCCAGTCACTGTAGCAAAGAAAAGGAAAGAAGTCAGTAAGTCTCACACTGGCTCTTAAAGCTTCCATCTGAAAATGCCACAGGTCACCATTTCACTGATCAAAATGAGTCACAAGGCCACATCTAATTCCAAGGAGACAGGAAGTATAATTCTGCCATTTGTCCAGAAGGAGAACCAGAAATTATTAATGAAAAGTACTAATGACTAATAATATTCCCTTTTCCTAATCCACCTATGTTAGGCCAGAAGCATATGATTTCTCTTAAATCATCTGTATTTAATTAAAATGACTTATTTTTAGTGTGCTGGCCACTCTCAAAGGTCAGCATTAAGTCATAGTTTATATTGTTATCTGATTTCTGCTAGTTTTTACTGTCAGAGTGACTTATCAAGTAACTTTTGTTAAGTTTTTAAGTTTTCATTCCCACCTCTTCCCACCCCCATTTTGCAATAAGCCATCTGCTTAGTATGCAATAAAATCGAGGGCTCGATTTTCAAAATTAGGTGCTTAATTAGATTGGCTAACCCACTGGGTAGGGACTGCTTTGAACTGCCTCAAATTCTATAGAGTTATCTCAAGAAATAGCTTGCAGTGCTGTTGTTATTCACCAAATCTTTAATTTGATGACTAAGATATGGAGTTGACTGTCTATGCGCCTCAGTGCCTATCTGAAGACTCCAAGTGGGCTATGAGTATCTGGAGGATATTGGGGTAGAGACTGGCTATCATCAATAGAATACTCACACTTCAAATATTGCACATTAGTATTGATATGTATAAATGTATTTAATGCCATTGTATTGGAGCATCATCTTCAATAGACTTTTATCAACTTTGAATCTCCCTGGTAACTAACCATCTCCCTGGTAACAAACCATTGGCACATGTTTATTGGAATAGCTCTGTTGTAAATAAATGCAATCAGCAAATTAAAACTGTAATAGGCCCTGATGCCACCAAATGTAAGCTGCAGACACTCCGTCATTATAACTTCAGCCTTAAGCAAAATTATGATGAAAATGAGAACAATAATGTGATCCATCCTTCTTTTAATGTCAGTTTTTAAATTAGATGATCAATATTCTGCGTTATTAAATTTCAGGATAAATATAAAGGATCATCCTTCCTAACTTATGTAACAACTCTATTTCTCTAAGGCCATATGGAAAATATTTGTTTCAAGAGTTTAAGATGTGGCAGTTGGTTGTTGGCCTATCTGTATAAAGACGGTAAACAAGTATAAGTATTACTTTGATTTTAGAATAGTTCTCCATTAGTGAAAACTCATAAATTGCTCTGCCAAGCCTTGCCTTTTGTACATTTCCCTGTACTTCGTCAAATGTGAACTTTGTTAAACTTATCTTTTAGTAAATTTGATTTCTCATAGACTACGTGCTTAGTGGTAGAAAGTAGCCATTTTTAAAACGTACTGAAAAGTTTTCTAATCTATCAGCTAAAATGAGAGACTGGTGTTTTCAGTATTAGTGAAATTCAGTGGTTAGATTCTCATCATTCCTTCTTTGATATTGAGGTACAATTATGATGAGCATAGTGAGCACGTGTGTGTGCATGTGTGTGTGTGTGCATTTTTCTAATTTCTATTATAATAAGAGGAAGAATGATCCTTCAGAGACCACTTAGCTAAAGAAATGTTGAACTGAGATAATCCAAGCACTACAGAGCTGCCATTCTTTTCAGATAAAGGGTCAGTATTATTGGCCTCAGCTAATTGTAATTTTGATATATATTATAGTAACTGGTGCCTGAAGGCATTGCCATAAACATGAATATCAACATACCTTCCAGTGGAGTTTACAGTGAAAGAAAAAACTGGGAATATAAAGTATATTTTGCCTGATCTTGCAAAGAAAAAAATATAAATACCCCACAGCCAAATTGTCATATGTGTTTCAAAAGTCATGTAACAGCACTTCTTACTACCATTTATTCAGTGATTGATATATTAAGATTGTACTATTAATAAATTCTTTGCAGCCATTATCTCACTTAATTCTTACAGCAACCCTGTGAAATACATACTGGTATTACTCTCACTTTTTGTACAAAGAAACAAGCTCAGATAACGCATCCAAGATTATGTAGCCAGTAATGATATAAGTGAGATTCAACTCTGGTCTGTTTCATACCAAAGTTGTGTTCTAAGACACTGTCATATATTGTTACAGAATTATAAAATAAGGTAAACCTTAATTTCTGGTTGAAAGTAATAACTCCTCAAATAGAACAGCACCTTATACATAGTAGGGGATTACAAACTATTTATTAAATGAATTAATAATACTAAGTCCAATTTTCCTAAGTGTGGTAGATGGAAATCTAAAATGGCACCCACAATTTACCACTAACCTCCTCCTCCCCCACCATATACGCATCCTGCACTGTACCTGGGATGTAAATATTGTGAATCTTACTTCTGTGATTAGATTATGTTATATGGCATAGTCAACCTTAAGATAGGGAAATTATCTGGGAGATCCTGACATAATCACATAAACCCTTTAAAGCAGCATTTTCTCTGGCTAGTCATAAAAGATGTCAGTGGTTTGAAACATGAGAACATCTTATCATGTCATTGCTAGCTTGAATATGGAAAGGGACATGATGCAAAAAATGTAAATGACCTTTAGTAGTTGAGAGTGACACTCAGCTGACAGCCAGTAAATAAATGGGGACCTCCCATCAATACTAGACTGGATAAAGAAAATGTGGCACATATACACCATGGAATACTATGCGGTCATAAAAAAGGATGAGTTTGTGTCCTTTGCAGGAACATGGATTAAGCTGGAAACCATCATTCTCAGCAAACTATCACAAGAACAGAAAAGCAAACACCGCATGTTCTCACTCATAAGTGGGAATTGAACAATGAGAACACATGGACGTAGGGAGGGGAACATCATACACCGGGGCCTGTCGGTGGGTGGGGGGCTAGAGGAGGGATAACATTAGGAGAAATACCTAATGTAGATGACTGGTTGATGGGTGCAGCAAAGCACCATGGCACATGCATACCTATGTAACAAAAGGGCACATTCTGCACATGTACCCCAGAACTTAAAGTACATATAAAAAAAGAATTGGGGACCACAGTCTAAAACCACAAGGAACTGAATACTGTGAATAACATTCATGAGCTTGGAATGAAAATTCCCCCCAGCACCTCCAGATAAAAACTCAAGCCAAATACCTAGATTTTAGCCTTGTGAAATTCTACCCAGAGAACCCAATCATAGTTTGCCAGACTTCTACAGAATTATGAACTAATAAATGAGTGGTGTTTTAAGCTACTATTTTGTGGTAATTTGTTACACAATGATAGAAAATTAATACACCAGTTATATTAAGTAACTGTACAGCCATATGCAGCCATATGGTCCTTATTTTGAGATTTTTTAAAGGATTGTCAGTTGGCTTTTTATATAAAATGGTTGAGCCAGTGTTTTAAAATGTTATGCAGAGTGAGTATCACAGTCTATGGAAAGTATTTATTGCTAGTATTTGTAAATGTGTGAAAATAGCCCAAAAATTCTAAGATCAACAACAATTTGAAAGAATCACATATACTTTTTTTCCTTTTTAACTCATCAAATTTCATAATATACTGGCTATAAAAGAGGGACCAGAGAGAGTATACTAGTTAGTGACCCATGAGAAAGTGTGCTATACTCCAAAACAACTGTTTCAGTTTTCTAATTTATATAAGCAGAAATCTGGAGAACCGGCATGGGAATGGATACTAAGAGTATGGGATAATGGTGGAAGGAACGTAAAGTTGGATCAGGCTGAATTTTTAGATATGGACCACTAAGCAGGGATTCTGTATTTAATGCCATTAATAATTCTGGTCTAGCATATTTTGGATAGGTCTTTTCAAAAGTTTCAATCAGACATTTAGCTATAACACTATTGTGATGGTTAATATTGAGTGTCAACTTGATTGGATTGAAGGATGCAAAGTATTATTCCTGGGTGTATCTGTAAGGGTGGTGCCAAAGGAGATTAACATTTGAGTCAGTGGACTGGGAGAGGCAGACTTGTCCTCAGTCTGGGTGGGCACCATCTAATCAGCTGCCAGTGCAGCTAGAACAAAGCAGGCAGAATAAGTTGGAAGGAGCAGACTTGCTGAGTCTTCTTGACTTCATCTTTATCCTGTGCTGGATACTTCCTGTCCTCGAACAACATACTCCAAGTTCTTCTGCTTTTGGACTCTTGGGCCTATACCAGTAGTTTGCCAGGGGCTCTTGGCCTTCAGTCACAGACTGAAAGCTGCAATGTCGGGTCCCCTGCTTTTGAGGTTTTGGGACTCAGACTGTCTTCTTTGCTCCTCAGCTTGCAGATGGCCTATCATGGGACTTCACTTTGTGATCGTGTGAATCAATTCTCCTTAATAAACTCCCCTTCATATATACGTATATCTTATTACTTCTGTCCCTTTAGAGAACTCTGACTAATACAACTATTAACTGAATCTTTGGTGGCGATTACTTCAATGTATGCTATATAGCCTAAGAACTTCCTAGAAATATAGTTACATTATGTGTAAGAATCTAATCTGAATTCTACCATGTGTTAAGAGTTATGGGATAAATGATCTATATGATATCACATTTAAGAATTTGAGCTCTTCACTGTCATTTAAAATATTATTTTTACTTGGGGTAAAGGGACAGGGTGGGTATTTCCATAATAATAGAAGGCAACAAATGTATTACAAGTGGCGGGGAAGTTGGTAAAACTGATGCAGCTTTTGGTTTATACTTCAATATGATTTTGTCTGAAACTCAGTTTGCAGAAATGTCATTCCAAGTGATAGTGTCAGAGGTTGAGTGAATACAGCTATGTTTTTATCCTAATGGGAATTTCCTGGACCGAGAGCTAGGAAGAAAATCTTTTTACTTATAAACTGAGCAAATCTGATCTGGAAATCACTGAAAGAGAATAAACATGGAGCCCCAAGACTCCATATGGAGTCATTTTAATAGTTATTTTTCTGCCTATAAGTACACTTTCAGTGAAAAGGCTGGCAGCTTTATTGAACATGATACCTGCAGTTTGGTTGAAAGAATAGGTACAAACCTGTCAACTCCCAGTGGTTGCTGTTTGGTTGAAAGACTAGGTACAAACCTGTCAACTCACAATGGCTTTCTCCCATAAGCACCAGTATCACTTAAAGCGTGGGATGGACTCTTTTTATTGTATAACTACTTTATTCAAAGGTCTTGACTCCAAAGAAGTAAATGCAACTGAGATAATGGAATAACATCGATTGACTGGCTGCACAATCTGTATAATGTTAGGAAAGCATGAAAATGTATATTTTCAATATTATTTAGTCCAAGCCAAAGAGCTTATTATTATATTTTCCTCTGGGAAATTCCGTATTTTTAAAAATCATTGCGTGCTATATTAGTCAGGATTTTCCACATTTAAGCCAAACCAGGAGATAGTATAGTGGGATCATATGATTTATATTTTGCAGCCTATAGGTCACCACATGATTTCAGTCAAATAAATTATTCAGAAAACATTTTAGGGCTCTCTGAGAATTTGCAGTTTCTGTGTGTCCTTTACTGACCTATATCTTCTGACCTACGTTACTTAAAGCTTCAAAATAAGAAGTAGCCTTAATTTTCTGTAAGAACATTTTCCTAGTTATACAGTCATCTGAAAGGACTAGGCCATAGCTATGTTGTAAAGAATTTACAGGCAAAGGTTATGCAGTTTCTTTGAAGAAGGATTTTGTTACATTGCAATCATGAAACTAGAGAAAGGAAACACAGGTATATAAAGAGATAGGTAAAATAGTGGAATCTAGTGTGCTTTTTGGTTATTAGCTCAATTATTTTCTTAGATAATTATCTTTTTAAGTTAATTATATTATTCTAAGTTACATAAATGAACAGACCTATTCAATTACAAAGACTCAACAGGAGTATTTGAGAGTAGTCCTTTGGTAGAGTTAGGAAGGAATGAAAAAAGAAAAGGCTGACTGTGGTCTTAAGCCCAATTCATTGTTTAAAGTGAAAAGAGTATTTGGCCTGGCCTTTGCCCCACTGTTGTTAAGCTTATTTCTCCTTTCGCCTGATATCATTAAATGTCACCCTAAAAGAGGGTTTAAAAACTATAGCCTGTGGGCCAAATCAGACCCACTACCTGTTTTTTGAACATTAAAAAAAAAAGTCATAACAGTCTCTCATACCACAGTGCAATCAAATTAGAACTCAGAACTAAGAAATTCACTCAAAACTGCACAACTACATGGAAATTGAATGACCTGCACCTGAATGACTCTTGGGTAAATCACGAAATTAAGCTGGAAATCAAGAAGTTCTTTGAAACCAATGAGAACAAAGAGACAACACAGCTAAAGCAGTGTTAAGAGGGAAATTTATAGCACCAAATGGCCACATCAGAGAGCTTGAAAGATCTCAAATCGACACTGTAACATCACTATTAAAAGAACTAGAGTTCATGTCCTTTGCAGGGACACGGAAGAAGCTGGAAACCATCGTTCTCTGCAAACTAACACAAGAACAGAAAACCAAACACCACATGTTCTCACTCATAAGTGGGAATTGAACAATGAGAACACATGGACACAGGGAGGGGACCATCACACACTGAGGCCTGTTGGGGAATGGGGAGCTTGGGGAAGTATAGCATTAAGAGAAATACCTAATGTAGATGACGGGTTGATGGGTGCAGCAAACCACCACGGTGTGTGTATACATATGTAACAAACCTGCACGTTCTGCACATGTATCTCAGAACTTAAAGTATAATAATAAAGATAAAAATAAAAGAACTAGAGAGGCAAGAGCAAACAAATCCAAAAGCTAGTAGAAGACACGAAATAACTAAGATCATAGCAGAACTGAAGGAGATAGAGGCACAAAGAATGCTTCCAAAAAATCAATGAATCCAGCAGCTGGTTTTTTGAAAAAATTAACAAAATAGGTAGACTGCTAGCTAGTCTAATAAAGAAGAAAAGAGAGAAGAATCAAACAGACACAATAAAAAATAATAAAGGGGATATCACCACTGACCCCACATAAATACAAACTAACATCAGAGAATACTATAAACACCTCTACGCAAATAAACTAGAAAATCTAGAAGAAATGGATAAATTCCTGGACACAAACACCTTCCCACTACTAAACCAGGAAGAAATCAAATCCCTGAATAGACAAACAAGTTCTGAAATAGAGGCAGTAATTAATAGCCTAACAACCAAAAAAAAAAAAAAAAAAAAAAAAAAGAAAGCCCAGGGTCAGATGGATTCACAGACAAATTCTACCAGAGGTACAAGGAGGAGCTGGTACCGTTCCTTCTGAAAGTATTCCAAACAATTGAAAAGAAGGATCTCCTCCCTAACTCATTTAATGAGGCCAGCATTGTCCTGATACTAAAAGCTGACAGAGACACAATGAAAAAAGAAAACTTCAGGCCAATATCCCTGATGAACATCAATATGAAAATCCTTAATAAAATACAGGCAAACTGAATCCACCAGCACATCAAAAAGGTTATCCACCATGATCTAATTGACTTCATCCCTGGGATGCAAGGCTGGTTCGACACATACAAATTAATAAACGTAATCCATCACATAAACAGAACGAATGACAAAAATCACATGATTATCTCAATAGACGCAGTAAAGGTCTTCAATAAAATTCAACATCCCTTTATGATAAAAACTCTCAATAAACTAGGTATTGATGGAACATAAACTAGGTATTGATGACAAACCCAGAGCCAGTATCATACTGAATGGGCAAAAGTGGGAAGCATTCCCTTAGAAAAATGGCACAAGACAAGAATGCCCTCTCTCACTGCCCCTATTCAACATAGTACTGGACGTTCTGGTCTGGGTAATCAGGAGAGAGAAATAAAGAAATAAATAAACGGTATTCAAATAGGAAGAAAGGAAGTGAATTGTCTCTGTATGCAGATGACATGATTCTATATTTAGAAAACTCAGCTCAAAAACTCTTTAAGCTGATAAGCAACTTCAGCAAAGTCTCAGGATACAAAATCAATGTGCAAAAATCCCAAGCATTCCTATACACCAACAATAGACAAGCAGAGAGCCAAATCATGAATGAACGTCTATTCGCAATTGCTACAAAGAGAATAAAATACCTAGAAATACATCTCACATGGGTTGCGAAGGACCTCTTCAAGGAGAACTACAAACCACTGCTCAATGAAATAGAAGAGGACACAAACAAATGGAAAAAAAGAATAGAAAGAATCAATGGATAGAAAGAATCAATATTGTAAAAATGGCCATATTGCCCAAAGTAATTTATATATTCAATGCTATTCCCGCCCAAGTACCATTAATATTCTTCACAGAATTAGAAAACCTACTTTAAATTTCATATGGAACAAAAAATGGCCCATATAGCCAAGACAATCCTAAGCGAAAAGAACAAAGCTGGAGGCACCACACTACCTGACTTCAAACTATACTACAAGGGTGCAATAACCAATAAAATATGGTACCGGTACCAAAACAGACCTATAGTCCAATGGAGCAGAACAGAGATCTCAGAAATAACACCACACATCTACAACCATCTGATCTTCAACAAACCTGCAAAAAACAAGCAATGGGTAAAGGATTCCCTATTTAATAAACGGTGCTGGGAACACTGGCTAGCCAAATGCAGAAAACAGAAACTGGGCCCCTTCCTTACACCTTATACAAAAATTAACTCAGGATTGATTAAACGCTTAAAATGTAAAACCCCAAACCATAAAACCCTAGAAGAAAGACTAGGCAATACCATTCAGGACATAGGCATGGGCAAAGACTTCATGACTAAAACACCAAAAACAATTGCAAGAAAAGCCAAAACTGACAAATGGGATCTACTTAAACTAAAAAGCTTCTGCACAGCAAAAGAAACTAGCATCAGAGTGAACAGACAGCCTATGGAATGGGAGAAAATTTTTGCAATCTATCCATCTGAGAAAGGTCTAATACCCAGAATCTACAAAGAACTCAAACAAATTTACAAGAAAAAAAACAACCAACCCCATCAAAAAGTGGGCAAAGGATATGAGCAGACACTTCTCAAAAGAAGATATGTACGTGATCAAGAAACATATGAAAAAAAGCTCATTATCACTGACCATTAGAGAAATGCAAATCAAAACCACAATGAGATATCATCTCACACAAGTCAGAATGGTGATTATTAAAAATTTAAGAAACAATAGATGCTGGTGAGGCTGTGGAGAAATAGGAATGTTTTTACACTGTTGGTGGGAATGTAAATTAGTTCAACCATTGTGGAAGACAGTGTGGTGATTCCTCAAGGATCTAGAACCAGAAATACAGTTTGACCCAGTAATCCCATTACTGGGTATATACCCACAGGATTAGAAATCATCCTACTATAAAGACTCATGAATATGCATGTTTGTTGCTGTAGTATTTACAATATCAAAGACATTGGACCAGTCCAAATGCCCATCAATGGTAAACTGGATAAAAAAAAAATGTGGCACATACACACCACGGAATACTACGCAGGCATGAAAAGGAATGAGATCATGTCCTTTGCAGGGACATAGATGAAGCTGGAAGCCATCATTCTCAGCGAACTAACATGGGAACAGAAAACCAAACACTGCATGTTCTCACTCATAAGAGGGAGTTGAATAATGAGAACACATGGACACAAGGAGGGGAACAACACACACCTGGGCCTGTCTGGGAGTGGGGGACCAGGGGAGGATTAGGACAAATACCTAATGCATGTGGGGTTAAAACCTAGATGACGGGTTGATAAGTGCAGCAAACCTCCATGGCACATGTATACTTATGTAACAAATCTGCGTGTTATGCACATGTATTCCAGAATTAAATTAAAATTTAAAAAAAAAGTCATAGAAGTTTGTTTGTTTACATCTATGCTTGCTTTCCCATTGTGATGGCAGAGTGTAATAGTTGTAACTGCATTGTCCTTAGGTCTAAAATATTGGCTGTTGGGCTGTTTACAGAAAAGTTTTCTGACCCCTGTCTTAAAAAATTAGCCTTCCTGTACATTCATCTCTATCAGTTTCTCTAGGACAAATTCTATCCAGATGATAACATGTACAAATAGCTGTTTTTCAGCACTCTGAGACTTAGTCAGTTTACCCCTACTACAGGTGAACTTCCTCCATTGTAACTGATTTTTTTTAAAGTATATGATTTAGTTCATATTCTTGTGCTTGAGTCATTTGGCTTTGTAGTCTGCCTAATACTCTTGTATCTGGGTCTTGCCTTTGCTTTGATTTCTATCTTCCTGCCTTAATTCCTGTTACTGAACCTTAGCACGGTGACTAGAGCTCTACTATCCATTGGACATCTTCCACTCTGCCTCTTGCTTACCCAGACTTTGAGTATCACTACCCTATAGCTGTTATCCATCCATTAGTTGAAGCACATGGCTGCCTACAGGCATGCTTGCCTAGGTTACAAAGTACAGCTATTATTCACTTTGAATGCTATACGTTGGATGATGGATTGTGTTCACAGCACCATTGACTGAGTTGGTCCAAATGTGTGTTTCTCATCCAGGTGTAGAGTTTGTTTCAGATCCCAGTCCTCCAAGTTTTCTTCATCCTATCCTATAACAGGTAAGTAGCTATGCTAAAGCCAGAAAAAAATATAAATGTTGTGTTAGCAATTGTATTGGAGAAAGAAGAAGGATGGTTTTGTCACAGACACAGACTCATCCAAAGAAAATGTACAGATAGAACAAAATAGTGGTACTGCCTTTTGAAAGGGAGTAGGGTAGAATCCTATGTCATTGTTTAAATTATTTCAACATTAATACTCATTATCAAATGTTGTAATCAGTTATTTATACTAGGAAAAAAACGTAAACATTTAAAGTAATTTGGCAAAGAACCTTGGGCCCCAAGGGAAACATATAGTTTTAGGCTACAGATAATGAGTGGTCTCTGGTGGTGGTGATGGAGTAGGTAAAAGAGATTGAATTGGAGAGCACAAGCATTGTTTCCATTGCACCAATAGAGCAGAAAATCTCACTAAGAGGTAAGGAAAAAAATCCTCCCAAGCTGATTTTAATGACTATGACTGTCAATTTTTGCTGAGATGTAAGCATGCCTATCTGATGAGTATATATATTATAGGGTTTATACATACTCATGCACCACTTAGATGTATAGATGGCTCTCTTTGCGTGTCAATAATGGTTCTGTTCTGTCAACAGGGAATCTCATTTCATGAAATGGTTGAAGGACTTTTTAAACTGGAAGTAGTTATCTTTGTACTTTAAGCTTCTCGAACAACACATAGCACATTATCATGGTAGGATAAACTCTGGATGAATTCTTGATATCAATCAGGCTTATTGTTTTGGTGGCACTCCTATGAGAAATTTAGTTTTTCTCTGATTTGCAGACAGAGAAACAAAGAAAAAGACTTGGTTGAGGGGAGTTGCAGTTTCCTGAAACTGCAAATTTTTACCAAGAAGTATTAGTGGTATGTGAAGAGAATATCTGCTATCTATTTGTTTGGCTCATCATGCATCATTACATTATGTTTCTTGAAGTCAGTCTATAAACCAATTTTAAGTGAAGTTTACCTTGGCAGCAACTAATGGGGAAAATATTCGTGATTGTGGAATCAGACTGTGCAATCTGGAATTGGAAGCAGCTTTCTTTATTCATGTTGAGTGTAAGATGTGACAGTGGGATCTTCAAGTCTTGACACAATTCCTGTGGAAGTATAGTAAAGACCTGCTCTGCAGGAGCTGGCTGGTTGGGCACAAATAAGCAGTCTTTGGGGCTTCCTCTCTAAGTAGTTCCTCATGTTAATTCAGATCTAATTTCCACACCAAAAAGTACCAAATCTATACAGCTTAACCTTCCAAATAATCTTCAGCAAAAAACCCTGGAGTAAAAGCTGTGGAAAATAATAGCAAGAACTTGGCAGAATGCAAAACAGTGAAAAATAAGACACACACATACATAAAGGAGGTTTATGTGAAAATTCTTTTGTTGACAGCTTATAGAAAACCCACTCCTGGCTAATCACTTCAAATTCCATATGCTCCAAAATAAAATTAGCATCTTTTCCAAAATTACCTATTATTTTCTACGTTTTTATAAAGGATAAAATTATGCTACCACATTAGTAACTACAGAGTCACCTCAGTAGATTTAATCTCTGTCATCTTTTCAAGGAACTCTGTTGATTCTTCCTCCAAATATATATTTGTCTTACCACTGTATTTACCTTATCATAATCCTAGTTTTAGGATTGATTATAGTCAATCTGGATTTCCGTGCAAGTTTCTTTTACCAACTTAAACTTCAGAAGCCACTGCCTACTTTCCAGTCTCCTCTGTATATTCATTGCCAAAACAACCTTGCAATAAAACACAAGAATGAATTATGTTGTCCACATGCTTAAAAATCTACAATGGCTTTCCAGTGCCTAAAATATCAAGTTTTATCCCTGCCCTTTACACTCTAGTTGCAGTTTATCTATCCATATAGCTCTTTTCTCTACAGCACACATCATTTACAACAGACAGGACCAGGTTAACATTATCGTACGCTGTGTGACACGTTAATTTCTGTTACCAAAAATAGTAACTGCTACCATTTGTTGACGATTTATCATATGCCAACCATGAAACTAAGTTCTTTTTACCTAAGTTCTATTTTCCTTAATGCACAGAAAATCAATGTAAAGCACGGATTTTCATCTCTGTGTTAATAAGTGAATACTTGAATATTAGAGTGTTAAGTAACTTGCTTAGGGTTAACCAGCTAGTAAAAGAGTGAAGACTTAGATCCCTTTTGGTATAAACCCAAAGCCTGGGCTCTTTCCTCTCTGTGACACCAAAGTCTGTGCTCACATGCTCACTTTTCACCAATAATATTTTAACCTTTCCCATCCTTCTTTGCACTTACCAAAATTTATACTTCCGGTCACTATACACTTCTCTCCCTCCACCATCAAGGTAATCACTAACCTGACTTCTGAAAATGCAGATTAGTGTTTTAAACTTTATATTAATAAAATAATATAATATGTAATCTTTTGTGCCTAGATTCTTTTACATATTGTTTATAAGATTCAACCATATTTTTGTGTGTAGTTGAAATTTGTTCATTTTCCTTGCTTTATAGCATTCCATTTTGTGAACATACTAGAATCCATTTATCTACTGCTTGCTTATTATGAATGCTATCAAGACACATTTCAAGAGCTACTAGAACTCTCATCAACTGTGGGAAGGCAAGTTGGTATAAACACTGGAAAACAGTTTGGAAGTTTATACAAAAAATAACATATGTGTACTTTTCAGACAGTCTTTACACTAATAAGTATATACCCAACAGATAAACTGTATATTTCTACCCAATTAGTAGAAGAATGTTTACAACAGCATCATTTTTCTTTTTCAATTTAGCCATTCTACAGGGTATGTAGTGTTATAAAGTTCTGGTTTTACTTTTAATTTCTCTTGATGACTAATGAAGCTCAGCACCCACTCCCAATTTAAATATCATTTCTGTAAGGTACTTATTTGAGTTTTTTGCTCATTTAAAAAAAGATTTTCTCTTTTCCTATTTATTTGATAAAAGCTCTTTATATATTCTGGATCTAAACCTTTTTTGAGGGGAATATGTTTTGTAAATACCTTTTCCCACTTTGTGGGCTATCTATTCACTCTTCCTATTGGCGTCTTCTGATGAACAGAAGTTTAAGTCATAATATAGTCCAATTTATCAATTTTCTATTTATCATTGGTAATCTTAATGTCTTGTTTGAAAATATGTGTCTACTCCAAAGTCATAAAGGTGTCTTTATATACTTTCACGTAAATTTTCTATTTTTTAAAGAAATTCTTTGATATTTCTATTTTTATGGAAATTCTTTGATATTTAGGTCCTCTGTTTATCTGGCCTTTTTATGATGTCATGTAAGAGCAAAAATTAATCCCTATGTTGGATATCATATTGACCCTGTGACTCATTTACTGAAAAATGATACTTTCCACAGTGCTATGTAGTTTCAACTTTATCATATACTAGATGATCAATACAGGTATGCATCTATTTGTGGACCCTCTTAGATTGTCCGTTGTTCTATTTGTTTATTCTTGTGTCAATATTAAACTTTATTAAATTTCAGTAAGAGGCCATGACTTTTGTAGTATAAATTCTCCAGCTTTGTTCTTCCAGATTGCCTTGGTTATTCTTTGCCATTTGCATTTCTATATAAATTTTAAAATCAGCTCACTGGACACAATAAAAAGCCTGTTGAGATTTTGATTGGAATCTATAGATAAATTTTTGGAGAACTGACATTATAACAATATGAAGTCCTCTTATCCATGACCTTGGATTTATTCAGGTTGTTATCAGTTTTTCTTGGTGATATTTTATAGTTTTTAGTGTAGAATTCTTGTGTATATTTCTGTAGAAATATTAACAAGATATTTAATATTTTATATTTTAAATGGTATTTTAAAAATATAATTTCCTATTTATTTGGCCAGTATATGGAAAAGCTGATATTTTGTATTAATCTTGTACTCATTGACTTGGCTGTATTATTTTACTAATTATAATAGTTTCCAGATTTTTAAAGATTTTATACATATACTTACAAGTTATCTGTGATTCTTTTATTATTTTTTCAATGTCTTATTGCATTGACTATAATCTTTATTCAATAATAAATAGAAGGGATAATGGTTGGCATCTTTGATTAGTAGTAACCTCAGGGAGTTTTAACATTTTACCATTAAAATGGATAATATCTTTAAATTTCATTGGACATTATTTACCACATTAAAGAAATGTCTTTCTTCTAATTTTCTGAGGATTTTACCATAAATAGCTGTTCAATGTTCTCAATATTTTATCTGCATCTATGGAGATAATCTTATGTTTTCTCCTTTATTATGTGAATGTGCAGAATTATAGTGATTGATTTTCAAATGTTAAACCAACCTAGCATTCTCTGAATAAATTTTACTTGGTCATGATGCACTATGCTTTATATGTACCACTGGATTATATTTGCTAATATTTTGAATTTTTACATCCAAGTTTAATATGGCCAATAGTCTTCCTTTCTTGAAATATCTTTGTCAGGTTTTCATATTATGGTTATACTAGCTTCATACAAACTGTTGGAAGGTATTTATTTTTAATTTCTCTTGTCTATAAGAATTTGTGTAAGATTTGTATTATTTCTTTCTTACATGTTTGGAAGAGTTTACCAGTGAAACCATCCAGGATTAGAATTTTCTTTGTCTAAGTGCAGATTTAATTTCTTTAATAAATCATCTTACTATTTAAACTTTGTTTCTTTTTGTATTCATTTTAGCAAATTATCTCTTTAATTTTTTTATTTTATTTAATGTGTCAACTTTATTACATAAAGTTGCTTATAATGTGCTCTTTTTATCCTTTAATGTATTCAGGATCCTAAAGATGAATCTTATTTCATTTCTGATATTGGTAATCCATGCATTGTCTATTTCTTGGTCAATCTTCCTATGGGTTTATTAATTTTATTATAAAATAATAAATGTTTGCTTTTGTTGAATTTTCTCTATTGTATATCTGTTTTACATTTCTGACATTAGATTTACATTACTTTTTCCTTTATTTTTCTTAAGTGTTATTTGCTGTGCTTTTTCTGCTTTTTTTAGTTGGAAACAGAGATAATTTATTTTTTCTTTCTAAAATATGCATTAAAAGCTATAAATAATCTCTCAGCTTTTGTTGCATCTCACACATTGTGACCTGTCATATTTTTATAATCATTTACTTTAAAATATTTTAAGATTTACGCTGATTTATTGATTAACCTATGAATTGCCTAGAATTGTGTTGCTTAATTTCCGTACATTTGGACACTTCAGTTATTTTTTTGTTATTGAATTCTTATTTAATCATGCTGTATCATGCTCTGTGCAATATCAAATCTGCAGTTATGTTTTGTTATTTTTAAAATATACGTAACATAAAATTAACAATTTTAACCATTTTAAGTATGGCGTTCAATTAATGACATTAAGTACATTCACATTTTTGTGCAATCATGAACACCATCTGTATTAGGGTTCTCTAGAGGGACAGAACTAATAGGATATATGTATATATGAAAGGGAGCTTATTAAGGATAGCTGAGTCACATGATCACAAGGTAAAGTCCCACAGTAGGCCATCTGCAAGTTGAGGAAGAAGGAAGCCAGTGATGGATCAGTCCAAGCTCTAAAACCTGAAAAGTAGGGAACTCAACAGTGCAGCCTTCAGTCTGTGGCCAAAGGCCCAAGAGCCACTGGCAAACCACTGGTTTAAGTCCAAGAGTCCACAAGCTGGAGAACTTGGAGTCTGATGTTTGACAATAGAAAGCAAATAGCACGGGAGAAATACGAAGGCCAGAAGACAGCAAGTCTGCTCTTTTTCAACTTCTTCTGCCTGCTTTATTTTAGCTGCACTAGCAGATGATTAGATGGTGCCCACCCTGATAAGAGGGTGGGTCTGCCTCTCCCAGTAAACTGACTCAAATGTTAATCCCTTTGGCAACACCCTCATCCTTCAATCCAATCAAGTTAACACTTTATATTAACTATTACACCATCCAACTCCAGAACCTTTTTGTCTTCTCAAACTGAAACTCTGTGCCAATTAAACAATAACTTTCCGTTCCCCCTTCTTGGCTCTTGGCAACACCATTCTGTTTTCTGCCTCTATGAATTTGACTACTTTGGGGGCTTTATATAAGTAGAATCATACAATATGTGTCCTTTTTTGTCTGGTTTATTTCACTTTGCATAATGTTTCAAGATCCATCCATGTTGTAGCAATTGTCCAAATTTCCTTCCTAGTCAAGGTTCAATAATATTCGATTGTATGGATAGGCCATAATTTGCTTATCCAATCATCCATTTATAGGCATTTGGGTTGATTCCATTTCTTTACTATTGTGAATAATACTGCTATAAACATAAGTGTGCCAGTATTTATTCAAGTCACTGCTTTTATTTCTTTTGCTTATATAGACAGAAGTGGAATTGCTGTTGTCTTTGTTAATTTTATGTTTAATTATTTGAGGAACTGTTTTCCACAGTAGCTGCACCATTTTACATGCCCACAAGCATTTCATGAGTTCCAATTTCTCATCTTTGCCAACACTTATTATTTTCTGTGGTTTTGATAATAGACATTCTAATGGATGCAAAGTTCTATCTCATTGTAGTTTTAATTTGTACTTTTCTGACAAGTAGTGATGTAGAGCATCTTTCCATATGCTTATTGGTCATCTGTATATCTTATTTAGAGAAATGTCTATTAAAATCATTTGCCCATTTTTGAATTGGGTTGCTTGCTTTGTTACTGTTGACTTGTAGGAGTCCTTTACATATCCTGAATGTTAAGCCTGTACCAGATATATGATTTGTGAATATTTTCTTCTATTCTGTACATTGACATTTTACTCTCCTGATAGTGTCATTTGATGCACAAATGTATTTTATTTTGATGAAATCCAACTTACCTATTTTTGTTGTGTTATTGCCTGTGCTTTTGGTATCATAGCCAAGAAATTATTGCCAAACACAATATCATGAAGGTTTCCCCATATTACTTCCTTCTGGGAGTATCATAGTTTCTGCTTTTAAATGTAGGTCTTTGATCAATTTTCTTTGTCTATGGTATAAGTTAAGGGTCTAACTTCATTATTTTTCACGTGGATGTCCAGTTTTCCCCCACACAATTTGTTGAAAAACTTATTATTTCCCCATTGAATGGTCTTAGAATTATTATCAAAAATCATTTGACTATATATGCAAGGGTGTATGTCTGGGCTCTCTATATTATTCTGGAGTTTTGTATATCTGTTTTTATGCTGGTAACATACTGTTTTGATTAATGTCATTCATAGTAGTATTTGAAATCAGGAAGTATGAGACCTCCAACTTTGTTCTTTTTCAACATTGTTTCGGCTATTCCAGGTCCCTTAAGCATCCACATGAATTTTACGATTATTTTTCTATTTCTGAAATAATGTCATTGGGATTTTGAGAGAGATTACGTTGATTTTTCACCTCTCTTTGGATGGTATTAACATCTTCACAAGATTATATCCTCAAATTAATAAACTTGAATTTTTAAATTTTTTTGTTTCTATTTTTTTTCCACAATATTTTGTGGTTTTCAGTGTACAAGACCTTCATGTCTGTGGTTAAATTTATTCCTAAGAATTTTATTATTTTTGATGCTGTTATAAATGGAATTGTTTTTATAACTTTCTAATCAGATTGATTATTTTTAATTTATAGAAAAGCAACTAATTTTGTGTATTATTTTTGTGTTCTACATGTTTGCCTAATTGTTTTATTAGTGCAATACATTTTTGTGGAATGTTTAGGGTATGTAGACATAGAGGATCATGTCATCTGTAATCAGAGATTACACAACTTTTTGTATGCCTTTTATTTTCTTGCCTAATTACTCTGCCTAGAAATCTCACTACTACATTGAATAGAAGTGACAAAATCAGGCTTGTCTTGTTTCTGATCTTAGAAGAAAGGCTTCCAGGCTTTTACATTTGAGTAAAATGTTAGCTGTGGAGTTTTTATATATGACCTTTATTATGTCAACGTAGTTTCTTTCAATTTCAAGTATGTTGAGTGTTTTTATCATGAAAATCTGTTAAATTTTGTCAAATGCTTTTTATATATTAATTAAGATGACCATTTTGTTTTTCTTCATTCTGTTAATGTGGTATATTAACATTGATTGATTTATGTATTGTGAACCATCATTGCATCACAGTAATAAATTCTTGTAATGTGCTGTTGAATTTGGTTTACAAAGTTTTTTTAGAGTTTTTGAATTCATAAGGATTGTTGGTCTGTGGTTTTCTTTTACAGTCTTTGCCTTGATTTGGTATCAGGTAAGGTTGCCCTCATAGAATGAGTTAAGAAGTATTCCTTCTTGTTCAATTTTGGGGAAGATTTTGAGACATATTGGTGTTAATTCTTTAAATGTTTGATAAAATTGACCAGTGAAGCCATCAGATTTTAGACTTTTATTTGTTAGAAGGTTTTTTTTTTATCACTGATTTGATATCATTATTAGTTATAGGTGCATTCAGATTTTCTATCTTTTACAAAAATATTTAGTTTTGGTAGGCCATGCGTGTCTAGAAATTTGTCACTTTCATTTAGGTAATCCAATTTGTTGATATACAATTCTTCATAGCACTCTTTTATAATCACTTTTATTTATATAAAATTAGTATTAATGACCCAAGTTTCATTTCTGATTTTAGTTATTTGACAATTGTTTCTTTTTATCACTCAATCTGTCTATAGATCTGTCATATTATTATTTTTTCTCAAAGAACATAGTGATTAATTTACTCTATTGGCTTCATATTGTCTATTTTATTTATATAATTTTTTTATGTTCTTTGTTCTGTTAACCTTGTGTTTAATTTGCTCCTCTTTTTCTAGTACCTTGGGGAACGAAAGGTTGTTTATTTGAGATATTTCTTCTTTTTTAATCTAAGTATTTGCAGCCATAAATATTTTTCATAGCACTGCTTTTACTGCATCCAATAAATTTTGGTATGTTGTGTTTTCATTTTTAATTGTCTCAAGATATTTTCCAATTTCCCTTGTGAATTTTTCTTTTATCCATTTGCTATTTAAGATTATGCTGCTTAACTTTCACATATTTGGGAATTTCTCAGTTTTCTTTCTGCTATGGATTTCTAGTTTTAATTCATAGTGATTGGGTAAAATACTTTGTATGATTTAAATCTTTTAAAATTTAGAAAGACTTGTTTTGTGGCCTAACATGATCTATACTAGAGAGTTTTTCATGTACACTTGAGAAAAATTTGTACTCTGTTGCCGTTGCATAAAGTGTTCTGTATATGTTTGTTAGATCTAAGTGGTCTATAGTGCTGTTCAAGTCCTCTATTCTCTTACTGATTTTCTCTCTGGTTGTTCTATGTATTATTGAAGGTGAGAATTAAAGGCTTTTACCATTATTGCAGAGCTATCTATTTCTCACTTCAATTTTGTTAATTTCACTTTATTTTTTTGAGCTTTAATGTTTGATGCCTATGTATTTATATTCTTATATCTTCTTAAAAATGAACACTTTTATTATTGTTCTTTGTCTTGTAAAAGTTTTTGACATAAAGTCTATTTTGTCTGATATTAGTGTAGCCATCTCTTTTGTTTATAATTTGCATGGAATATCTTTGTCTTTATTTTCACTTTTAACCTATTTGTGTCTTTATATTTTAGCTAGTTTTCCTCTGAAACCTGGCAGAGACACAATGAAAGAAGAAAACTTCAGATCAATATACCTGTTGAATATAGATGCAAAAATTCTCAATAAAATACTAGAAACCAAATCCAGCAGCACATCAAAAAGCTAATCTACCACAATCAAGTAGGCATTATTTCTGGGAGGCAAGGTTGGTTAAACATGTGCAACTCAATAAATGTGATTCATCAAATGAACAGAACTAAAAACAATAGCCACGTGACCATCTCAACAGATGCAGAAAAGGCTTTTGATAAAAATTCAAAATTTCTTCATGTTAAAAACTCTCAAAAAACTAGGAATTGAAGGATCACACCTCAAAATAATAAGTGATGTCCTTGACAAACCCACATCCAATGTCATACTGAACAGGTGAAAAGTGGAAGCATTTCCCTTAAGTACTGGGACAAGACAAGGATGCCAATTCTCACCACTCTTATTCAACATAGTACCAGAAGTCATAGCCAAAGCAATCAGGCAAGAGAATGAAATAAAAGGCATCAAAATAGAAAGAAAGAAAGTAAAAATATGTCTTCACAGATGATATGATTCTATACCTAGAATACCCCATTCTCTGCCCAAATGATCCTTGAATTGATAAAATTCAGTACAGTTTCAGGATACAAAATCAATGTACAAAAATCAGTGCATTTCTATACACCAATATAGTCCAAGCTGAGGGCCAAATCAGGAATGCAATCCCATTCACAATTGCTACAAAAACACAAAAATCAAAAAACAAAAAAAAAAACCAAAAACAAAACAAAACAAAAAAACAGGAATACAACTAACCCAGGAGGTGAAAGTTCCCTACAAGGAGAGTTACAAAACATTACTTGAAGAAATCAGAGATGACACAAACAAAATGGAAAAACATTTCATGCTAACGGATAGGAAGAATCAATATTGTTAAAATGGCCATGCTGCTATTCCTTTCAAACTACCAATGTCATTTTTCATAGAATTAGAAAAAACTATTCTAATATTTACATGAAACCCAATAAAAGCCTGAATAGTCAGAGCAATTCTAAGCAAAAAGAACAAGGTGGAGGCATCACATTACCAAACTTCAAACTATTCATCAAGGCTACAGCTATCAAAATGGCATAATACTTATACAAAAACAGACATATAAACCAATGGAACAGGTTAGAGAAACTTAGAAGTAAAGCCACACACCTGTAGCCTTCTGATCTTTGACAAAGTTGACAGTAATAAGCAATGGGAACAGGACTCTGATATGCTTTGGTTTTGTGTCCCCACCAAAACCTCATGTTGAATTGTAATCCCCAGGTGTTGGAGGAGTGGCCTGCTGTGAGGTGGTTGAAACATGGGGCAGACTTCCCCCTTGCTGTTCTTATGACAGTGACTGAGTTCTTATGAAATCTGGTTGTTTAAAAGTGTGTAGCACTTCCTTCTTCACTCTCTCTCTCGCCTGCCACCATCTGAGGATGTGTCCCCAGCCATACCTCCTGTACAGTCAGTCTATGGAACTTTGAGTCAATTAAACCTCTTTTCTTTATAAATTTCCCAGTCTCAGGTAGCTCTTTATAGCAGTGTGAAAACAGACTAATACAGAAAATTGATACCAGAGAAGTGGGGCATTACTATAAAGATACCTGAAAATGTGGAAGTGACTTTGGAATTGTGTAATGGGCAGAGTTTGGAACAGTTTGGAGGGCTCATAAGAAGAAGGAAGATGGGAAAGTTTGGAGCTTCCTAGAGACTTGTTGAAAGGTTGTGACAAAAATGCTGTTAGTGACATGGACAGCGAAGTCCGGGATGAGTTGGTCTCAGATGGAGATGAAGAACTTATTGGGAACTGGAGTAAAGGTCACTCTTGCTATGCTTTATCAAAGAGCCTGGGGGCATTATGTCCCTGCTCTAGAGATCTGTGGAACTTTGAAATTGAGAGAGATGATTTAGGGTATCTGTCAGAAGAAATTTCTAAGCAGCAAAGCATTCAAGGTGTGACCTGGCTGCTTCTCACGGTCATATACATGAACAGAGATGATCTGAAACTGGAACTTGTATTTAAATGGAAAGGAGAGCATAAAAGTTTGGAAAGTTTGCAGCCTGACCATGTGGTAAAAAAGAAAAAAAAAATTTTCCAAGGAGAAATTCAAGCCAGCTGCAGAAGTTTGCAGAAGTTTGCATAAGTAAAGAGGAGTCAAATGTTAATGGCCAAGATAATGGGGAAAATGCCTCCAGGGCATTTCAGATAGCCCCTCCCATCACAGACCCAGTGGTCTAAGAGGAAAAAGTGGTTTCATGGGCCCTGTTGCTCTGTGCACCCTTAGGACGTGGCATCCTGTGTCCCAGCAACTCCAGCTCCAGCCATGGCTAAAAGGGGCCAAGGTACAGCTTGGATCATTGCTTCAGAGGGTGCAAGCCCCAAGCCTTGATGGCTTCCATGTGGTGCTGAGCCTGCAGGTGCACAGAAAGCAAGAGGTGAGGTTTGGGAGCCTCCACCTGGATTTCAGAGAATGTACAAAAACATCTAGATGTCCAGGCAGAGGTCTGCTTCAGGGCTTGAGCCCTCATGGAGAACCTTCACTAGGGCAGTGCAGAAGGGAAATGTGTGGTTGGAGCCCCCACATAGAGTCCCCACTGAGGCACTGCCTAGTGGAGCTGTGAGAAGAAGGCCACCATCCTCCAGAACCCAGAATGGTAGAACCCACCAACAGCTTGCACTTTGCACCTGGTAAAGCCACTAGCACTCAACGCCAGCCAATGAAGGTAGCCATGGGGGCTGTATGCTGCAAAGCCACAGGGACTAAGCTCCCCAAGAACTTGGGAGCCCACCCCTCACATCAGTGTGGCCTGGATGTGAGACATGGGATCAAAGGAGATTATTTTGGGACTTTAAGATTTAATGACTGCCCTGCTGGCTTCAGACTTGCATGTGGCTTGTAGCCCCTTTGTGTTGGAAAATCTCTACCTTTTGGAATGGGACCATTTCCCAATGCCTGTATCCCCATTGTATCTTGAAAGTAACTAACTTGTTTTTTATTTTACAGGCTCATAGGCAGAAGGGACTTGGCTTGTCTCAAGAAGGATGAGCATTAACTCATCTTGTCTCAACTTGTCTCAAGAAGGATTCCAGCATTAACTCAAAAGTCCATGTCAAAGTCAAGAGACTTTGGACATGGACTTTTGAGTTAATACTGGAATGAGTTAAGATTTTGGGGGTTTGATGGGAAGGCATAATTGTGTTTTGAAATGTAAGAAAGACATGAGATTTGGGATGGGCCAGTGCTGGAATAATATGGTTTGGCTTTGTGTCCCCACTCAAAT
Organism: Homo sapiens; assembly: GCF_000001405.40. Lineage (NCBI taxonomy): Eukaryota > Metazoa > Chordata > Mammalia > Primates > Hominidae > Homo > Homo sapiens. The sequence continues at coordinate 99,630,163 of NC_000023.11, read as the reverse complement.
TACATGTTGAGTTGCAATCCCATGTGTTGGAGGAGGGGCCTAAAAGAAGGTGATTGAATCATGGGGCAGGCTTCCCCCTCCCTATTCTTGTGACAGTGAATGAGTTCTCATAAGATCATGTAGTTTAAAAGTGTGTAGTGCTTTCCCCTTCGCTCTCTCTCTCTCTCTCTCCTGTCACCATGTGAAGACATGGTTGCTTCCCATTTGCCCTTCTTCCATGACTGTAAGTTTCCTGAGGCCCCCACAACCATGCCTCCTGTATAGCCTGTGGAACTGTGAATCAATTTAACCTCTTTTCTTTATAAATTACCCATATCGGGTTCTATAAAACTTCTACTAGAATCAGTTTGTCCATATGTACAAAATAGCTTGGTTTGATTTGTATTGCACTAAATCTGTATATACAGTTGGGAAGAGGTGACATTTAACAATATTAAATTTCTCACTCTTACAAGAAGAAATAGTTTTCTATTTATGTAGACGTTCTTTAATTTTCTTCATCAGAGATGCAATCATGAGTGTTGGTTTTTGTCATATGTGTTTTCTGCACTTATTCATATGATCATATGACTTTTATTCCTTTGGCCTATTGATATGGTAGAATATATTGATTTACTTTTGGATGTTTAACCAGTCTTGCATACTTAAAGTAAGTCCCAGTCATGCATACTTAAAATAAATCCCAGTCTTGCATACTTAAAATAAATCCCACTTGCTCATGATGTCTAATTATTTTGATACATTGTGGGATTTAATTCACTAACACTTTGTTGGGGATTTTTGCATTTATGTATTTATGTTCATGAGAAATTCGTCCTATAATTTTTCTTTCCTGTAATATCATTATCTGGTTTTGGTATTACAGTAATGATAGCAAAGAATAAATTAGAAATGTTCCCTCTGCTTCTACTGTCTGAAAGACATACTAGAGAATTATTATAATTATTTCCATAGCTGAATAGTATTTCTCTTTTTACATCCTTGAGGAATCACCACACTGTCTTCCACAATGGTTGAATTCATTTACACTCCCACCAGCAATGTATAAGTGTTCCTTTTTCTCCACTGCCTCAGCAGCATCTGTTATTTTTTGACTTTTTAATAAAAGCCTTTCTGACTGGTGCAAGATGGTATCTCATTGTGGTATTGATTTGAATTTCTCTAATGGTCAGTGATGCTGAGCTGTTTTTCATATGATTGTTAGCCACATTTATGTCTTCTTTTGAAAAGTGTTCATGTCCTTTGGCCAATTTTTAATTTTTTTGTTTTGTTTTGTTTTCTTGTAAATTTAAGTTCCTTATAGATGCTGAATATTAGACCTTTTTCAGATGCATAGTTTGCAAACATTTTCTCCCATCCTGTAGGTTCTCTATTTAATCTGTTGATAGTTTCCTTTGCTGTGCAGGAGCTCCTTAATTTAATGATATCTCATTTGTCAATCTTTGTTTTTGTTGCAATTGCCTTTTGTGTCTTCGGCATGAAATCTGTGCCAATTCTTATGTCCAGAATGGTATCACCTAGATTTTCCTCCAGGGATTTTATAGTTTTTGGTTTTACATTTAAGTCTTTCATCCATCTTGAGTTAGTCTTTGTATATGGTATAAGGAAGGGATCCAGTTTCAATCTTCCACATATGGCTAGCCAGTTTTCCGAGCACCATTTATTACATAGGGATTCCTTTCCCCACTGCTTGGTTTTGTCAAGTTTGTTGAAGATCAGATAGCTCTAGGTGTGTGGTCTTATTTCTGGGTTGTCTATTCTGTTCCATTGGTCTATGTGTCTGTTCTTGTACCAGCACCATGCTGTTTTGCTTACTGCTCTGCAGTATAGTTTGAAGTTGGGTAGTGGGATAGCATGATGCCTCCAGCTTTCCGCCCCCGCTGCTTTAGGAGTGCCTTGGCTATTCAGCCTTTCTTTGGTTCCACATAAATTTTAAAATATTTTTTTCTAGTTCTGTGAAGAGTGTCAGTGGTAATTTAATAGGCATAGCATTGAATCTATAAATTGCTTTGGGCAGTATGGCCATTTTAACAATATTGATTTCTTCTATCCATGAGCACGGAATGTTTTCCCATTTATTTATGTCATCTCTTATTTCTTTGAGAAATGGTTTGTAGTTCTCCTTGTAGAAATCTTTCACCTCCCTGTTTAGCTGTATTCCTAGTTGTTTTATTTTATTCTGTGTGTGGCAATTTTGAATGGGATTGAATTTGTGATTTGGCTCTTGGCTTGACTGTTGTTGGTATATAGGAATGTTTGTGATTTTTGCACGTTGATCTTGTATTCTGAGATTTTGCTGAAGTTGTTTATCAGATTAAGGAGCTTTTGGGCTGAGACTATGAAATTTCCTAGATACAGGATCATGTGGTCTGAAAACAGGGATAATTTGACTTCCTCTTGAGTTTTCTAAGGTGGAAGCTTAGATTTTTGATTCTGTATCTTTCTTCTTTTCTATTATATCAATTTAGTGCCATATACTTCCATTTAAGCACTATTTTTACTGCACCTCTCAAATTTTTTTGGTCTATAATTTTATATTCATGTCACTCAAAATATTTTATTTTTTTCTTCAGTTTTCTTCTTTGGTCTTTTTGTTATTTAGAAATATGTTGTTAAATCTCCAGATACTTGCAGATTTTTCAGCTCTCTTTATGGTATTTATTTCTAGCTTAATTCCATTGTCTGAGAACATAATTTTATGATTTTTATTTTTAACAAATTTGTAAAGGGGTGTTTTATTATCAAGAATATTGTTTTTTAGTGAAAGTTCTAAGCAAACCTGAGAAGAATGTGCATTCTACTGTGGTTGGATGGGGTATGTCTTTGTGTCTATTATATCAAATCGTTTGATACTTCTGTTTAGGTCAATTACTGTTTTCTTTCTGTTTGATGTATCGATTACTGAGAGAGGATGTTGATGTTTCCAAGCAACTATAATAGTATATTTATTTATTTCTTCTTGCATTTCTAACAGTTTTTTGGCATCACATATTTTGACACTGTTTTCACATGCATACACATAGCATTGTTTAGACTTTTTGGATAATTGGCCCCTTTTTCATTGTAAAATGGCACTTTGTATTCCTGTTTATCATCCTTGTTCTCATGTCTGCTTTATATGAAATTAATATAGCTATCCAGGCTTTCCTTTGATTAGTATTAACATAGTATATAATTCTCCATTTCTTTACTTTCAACCTATTTGTTTTTATTTAAAGTGAGATTCTTGTAGATGATATATACATGATCCTTGTTTTTTATTCACTCTGATTGTGTCTGTCTTTCAATTGGTATATTTTAGTCTAGTCACATTTAAAGTTATCATTGATAGATTTGTATTAATATGTACTATATGTATAACTATTTTCTATTTATTGCATTTTTTCCCTTATTTTCTGCCTTCTATGTTTCCAATGAAAATCTTAGATGAACTCATTTTATCTCCCTGTTCGCGTATCAGTTTCAACTTTTTAAAAAACTGTTTTCAGTGGTTGCCCTGGAGTTAGCAGTATGTAGTTTTAACTAAGTTCAGTATCACATAACACTCTATCATTTTATATGTACTTAGATACATTCTAACAGAGTATTCCCAAGTCCTCCCTCCCATCCCTTGCAATGTTGCTGTCATTCGTTTCACTTATCCATTTACTATAATCATCCAATACATTATTATTATTGATTTCAAGAAAGTTATGTTATCTCAATTAAGAATAAGATTAATTTAAAAATTTTATTTTATTCTCCTTTATTCATTTTCTGATGTTTTCTTTTCTTTTGTAGATTAACCTTTCTGATCTATATCATTTTCATGCTCTCTGAATAGCTACTTTTAACATTTATTTCTGGACAGATCTGTTAGTGATGAAGTTCCTCATTTTTGTTTGAAAAAGTTTTTATTTCTCCTTCACTTTGGAAGAACAAGTTCACTGAGTAAATAATTCTGGGTTGCTGTTTCTTTTTTCTTTCATTATATTAAATATTTTATTTCACTCTCTTATTGCTTGCATGATTTCAGATGAGAAATCCATTGAATTTGTTTCATTTGTCCATCTATTGGCAATGCACTTTATTTATTTGGTTTTCATCAAGATTTTCTCTTGGTCTTTTTTTGTTTGTTTGTTTGTTTGAATATGATTTCCCCAAGTGTAGTTTCTTATTTTTCTTTGATTTTATTTTCTGTTTTATATTCTCTGGCCTCCTGGATCTGTGGTTTGGTGTCTGGAAAATTCTCAGTTATCATTAATTAATTTTTTTCTTCCTTTCTGCTTTTGATATTCCCATTATACATACGTTATATCTATTGTTATTGTCCCATAGTTATTAATGTTCTGAGTTTTTTTGTTTTTGTTTTTGTTGTTGTTGTTGTTGTTTGTTTTTTTTTTTTTTTTTTTTTTTGAGACAGAGTCTCGCTCTGTCTCCCAGGCTAGAGTGCAGTGGCGCGATCTCGGCTCACTGCCAGCTCCACCTCCCGGGTTTACGCCATTCTCCAGCCTCAGCTTCCCGAGTAGCTGGGACTACAGGCGCCTGCTACCGTGCCCAGCTAATTTTTTGTATTTTTAGAAGAGACAGGATTTCACCGTGTTAGCCAGGATGGTCTGGATCTCCTGACCTCGTGATCCACCTGCCTCGGCCTCCCAAAGTGCTGGGATTACAGGCATGAGCCACTGCGCCCAGCCCTGAATTTGTTTTTAGTTATTTTTTCTCTTTGAATTTAAGTTTTGGAAGTTTTTATTGACCTGTTTCCAACTCACTGATTCTATCCTCAGCAGTGTCTATTCTACTAATTAGTTTATCCAATACATTCTTCATTTCTGTAACAGTGTTTATTTTCAATACTTCCTTAAGATTGTTTTGTAGAGTTTCAGTCTCTCTGCTTATGGTACCCATCTGTTCTTCCAAATTGTCTACTTTTTCCATTAGAACTTTTAACTTATTAATCATTGTTATTTTAAACTGTCTGATAATCCCATCTTTGTAATATTTGAGTTTATTTCTAATGAATGGTTTGTATCTTTAGACTTTGTTTTGTTCTTGTATTTTGGTGTGCCTTGAAATTTTCTGTTTAAAGCCAGACGTGTCAGGTAATAGGATCTGAGATAAATGCCTTCTAGTGTTAGGATTTATGTTAACTTGGCTAGTAGTTGAACTTTTTAGAATGTTTGCTGTAGCTGTAGGTGCCAAAGTCTTCAAAATCCTCTGGTGTCTTTGTTTTCATATACCTTCTTGCCTTTGGACTTCCCTAGGTACTTCTCCTCAGACAGTCTGTATCTTGTAGTTCTTTCAGCTATAATCCACTGTTACTATACTGGATCCCTGTTGTGTGGTAGTAAGATGTAGAGTAGCAGAAGTATTCTATAATATTATGATTAAATCTCAGTCTCTTAGTGGGCCTGCGTCTTTAGGCTGTGACTTTCCAAATATTCCTTGGCTTTTTCTTTCCTTAGATAAAACAGGAAGAATAGGTGGTTCTAGATTGAAAGAAATACCCTTCTCCCAGGTGGCCTAAGGCTCTGCTAAAGTTTGGTAGGATTTTGTTATGAAGAAATTCATAAATTGTTACCTATGTAACAAACCTGCACGCTCTGCACATGTATCCCAGAACTTAAAGTGTAATTTAAAAAAATTCTGTGGGTGTATTTCAAAGTGGTTACTCTTCTCCTCTTTTACCAGAATGAAGATGAGTCTTTCTTGTCTTCTGGCTATGAAAACCTCATCAAATTCCTGGAGGCAAAATCTACAATAGTCTGGATGCACCCTAAAGATTATATCCCCAGGAATTTGTCACTCTTAATGGTGGTCCACACTCAGCCTTTTGCGATTCATTGAAATTACTTTTTTTTTTTTCAATGTGTTCAGCTTTTTCTTATAAGGACAGGAGTGACAACTTCTAAGTATTTCATATGTCAGAGTTTAAACCAAAATTTAATTTTTTTTACATAGTTCTTAATGAGCTACATTTTTTCCTAAGATAAGTTTATTTAGAAAACCTGCATGAGGGTGGGAGAAAGATGATAATCTAAACTCTCGGATATTTTCCTGATGCCAAAGGGTTGTGAGTGTGCTATTTTCAGAGTCAATAAACTAGAATCAGCGTAGGCAGAATCTTTCTTTTTTTCCCTGAATTATTGGTAGTCAATTTCCTGTAAATGTTGCATGTTTATATTATATTCAGCCTCATTTTCACAGCTTCTCAAGACTTTATGTTTAATGTGGCCCAGAAAAGCTTCAGTTACTACCATCACTCAATCTTTTTGATGTGACAAACAAATGAACATTGATTTTGTATTTCAGGCTATGCCATTTACTTGCCAGATTTCACTAAGGTCTGCATTCCGTCTCCTTGAATCCCCTCAATTTTACTTGCCCATCAATACTTTTGCAGACTTTCTCTTATTTTAGCCTTTGAAATTTGAGGCACCTTTTAGTTTCTTTGCAGATATAGTTTGTATTTTTTTCTTCCATACTGTTTGCTTTTCAGTGATTTATGAGAAAAAATAGAGAAAATGCCAAGTTAACTTCATCGTTTTCAACTATAAATCTTTCCATACACCTTTCATTGAAACCTGAGATTGTTATGGCAACTTGCGCTAGAATTAAAGGGTTGAAGAGGATGTAGTGACAATTGTGTGTGTGTGTGTGTGTGTGTGTGTGTGTGTGTGTGTTTCTATTTGGGTTTCAGTTGAAGTAATTATAAATGCTCAACACACAGAAGGATAAAATGTTTCTGCTACATCAGTAAGTTTCTTTACATCAATAACCTCACTTGACTAGTGAGGCAATGTACAGTAATTTAGTAACTTGAAAAGGTCTATATATTTCTGGATTCATGTATGCTTCTGACAATTAAACATCAAAACAGTAAGAGTGAGTAAGTAGAGAAGTAGCACAGAACAATGCTCAAATGTAAACAGGTAAGGGAAGCAGCATATTTGTAGGTCAGTCTCCATTATAGTCTTATATTGATGTTCACAAGTGTCAACAGTGTAAAATAATCAAATGGGCATATGCAAGATGCTTAGATTGCTTTTTCTAGGTGTTTTTGTTATAAAGTTGCATTTGATTTCCTGTACCCTTTGAATTCATTATGAATTGCTAAGATGTATAAAATAAATTTAAAAGTAAATTTTGAAAACTCAAGTAATTGAGTTTTCTGTTGTCTACTTTCAGAGAAAAATAATGAGGTAATATATTTCAGCTTTAAAGAAGTATTTCTTGCATTTAAAGGTAAATTTTCATAAGAGAATTCTGAGAGGTATGTTTGTCAGACTAAAATTATTTCAACAATGGCAAATGCCATACTACCCTTCTTGAGTACCAGACTTTTTTCCTAATCAAATAAATTATTCAAAGTTGTAACTTAGTTTTTCCTACAAAAACCTTCAAGATGAAATAATTTACGCAAATATTGTTTTCTCTTAGAAACAATTTCATACTAGGAGATTACATAGTAAAGGGCACAGTAACAATACATTTAAAAATGAAAATGATTACCAATATATTAAATCAATTATCAATGATGTTTGTATAATGTAGAGTTTAAACTTTTTGAATAATTTATGTATCCATTCAGTAGTTCATTATAATATATATCACATTTATTTTTGTTTATGTGATCTCCCTAAATATAATGATTATTTTAGAATGTTCATGTACTTTTCATCTATCAGAAGTTTTTCATACAATTTACTACTCTTTATGTGAACTATTTTATTTTGTTCTGTGACATTTTATTTTTCTGCTTTTTCTCCTATCCCCTTGGCTACTTCTTCTAAGTCTCCTTTTCTATTCCTACTTTCTCTGTCAACTCATAGAACATTGAAGTTATTTAGGATTTCTTGTCATTTAACACATTCATTCCATTCCCCTCTGTTCCATTCTACCACCCAAATATATGCATCAAAATGTGTCTCAATTTTTCTCCAATTTATTCATCTAACTGCATGTTTTTCTTCAGTTTCACCCAGGTTGACTGCTCCAGCTAGCTACTGCTATTTAGCAAACTATTACAAAGTTTATTGGTGTAAAACATACCAAATTACTATTACTTACAAACTTGTGAGCTGACTATTCTGTTCTCATCCATCTTATTTGTATGGTTAGGTGGCAGCTATAATGGCTGTAGGAGTCAAGATGGTATCACTCATAGATTTTGCAGTTGGTGCTAGCATTGGCTGTGCCACCTCAGGTCTTCATGTGGTCTCTCATTTTCCAATAGGCTAAGACAGCTTCTTCACATGGAAGTCTCAGAACAGCATTCTAAGAGGGCAAGAGCAAAACTGCAAGGCCTCAAACTAGCACCATGGCATTATGATGTTCAACCATTTTAGAAGCCATAGATATTCTGATAAATTTATATCTCTATTCCTGACCTCTTCCTGACCTTCATACCTGTAGATCCACTGCCTACTCATGATCTCTACTGAAATGTGTAATAGCTCAAACTTCAAATAATGAAAACTTTGATTTTCTTCTAACTTTTACCCTCATTAGTATTCTATATATTCAGAAAAATGTATCCACTCAGCAAAACTTTATTGTACATATATTATGCCAGATATCATTTTAGATGACGGCTATAACAATGAACAAAACTGACAATGTTCATGATTTTATGGAGTATGTCTGCTACTGATGAAAGTGTCAACAAATAAAAAACAAAATGTCAGGTTATAAATGGTAAGAAGGAAAATAAAAAGGGTAAGGAGAGAAAGAGTGATGGAAATTGCTAATATTATAGATAGAGAAGTCAGGAAAAGGCTCTCTGATTAGGTGATTTATGAATAGATACCTAAATGAAGTAAGAGAGTGAGCCAGTTATATATAGGTAAGAATTACATAATGGGCACTATCCAGCTATTTAAGTACCAAACAAGTGTCAATCAAAGACGATTGAGTCCCTCACCACTTTTTAACATGGGAACTAAGTCAGTTCACTTTAACTTCAAAATATATCCCATATTAGTCTACTTATTTTTTATTTTTAAATATTTAATCTTTGTGGGTACATAGTATATATATATATTTATGGAGTATATGAGATTTTTTTATGAAGACATGCAATGTGAAATACATCATGGAGAATGGGGTTTCTATCCCTTCAGTCATTTATCCTTGTGTTACAAACAATCCAATTAGACTCTTTTAGTCATTTAAAAATGTACATATAAGTTATTATTGACTATAGTCACCTTGTTGTGCTATCAAGCAGTAGATCGTATTCATTTTTTCCAACTACTTGTTGTATCTATTAACCATCCCCACCTCCCCCAAGTTTCCCACTATCAATTCTAGCCTCTGGTAACCATTTTTCCAGTCCAATTGCTATCATTTTGTCCCAACTTATCATCTATCCTGGTGAACTACAATAGTTTAACCGATATCTAGCTACGTATTCTTTTAACCTTGCAGCCAGAATGATTTTTTAAGACTGTAAATCATATTTTGTGACCCCTGTCCTTAAAATTTGGCTTTGCATTGCACTTAGAATAAAATCCAAGTTTGTGAACTAGGTCCACACGGCCTAATAATAGGGTTCTTGATGACCACTGTACCCCATTCTGCTGTATTTTCCCCTTGGTCTTCAAGTTTCAGTGATTCTCTTTAAACTTAGCTTCAGAGTTTCAGGGAATTAAATTTATTTAGAAACATACATATCCTTCCCCATTCTCTAACTACTACCTCGTGCTTCAGATCTCAACTCATATTCTTCTTCTTTTCTGCAGTCTCCAGACTAGCATAGTGCACTTTATTTTAGAGTGTATAACTTTATCACATTTTGTTGAAATTAGCAGTTTAATGGTCTAGTTTTTCTAGTGAACAGTAAACTCAGTGTAGTTAGGCAACATATTTGTCATGTTTATTATAACACTGATATTTTATTATTTTATTATGTAAATACTTATTGTCTGCTTGTCTATTTTCTCTAAATAAAAAGTAAGCTCTCTGAGAGCAGGAACCACATCAGCTTGTTCATCTGTATATGCATCCACAATAAAAAAAAAATCCTAGAGCATAGGAGGTGCTCAAAACAACATTTTCAAATTTTTGTTTACATTTTAAATATACATACAGAAAAATGAACATAATGTAAGTATACGGGCTAATAAATAATCGCTGACTTATCACTATAATGTAAAACAGTATCTAGATAAAACATAAAAGAGTACCAGCACTCTAGAAACTAATTTATGCTTCCTTTTCATCATTACTCATGGCCTAAGGGTAACCACTATCAGAATATCTACTAATATAGATGAGTTTTGTCTGTTTGCTGCATTATATTATTGAAAAATACAGTAGCATTTTTTTTTGTTTCTGGGTATTTTCACTCAGCATTATGTTAGTAAGATTTATCTATGTTACTTGATACAGTTGCAGTTTTTCTTTATGATTACTATATACTATTTTCTTTTGTAAAATATACCAATATTTATTCATTATACTGTTAATAGAAAACTTCCAGTTTGAGGATCTTACAAATGGTGCTGACATAAGCATTCTAAATCATGTCTCTTGGTGAACAAAATGTAGGCATTTGTGCTGGTTATATACAAAATTGTCAAAGTGGAATTGTTGAGTCATGGGATAGGCATATGTTCAGCTTTAGTAGATACTACTTAACAGTATTCCAAAGTTGTTGCACCAATTTACATTCCCACCCACAAGGTAAGAGAGTTATAGTTGCTCTATATCGTTGCCAAAATATGGTATTTTTATTTTAGTCATTCTGGTGGGTTTATAGGATATTTCATGGTGGTTTCATTTGCATTTTCTTGATAACTAATAAGGTTTATCAACTTTTCACGTATTTCTTAATCACGTGCATACTCTCTTTCGTGAATTCTTCTCAAATAGTTTTCCTGATATTTCCATTTGATTGACATAAATAGCATTTTAGAAAAATATATGGTTTATTTTGCTGTGCAGAAGCTCTTTAGTTTAATTAGATCCCATTTGTCTATTTTGGCTTTTGTTCCAATTGCTTTGGGTGTTTTAGTCATGAAGTCCTTGCCCATGCCTATGTCCTGAATGGTATTTCCTAGGTTTTCTTCTAGGGTTTTTATGGTTTGGGGTTTTACATTTAAGTCTTTAATCCATCTTGAGTGAATTTTTGTATAAGGTGTAAGGAAGGGGGTCCAGTTTCAGTTTTCTGCATATGGTTAGCCAATTTTCCCAGCACCATTTGTTAAATAGGAAATCCTTTCCCTACTGCTTGTTTTTATCAGGTTTGCTGAAGATCAGATGGTTGTAGATGTGTGGTGTTATTTCTGAGGCCTCTGTTCTGTTTCATTGGTCTATATATCTGTTTTGGCACCAGTACCAAGCTGTTTTGGTTACTGTAGCCTTGTAGTATAGTTTGAAGTCAGGTAGTGTGATGCCTCCAGCTTTGTTCTTTTTGCTTAGGTTTGTCTTGGCTATATGGGCTCTTTTTCGGTTTCATATGAAATTTAAAGTAGTTTTTCCTAATTCAATGAATAAAGCCAATGGTAGCTTGATGGGAATAGCATTGAATCTATAAATTACTTTGGGCAGTCTGGCCATTTTCATGATACTGAGTCTTCCTATCCATGAGCAGGAAAGTTTTTTATTTTTCCATTTGTGTGTGTCCTCTCTTATTTCCTTGACCAGTGGTTTGTAGTTCTCCTTGAAGAGGTCAGAAACTATCATCAGTGTGAACAGGCAACCTACAGAATGGTAGAAAATTTTTGCAATCTACCCATCTGAAAAATGTCTAATATCCAGAATCTACAAGGAACTTAAACAAATTTATAAAAAATAAAGAAACAACACCATCAAAAATTGGGGTAAGGATATGAACAGACACTTCTCAAAGAAGACATTTATGCGGCCAACAAACACATGAAAAAAACCTCATTACTGGTCATTAGAGAAACGCAAATCAAGACCAGAATGAGATACCATCTCACGCAAGTCAGAATGTTGATTATTAAAAAGTCAGCAAGCAACAGATGCTGGCAAGGCTGTGGAGAAATAGGAACTCTTTTACACTGTTGGTGGGAATGTAAATTAGTTCAACCATTGTGGAAGACAAGTGTGGTGATTTCTCAAGGATCTAGAACAAGAAATACCATTTGACCCAGCAATCTCACTACTGGGTATATACCCAAAGGATTAGAAATCATTCTACTATAAAGACACCTGCATACGTATGTTTATTGCAGCACTATATACAATAGCAAAGACTTGGAACCAACCCAAATGATCATTAATTATAGCCTGGATAAAGAAAATGTGACACAAATACACCATGGAATACTATGTAGTCATAAAAAAGAATGAGTTCATGCCCTTTTCTGGGACATGGATGAAGCTGTAAGCCATCTTCTCAACAAAATAACACAGGAACAGAAAACCAAATACTGCATGTTCGCACTCATAAGTGGAAGTTAAACAATGAGAACATATGGACACAGGGAGGGGAACAACACACACCAGGGCCTGTTGGGGGTTGGAGTGCAAGGAGAGGGAGAGCATTTGGACAAATACCTAATGCATGAGGGGCTTAAAAGCTAGATGACGGGTTGATAGGGGCAGCAAATCACCATGGCACATGTATACCTATGTAACAAACCTGCATGTTCTGTATCCTAGAACTTAAATTAAAATTTTTTAAAAAGAAAAATGTATGGATTTATTACTGCACTTTTTCTTCTGTCTTGGTGGTCAGTTTTTTTTTGTCTGCAGTAATCAATAATTTATTATTTAACAAATGAGTGCATGAAAGGTTTATCTTCACTACATGTATATGTAAATGTAAAGCCTCAACAAAACAACATAATCTCCTGAATAAATAGGTCTGTTTTATAACAAAAAGTTACTAGAAATGGATTCATTTAGTCATATCCACCAGTGAACCTCCTAGATGATATGTTTGTGTGATAAAAGTAGTGTGAATAGCAGCATGTGTACATTCAAGAAATTCTGGTAAGTATGGATCAAGGTCTCTTATATTTTGCATCCACATCTTCACTATATTTTTTGCTCATATATTATTAGTACAATACTAGACTTCTCTCAAACTGAGAAACTCCACAGAATACATTTCCTTAAGGGCTTGCAAAATACAGAATAACTGTGTTATTCTTTGAGGTTCACACCATGTATGTTCATCAGTTGTGTTTTAATATGCAGAAAAACACAGCATAAACAATACCATAAGTATTATTTTTAATACTTGTTTATTGATATATAGTAAACAGATTTCTAGCTTTCTTGAATCAGTATGGTTAGTGCTCGCTTGGTTCATCTATTCCGTCAACAAATATTTATTGAACATATATTATATCCTATACTTGGAAATTCAACAATGAATGAGATAGACATGTTTCTTGTCTTCTCATAATGTACATTTTAGTGTTGAAGAAATATAGACAATAACTTGCTAAGAAATCAACAAACAAATTACAAGAAAAGTGGCAGAGAATAATATGTGCTATGCATGGAATTTTACCTTGGATATGTAAGTGTTTTGGTTATTTAGATTTAGTAGTTAGGGAAGACCTTTTTGTAAAGGTAATATTTAAACTGAGATCTGAAGAGCACGAAAGGATCCAGCTGAGTAACACTGGAGATTGAGAAGGGGAGAGTGTGGGTACATTTCAAGCAGAAGAAAACAACTATTGCCAAATACTTCATTTATTCAAATAATAGTAATAAAACCAGTGTCACTGGAGTATGGTAAGTGAGTGTGAAAGTGATATGAGATGAACACATGGACATGTGCAGAGAAGAAGATCATATTGGCCCTTGTAAGCCAAAGGAAGGACTTTGGATTTTATTTTAACTTTGATTGCCAGTCCTTAGAAAGCATTAAGCTAAAAGGTGACCAGGTGACAGAACAGAAATGGATGCTCCTGTTGGACACACACGAGCTAGTTCTGAAAAGATAAAAAAAAAAAATGGTGTAGTCCATTTGTGCTTGAGAAAGATGTTTAAAGCTTAAAACTGTTCACAGAATACAGTTTGAGTGAGCCAAATGTGACAAAGTCAGAAGAGAGTTTCCCCATACAACTATTTACGCCTGCAACCTAATCTCTGAAATCTATTTCCCACATTGCTGCAGTAGTTGTGTATTGGTCCATTCTCACATTGTTATAAAGAACTACCTGAGACTGGATAATTTGTAAAGAAAAGAGGTTTAACTGACTCACAGTTCCGCAGGTTGTACAGGAAGCATGGCTGCGGAAGCCTCAGGAAGCTTACAATTATGGTGGAATGCAAAGAGGAAGCAGCCCTGTCTTACATGGTGGGAGTAGGAGAAAGAGAGTGAAAGGGAGGTGCTACACACTTTTAAACAACCAGATTTCATGAGAACTCACTCGTTATCAAGAGAACAGCAAGGGTAAGTCCACCCTCATGATCCAATCACCCTGCACCAGGCCCCATCTCCAACACTGGAAATTACAATTTGACATGAGATTTGGGCGGAGACATAAATCCAAATCATATCAAGTAGTTTCCGAAATACTAGTCTGAACAGGCAATTTCCTAACTTTAGTCCCTTCTTTGCTTTCATGACTTTTAAGGCTCTTAGTAATCAGACTCTAGTGTTTCTTTCAAGCATTCTTTCTCAGTTCCATACTCTCTCTTCACCCCAAGCATACTGGGACTCTTGCAATTTCCCAAATTTGCTATGTTTTATTGGACCCTGGTGCCCCTTGGCCTGTCACTTCCTCTGCCTGAAATGTTATTCAGTACTCCTGCTTCTAATTCAGCATAGATGTAAACCTCTCTGACCACTTCTGCTCCCCAGAATGATATTCACCATACAGGTATTTAGAAGCAGTATGACACTGGCACCAACCAATCAAAATAGATGCTGTGTATAGAGGTCACATTTTTAAAGACGTTAGAATAGGGCATGAAACCTGATAAGAGCTGTCTTAATCAGTTCAGGCTTCTATAACAGAATATCATCAATTAGATGGCTTGAACAACAGAAATTTGTTTATCATAGTACTGGAGATTGAGAAGTACAGCATTAAGGCATTAGCAGATCCAGTGTCTCATGAGGATATGCTTCCTGTTTTGCAACTGGCCATCTTGTTGTATCCTCAAGTGGCAGAGAGCAGAGACAAAGAGCAAGCTTTCATGCCTCTTCTTAAAAGGCACTAATCTCATTAATGAGGGCTTCAACTTCATGATCTAATTATCTCCCAAAGGCCCCACTTACTAAGACTATCACACTGGACATTATGATTTCACAGTATAAAATTTAGGGGGACACAAACATTCAATCCATAGCAAACAATATATCACTATTACTATTTGCTATTATTATATAGACAAAAGAAAAATATTTGTTATGAAATTGTGAGAATTCTGTTGTATTTTTCTATTATTATAATATTCATTTTGCAGCTTAAAAAATAGTTAAATTATAAAAATGTGTCATGACTTTTGTGGGAGTTGAAATAGGATGACAAGAGGAGTCACCTGGCCAGAACTGAAGGTCAATATTGGTGGCTAGTGTGAGGGAGTGTTGTGTTAGATTATAGGTTGTTTGCTTTGCCAATTGATGAATTTAGATTTGATCCAGTAGACAACAGGGTACCTTTCCAGTAGCTTGTAATTATAAGACTACAAGTTGCAAGTGATCCTTGAAAATGGTGAGCTGGGCAATGGTGCAGAAAATGGATTTGAGAGCAAAGAGACTTGAGACTAGGAAATTAGTTTGGAAATTGTTGTGGTATTGTAAATAAGGAGGTTTAGATAAGAGTAGTGGCAGCCAGAGTTGAGACAAAGCGCCAAACTCGAATGCTATTAGATACCACGCTTCCTTAGTGGTGAATGAGAAATAATAATGTTAAAAGGGACATAGTGATGTGGTCAAATAGTGTATATAATTATCAGGAATGTATCTATACTGAAGAGTTAGCCACTCAGAAGCCTCATTTCCCCTGCCTATAGCCAAATAATTGTATTGGTGATGAGGTAAATATTAAGGGGAAAGAGCTGACATAATCATCTAAACAAAGCTACAAGGATCATCACTGTAGAACGGACTATAGTTTTCCAAATACATATGTATTGAATAGAGTCCAATCACCTTTGACCACATACAAACATCTACAAGATATGTACTCTGTCATAATATGAGTTCTGCAATTGAGAAGGTGAATTTGAGGGTTTGATAAGAACTAGAAATATATTCTTCCTGGATAAGTACTAGAAGCTCCTGAATATTGTCAGAACTGCACTTAGGTTAACAATAAATCCAGTCAGGTTTCCAGTTTTATATCTGGTTGTTCTAAATAAAGTTTAACCACCAGGAAGCAGTATCACCTTTTAAAATACTGAATATTCAGCTAATGTTGTCACCAAATAATTGCATAAAATAGTTTATTTGGACCAGGTTCATAAAGCAGAAAACAGACTTAGTGAACCAACTCTTGAACATTTTTCAAGGCTAAAATATAGATTGACAAGTGGTGGACTCACAGAATTGACAGAATCTCAGCTGCCAGTATTTCTCAGATTTGATGTTGAAATTCAATCTCAATTGCCAATTAAAAAAAGAAAAGCAAGTTGAGGAGTATTTAGCTTCCCCATGAGCTTATCAAATACTGTGTTTGTCTATTCCTGTTTGTTTTGTTTTTAGAAGTTGATTATTTTCTTCCTAGTAAACATTCCTAGTAAACACTCTTGGCCAGTTGGTGGTGATATGATGCCAACATGTAAATGTTGCTTTCCGTCTTCTTTAGAAAACAACTGGGGAATGTAGCAATATAATTATCAACCATTATAACTTGATGAATATTCTATTTCTAAGCAGTCTGTTTTTCCTTTGAGGCCCCTATGTTTAACAGTGAACATTGGCACTAGCCATGAAACAGTACTCTTTGATATACTTAAACATTCTGAATGAAGCTTTTTTTTTTCATTTTTAAGGCCTGAAAAGACATTTTCATATGGTGGAATTAACAGTCTGAAATGACTGTCTAGATTTAGCATAGGCAGTTCAGTTTTACCCCCATTGTAGGCAATTCTGTGCTTCTGGGAAAGATTCCAGCACCACCAATTATGCCAAAATATGTTTTACTAAGATATAGTGAGGCATGTAGTGCAGAATCCTGTGATGTGTATTAAATTCTTGCCCTCTTTTCTCCTAAGTGCTTCTTCAAATAAATCACCTTAAACCTATAAAAATGGAAAGGAGATAAAAGACTTCCCAGGTTTCGGATGCTGAAATGGCCTTTTTCCTTATGATGCCAAGGAAGTAAGACAGTGAAGTATTGTCTTGCTGATGTTTGCTTACTAGTCAAACTAGAAAGCTGAAGAGATTCTTCGTACACAGATGTAAACAACCAATGTAGAAGCCCATTATATCGGAAATGTTTCGAGTGAATCAAGGAATGATTATCACCTCTACACTGAAGCAGACCTTAGGAAAAGAAATGGAATGGGATGTGGGCAACAAATATCCATATGAAAAAGAAAACCATCTGAAATTTCAAAGAAAACCCAATTCCATTTTCAGAGGTATTGTTCTAAGTCTTTTAATATTCTGAAGAACCTTTTTAAACTGATGGTACAACGTTAGTAAAGTAGAATGAGAAGTGATTTATAATGAGTAGGTGCCTAAGGACTGTCTTTTTATGCAACTGAATTTGTTCCAAGCAGAGGAAAGAGAAAAAGAAAAATTCAAGCTAGAATCAAATAATAATAATAAAAAAAGCCATTGATCTATCCTTTGAAATAGACAAAAGTAATACAAAGTATCACATTTCAATGTCAAGAACTCCAGGGACCTAATATTTATAGAAGCTGGAAACTTATATTAGACTGTGGGAAGAGATATTCCTGATTTTTCTCCCTTGGAATTTCCATTTCTAAATGCTTTAAAATAATCTGAGTAGAAATAAATTGATAGAAAACAGGCAACTGTCTTTATTTCAGTTTTTAGTTTAGAAGAAGAATTTTTCAATCATGGGAAGAAAGAAAATTGCATAACATATATAATTCAGGTTTTCTTCTTAACTGCAATTCAATGTTGTGCTCAGTACCGTGTTTATTATTCTACAATTCTATGATTATTAAGCTACCATGATTTTCAGATTTAGGCCGGAGTTTGTAAAACAAAATTTGCCAGGGAAAAATATGCTAATTAGTGAGGTTTGATGTTTAAATTAGGCTTGTTCTGAAAGCACTGCTAACTTTAGCATTGGTGCCTGCACTTAGAGTTTTATATCACACCATTGGGATTATACTGTATTTATTAACAGACACACATAGCATGTGACATGAAGGAAATTTGAAAATGCAGTACTTTTCCCTTTGCATCATAGTTTTATTCATGAACTTTTTTTTGGGTATAGTGGATGGGATATGCTCTAGAAGAAAAATAAGTTATTGGTCAAGTGTTTCTATGGTGCTCACGCTAAGGCATCTCTGACTATAAGCACATGACTTAACTCATCTTTACAAGCATTGTATCAGAGGAGAATAGGAATAAACTCTATGTTCAGGTTTTCTGTAATTGGACTTTCGTTAGGTGTGTGACATAAAGGATGCTAGGTGAGAGATTTTGCTTTCCACTGGTAAGGGGACCACTGTACCAGTTTGCCTAGGATTTTCCCTTGGGTTGTGGAACTTTCAGTGGTAAAACCAGAACATACTGAAGAAAATTGAGATGGCTGATGTGGTAGGCTGACATCTGTGATGGTCCTTAAAACTTTGATGTACATATCTGTATGATTCTGTATATCTATATCTGTATGATTCTGTATATCTGTATGATTCTCATCCCTTGAATGTGGGTAGGAATTGTGAATGGGGTACCACTCTTGTGATTAGGCTACTAATCTGTGGATTGAGACTTATCACGAAGGTAATTATTCTATGTGAGTGTGACCTAATCGGGTGATGCTTTATAAAAGGCACCAAGCCATTCCTAAAAAGAGATTCTCCTGCTGACTTAAGTTTTATAGCATTAGCTTAAAAATTACCATGAGTCTTACAGCATTAGCTTAGAAATTACACAATTTATAAAGTTAGAAAGAAGAGCTTTATTTCTTATAAAGGGCTACAGACCTCAAGGTAGCCATTCTGACATGTTGAGAAATGTAGCCTGTGGTAGAGCCTGAAAGGCAAGCACTTTGAGGGAGTGAGGAGTAAATCAGGCATTTAAGCTGAATGGCCATATTTAAGAGTATATAGGAGAAACTATGAATATTCATGACAAGGGGTCGTGCCTATGTGTCATAAGCAAACATGCATGTTACATGTGATCCATGTTCATTTTGGGGTGGAGACTTAAGATTTAAATGTATTACAGTTTGGACCTACACATAAAAACGTGAAGTAGGGACACAGAAGCACTCAAGTGTGTAGCCTCTGTAAACTGGCCAGAACCAATCCATGGCCAGTGGTCTTTTATCAGGAAAAGTTACAGAACTCAGTCTCTTGTCCAGTCAAAGTTATAGTTATGGCTTGTGGAATGGGGGGCTCAGTTAGTCAGCGACTGGTGGTGGGTATGCTGCAACTGCTTACACATTGCTTATCTCAAGGCCAGTGATTGTTTAGCTGCTCGAGAGAAATAAATTAAGAAAATCTTATAACAATTAGAACACAGCTGATTCTTAAGTGCAGGGTGTGTGACTTAACCTCTTCCTGGTGTGGCCTTAGGTCTTGTATATAATTTGATATCTTACTGCTATAAAGAGTCTGTTCTATTTGTCTTATGATTTCTGTTTTAACATTAATGCTTGTCAGTTTTTGTGTCTAAACCACAAAATGGAGGGGATATAATAAGGTGTGTCTGACCTCCCTTCCTGTCATGGCCAGAAACACAGCTTCCAAAGTTTCTCTGGGATCCCCTTGGTCAAGAGAGGGTCCAGTCAGTTTGGGGTGCTTTATGGTTTTATTTTAGTTTTCAATAGCCACAAAGAACTGAACTCTGCCAACAACCAGTGAGCTGAGAAAAGGATCCCGAGCCTCAGATGAGATCACAGCCCCAGCCAACACCTTGATTTCAGCCTGGTGAGACCCTGAGCAGAGGACCAAGCCATCCTGTTCCTGGCTATCTGATCCATGGACACTGTGTTGTTTCAAGCCACTAAATTTGTGGTAATTTGTTACACAGCAATAAAATACTACAAATGCAATTGGTCATTCTACTTCAGAATGGAATAAAATGTATGGACTTGTCACCCTTTCTTGGACCTAAAAGGGGTCATCTTTCTTGAACCATAGCACTACTTGTTTTAAGAATCATATATTTGAAGAAAGTATGTCAGAACAGTTGTCATGCATAGGTATTCAGCTGTAGAAAGAGGATATAGAGCGAGCGGAGTGTTGCCAAGAAGGGAGTGCAGTGGAATGATCTCTCAGCACTCAGGAATAAATGGTCTCCAATTTGGAGAGGAGGCTAAAATAGAATATATATCAGGAAAGGGTAGGGAAATGGAGCATATTTTTATTAAGCATTGTACAGAGCAGTGATTTTCCTGTCTTTTATTTGCCTTTCTTTTGTTTTCTTTTTTAAGGAAAGGTCATCTACTCTGGAGTTCAGTGGTGCAATCATATCTCACTGCAGCTTTGACCTCCCAGGCTCAGCTGTCCTCCCACATCAGCCTGCTAAGTAGCTGGGTAGCTGGGAATACAGGTGTGTGCCATCACGCCTGGCTAATTTTTGTATTTTTTGTAGAGGCAGGGTTTTGCCATGTTTCCCAGGCTGGTCTTGAACTCCTGGGCTCAAGTGAGCCACCTGCCTCTGTCTTCCAAATTGCTGGGATTACAGGCGTGAGCCACCACACTTGGCCCTGAGCAGTGATTTTTCAAACTGTGCTTGGTAACCAACCAGTGGGTTATGAAATCAATTGAGAAGGTTGCAATTAAAATAAAAGATATAGTATATAATAGAATAGAAGATAAATTAACAGAATGCTTGCAGGTAGTAAGTGCATTGTTTTGTAAAACTTTTGTTTCAGTTTTATATTTATATGTATATTGGTTGATGATGTTAAATGTTTTTTACTGAAGATTTCAGTCAAACAATTTTGGAAAACACTGATATAGTGTAATGGTTTAGAAAAAGGCTTCTCAAATTTGCACAGTAGAAAAAGTTGAAAAGAATTTTTAATTACGTATTACTGGTTCCTTGACTCCACCAAAAATTAATTGAAATTTCTGGAGATTGGATATGATTATAGTTTTGAAAAATCCACAGGTGATTCTGATTGCAGTGAAGTTTGAGAACTACTGGAGTAGAGCAGTAATTTTCTTTCTTTTTTTTTTTTTTTTTTAAGGAAAGATCTTGCTCTGTGCAGGGTCTGCACTCTGACAAAATGCATAATCTTAAAAAGCCCCAGTTTCCATATTTATCAAATATGGCTTAAAATTGCACCCATTTCATAAGCATGTTCAGAGAATGAAACCGAGAAGAAAACACATTGCCCAATTTATGGCAGAGTAACAGAGGAGTAAACAGTTTTTTTGTCATCAATCTATACAGTGTTTTAAGAATGGTTGCAAGTTGGTGAGAAGACACCGTATGACCACACCCACACAGTGGTCATATACAAATTTTGTCAGAAGCAGGGAACCCCACAAGGCAAAACAAGATGCAACATATCTTGGGATAGCTTTCTCATGGTTCCAGTTCCCTGAGGGAATGTGTGCTTATAGGTTACATTGTCCACACATGATGGGCCCTGCTAGAGCTGAGAAATAACTGGATCTGACACAATAGTAAAGTTTTTTTGTATACCCCACATATTTTATATTTTGGACCTAATTCACCTGTTGAAATAATTTACACTGGAAATCTTTACATTTTGCTTTAAAGAGAATGTTTACAAACCTTGTGCTCTCTTAGTTCTTTAACAAAACAAAGAACTAAAATCAGCCATATCCTCATCTGGGGAAATAGTCAGTGCCTCCTGTTTTTAGGTACTCTATGAAGCTCATTTCTGAGAGCTTCCTAGGTGGGTGCCAAATAGTCTGCTAGGCACTTTATAGACTTTAACTCATTTAATTCTCCCAATAATCAAAAGAGGGTAGGCATTGCTATTTCTAATGGGTAGATGAAGAAAAGAGTCTCAGAGTGGTTAAGAAACTTGTACAAGGTCACCTAAGAACTAAGTTGCAGAGCTGTGATACTGTGTAGTCAGGATGCTCCAGAGAAATAAAACCAATAGGAAGCATATATTTATAGACAAATATTTATTATATGGAGTTGGTTCACATGATTATGAAGGCTAGCAAGTCCAAATTTGCAGTGTAGGTTTGAGACCCAGGAGATCCAAGTGGTGCAAATCCAGTCCAAAGCCAGGCTTCCTGGAGACCCAGAAGAGCTAATGTGCAGATAAAGTTTAAAGGCAGTCTTTTGGAGAATACCCTATTGTTTAGGGAGGTTCTTCTTTTCTGTTCTATCCAGGATAAAGCCCATCCACATTATGGAGGGCAATCTGCTTATTCAAAGTTCACCAATTTAAATGTTAATATCACCCAGAAACACACACCTTCAAGTTGACACAAAATTAACCATCACAGATGTAAGCCCAGAAAGTCTGACTGAAGATCTCTTAACAATTTTGAGTATATAATATGTGAATGTCTGGCATTCAATAAGTATTTCCAATGTGCTAATTAATGCTCACAACAAATTTATGAGGTTAGTACTATTTTATCCTTATTTTACAAATAAAGGCTCAGAGAAGGTAAGAAACTTGTCTATGATCATGCAACAAGTAAATGTTAGAGCTGTAATTTCAATACAGGTTTTCTAAA
The DNA here is from genome assembly GCF_000001405.40 of Homo sapiens. Taxonomy (NCBI): domain Eukaryota; kingdom Metazoa; phylum Chordata; class Mammalia; order Primates; family Hominidae; genus Homo; species Homo sapiens. Next base: position 99,607,411 of record NC_000023.11, on the reverse strand, counting down.
TCAAAAGCCTGCTCTTTTCCTTTTACCATACTGCCTTCTCATTTTATCATAATGCCTCAATCGTAGCTTGAAGTGATTGGGGTAATTTTCTGTTTAATGAGAAGTAGTCGTAAACAATTCCAGTTATGTAAACGATTTATAGATTATTAAAATTTTATTTAAAGTCAATTATATGTATATCATATATATAACCAATTTCCTTTGAGAAATCGATATTTGTTGCATACTCTTAAGATCATAATAAAAAAGTGGATATTAAGTGAGCATGTATGTGTTAAATATTTTTCTATGGACTTTATATATGCTATGATTGTTACAGATAAACAAATTGAGATACAGAAATGCAAGTGGCAAAGTTGGGACTCAAAGCCAGGTAGACTGATTCTGGAACCTGAACTTTTTTTTCACCTCTACAGCATATTCCCACTTCTGATAACACACAGCTCTGCAGCATTACTATTGATATTAAGCATAAAACATTGGAATATAGTATTTCCATCACATCTATGAAAGATACAGAAAAATAAGCAAGAGAAAAGTAAAAGCAGTTAGGAAGTCTTCAAAATATAACTAAGACTCAAAGGCAAACAAGGGGGATTTTAGGATGGATACGATTTTAAATAAAGATTTCATATTTCTGATTGTGAAAAAGTGGATGTCTCAGTTCTAGAGACATTTAAAATTAGATAATGCATTGAAAAATGTACCATAGGAAAAAAACCCCATCCTTAACAGAAAAGATACAAGGAAGAATGCTGTTCACAAAATTGAAAGATCTGAGTTCCCTTTTATAATTTTATTTGGACATTTATATGATTAAAAAATAGTGATTCTTTTATACTGTCTCAGGTTCTGAGACCTGTCAATGGAAGGGTGTGAAACCATTTTCATTTAATGCTATTCTGAAGATTACTATTTATATTGATATTTTAGTTCAGGTCAGAGATTTGGTTAAATATGAGAATGTTTAGTTCTAGAAAAGAGAACAAGAAAACATTGAAATTATGAAGTCTACAACAATCACATTCTGTGTCTCTGTGTACTTCTTGACTTTTGTGATTTTCAATGATAGCATTATAGTATCCATAGTCAACATCGTTCTCCTCTGTTTATAGGTTTTGTGAAGAATAAATGTACCTTGGAACTATGGAGACCTGCCTATCTCCTAGTTTGACTATCTCAGTTGATAGATTTCTCCTTCACATATTATTTACGTATTTATTTTGAATCTATGTACCTTGATCTCTCTCCTCCCCTGACATACACACATATTTAAAAGATGTATCTGGTGTGGTAAATAGAGATTAATGGTAAAGAAAAAATAACTTTTTGGAATAAAGGTTTTTATTTATTTATTTATTTATTTATTTTCCAGTGTAGGCTGCTTTGCTTGTAAGAAATTGGCTTCAGGTATTTGTATCAACTTCCACCCCCCTAGGGCTTTCAAAGACGTTCCTTTCAGTGATTCTTATAAAATGGAAAGGATCAAAATGGTTAAATAACACTGCACCCTTAATAAACACCACCACCACCAACATTCCACTGAGGAAAGAAAAATATTGAACTACAAAATAAAACAAGAGGCGTAAATCAGATGCTGTAGGAAGAAAGGGCAGAGAGCCATATTATTAGTGAAAATCCTGGAGTAACAGAACCAGTAGTAGTTGATTTTGTATTCTCTTTCAAGGTTTCAGCTCTTAGAAAAATGAGACAATTACCCTCTTCCACAATCCTAAACTGTAAAATTTCTTGCTGCTCTAATTCTTTAGTACTCATGTAATTTATTATTGCAAGCATGCACTTATGTATCTGCTATTATTTTTGATTTCCTTCATTATTAGCTTCATGGCTTTTTAAACAGGTATTAACCTAGGGAGAAAAGAGACAAAAGATAGAAAGGGAAGGACTGACGGAAGGAAGGAAGGAAGGAAGGAAGGAAGGACGGACGGACGGACGGAAGGGACGGAGGGACGGATGGAAAAGAAGAACCCAATAAGGAATGTTACTGAAAAATAGTGGAACATAGCAATGCCTTCCCCGAGAAAACTTTTCAATGCCTCCAGAAGTGACAGCAGTATGTTCTGTAATGCTAAGAAGGTGCTTTTAATGTATATAGAATGACTTAGGACTCAGATATTTCATGAAGAACCACTAATGTGGCTTCTTGTTTTTAACAAGGTCTGAGCATTTTCTGTATCCTTTGCAAGTTGAAGATTTTTTTAGTGCCTGTCCCTTCCCTTTGGCAAAACAGAGCGGGAATTGACAGTAAAAGGTCTTTCACAGTCTGGATTCACATTCTCACACTTGCTTTTCACCCTCTCCAGGCACTTCTAAAGGAGGGGTTTCTCGTGGTTGGCACTACAGCCTCAGGCATTTGTACCACACTACTGGAGGTTCCCAATTATTCTTATGATCAGACCCTTGCAGCTTGAGGGAAAAGGGACAGTTAATTGGATGTCTTCCATCCTTCCAAATCTAGTGCAAAGTTCTCATATATTATTTAGTAAGGCATGTATAATTGGTCAACCAACACAATCTCAACTACTTTTTATCTTCCACATTAAGAAATGGATAAATGTATGTATTAACTCTACAAAACACCTGATAGTTATTAACCTATAATTATAGTGGAATTTGTTAAAGTCTAAACAATATAATGCTATAGCAAGTATGCATCCCCACTATAAAGATAAATTGGTGTCTATGTTCTTGTTCTCTTTGTTTATGTAGTGTTGACACTTATAATCTGCATCACAGTTAAAATATATGAACAGTTTTGGAAGATTTTGTCAGCCACTAGAGAGGTTTGTTTATATTAAGGCAATTGTCTGTTTGTGAAAGAAGGAGACACACTAGTAGAAGCAGTGATCCAGTGTCATAAAGACAAAAATAAGAGAAAGTAAACATTAAAAATCAAGTTTCAAAGTAAGCAAAGACCATAGCTCACTCCTTCCTCTCCTTCTCCACCATTCCTAAATGTATTGACCAGGAAATCACCCCATGTTATACTTTGAAGAGAGAGAAATTGCATTAAGAAACCCAATACATTTTCAAAAGGAAAGTGTTAATTTTAGATAGGATCACACCGGATCCCAAACAGTGCAGTATGGAGCTGGATGAAGGAGAAACATGGTGGTTTCCTTACACACATCCTGCATGAAAAATAAACCCATTAATTAGAGCATTAGAGAAATTCTTTTAAAGCCTGTGTGTAGGCCACATATTTTAGTGTTATAAAAATAATATATGTTTTCTTGGCCAGGAGCGGTGGCTCACGCCTGTAATCCCAGCACTTTCGGAGGCCGAGGCAGGTGGATCACGAAGTCAAGAGATCGAGACCATCCTGTCAAACATGGTGAAGCCCCGTCTCCATTAAAAACACAAAAATTAGCTGGGTGTGGTGGCGTGCACCTGTAGTCCCAGCTACTCGGGAGGCTGAGGGAGGAGAATGGCTTGAACCTGGGAGGCGGAGGCTACAGTGAGCCCAGATGCACCACTGCACTCCAGCTTGGCAACAAAGCGAGACTCTGTCTCAAAAAAAAAAAAAAAAAAAAAAAAAAAAAAACAACTTTTTTTTCTTTTATGAAAAGGGAGATTGCTTAAATTTAACATAAAATTGGAAGTTTATGCTCAGTTGAAACGCCATGTATTTGTGAGCATGTCCAGTGAGCTCTGATGAACATAGCAGACACTCTTTTTCATAGTACCCTGGGCTGGGAAAATGAAGGCTTGGAATCTGGGCAAGCTTACAAAAATGAACACCTGAGACTTCAGAAAAACTTTAATCTTCTTGAGATTTCAGGGAGATAAAGATATTAGTAAGTGGCCAGATGCTGGTATTGAATACCAGATTGTCTTTGCTATCCAAGTAATCTGTCTTTATTTGAATAGCTGGCAAATACTTTTCTGACAACTATTAAGACACTTCTGGAAGTGTTTATGAGTGACACATTTTATTCATCAATAAATTAATGGATGATATCAAGATTGCCAAACTAAGATTTTACACAGAAAACCACAAAGAAGGAAAGGAAACTTTTTCCCTCTGTAAACATTTTCTTTTCTGTTCTTCCTTTTTTTTTCTACATGGTTTTCTTTTGTTGTGGTAATGCAGAACTCTACATCCGTTGTAAAAAGAGCTGTGAAGGGGGTTGGGGATTAGTTCTCATAAAGAAAAAAATGTAGAGAATTCTGTAGGTGACAAAGTAAGTAATGAAACATGCTACGATTTATTATATCTCCTTCAAAATCCTTAAACTATATATTGCACACACAATAGTAAGTCTATTTTAGATGAAACAGACAATCTCCTTTGTAGGAAAAAATAACTTTTGAACAGTGCATGTATTCTTTGCTGATTAGAAACTTACATGCTTATAGAGTTTTGTAAGAAGAAACAATGTGATTATCAAAATTAGTTCAAAGTGATTGGACTCTACAATATTATATTTTTTGATCTAATGAAAAGAAAGTGTTGGGAAAATTGAAGAGTATAATGAATTATTATTAAAGTGGTCATTTTGTCAATTTTCCTTAAATACCAGTTGTCAGAAGAAGGTGTGGGCTCTTCTTTGCTAATAGTAGTAATGGATGGTTTATTTTTCATTTGTACAAACTTAAGGTTACCTATGAAATTTTGTTACATGTATAAGATGCACAATGATCAAGTCAGGGTATTTAGGGTGTCCACAATCCAAGTATGATACAATTTTAAGTATATTAACCCTATCCTGCTATTAAACTTTGAATTTATTCCTTCTGTCTTACTGTATGTTTGTACCCTTTAACCCACTTCTTTTCATCCTCCCCTCTCTCCTCTTCTTCACTACAAGGAAGCAATATTACTTGGAGAAATAGTCGATTCCAGGATTAGGTCATGGAAAGTACACAACAAGCCTGGGACATATTGCTGTGTAAGAAATTAAGAAAATGTTAAAAAATATATATGGGAACTTATTCAAATGACATAGGGTCCAACTTGAAGGATCTTCAAATGGCCAATGTTTGAACAGCTTAAGTAACAAAGTAACCAATGATAGTCATGTGTTACATCTTGTAGAATGAAATACATATCCAGCAAGACTTAAAATAAGTTCTGAAGAAACCCACAACAGTTAGCAGTAGTGATCAAGGACACCTGTACTTCTTACTCTGGAGTGTTTGTGAAACCTCAAAATTAGAAGCATATTTTGGTATGGTATATGTACATTTTTTTCTTGGTGAGACTCTATAACTTTAAAGAGATTTTTAAAGTTGTAACTTCAGGAGTATTAAGAACCATTGAAAATTTGAGATTCCTTTGGTATTAAAATCCAGTAGTTTTAATTTTATGTATTTACTGTACTTTCCAGAGGGTTATCTATATGGCTGCAATAAAATACAGTATATAATTTTGTTGTAATAATAGTGTACCTAGTTTTATTAATTAATTAATTAATTATTTATTGAGACAGAGTCTTGCTTTGTCGCCCAAGCTGGAGTGAAGTGGCACGAACTCTGCTCCTGGGTTCTCTGGGTTCAAGCGATTCTCCTGCCTGAGCCTCCCGAGTAGCTGGGATTACAGCCTAGTAAATCTAATATAATCATGGAAATACCTTATCATTCATGGTAATGCTTTTAGTTTATCTTCAGATTGGAATAGAAAAAAAGTCTAAGTAAGGAAGGCCAAATGTTGCCTACATCTGAATTATCCCACTCCTCCTTTTGTATTATGACATTATCATGCATACAAATAGTTATGTTTAAACAGTATTTTAACCTCATCTAATACTTACACCGTATATAAATCTAACAATTATGTCACTTCGATTGTCATGATTACTGTAGCTTACAGAAAACTCATCACAGGGTAGGTTAAATGTCTCTCTCTTTATATATAATACACAGAGGTACTTGCCTATAAGAGAAATTGAAATCATGCACTTATCTGCAAAATATAACATACGTGGATAAATCAGAAACTATGAAATTGGTTACCTACAAATCATGTGTGTGTTGGGGTGGACAGCATGGAAGGGTTGGGAAGGTAAGTAACAATTGTTGTGATGCTCTACATATACAGGGAATAAAATGAAGTAAACCAGAATGGGAAAAAACTCTCTAAAACTACATGCAGATAGAAACAAATGTACCCAAATGTATTTCACATAGATTACATAATCAAACTTAAGGAAGGAAAAAGGGAACTAATCCATGCAACATTTAAAAACAGTACGTTGACTATATAAAAAAGGATTGCAAATGGAACTGTAACTCTTGAACTCTTTTTGATTGATGATACATAGAAACACATATAGACATAGATAGATGATGGATATACTGACAAGTTTTTATATACTGCAGGATCAAGAAAATATGTAAATATGTGCTTTCTTTTGGAGGAAGAGCTTGAGTTCTTATGGAAGATGGGGAATATGACTATGGAACAGAGTAGTGCAAACTATACGGGGGTAAACTGGAATTGGAGATATTAGTATAAACTCATGATTTTCCAGCTTTGACAGAGGAAAGGTCCTGCAAGTAAATATATCCCACTTAGCTCTCAGATTATGGTTTCTAAATATCAATCCACACTACAGAAGCACAGCTTCTTAGATAAATGTCTAATGCCAGCATTAGCATAGGTAAAGCACAAAATGAGCCTGAAACATCTTTTGCCAAAAAGTAAGAAAGTATTCAAAAGGTGGCATGAAGCATATCCAAAATACGGCTTGAAGGGGTCCCCACTGGTCAAATCTTAGACAATTGTAGCATCAAAATAAAAAATAAGAGCAATGTATTATAACCCATTGATTTTTAAAAAGTGGAATCCATGAGTTTATGCTGATCATAAAAATATAAATGATTAATAAATGCATAAATTAAGAGGGATGAGAAGATGCTTCCCTACAGTATAATGCTGTCATAAACATGAAAGAAGTGGTGGAATTGAAGGTGGGGATAACCATTGCATGATCATCATCATAAAGATGCAAGAATCATCAATGGATTCAAAACTGAGTGAGGAGAATTGATTAGGAGCAGGGTAATGGTATGGCCTCAAAGGATCTTGCACATAGAGGGATTATTGATTGCAAGGTAAAAGCTGGTAACTGCACAATAGAAAAACCTGAGAATGGAGAAACTATACAACATAGTAACTATACAATGAAGAAATCTTGCAGCTAATAATACATGACAACTAATTAATGTGTAATATAATTGCAACTAATAATAAAGTAATTATAATAATTGAAACTAATAATATATAATAATTGCAACTAAAAATATATTATAATAATTGCAACTAATCATATGTTATATTATGTAATGTTGAAGGTTCCTTCTCTCTACATATATAGTAAATATATAGTATATATCATATATTCCTATAATATACATTATATGTTGTATATTAAATATATATATATAAATTACTATATATTATATATGCATATATATATATATATATATATATATATATATAAAACTAGTTGCAAGATTTCTCTTTTCTATAGTTACTACATTGTAGTTTCTCCATTCTCAGGTTTCTCCATTGTGTAGTTACTAGCTTTTACTTTGCAATTAATAATCCCTCTATGTGCAAGACACTTTGAGACCATACCATTACCCTGCTCTTCATCAATCCTCCCTATTAATTTTGAATCCACTGATGATTCCTCCATATAAACACACACACACACACACACACACACACACACACACACACACACATACATAGAGAGAGAGAGAGACAGAGACAACAAATGCAACTGAAACAAAATTTAAATGTTTGGAAATTCGGGTTGCATATATGTCCGAGTTTTCTTTACCATTCGTGTTACTTATCTATCAGTTTAAAATTATTTACATTTTTTAAAATATAAAAAACAATGGAAAGTTTATAGGGTAGAGAAACAACTCTTCCCCCTCCCATTATATTTGTTAAAAGCAATCTCTGACATAAGTAACCTATGAATATTTTTAGTGAATAAACTTTTGTCACCAATAATATTTTTGTTTATAGCACTTAGGTTTTTATATAAATTTTGCACATATTTATTGTTTCTTATAACACTTATGTGATAGAAACATATATTTTTCTTCATCTTGCAGTTGACATAAATCTAAGTGCAAAATAATGTTATCTTAGATGTCCAGATGTAAAATTAATGGTCCTATTAATTTCACATATTCTCATAACTAATTATGTTTTTTTGACACTCACTTTTTACAGGGGGGAAATAAATGCAGGTCTCTTTTTTAACTTTTTTTTCATGTATTTGGGTTTGGAATTATCTGTGATGTCATCCTATATGTAAGCTGTCACATTTAATTCAAAAACATAAACTGTTGTCTAGAATCCAGCAGGCGTACTTGGCTTTATTCTCTCTCTGGTCTATATATGAAATTGTAACCTAACTTTTCATCACATATCTTTGGATTTTCCCCAAATAGTTCACTGAAATATTCATCTATTTAGGCTGGTAGAGTATCAATTTAATATCAGATAGTGATCAATAACAGACATTGGGGAAAAAGACTCAGAATTAAGAAGGAAAAACTATAATCAGCAGAGAATGTTGCAAGTAAATAAGTACATAAGAATACATTTGACTTCAAACATTTGAGACACAGATTTTTTTTTTTGGTCTTTGAGTTTGAAAAGTTCTGATATCTTCCATCACTGATGAAATGAATGAAATGAAGCAAGAAGGGAAGTTTAGAGAAAAAAGAATAAAAATAAATGAACAAAGCCTCCAAGAAATATGGGACGATGTGAAAAGACCAAATCTACATCTGATTGGTGTACCTGAAAGTGACGGGGAGAATGGAACCAAGTTGGAAAACACTCTGCAGGATGTTATCCAGGAGAACTTCCCCAGTCTAGCAAGGCAGGCCAAAATTCAGATTCAGGAAATACAGAGAACGCCACAAAGATACTCCTCAAGAAGAGCAACTCCAAGACACATAATTGTCAGATTCACCAAAGTTGAAATGAAGGACAAAATGTTAAGGGCAGCCAGAGAGAAAGGTCAGGTTACCCACAAAGGGAAGCCCATCAGACTAACAGCGGATCTCTCGTCAGAAACTCTACAAGCCAGAAAAGAGTGGGGGCCAATATTCAACATTCTTAAAGAAAAGAATTTTCAACCCAGAATTTCATATCCAGCCAAACTAAGCTTCATAAGTGAAGGAGAAATAAAATACTTTACAGACAAGCAAATGCTGAGAGATTTTTTCACCACCAGGCCTGCCCTACAAGAGCTCCTGAAGGAAGCACTAAACATGGAAAGGAACAACCAGTACCAGCCACTGCAAAATCATGCCAAATTGTAAAGATCATCGAGGCTAGGAAGAAACTGCATCAACTAACGAGCAAAATCACCAGCTAACATCATAATGACAGGATCAAATTCACACATAACAATATTAACTTCAAATGTAAATGGACTAAATGCTCCAATTAAAAGACACGGACTGGCAAATTAGATAAAGAGTCAAGACCCATCAGTGGGCTGTATTCAGGAAACCCATCTCACGTGCAGAGACACACATAGGCTCAAAATAAAAGGATGGAGGAAGATCTACCAAGCAAATGGAAAACAAAACAAGGCAGGAGTTGCAATCCTAGTCTCTGATAAAACAGACTTTAAACCAACAAAGATCAAAAGAGACAAAGAAGGCCATTACATAATGGTAAAGGGATCAATTCAACAAGAAGAGCTAACTATCCTAAATATATATGCACCCAATACAGGAGCACCCAGATTCATAAAGCAAGTCCTGAGTGACCTACAAAGAGACTTAGACTCCCACAGAATAATAATGGGAGACTTTAACACCCCGCTGTCAACATTAGACAGATCAATGAGACAGAAAGTTAACAAGGATATCCAGGAATTGAACTCAGCTCTGCACCAAGTGGACCTAATAGACATCTACAGAACTCTCCACCCTAAATCAACAGAATATACATTTTTTTCAGCACCACACCACACCTATTCCAAAATTGACCACATACTTGGAAGTAAAGCTCTCCTCAGCAAATTTAAAAGAACAGAAATTATAACAAACTGTCTCTCAGACCACAGTGCAATCAAACTAGAACTCAGGATTAAGAAACTCACTCAAAACCGCTCAACTACATGGAAACTGAACAACCTGCTCCTGAATGACTACTGGATACATAAGAAAATGAAGGCAGAAATAAAGATGTTCTTTGAAATCAACGAGAATGAAGACACAACATACCAGAATCTCTGGGATGCATTCAAAGCAGTGTGTAGAGGGAAATTTATAGCACTAAATGCCCACAAGAGAAAGCAGGAAAGATCCAAAGTTGACACCCTAACATCACAATTAAAAGAACTAGAAAAGCAAGAACAAACACATTCAAAAGCTAGCAGAAGGCAAGAAATAACTAAAATCAGAGCAGAACTGAAGGAAATAGAGACACAAAAAACCCTTCAAAAAATTAATGAATCCAGGAGCTGGTTTTTTGAAAGGATCAACAAAATTGATAGACTGCTAGCAAGACTAATAAAGGAAAAAAGAGAGAAGAATCAAATAGACGCAATAAAAAATGATAAAGGGGATATCACCACCGATCCCACAGAAATACAAACTACCATCAGAGAATACTATAAACACCTCTACACAAATAAACTAGAAAATCTAGAAGAAATGGATAAATTCCTCGACACATACACTCTCCCAAGACTAAACGAGGAAGAAGTTGAATCTCTGAATAGACCAATAACAGGATCTGAAATTGTGGCAATAATCAATAGCTTACCAACCAAAAAGAGTCCAGGACCAGATGGATTCACAGCTGAATTCTACCAGAGGTACAAGGAGGAACTGGTACCATTCCTTCTGAAACTATTCCAATCAAAAGAAAAAGAGGGAATCCTCCCTAACTCATTTTATGAGGCCAGCATCATTCTGATACCAAAGCCGGGCAGAGACACAACCAAAAAAGAGAATTTTAGACCAATATCCTTGATGAACATTGATGCAAAAATCCTCAATAAAATACTGGCAAACCGAATCCAGCAGCACATCAAAAAGCTTATCCACCATGATCAAGTGGGCTTCATCCCTGGGATGCAAGGCTGGTTCAATATATGCAAATCAATAAATGTAATCCAGCATATAAACACAGCCAAAGACAAAAACCACATGATTATCTCAATAGATGCAGAAAAGTCCTTTGACAAAATTCAACAATGCTTCATGCTAAAAACTCTCAAGAAATTAGTTATTGATGGGACGTATTTCAAAATAATAAGAGCTATCTATGACAAACCCACAGCCAATATCATACTGAATGGGCAAAAACTGGAAGCATTCCCTTTGAAAACTGGCACAAGACAGGGATGCCCTCTCTCACCACTCCTATTCAACAGAGTGTTGGAAGTTCTGGCCAGGGCAATTAGGCAGGAGAAGGAAATAAAGGGTATTCAATTAGGAAAAGAGGAAGTCAAACTGTCCCTGTTTGCAGATGACATGATTGTATATCTGGAAAACCCCATTGTCTCAGCCCAAAATCTCCTTAAGCTGATAAGCAACTTCAGCAAAGTCTCAGGATACAAAATCAATGTACAAAAATCACAAGCATTCTTATACACCAATAACAGACAAACAGAGAGCCAAATCATGAGTGAACTCCCATTCACTATTGCTTCAAAGAGAATAAAATACCTAGGAATCCAACTTACAATGGACATGAAGGACCTCTTCAAGGAGAACTACAAACCACTGCTCAGTGAAATAAAAGAGGATACAAACAAATGGAAGAACATTCCATGCTCATGGGTAGGAAGAATCAATATCGTGAAAATGGCCATACTGCCCAAGGTAATTTATAGATTCAATGCCATCCCCATCAAGCTACCAATGACTTTCTTCACAGAATTGGAAAATCTACTTTAAAGTTCGTATGGAACCAAAAAAGAGCCCACATCGCCAAGTCAATCCTAAGCCAAAAGAACAAAGCTGGAGGCATCACGCTACCTGACTTCAAACTATACTACAACGCTACAGTAACCAAAACAGCATGGTACCGGTACCAAAACAGAGATATAGATCAATGGAACAGAACAGAGCCCTCAGAAATAACACCGCATATCTACAACTATCTGATCTTTCACAAACCTGAGAAAAACGAGCAATGGGTGCTGTTTTTAATAAATTTAATAAATGTGCTGGGAAAACTGGCTAGCCATATGTAGAAAGCTGAAACTGGATCCCTTCCTTACACCTTATACAAAAATTAATTCAAGATGAATTAAAGACTTAAATGTTAGACCTAAAACCATAAAAACCCTAGAAGAAAACCTAGGCATTACCATTCAGGACATAGGCATGGGCAAGGACTTCATGTCTAAAACACCAAAAGCAATGGCAACAAAAGCCAACATTGACAAATGGGATCTAATTAAACTAAAGAGCTTCTGCATAGCAAAAGAAACTACCATCAGAGTGAACAGGCAACCTACAAAATGGGAGAAAATTTTCGCAACCTACTCATCTGACAAAGGGCTAATATCCAGAATCTACAATGAACTCAAACAAATTTACAAGAAAAAAACAACCCCATCAAAAAGTGGGCAAAGGATATGAACAGACACTTCTCAAAAGAAGACATTTATGCAGCCAAAAAACACATGAAAAAATGCTCACCATCACTGGCCATCAGAGAAATGCAAATCAAAACCACAATGAGATACCATCTCATACCAGTTAGAATGGCAGTCATTAAAAAGTCAGGAAACAACAGGTGCTGGAGAGGATGTGGAGAAACAGGAACACTTTTACACTGTTGGTGGGACTGGAAACTAGTTCAACCATTGTGGAAGTCAGTGTGGCCATTCCTCAGGGATCTAGAACTGGAAATACCATTTGACCCAGCCATCTCATTACTGGGTATATACCCAAAGGACTATAAATCATGCTGCTATAAAGAGACATGCACACATATATTTATTGTGGCACTATTCACGATAGCAAAGACTTGGAACCAACCCAAAGGTCCAACAATGATAGACTGGATTAAGAAAATGTGGCACATATACACCATGCAATACTATGCAGCCATAAAAAATGATGAGTTCATGTCCTTTGTGGGGACATGGATGAAATTGGAAATCATCATTCTCAGTAAACTATCACAAGGACAAAAAACCAAACACTGCTTGTTCTCACTCATAGGTGGGAATTGAACAATGAAAACACATGGACCCAGGAAGGGGAACATCACACTCTGGGGACTGTTGTGGGGTGGGGGGAGGGGGAAAGGATAGCATTAGGAGATATATCTAATGCTAAATGATAAGTTAATGGTTGCAGCACACCAGCATGGCACATGTATACATAACCTGCACATTGTGCACATGTACCCTAAAACTTAAAGTATAATAATAATAAAATAAAAAACAAACTAACAAACAAAAAAAAGAAAAGTTCCGATATGACCTGCCACGGAAAGAATTCTGTACTAACCTTTACCTTTGATCTGCTCTCCTACTTTTCCTGAGACTATTACCAACTGCTTGCATTTCTCTGGATCATAATACAGCTCATGGAGTAGGAAGAGCTGAGTCCCTTTATTGCCCCTGTACTTGCAATACTCTATAACCAAAATTTTCTTTCTCCAATCACTCATTCTACCTATAATTTTGGGAAATACATAATCTTTTTTAAAAACCTTTTTTTCTTATAGGTTTTTGGGGAACAGGTGATATTTGGTTACATGAATAAGTTCTTTAGTGGTGATTTGTGAGATTTTGGTGCACCCATCATCCGAACAGTATACTCTGAACCCAATTTGTAGTCTTTTATCCCGCACCCCCCGCCCACCCTTTCCCTCAAGTCCCCGAAGTCCGTTGTATCATTCTTATGCCTTTTCATCCTCATAGCTTAGCTCCCACATATGAGTGAGAACATACGATGTTTTGTTTTCCATTCCTGAGTTACTTCACTTAGAATAATAGTTTCCAGTTTCATCCAGGTTGCTGTGAATGCCATTAATTCATTAATGTTTATGGCTGAGTAGTACTTGATTTTATATATATATATATATATATATATATATATGCCATAATTTCTTTATCCACTCGTCGATGGATGGGCATTTGGGCTGGTTCCATATTTTTGCAGTTGCGAATTGTGCTGCTATAAACATGGGTGTGCAAGTATCTTTTTTGTATAATGACTTATTTTCCTTTGGGTAGATACCCAGTAGAGGGATTGCTGGATCAAATGGTAGTTTTATGTTTAGTTCTTTAAGGAATCTCCACACTGCTTTCCATCGTGGTTGTACTAGTTTACATTCCCAACAGCAGCGCAGTGTAGAAGTGTTCCCTTTTCACCACATCCATCCACGTCAGCATCTATTATTTTTTAATTTTTTGATTATGGCCATTCTTGCAGGAGTAGGGTGGTATTGCATTGTGGTTCTGATTTGCATTTACCTGATCATTAGTGATGTCGAGCATTTTTTCATATGTTTGTTGGCCATTTGTATGTCTTCTTTTGAGAATTACCTATTCATGTCCCTAGCCCACTTTTTGATGGGATTGCTTGTTCTTTTCTTGCTAATTTGTTTGAGTTCCTGTAGATTCTGGATATTAGTCTCTTGTCGGATGTAGAGATTGTGAAGCTATTCTCTCACTCTCTGGGTTCTCCGTTTACTCTGCTGACTGTTTCTTTTTCTGTGCAGTATCTCTTTAGTTTAATGAAGTCCCACCTATTTATCTTTGTTATTGTGGCATTACCTTTTGGGTTCTTGGTTATGAAATCATTGGCTAAGCCAATGTCTAGAAGGGTTTTATCAATGTTATATTCTAGAATTTTCAGAGTTTCTGATCTTAGATTTCAGTCTTTGATCCACCTTGATTTTTGTGTAAGGTGAGAGATGAACATCCAGTTTTATTCTCCTACATGTGGCTTGCCAATTATCCCAGCATCATTTGTTGAATAGGGTGTCCTTTTCCCACTTCATGTTTTTGTTTGCTTTGTCAAAGATCAGTCAGCTGTAAGGATTTGGGTTTATTTCTGGGTTCTCTATTCTGTTCCATTGGTCTGTGTGCCTATTTTTATACCAGTACCATGCCGCTTTGGTGACTATGGCCTTCTGGTATAGTTTGAAGCCAGATAATGTGATGCCTCCACATTTGTTTTTTTTTGCTCGATCTTGCTTTGGCTTTCTGGCCTCTTTTTTTGTTTCCATATGAATTTTACGATTGTTTTTTCTAGTTCTGTGAAGAATGACGGTGTTTTGATGGGAATTGCACTGAATTTGCAGATTACTTTTGACAGAATGGTCATTTTCAAAATATTGATTCTACCCATCCATGATCATGGGATGTATTTCCATCTGTTTGTGTCATATATGATTTCCCTCAGCAGTGTTTTGTAGTTTTCCTTGTAGAGCTCTTTCACCTCTTTGGTTAGGTACATTCCTAAGTATTTTATTTATTTATTTTTTGCAGCTATCGTAAAAGAGGTAGAATTCTTGATTTGATTCTCAGCTTGATCGCTGCTGGTGTATAGCAGAACTACTGATTTGTGTAAATTATTTTTTGTATCCAGTAGCTTTGCTGAATTTATTTATCAGTTCTGGGAGCTTTTTGGAGGAGTTTTTAGTGTTTTCTAGGTACACGATCATATCATCAGCAAACAGTGACAGTTTGACTTCCTCTTCACTGATTGGGATGCCCTTTCTTTCTTTCTCTTGTCTGACTTCTGTGGTTAGAACTTCAAGTACTATGTTGAAGAGGAGTAGTGAGAGTGGGCATCCTTGTCTTGTTCCAGTTCTCAGAGAGAATGCTGTCAACTTTTTCCCATTCAGTATTATGTTGGCTTTGGGTTTGCCATAGATCGCTTTTATTACATTGAGGTATGTCCCTTGCATGCTGATTTTGCTGAGTGTTTTAATCATACAGAGATGCTGGACTTTGTCAAATGCTTTTTCTGCATCTATTGAGATGATCATGTGATTTTTATTTTTAATTCTGTTTATGTGGTTTATCACATTATTGACTTGCGTATGTTAAACCATCCCTGCATTTCTGATATGAGGAGTCTTCAAAACCATGCAAATACATGGAAATTAAATAACCTGCTCCTGTATGATCATTGGATCAACAATGAAATCAAGATGGAAATTTAAAAATTACTTGAACTGAACGATAATAGTGACAAAATCTATCAAAACCTCTGGGATACAGCAAAGGCGGTGCTAGGAGGAAAGTTTATAGCCTTAAATGTCTACATCAAAAAATTTGAAAGAGCACAAATGGACAATGTAAGGTCCTCAAGGAACTAGGAAAACAAGAACAAACAGAATCCAAACCCAGCAGAGGAAAAGAAATACCCAAGATCAGAGCAGAACTAAATAAAATGAAAAAAAAGTATAAAAGATAAATGAAACAAAATGCTGATTCTTTGAAAAGATAAATAAAATTGATAGACCATTTACAAGATTAACTAAAAGAAGAAGAAAGAAGATCCAAATACGCTCAATTAGAAACAAAATGGCGGATATTACAACTGACACTGCAGAAATACAAATGATCATTCAAGGATTCTATGAATATCATTACGTGTATAAATTAGAAAACCTCGAGGAGATGAATAAAATCCCGGAAATATGCAACCCTCCCAGATTAAGTCAGGAAGAATTAGAAACCCTGAAAGGACCAATAACATGCAGCAAGATTGAAATGGTAATAAAAATTTGCCAACAAAAGAAAAGTCCAGGACCAGAGAGATTCACAGCTGAATTCTATCAGACATTCAAAGAAGAAATGGTACCAATCCTATTGACACTATTCCACAAGAAAGAGAAAGAGGAAATCCTCTCTAAATCATTCTATGAATCCGGTATCACCCTAATACCAAAACTAGGAATGGACATAACAAAAACAGAAAACCACAGGCCAATATTCCTGGTGAACAGAGATGCAAAATTTCCTAACAAAATACCAACTAGCCGAATCCAACAGCATATCAAGATGATAATGCACAATGATCAATTGGAATATATATAATATTTAGAGCATATGTAGAGAGCTGTTTCACCTCTGACAGCTTCATCTCTGATCTTCTTTGCTTCTGGCCTGAATCTCTACCATTGTATATGACTAAGAATGGCCTTTCTGAATATTCATTGGTTACTTTGACAAGTTTCTCATTTCCTGAAACCTCTGTGATTTCATTCTTTATTCATATTTCTGGAGTTTTTTTTTCTACCTCCCGGAGGGAAAAGTGATGCATACTTTTAGATCCCTGAGTTTCATTTCACATTTTTTTTTGTTTTAAATTTGTCTTGTGTCTCAATAAATACTTCTGTTTCTCTAAGGAGTCATTAAGAAATTCCACATTTCCATGATTAAAGCATTAAACTCCTCTATCAGGTCTTTTGAGATTGTAGGTTGGTGTAACACATAAGTTAGATAATATTATCCACTGTGGTTTTTTTGGATTCTAGCCACCTTCATAACCCTCCGCTTCCTTTTGTTCCTTTATACTATTCATTGTTCTAATAACCTCCATTTCTTCTTTTCTCTTTGCACACTTTCTTTAACATGTCTTAGATGTTAGATTGTATCCGGAGTGGAAAGCACTCTCCTTTTTCTATTTTTTTTTCCCTCGACAATGGTTTTGGTCCTAATTGGGAAGTAGATTAAGCCAAGTGTCAATTCATCTAATTGCTACTTAAATCTTATGGATTCTTAAGTTTCACTCCATTTCTGCATGCAACTTTAAGTCTTAGTAATTTTTATTATGTGGCACAGTTTTATTTTCTACAGTAGCTGTCATACAAGGCAGACCACAAGGAACTATAAAGAATGAAATAATAACGTGGTTTATCATCTCAAACTAGTTCTTATCAAACTATGGACTTGTCAACTCTCATAATCTGGAGCAATTAGAGACATAGGTAAAAGAAATTAAATGAAAACAACATGATGTAATCACACTCCAAAGGTGGTGTTGTGGCAGGAAGTGAAGAAACTTCTTACTTGGCATCTTTACTGCCCAACTAGGCCACCATGCTCTTGGCTTCCCTGAGTTACAGAAAAGGCTTACAGATGAAATGTGAAATTACTGAAAGTGGCCACTTTCCCTAGCGCTTTAGATAGGTGGTGAAATTTAGATTGCTATATCCAAATTTCAAGTTGCTTCACACAGCAATGTAGAATTATTCAGCCTGAAGTATCTGTGGCTCAAAAACTTGGCTCTAACTTGCATCTCAACTGGCCAGCCTGTGATATCAGCTGCTGAGAGCCAAGGATGTCTGCCAATTCTGCCTTTATGTATGCACACTGAAGCTGATTGGACCGACCCAAATTTTTGTGAATGCTATATTGCTGTTGAGTGTGTAGATGCATTCCAAATGTCCATGGCGGATACTGATATCTACAATTCAGAGGAGTCCTGTTCCTTGAGCATTAAAAAGGCAAAAGCTAATGAATTTAAATGAGGATGAAAAAACATAGTATTATTCTAATGGTTCAAATGTTTTTTGTGCCTTAATTGAAGCCTCCAGTAAATTACCACTTTGCTTTGATGTCATTATCTTAATATCCTGGGAAGAATTCTTATAAGTATATTCCTCAAATGTTCCTGGTAAGGATAAATACCAACAGGAAAAATAAGAATATTATTACATTAGAAACATAGTTTGTATTTTTTTTTCCTAGTTTTACTCTGGGGTGAGATTTTGATGGCATTACAATAACCAGTTTGTTATCTTTATTATACAAGAGGTGAACAGATTTAAAAAGCTACCTTGCTATCTACCAGATAACAGAGAAATGTATTTTCATTTTTCCTGATTACTATCTATGCAGGTAATTATGCTTTTTCTTTACACATAATTAAAGTGAAAGTTGTTTTCAGTCCATTCTTCTCTGTGGTGAAATTATCAAGTTTGTTCTCAACTAATTATTTTCTATAACATAGCACTGTTTTAGATCCCCGTCACATTCCATTTAGCAGACACAAAACAGCTCTGAATTAGAGTTATCACAGCCTAAGACTTTTATAGCATTAATTTCTAGGGGAAAAAATCTTTAGATGGATGTTATCCAAGCTGAAAATGAATTCTTTTGAAAGAATCCAATTGATTTTTGTTTTTTCTTCATTTGATTCTAAAATATTTTGCTCTTTTACAATCTCTGTTGTTGGGTTTCTATTTTTTAAATTTAAGGTCACTTAGTTTGTTCTAGTCTAACACAGTCTTTTTGCACCAAAGAGTGAGGTTGAAGAATTTATGATTACTCTGTGTGTGCACTGCACAGTTTTTCAAGCTTATAGCTGCAAGATGCTTATTTTGGGGAATAAGAGAAGCTTCTGCTGATATTGCACAGTACAAATAGGTACATAGTTAAGAAACAGTTTCTAATCATGGAGAATTAGTGAACTCTCTCTGAAGAGAAGCTTTACACTCTTATTATGTCCATAAGGCAGGGGACCCATTATACAAGATTATTTGCCTTACAGAATGATCCAGTCCTACTGAAGTTCCCTTAAGAGATACATTTCCATGACGCACCATGAATAAGCTTTTGATGGTAAAAATTTAGCATCCACACTCTTTTTTAGTATTGGCTCACCCTGCAACACTTGATGCCCTATACTCTTGGGAAACTGTGATTGCTTTATTTAGTGGTCCATAATGCCTTGTTTCTAGTAGTTGCTGAAAAATGTTTGCTAAAATTAATCATGTATATTCAATTTGCTGTGTGAGAGACGCACTATTATTGTTTATTTATTTATTTAGCATTACTGGGCTATGGACCTGTAAAGGATGTACAGTGATGTGACCTTCCTAACTTCCTTATAGCTCCTATACTTCACAGTGGCCAATTTGTTTTCCCATCCCAGTCTCATTTCCTAAGCTTTTTTAAAAGTCTGTTTAATATATTCCATTCTCCTATTTTCTACTACCACTATAAATGGTCTTTTGCTTCCTCTTACTCCTCTTTCCTTTATCCAAAGACGAAGTTTACCAGCAAACTTTGCTACTACAACTTTAGAATACCTCTCATTGTCATTTATTTTTAACAATCGATTTAATGTTTTACTATAAAGATAATACATGCACATGGTAAATAGTTCAAGCAGAAACATTGTCCTTATGATTCCTTCCTCCTTGTTTGATACTGAAAGGCAAATGCTGCTTACCGTCACTTTTCCCAGAGATAGTTCATCATAAATGGCCATTTATGAACATATGTGTCATTTTTATTAAGAAGAAATTCACGACATTAAATTAATTATTTTAAAGTGAACAATTTTTGCTTGCTGCAACAGTAAATATAATGAAATAAAAAATTCAATGGCATATAGTACACTCACAACGCTATTAGATGGTTAACTAATCTTCCAAAGAAAATGTCATATTCATTGAACAGTTATTACTTATTATCCTCTGCCCCCAACCCCTGGCAACTATCAATCTGTCTTCTGTTATGGTTTTACCTATTCTGGATAATTTATATAAATCAAATCATAAAACGTGTGCTTATTTGTGTCTGGATTCTTTCAAATAGCATAATGTTTTTGAGTTTCATCCATGTTGTGGTATGTGCCAGTAATTCATTCCTTTTTATGACAAAATATTTCATTGCATAAATATGCTACAAGTTGTTTATCCATTCACCCATTGATGGATGGATTGTTTTCACCTCTTTGCTCTTGTGCAGAGTTTTATTGAACATTTACGTATAAGAATTTCTTTCAGTATTTGTTTTCAATTCTTAGAGATATACATTCAAAAGGAGAACTGTTGGGTCATATGATAATTCTATGTTTAACTTTTTGAAGAATCACCATAAAGCACATTGTATTAGTCCATTTTCATACTGCCATGAAGAAATACCTAAGACTGGGTAATTTATAAAGAAAAAAGAGGTTTAATGGACTAACAGTTCCACATGGTTTGGGAGGCCTCATAATCATGGCGGAAGGCAAAGGAGGGAAAAAGGTATGACTTGCGTGGTGGCAGGCAAGGGAGCATGTGCAGGGGAACTGCCCTTTATAAAACCATCAAATCTCGTGAAACTTATTCACTATCATGGGAAGAACATGAGAAAAACCTGCCCCCATGATTCAATTACCTCCCACCACATCCCTTCTACAACACGTGGGAATTACGGGAGCGGCAATAAAGATGGGATTTTTGTGGGGATACAGCCATATCACACACAAAATTGCTTCACAGCATGTAAAACATTTTACATTCCCATCATCTTATACAAAGACTAACATTTCTCTAATTCTCATAAATACCTGTAATTTTCTGGATTAGAAAAATCAAAATTGTTAAAATGTCCATGTTACGAAAGCAATTTACACATTCCTTGCAACCCCTATCAAAATACCAATGACATTCATGACAGAAATAGAAAAAATAACCTCAAAATTGATGTATAACCACAAAAGACCTAGAGTAGTCAAAGGAATCCTAATCAAATAGAACAAACCTGGACACATCACACTAACTGACTTCAAATTATACTAAATTTCTTACTGTTGTCTGATAGCTCTGGCTAGGACTTACAGTAATATGTTGAATAAAAGTGGTAAGAGTGGACATCACTGTCTTGTTGCAGTTATCAAAGGGAATGCTTTCAACGTTTTTCTACTCAGTATTATGTTGGCTGTGGGTCTGTCATAGATGGCTTTTATTATATTAAGGTATGTCCCTTATATGCCGATTTTGCTGTTTTAATCACGAAGAGATACTGGACTTTGTCAAAAGCTTTTTCTGCATCTATTTGGATGATCAGGTGATATTTGTTTTTAATTCTGTTTATGGGGTGTATCACATTTATCAACGGGCGTATGTCTAACCATCTTTGCTTGCATGGTATGAAATCCACTCAATCATGAGGATTATCGTTTTGATATGCTGTTAGATTCGGTTAGTTGGTATTTTGTTAAGAAATTTTGCATCTGTGTTCACCAGGAATATTGGCCTGTAGTTTTCTGTTTTTGTTATGTCCGTTCCTAGTTTTGGTATTAGGGTGATACCGGATTCATAGAATGATTTAGAGAGGATTTCCTCTTTCTCTTTCTTGTGGAATAGTGTCAATAGGATTGGTACCATTTCTTCTTTGAATGTCTGATAGAATTCAGCTGTGAATCTCTCTGGTCCTGGACTTTTCTTTTGTTGGCAAATTTTTATTACCATTTCAATCTTGCTGCATGTTATTGGTCCTTTCAGGGTTTCTAATTCTTCCTGACTTAATCTGGGAGGGTTGCATATTTCTGGGATTTTATTCATCTCCTCCAGGTTTTCTGGTTTATACACGTAAAGATATTCACAGAATCCTTGAATGATCATCTGCATTTCTGCAGTGTCAGTTGTTTCTGACAGTCCGCCATTTTGTTTCTAATTGAGTATTTTGGATCTTCTTTCTTTTTTTTTGGTAAATCTTGCAAATGGTATATCAATTTTATTTATCTTTTCAAATAATCTTTTGTTTCATTTATCTTTTATACTTTTTTTTTCCATTTTAGTTCTAATCTGAGCTTGGGTATTTCTTTTCCTCTGCTGGGTTTGGATTCTGTTTGTTATTGTTTCTCTAGTTCCTTGAGGACCTTAGATTGTCTATTTGTGCTCTTTCAAATTTCTTGATGTAGACATTTAAGGCTATAAACTTTCCTCCTAGCACCGCCTTTGCTGTATCCCAGAGGTTTTGATAGGTTTTGTCACTATTATCATTCAGTTCAAATAATTTTTTAATATCCATCTTGATTTCATTGTTGACCCAAAGATCGTACAGGAGCAGGTTATTTAATTTCCATGTATTCGCATGGTTTTGAAGACTCCTCATATCAGAAATGCAGGGATGTTTTAACATATACAAGTCAATAATGTGATACATCACATAAACAGAATTAAAAACAAAAAATCACATGATCATCTCAATAGATGCAGAAAAAGCATTTGACAAAGTCCAGCATCTCTGTATGATTAAAACACTCAGCAAAATCAGCATGCAAGGGACATACCTCAATGTAATAAAAGCGATCTATGGCAAACCCAAAGCCAACATAATACTGAATGGGAAAAAGTTGACAGCATTCTCTCTGAGAACTGGAACAAGACAAGGATGCCCACTCTCACTACTCCTCTTCAACATAGTACTTGAAGTTCTAACCACAGAAGTCAGACAAGAGAAAGAAAGAAAGGGCATCCCAATCAGTGAAGAGGAAGTCAAACTGTCACTGTTTGCTGATGATATGATCGTGTGCCTAGAAAACACTAAAAACTCCTCCAAAAAGCTCCCAGAACTGATAAATAAATTCAGCAAAGCTACTGGATACAAAAAAATAATTTACACAAATCAGTAGTTCTGCTATACACCAGCAGTGATCAAGCTGAGAATCAAATCAAGAATTCTACCTCTTTTACGATAGCTGCAAAAAATAAATAAATAAAATACTTAGGAATGTACCTAACCAGAGAGGTGAAAGAGCTCTACAAGGAAAACTACAAAACACTGCTGAAGGAAATCATAGATGACACAAACAAATGGAAACACATCCTATGATCATGGATGGGTAGAATCAATATTTTGAAAATGACCATTCTGTCAAAAGCAAATTCAGTGCAATTCCCATCAAAACACCATCATCGTTCTTCACAGAACTAGAAAAAACAATCGTAAAATTCATATGGAAACAAAAAAGAGCACAGAAAGCCAAAGCAAGATCAAGCAAAAAAAAAAAAAAACAAATGTGGAGGCATCACATTATCTGGCTTCAAACTATACCAGAAGGCCATAGTCACCAAAGCGGCATGGTACTGGTATAAAAATAGGCACACAGACCAATGGAACAGAATAGAGAACCCAGAAATAAACCCAAATCCTTACAGCTGACTGATCTTTGACAAAGCAAACAAAAACATGAAGTGGGAAAAGGACACCCTATTCAACAAATGATGCTGGGATAATTGGCAAGCCACATGTAGGAGAATAAAACTGGATGTTCATCTCTCACCTTACACAAAAATCAAGGTGGATCAAAGACTGAAATCTAAGATCAGAAACTCTGAAAATTCTAGAATATAACATTGATAAAACCCTTCTAGACATTGGCTTAGCCAATGATTTCATAACCAAGAACCCAAAAGGAAATGAAACAATAACAAAGATAAATAGGTGGGACTTTATTAAACTAAAGAGATACTGCACAGAAAAAGAAACAGTCAGCAGAGTAAACGGAGAACCCACAGAGTGAGAGAATAGCTTCACAATCTCTACATCCGACAAGAGACTAATATCCAGAATCTACAGGAACTCAAACAAATTAGCAAGAAAAGAACAAGCAATCCCATCAAAAAGTGGGCTAAGGATATGAATAGACAATTCTCAAAAGAAGACATACAAATGGCCAACAAACATATGAAAAAATGCTCGACATCACTAATGATCAGGTAAATGCAAATCAGAACCACAATGCAATACCACCTTACTCCTGCAAGAATGGCCATAATCAAAAAATTAAAAAATAATAGATGCTGACGTGGATGGATGTGGTGAAAAGGGAACACTTCTACACTGTGCTGCTGTTGGGAATGTAAACTAGTACAACCACGATGGAAAGCAGTGTGGAGATTCCTTAAAGAACTAAACATATAACTACCATTTGATCCAGCAATCCCACTACTGGGTATCTACCCAAAGGAAAATAAGTCATTACACAAAAAAGATACTTGCACACCCATGTTTATAGCAGCACAATTCGCAACTGCAAAAATATGGAACCAGCCCAAATGCCCATCCATCAATGAGTAGATAAAGAAATTATGGCATATATATATATATATATATATATATATATATATATATATATAAAATCAAGTACTACTCAGCCATAAACATTAATGAATTAATGGCATTCACAGCAACCTGGATGAAACTGGAAACTATTATTCTAAGTGAAGTAACTCAGGAATGGAAAACGAAACATCGTATGTTCTCACTCATATGTGGGAGCTAAGCTATGAGGATGAAATGTCAAAAGAATGATACAACGGACTTCGGGGACTTGAGGGAAAGGGTGGGCGGAGGGTGAGGGATAAAAGACTACAAATTGGGTTCAGAGTATACTGTTCGGGTGATGGGTGCACCAAAATCTCACAAATCACCACTAAAGAACTTACTCATGTAACCAAATAGCACCTGTTCCTAAAAAACCTATGGAAAAAAAATAAAAACCAAATTGTAGTACAAAACTATAGTAACTAAAACATCGTGTTACTGCCATTAGAAACAGACATATAATCCAGCAGAAGAAAATATAGAATACATAAATAAATTCACACATTTAGAATCAACTCATTCTTGACAAAGATGCCAAAAGCATATATTTGGGAAGGAATAGACTTTTCAATAAATTGTTATAGGAACCTGGATATATATTTGCCAAAGAATGAAACTAGATGCCTATCTCTCACCACATGCAAAAATCAAAGAAATACTTGATTAAGTACTTAACTGTAAGACATGAAACTATGAAACTAGTGAGACAATACATAGGGCAAATACATGGGGACATTGGTCTGGGCAAATATTGCTTGAGTAAGACTGCAAAAGCATAGGCAACCAAACTTAAAATGGACAAATGGGATCACATCAAGCTAATAAGCTTTTGCATAGCCACGGAAATAATTAATAAATGAAGAGATAATCTACAGAATAAGAAAAAATACTTGCTGACTGTTCAACTTACAAAGGAATAATGACCAGAATATACGAGAAACTCAACTCAATATCAAAACAAAAACAAAAACAAAAAAACAAAAACAAAATCAAAACATAGCAGAAACCAAATAATCCTGGTATCAAATGAACAAAATATATGAATAAACATTTATCAAAAGGTGATATACAAGTCGCTAACAGGTGTCTTAAAAATGTTGAAAATCACAAATTATCACAGAAATGTACAATGAAATATCATGTCACCCCAGTTAAAATGGCTTTTCTCAAAAAGAAAACAGAAACAACAAATGCTGGTGAGGATATGGAGAAAAGGGAGCCCTTTTACACTGTAGATGGTAATACAGACACTAAGAGTATATATGTAAAGAAAGGAAATAAGCATATTGAATAGATATATACACTCCCATGTTTTTTACAGCACTATTCACAATAGCCAAGTTATAGAATCTACCTGTGTGTATCAACAGATGAATGGATTAAAAAAATGTGCTACCCCATGAAATATTCAGCCATAAAAATAATACAATCATGACATTTGCAACAACACAGATTGAACTACAGGACATAAGTGAAATAAGCCAGGCACAGAAAGAAAAATATCACATTTTCTCACTCATAGATAGGAGCTGAAGAAAAATTGAACTCGTGGAGATAGAGAGTAGAATGATAGTTGCTAGAGTTTGTGAAGGGTCACGAGGAGATGGGGGGAAAAAGTGGGGAATGATTGATGAGTAAAAAAATACAGTTAGATAGGTTAAATAGGATCCACTATTTGGACAATAGGGTGACTGTAGTTAACAATAATTTGTTGTATATTTCAAAATAACTAGAGGAGTGGAATTGGAATGTTCCTAGCACAAAAAAAAGATATATTTTTGAGGTAAAGAATATCCCAATCACCCTGATTTGATCATTAGACATTATGTGTTTGTATCAAAACATCACATGTGCCCCACAAATATGTAAAACTATTATGTATCCATATAAATTAAAAATGTAAAAAGTATTATTATTATTATAGCCATTCTTATAGATGTGAAGTGACTAATTGTGGTTTGGCTTTATATCCTCTAATGTCTAGTGATGTTACACTTCTTTCCATGTGCTTATTGCCCATTTATCTATCGTTTTTGGAAAAATTTCCATTCGAATGCTTTTCTAATTTTTTAATTGGGTTGTTTGGTTTTTGTTGCTGAATTACAAAAATTCTTTATATATTCTGGATACTGGAACATTATCAGATATAAAATTTGGAAATATTCCTTTTCATTGTCTATATTGTGTTTTTACTTTCTTGATAACATCTTTTGATGCACAAATGTATTTAATTTTGATGGGTTCAAATTTATCTATTTTTCATTGTTTTTCATACTTTTGGTGTTATATCTGAGTCCAATGCAAAATTCAAAATCGTAAATATTTATCCCTATGGTTTCTTCTAAGAGTTTTATAAAATCATAGCTGTAATATTTATGTTATCAATTTGTTTTGAGGTATTTTGTGTATATTGTATGATATAGGCATCCAAATTTATGTTTTTATGTAGATATAAAATTTTCTCAGTGTCATCTGTTGAAGAAAAAATTCTTTCCTCACTGAATGGTCTTGGTACCCTTGATGAAAGTCAATTGACCATAGATTTATGGGTTTACTTCTGGCGATTCAGTTCTATCGCATTGTACTATATGTGTATCCTTATAACTGCACAACACTTGATTATTGTAACTTTACAGTAAGTTTTGGAATAACGAAGTATAAATTCTCCAACTTTGTTCTTTGCAGGATTGATTTGACTATTTGGGGCTCTTGAAATTCCATATGAATTTGAGAATCAGCTTTTTCATTTCTGCTAAAATGGTCATTAAGATTTTGATACAGATTGCATTGAATTTGTAGATCATTTATGGTAGTATTCACACCTTGACAATACCACGTTTGTCATTTTATGATACGTAATATTTTCTGTTTATTTACAATTCATTAATTTTCTTTAGCAATGTTTTGAAATTTTTAATAAATGAGTCTTTGAACATCTTGATTAAATTTATTGCTAGCTATTTTTTTCTGCTTCATGCTATTGTAATAGAATTTTCTTAATTTTCATTTGGAATGTTTAGTATATAGAAACACAAATGTTTTTCGTGTGTTGATTTTGTACCCTGTAACTTTGCAGAATGTGTTTACTAGGGCCAGTAGATTTTTGGTGGATTTTTTTTTTGTTTTTATTTAATACATGAAAACACGCCGCCTCTGAATATAGATAGTTATACTTCATCTTATCCTATTTGGATAAATTTTATTTCCTTTCCTTGCCTAATTAGCTCTAGCTAAATTTTACAGTACTATGTTGAATAGAAGTAGTAAAAATGGATATTCTTGTCTTTCTTTTAGTTTTGGGAAGAAAGCATTCATTCTTTAACCTTTGAGTATACTGTCAGCTCTGGGTTTTTCATAAATGTCTTTTGTCACGTTGAGCCAGTTTTTTTTTTCTTTTTACTAGTTTAATGAGTGTTTTTGACATGAAAGCATGTTGGATTTTGTCAGATACTCTTTAGGTGTCAACTGAGATGTCATGTGTTTCTTCCTACATTTTATTAATGCAGTGTATTACATGCACTGATTTTATTAAGATTTGTACAGTGCTTAATTAAAATGTTCTCCATTTCCTTTTCTCTTCCTGCCTGAGATAAATCCTGATTAGTCAAGTGAAAGGAAAATATATTTTGGGACCCAAA
This sequence comes from Homo sapiens, assembly GCF_000001405.40. Lineage (NCBI taxonomy): Eukaryota > Metazoa > Chordata > Mammalia > Primates > Hominidae > Homo > Homo sapiens. The sequence goes on along the minus strand of NC_000023.11, from coordinate 99,578,943 downwards.
AATCACTAAGCTAAAATTAAAAAGGTCAATCTGGGAAGTATTTAGTGCAATCATGCCTCCTATTCTATTCAAAGTCATCCCTCTGCTCACTGAGATAAATGCATATCTGACTGCCTCCTTTGGAAAGGCTAATCAGAAACTTAAAAGAATACAACCATCTGTCTCTTATCTATCTATGACCTGAAACCCCTGCCCCAACTTCAAGTTGTCTTGCCTTTCTGAAACAAATCAATTTACATCTTACATATATTGATTGATGTCTCATATATCCCTAAAATGTATAAAACCAAGCTGTGTCCCAACCACCTTGGGCACATATCATCAGGACCTCCTGAGGCTGTGTCATGGGTGCACATTTTTAACTTTGGCAAAATAAACTTTCTAAATTGACTGAGACCTGTCTCGGATATTTGGGGTTCACATTTGGTAACCATGGAGGGATTCTGAGTGGAGGTGCCCCTGAACTTTGGCTAATATCCTATCAGTGCTTGATACCAGCTTGAGCTATCTTTATGGATCCAACCAATAGGACAATATGCTGAGGCCTGGACACACCCCCTCCAGAGAATACCTGATCTCCCCAAATTTGGCAAAGATCTAAAGTTTATTTTGCTGTATAACTCCTTTTTTTTGGAGTTTTACCTGCTTCCAGTAAGAAAAGCAAGTTTTTCTGCTTCCATGACAATAGAAGGCAGGGAACTCCTTCCTGGAATTTGAACTTGCTTCCAACAGAGAAGGTGAATTTGAGTTTTTTCCTGCTTCTAGAATGGTAGAGAACACTCTTCAGCCTGAGACCCATCCCCACATAAGTAGCTACAATAAGGTTTCGTCTTGGCTAAAGCTATGATTAACAATCATTTGGTCTTAATTTCTCCTTACCATTAGAGTGCCCAGTAATCATATTTTTGGGTCTGTTGTTGTTTGTTCCAGTCTTTCTCTGTCAGATTTGACCAAATCTGAATGACTTGGTCAAATCAGAATGAGAATTTCAAATTATTCCCTCCATGGTTACCAAAAGTGAACCACAAATATCTGAGACTGGTCTCAGTCAATTTAGGAAGTTTACCTTGCCAAAGTTAAGGATATTCACCCATGACACAGCCTCAGGAGGTCCTGATGACATGTGTGCAAGGGGGTCAGGACACAGCTCGGTCCCAACCAAGTTGTGAGACATGAGACATCAATCGATATACCTAAGATGTAAATTGATTTTGTCCAGAAAGGCAGGACAACTTGAACAAGGCCTCTCTGAATTGGCTAAAATTCCTTGCAGCTGCAAAAGTGGGAAAAACTACAGCAACAAACAACAACAACAACAACAACAACAACAAAAAGCATGTGCTTGGTTTCTGTGTTTCCTTCCCATCTTAAAAAATATGTTCTTTGGTTAATTTTTCTTCCACCCTATACCTCTGTATTAGTCTGTTCTCACACTGCTGTGAAGAAATACCTGAAACTGGGTAATTTATAAAGAAAAGAGTTTTTATTGACTCACAGTTCCACATGGCTGGGGAGGCCTCAGAAAACTTATAGTCATGGCAGAAGGCACCTCTTCACAAAGGTGGCAGGAGAGAGAATGAGTGCCAGCATAAGAAATGCCAGATGCTTATAAAACCCTCAGATCTTGTGAGAACTCAGTCACTATTATGAGAACAACATGAAGGAAACTGCCCCCATGATTCAATTACCTCCCACTGAGTCCCTCCCATGACACATGGAAATTATGGGAACTACAATTCAAAATGAGATCTGGGTGGGGACACAGCCAGACCATATCATTCCATCCCTGGCCCCGCTCAAATCTCATGTCTTTACATTTCAAAGCAGAATCATGCCTTACTAACAGTCCCTCAAAGTTTTAACTTATTCCAACATTAACACAAAAATCCAAGTCCAAAGTCTCATCTGAGACAAGGCAAGTCCCTTTTACCTATGAGCCTATAAAATCAAAAGCAAGTTAGTTACTTCCTACATACAATGGGGTTACAGGTATTGGGTAAATATACTCATTTCAAATGGGAGAAACTGACCAAAACAAAGGGGCTATAGGCCCCATGCAAGTATGAAATCCAATAGGTAGTCACTAAACCTTAAAGTTCCAAAATGATCTCCTTTGACTCCATGTCTCACATCCAGGTCACGCTGATGCAAGAGGTGGGCTCCCATGGCCTTGAGCAGCTCTACCCCTGTGGCTTTTCAGGGTAAAGCCCCCTTCCTGGCTGCTTTCACAGGCTGGCATTAAGTGTCTGTGGTTTTCCAGGCACTTGGTGCAATCTGTGGGTTGATCTACCTTTCTGGAGTCTGGAAGACAGTGGCCCTCTTTTCACAGCTCCACTAGGGAGTGCCTCAGTGGGGACTCCGTGTGGGGGCTCCAACCCCAAATTTCCCTTTTACACTGCCCTAGCAGAGGTTCTCCATACGGGCTCCATCCCTGCACCAACCTTCTTCCTGGACATCCAGGCATTTTCATACATCCTCTGAAATGTAGGCAGAGGTTCTCAAACCTCAATTCCTGACCTGTGTGTACCCACATGCTCAACACCACATGGAAAACACGAAGGCCTGGGACTTGCATCCTCTGAAGCAATGTCCCAAGCTGTATCTTAGCCTTTTTTAGCCACTGCTGGAGCTGAAGCAGCTGGCCACCATCTCCCAAGGCTGCACAGAGCAGGAGGGCCCTGGACACAGCCCAGGAAACAATTTTTCCCTCCTAGGTCTCTGGGCCTGTGATGGGAGAAGCTGTGAAGGTCTCTGACATGCCCTGGAGATATTTTTCCCATTGTCTTGGTGATTAACATTTGGCTTCTTGTTACTTATGAAAATTTCTGCAGCAGGCTTGAACTCCTCACCTGAAAATGGGCTTTTCTTTTCTATTGCATTGTCAGGCTTCAAATTTTCAAAACTTTTATGCTCTGCTTCCTCTGAATGCTTTGCCCTTTAGAAATTTCTTCCACCACATACCCTAAATCATCTCTCCCAAGTTCTAAGGTCCACAGATCTCTAAAGCAGTGGCAAAATGCCAGAAGTCTTTTGGTTAAATCATAGTAAGTCACTTTTGCTCCAGTTCCCAAGAAGTTCCTTATCTCTTTTGGAGACCACCTCAGCCTGGAATTTATTGTTAATATCACTATCAGCATTTTGGTCAAAACCGTTCAACAAGTCTGTAAGAAGTTACAAACTTTCCCACATCTTTCTATCTTCTTCTGAGCCCTCCAAACTGTTCCAACCTATGTCTGTTACCCAGTTCCAAAGTTGTTTTCACATTTTTTGTTATCTCCACAGCAGCACCCCACAACCTCAATACCAATTTACTGCATTAGTCTATTCTCACACTGCTATGAAGAAATACCCTGGACTGGGTAATGTATAAAGGAAAGAGGTTTAATTGACTCATGGTTCCGCATGGCTGGGGAGGCCTCAGTAAACTTATAATCATGGCAGAAGGCACCTCTTCACAGGGTGGCAGGAGAGAAAATGTGTGCCAGCAGGGGAAATGCCAGACACTTATAAAACCATCAGATCTCATGAAAAATCACTCATTTTCATGAGAACAGCATGGGGAACACCAAGAGGTTTTCTCCCACAAGGTCCCTCTCACAACACATGGGGATTGTGGAAACTACAATTCAAGATGAGATTTGGGTAAGGACATAGACAAACCATATCAACCTCCTTCCCCCTTTGCCATCTTCAGTACCAAGAAAAATCTAGAGATAAGTCTTCTAATAACTCAAACCCCTTAAATAACTCAGAACAAAGGCACCACTCACCCCGTTCCGGTGTTCTGTTTTCTTTGTGGATTTTCAAGTATCATGGGCAGATTCTCTTTAGGTCTAAAGCTCTGCTTTCCTGTATGGCATTACCTGACCTCTTTGTCTTTGGGAGTACCAGAAATTACCTTGTACTGTGAGAGGACTTGACTTTGGTGTGTGTAATGGAGGATGAGAGCTACAAAGTTAGCAGTGGCTGAGGACAGTTTACAGGAAGTAGTCTTGGTTGTTGCTTTTTTTTTTCCTCTCTCTCTCTCCTAGGAAGTTGTTTAAGAATCTTACTTCTAGTTCAAGGATGCATTCTCAAGGGTTTCCCCCACTGATTTTTCTCCCCAAAGAGTCTCAATTTCGTTTGCCTGTGCACATTTGTGTGAGGAACTGTACTGTTGTTTTAATAGGTAAATGAGAGACCGAGTTTCCACAGCTCCAAAAAGAAAAAGCATTTTGCTCTTCCCAGCTAAAAGGCACCCATGGGTGACCAGGGGCCTCATGGGAGTGTCTAGTGGGTTGACCCCCAATGACATGCAGTCGTCCTACAGGGAACCCCCAGGAAAATTAGTTTTAAAAAGGCTCATCCAGGAAGCACATATGGGAGCTCGTCAATCTACAATCTGTGCCCTACTGGAGGTGCTAGACCTCCAGAGAGAGAAACTGAGACACATAAGAGGGCAGCAATGACTCATTGGTAACACACTGTGGAGTCCTGGTCACAACCAGCACACACTTTGACCCACTCCACAAAAACCTTAAGCCACAGGTCAGTTTCTCCTTTTAAGAAAAAACAAAAACAGGGAGGGATAGCATTAGGAGATATACCTAATGCTAAATGATGAGTTAACGGGTGCAGCACACCAGCATGGCACATGTATACATATGTAACTAACCTGCACATTGTGCACATGTACCCTAAAACTTAAAGTATAATAATAATAATAAAAACAAACAAACAAACAAAAAACAGAAAAAGTGGGAAATAATCTAAGAATGAGAAGAAAACAAGGATAATGACCCCCTTTCTGGCACTCTGTTGGTTTTCTGGCAGTGCAACTTGTTAGAGTTTGTGTTAAACAAAAATCCTAAGGTCGAACAACAAACTATAAAGTTCCTAAGTCCTCTTTTTTTTTCTATTTTCTTTTCTCCATGCTTTAAAGCTGATGTTACTTTTCTACTAAGATAAAATCCACTGTTTGCATCCAACCATTTCTTTTTGTTATTGTTTTTGCAAACCAATGAGTTCGTATTAGTATCTCATGGCTAGAGTTCTGAAGTAAAAGCTATAAGCTATAGGATCTTTGGTTGTATGAGTGTGTATATGTGTGTTTGTGTGTATGTATATGTATTTTGTTGCATTTTGGCCACAAGATGTCTTAAGGAGTACTCATAAATTAATAAACCCAAATGCTTTTTAAGTGCACATGACTTAAGTAAATTTTTTATTAAGCTAGCTTTAAAATTATTGATAAAATATTAGAAGTGTCTTAAGAATTTCCAGCAAACATTTTTCTTTGCAGTTACTGATCAAGCAGCTTCATAGTTATCCCTACCAAGTACTATAAGGTGTCAGAATCTTGCATTATGTTGTAAAATAACTGTTACTTGTAATCATGTGACTTTAGGAAGTCTAGTCCCCAGGCAGGAAGGGGGTTTGTTTTGGCAAATGACTGTTATTATCTTTGTTTCAAAGCTAAACTATAAACTAACTTCCTTCTAAAGTTAGTTAGACCTACACCCAGGAATGAACAAAAACACCTTGGAGGTTAGAAGCAAGATGGAGTGGGTTAGGTGAGATCTTTTTCACTGTCTCAATTATAATTTTTCAACGGCAGTTTTATAACTTTAAATGATGACTGTCTCAGTTTTCATAAATAATCTTGATAAACCACTAAAATAAAATAATTAGGTAAATGTAATGGGATAAGTACTTGTAGACAAACAAGTCATAATTTAGAATCTAAAGTTACATTAAATCAAATAATGAACATTTCATTAATTTAGTATTTTCCAATAAAAATACTGTAGAAAAACATTCTAAAAAATATGTGTCCTTTTCAAAAGGTGAATAATATTTGTCTAATTCTAAGCTTAGGTAAAGGTTATGTATAAAACAAGGTAAAAGGAACCAGGAAATAAAAGAAATGTAAAGAAAGTTGTAGAAATAAAGAGGTATTTTTAGTAGGAAAGTTTAAAGAAAAAAAGGTATGTTCAGGAGAAACCAGAAAGTCTAAGCATGCTCTAAATGGTCTGTGTAAGTCATAATGAGAGGATTTATGGAAACAACTTTAATAGGACTAAGTTGTCTATAATTAAAGAAAATTATCATGGTCTTTCTAGAGATTGGGTTTTTATTTAAAAAAACACTTTAAACAATTGGTTCAAACTATAAAATTTTCTTAAGGTATTGCTTGATTCTTAATAAATTACAAGACATTATAATTTTTTACACAAAGTTTAACTTTTATTACATCTTGCTGTTTTCAGCTTTCTCTCCCCCTTGAAAGGCCTGAAATAATAACTTTATTATTCAACTCATTTTCAGATACTACAAGTTTTTTTTTTCCTCTGGGTTTTAACTGTTGTGGCCTCACACTTAAAAAAAAAAAGTTTTCTCTTAGAGGTCTGAAGCAAATGTATCTTATGTACCCTCCCAACATAATATCCCCCATAAGGAACAGCAGTCATATGGCAGAAGGCCCTTTCTTTTGCCTTTGTGTAACTGGCCTAATAAACAGATATTATGCTTTATCGAAATAATTCCTATACCATCATTACTAACTTTAGTTTCCTTAGAAAAAACTGAGATTAAAACTTCTTTTTTGAGTTAACTGTTTAACTTTCTGTGTGTGCTTTTAAAGTCGTTGTACAATTAAAAAAGGACACAAACTCCTGATAAATCTTGACACTGATAGTAGTTAAAGCCTCATCTTCAGACCCAGTAGAAGATGCCAATCAAAAGAAATTACATTTGTGAGACAAGGGGCCAAAAATTAAAGGTATTCAACTCCTCAAGGCTCAGGGACTATTGCAGAAGAAGTAGGTGCATGAGATTTTAAGGGTGGATTTCAAGAGACAAAATAAGTTTGATTTCTCTATAAATTAATCATTAATGTCAAAGACACACTGATGCAAGACCAGCATATGGGCGCCTGTGTCACACTAACAAGGTTTTCTTGAGGCATTAAACCACTCTTTAATAGAGGTTTTAAAGGTTATAAAAGACTTATGGAAAGGCTTATAAAAGGCTTATATTATAAGATGTAATATCTTATGGTCAAGATGATTAAAAATTTATAGATTGTTTATAAAATTGTGAAAAGCAAATTTAGTTGAACACATGCTGTTTGTATTAGGAATTGCTGTTTGAAAAATTAAGTCTCCTTTCTCAAAGAATAAAGGTTTTCAACTTTTGTTTTGAAATTTCTGAGTTATTACTTTGGTTAAATAAATGACTTATTTTACAATCACCTGTGATTCTATTTTGTGATATCAAGCATTTTAAACCTTTGATATTTGACAAATTTTCCAAAATCAAATTATCAGTTATGTCCTTTTCTGACCTAATTAATCTTTTAAATATTAAGTTCCCTAAAGTCCAAAAATGACAAATTTGGTGTATTTGGTACAAAAATCATACAGGAAGCATTGTCAAACATGAAATTGTATTTGGCTTTCTTTGGGCTGTATCTGTATAAATATGTTATTGGTATATGTTTCAAAATTATGGAAAATTCCTGATATGACTTAGTGTAGGTTATAAGTAATACTTATAATTGTTATATTAAATTACTATGTGCCAAAGAGATAACAAATTTCCTTGTCAATTGTGACTTTGACTGTGACTGCCTTAAAACATTTTGTCAACCACATACAATTGCTGTCTTGTTTTGGTCCTCTTTAGAAAGTGGTTTTATAATAAGCTAGAAAAATCTAGCAGGTGTTCTTGAATGCAGGGCTCTGATAATTTTGAAGATTGTAACACTAAAATAGAGGAAAAAACTATCAGGACTCGCATAGCAAGCTGTAATGTTCATGAATATCAAGCAGAACAGAAGTTACCTACATGATCTGGACTAACAGAAGACTGAAGTAACCCTTTTTGACTTTTTTGCTGATCCTTTGTTTTGTTTTTCAGAGTCAAAACAACTTTTCCATTGAGCTATTTACAGCTTGTGGCAATTGAGTAAATTATACTCCTGTGCACGAGATTTGGAGCATATTTGTTTCTCTCTACCTGACTTATCCAGAATTTGCAAACTATTTGTGAGTATTCTTAACTTATGGCAATATAGTTATTTGCAAAAGAGCAGTAAGAATGTTTGCATTTGCAACAGGAAGCCATTGGAGGAACTGGTTATTTTTACCAACTCTTTGACTGTAATGGTGTGCTTTTCTTTAAGGAAACACACTTGACTTAAAGAGCCAATAAAAGCCCCTTGGGAAAACTGCCCTCATACCTTGTCTACAGAGTTTCCATACAGGATTCCTGACCTATTGTGAGTAAAGAGTTTCACTTTCTGACAGGTCCAGGATCCCCAAGTTATCTTGGGACCTCAAGGGGAGGTGAATTTAAAGAGACAGCCTCTCACACAATAATACTGGGAGACTTTAACACCCATCTGTCAATATTAGACAGATCAATGAGACAGAAAATTAACAAGGATATTTAGGACTTGAACTCAGCTCTGGAACAAGTGGAACTAATAGACTTCTACAGAACTCTCCACCCCAAATCAACAGAATATACACTCTTAGTGCCACATAGCACTTATTCTAAAATCTACCACATAATTGTGAGTAAAACACTCCTCAGCAAATGCAAAAGAATAGAAATCAAAACAAGCAGTCTCTCAGACCACAGTGCGATCAAATTAGAACTCAGGATTAAAAAACTCACTCAAAACCACACAATTACATGGAAACCGAACAACCTGCTCCTGAATGACTACTGGGTAAATAACAAAATTAAGGCAGAAATAAATAAGTTATTTGAAATCAATGAGAACAAAGACACAACATTCCAGAATCTCTGGGAAACAGCTAAAGCAGTGTTAAGAGGAAAATTCATAGCACTAAATGCTCACATCAGAAAGTGGGAACTATCTCAAATTCACACCTTAACGTCCCAATTAAAAGAACTAGAGAAGCAAGAGCAAACAAATTAAAAAGCTAGCAGAAGACAAGAAATAACTAAGATCAGAGCAGAACTAAAGAATATAGAGGCACAAAAAACCCTTCCAAAAATGAATGAATCCAGCTGGATTTTTGAAAAAAATAACAAACTGTCTCTCAGACCACAGTGCAATCAAACTAGAACTCAGGATTAAGAAACTCACTCAAAACCGCAAAACTACATGGAAAATGAACAACCTGCTCCTGAATGACTACTGGGTAAATAACGAAATTAAGGCAGAAATAAATAAGCTCTTTGAAACCAATGAGAACAAAGACACAATGTACCAGAATCTCTGGGACACAGCTAAAGCAGTGTGTAGAGGGAAATTTACAGCATTAAATGCCCACAGGAGAAAGGGGAAATGATCTAAAATCAACACTCTAACATGACAATTAAAAGAACTAGAGAAGCAAGAGCAAACAAATTCAAAAGCTAGCAGAAGACAAGAAATGATGAAGATAAAAGCAGAACTGAAGGAGAGAGAGACACGAAAAACCCTTCAAAAATTAACAAATCCAGGAGATGTTTTTTTTTTTAAAAGATTAGTAAAATAGACCACTAGCCAGACTAATAAAGAAGAAAAGAGACAAGAATCAAATAGACACAACAGAAAATGATGAAGGGGATATCACCACTGATCTCACAGAAATACAAACTATCATCAGAGAATACTATAAACACCTCTACGCAAATAAACTATAAAATCTAGAAGAAATGGATAACTTCCTGGACACATAAACCCTCCCAAATCCAAACCAGGAAGAAGTCGAATCCCTGAATAGACTAATAAAAAGTTCTGAAATTGATGCAGTACGTAGTAGCCTACCAAACAAATAAAGCCCAGGACCAGATGGATTCACAGCTGAATTCCACCAGAGGTACAAAGAGGAGCCGGTACCATTGCTTCTGAAACTATTCCAAACAATATAAAAAGAGGTACTCCTCCCTAACTCATTTTATGAGCCCAGCTTCATTCTTATATCAAATCCTGGCAGGGGCACAACAAAAAAAACAAAATTTCAGGCCAATATCCCTGATGAACATCAATGCCAAAAAACCTTAATTAAACACTGGCAAACTGAATCTAGCAGCACATCACAAAGCTTATCCATGACAATCAGGTCGACTTTATACCTGGGATGCAAGGCTACTTCAACATACACAAATTAATAAATTTAATGCATCACATAAACAGAAACAATGACAAAAACCACATAATCATCTCAACAGATGCAGAAAAGGCCTTCAATAAAATTCAACACCCCTTCATGTGAAAAACTCTCAATACACTAGGTATTGGTGGAACGTATCTCAAAAAAATAAGAGCTATTTATGACAAACCTATAGCCAGTATCATACTGAATGGGCAAAAGCTGGAAGCATTCCCTTTGAAAACCAGCACAAGAAAAGGATATCCTCTCTCACCACTTCTATTCAACATAGTATTGGAAATTCTGGCCCGGGCAATCAGGCAAGAGAAAGAAATGAAGAGTATTCAAATAAGAAGAGAGAAAGCCAAATTGTCTCTCTTTGCAGATGACATGATGGTTTATTTAGAGAACCTCATCATCTCAGCCCCAAAACTCTTTAAGCTGATAAGCAACTTCAGCAAAGTCTCAGGATACAAAATTAATGTGCAAAAATTACAAGCATTTCTTTAAACCAATAGTAGACAAACAGAGAGCCAAATGACGAGTGAACTCATATTCACAAATGCTACCAAGAGAATAAAATACCTAGGAATACAACTTACAAGGGACGTGAATGACCTCTTCAAGGAGAACTACAAACCACTGCTCAAGGAAATAGGAGAAGACACAAACAAATGGAAAAATATTATATGCTCATGGATAGGAAGAATCAATATTGTGAAAATGGCCATACTGCCCAAAGTAATTTATAGATTCAATGCTATTCCCATCAAGCTACCATTGACTTTCTTCACAGAACTAGAAAAAACTACTTTAAATTTCATATGGAAACAAAAAAGAATCCATATAGCCAAGACAATCCAAAGCAAAAAGAACAAAGCTGGAGGCATCACACTACCTGTCTTCAAACTATACTACAAGGCTACAGTAACCAAAACAGCATGGTACTGGTTCCAAAACAGATATATAAACCAATGGAACAGAACAAAGGCCTCTGAAATAACACCACACATCTACAACAATCTGATTTTTGAAAAACCTGACAAAAACAAGCAATGGGGAAAGGATTCCCTACTTAATAAATGGTGTTGGGAAAGCTGGCTAGCCATATGCAGAAAACTAAAACTGGATCCCTTCCTTACACCATATACAAAAATTAACTCAAGATGGGTTAAAGACTTAAACGTAAGACCCAAAACCATAAAAACCCTAGAAGAAAACCTAGGCAATACCATTCAGGAGATAGTCATGAGCAAAGGCTTCATAACTTAAACACGAAATGCAATGGCAATAAAAGCCAAAATTGACAAATGAGATCTAACTAAACTAAAGAGCTTCTGCACAGCAAAAGAAACTATTATCAGAGTGAACAGGCAACCTACAAAATGGGAGAAAATTTTTGCAATTTATCCATCTGACTAAGGGCTAATATCCAGAATCTACACAGAATGTAAACAAATTTACAAGAAATAAACAACCCCATCAAAAATTGGGTGAAGGATATGAACAGACACTTCTCAAAAGAAGACATTTATGTAGCCAACAAACATATGAAAAAAAGCTCATCATCACTGGTCACTAGACAAATGCAAATCAAAACCACAATGAGATACCATCTCATGCCAGTTAGAATGGCGATCATTAAAAAGTCAGGAGACAACAGATGCTGGCGAGGATGTGGAGTAATAGGAATGCTACTAAACTGTTGGTAGAAGCATAAATTAGTTCAACCATTGTGGAAGACAGTGTGGCGATTCCTCAAGGATCTAGAACCAGAAATACCATTTGACCCAGCAATCCCATTACTGGGTATATACCAGAAGGATTATGAATCACTCTACTATAAAGACACATGCACACGTATGGTTATTGCAGCACTGTTCACCATAGCAAAGACTTGGACCAACCCAAATGCTCATCAATGATAGACTGGATAAAGAAAATGTGGCACATATACACCATGGAATACTATGTAGCCATAAAAAAGGATGAGTTCATGTCCTTTGCAGGGAGATGGATGACACTAGAAACCATCATTCTCAGCAAACTAACACACGAACAGAAAACCAAATACTGCATGTTCTCACTCATAAGTGGGAGTTGAACAATGAGAACACATGGACACAGGGAGGGGAACATTACACACCAGGGCCTCTCAGGGAGTGGGAGGCTAGAGGAAAGATAGCATTAGGAGAAATACCTAATGTAGATTACGGGTTGATGGGTGCCGCAAACCACCATTGCACATGTATACCTATGTAACAAACCAGCACATTCTGCACATGTATCCCAGAACTTAAAGTGTAATAATAAAAAAAAGTTAGTTTAGTATATTTAATTTATAGTCTTCTTCATGGATTATTTCTGTCAGGTTTGGGTTTCTTCCCCGGTGAATTAATCATACTTTCTATACTTTACATACCATACTTGTATGCCTTTTATTTTTGTTTATAAGCTGCATATATTAAATATTAGAATGTAGTACCTCTAGAAATCAGATTATGCCCCCTCCCCAGGGTTTATTGCCATTGATTGTTGACGGCTGTGACCATCCAGTTGTTTAGTAGCTTTTACTAAGTAGGTTTGCAAAATTTATATTATTTTTTAGGTGTGGTCACTGAAGTCTCTTTTTATATATCTCACTGGTCAGCCAGTGATCTGTCAGAGATACGTGTGAGAGCCTGGGGCTAACAGAGAGAAAAAGCTCTCTCAGTCTTTTCAAATTGACTTTTATCTGGGTACACCATCAATGCTAAGCCAGTCAACATGCAACCCTGCGTTAATCTCCACCTCCTGTTAGTTCAGACCTTAAAGATCAACCAAAAATCTGAGTTTAGATTCCTCTCATGTCTTTTCTGAGCATATATCTGTCCCTAGGTATATGAATTGCACTCCACATTCCCTAGTATATATGGTAGCCTTTCTAAACCTCATTTCCCCAAGAATCTTTCTTCTTAGCCTTTTTCTTCACAGTTTTCAGTCTGTCTAATGCTTGCTTTTTCTTGCATCAACTGTCCAAGTCATCTATAAGTAGCATATGTCTTTAAATGCTTTCATCAGACATTTACCAGCGAGCACTCTAGCCTGAGGTGGTGTGTGAAACTAAGATCAGATTCAAGGAATCTCCAGAAAAGTCAAAATGCACATCCACAGTATTTTAAGAAAAAGATCCATATTATCCCGTGGCACCAGGAAGCCACACAAGAACTGCAGCTTGCTGAGCTAGGGCATAGAGAGTGGTAGGTAGGTAAATAAACAAAATTACCACACTTTCTTACCAAAATTTAGCTACTTCTTTCTTCATTAAGCACTCCCCTGTTTGCTGTATCTGTTTAGATTCCAGAGTTATAAAAAAGATTATTTTGTCCGTTGTTGCCAGCTGAATGTTTTTTTTCAGTGGAGTGGCCATTTATTGATGTTTCCTATTCTGTCATGTTGATGATGCCACCTCTCTGTAGCTCTCGTTACATATACATTATTAGTTACATAAAAAGCATTTTAATCCATTATAATTAATGAAATAGTAAAATACTACAATCAATTTTAAATACCTTGTTCTACAACACTAACCTTGGTCTCTTTCATCAGCATACTGCCTTTTCCTAAAAGATGCCACTGTCATTATTACGAGTGTTTCATAGACACTTAAAATATATAAATGTGTTTGCTTTACATAAATGGTATCTTATTGCAGGCAGTACTCTACAAGTTGCTTTTTTATCTAATAATATGATTTGAAAAGCTACTCTTAGTGTCACTTATAAATCTGGTTCATCATACCTAGCCTTCAATTAGATTACTAATTGAAAAGCAACTGAAATCTTTTCACTACAAGTTTTTGAAATACTAGGGGGAGGAAAGATAATGAGACCTAGGATTAGCCACTAGGAATGAAGAGATTGATATTAGGAAGAGAAGGTTGAAAAGATCCAAGATGGAAAGTTCTTAAATAATCCACTTTTCCTTCTGGAAAAAGAGTGACACCAAATAATCCTCTTGATTGGTGCTTTTTTATTTTGAATTTAGTTTTCTAAATGTTCTCCTAGCTAGAATAAATCTACTTTTTCTGAATCAACATAGCACTATTTTTCCTTTCTCATTTATACTATGAATGAAAGGAATCACATGCAAAATATACTGAAAAAACCTCTACATGTAAAAAGTAAAAAGACAAACCACAAATACAAAAATGGCACAAGATTGAAAAGGTACTCCATAAAAGAAGATATCCAAATTTTCAATGAGCACAGAAAAAAAAAATTTGTATCATTAGTCAAAAAAACTAGTACAATATGATATTACAACTCACTACATAAAAAAACAACTCATAGATTTATACTAATAAGTGGATAAAGAAATACAGTCATGCACTGCATAGCAATATTTTGGTCATTGACAGACCACATATAAGATGATGATGTCATAAGATTATAATGGAGTGAAAATATTCCTATTGCTTAGTACTTACTCTAATATACCTTTTATCATTATTTTGGAGTATACTTCTTCTACTTATATTAGAAAAACGAAGTTAACTCTAAGACTCCCTCAGGCAGGTTCTTCATGAAATTCCAGAAGGCATTGTTATCATTGGAGATGACAACTCCATGTGTCCTATTGTCCCTGAAGACCTGCCAGTGGAAAATGATGTGGAGATGAAAGTTGGTGATATTGATGATCCTGACCCTCTGTAGGCCTAGGCTAATGTGTGTGGTTGTATCTTCCTTCTTAGCAAAAAGTTGTAAAAGTAGAAAGATAAAAGTTTAAAACTACTAAAAAAAGCTTATAGAATAAGGATATAAAGAAAAATGTTTTTGTACAGCTATACAATGTGTGTGTTTTTTAAACTAAGTGCTATTAAAACATCCAGTAGTTAAAAAGATAAAATTTTATAAAGTAAAAAATAGTTAAATTAAGCTAAGGTTAATTTATTATTGAATAAATTATTTATGTTTACTGTAGGCTAAGTGTATAGTGTTTATAAAGTCTACAGTAGTGCACAGTAATGTACTAGGCCTTCAATTTCATCCACTAACTCACTGACTCACCCAGAGCAACTTCCAATCCTGCAAGCTCCACTGATGGTAAGTGCCATATACAGGTGTACTGTTTTTTATCTTTTATGTCATATTTCTACTGTACTTTTTCTAGGTTTAGATATGTTTAGATACACAAATGCTGACTACTGTATTACAGTTGCCTACAGTATTCAATAATGGAACATGCCATACAGGTTTGCATCCTGGGAGCAATAGGCTGTACCACCTGGCCTAGGTGTGTAGTAGGCTATACCATCCAGGTTTGTATAAATACATTCTATGATGTTTACACCACAAAATTGCTTAAGGGCACATTTCTCAAAATTTATCCCTGTTAAGTGATGCATGACTGTACATGAATAAAGGAGAAAGGAAATGTATTCTATATAGTAAACTCTTAACTAATAAATATATATTAACTTGTACTATAATCACTATATGTAATTATACCACTCCTTTCTCAACCTATAAACTTTGAATCAAATGGTATTTTTATACTTAATTTTGAATTTACAATTGAAAGCAGTGGCCAGCTACTGTGTTCTGAAAATATAAAGGATATCAACAGATAATATTAGTAAGAATGAATATGTATATGAATTTAAAATGTACATTTCTTATTTTATGCTATTTCCTTAGATGTAATTATTTAGAATCATTTGCAGAATCCAGTTAGAATTGACCATACTTTCTTTTAAAGGCTTCTTAGTTAATGAGAAGATAATTATTTTTTTCTCGTTGGTAAATATAATAACCTGAGATTCACTATTTAGCTAAAACATTTTAAAAAATTTTATTTTAGGTTCAGGGGTACATATAAAAGATGGTTATATAGACGAATTGCCTGTCACAAGGATTTGGTATGCACATTATTTCATCATATGTATATTGCTAATAGTATGCTTATCATATGCTTATTACCAGTAGTATGCTTATTACTAGTATAGTATTTACTAATAAGCATAGTATTTGATAGGTATTATACTAGCAATAAGCATACTACTGCTAATAAGCACACTACTCAAAAGGTTTTTCAATCCTCTGCCTTCTCCCACCCTCCACCTTCAAGAAGGCCGTAGTATCTGTTTTTCCCTTCTTTGTGTTCATGTGTACTCAATGTTTAGCTTCCACTTATAAGTGAGAAGACGTAGTATTTGATTTTCTGTTCCTGAATTAGTTTGCTTAGGATCTTGACCACCAGCACCATCCATGATGCTGCAAAGGACATGATCTTGTTCTCTTC
This sequence comes from Homo sapiens, assembly GCF_000001405.40. Taxonomy (NCBI): domain Eukaryota; kingdom Metazoa; phylum Chordata; class Mammalia; order Primates; family Hominidae; genus Homo; species Homo sapiens. The sequence continues at coordinate 99,562,570 of NC_000023.11, read as the reverse complement.
TATGGCTGCATAGTATTCCATGGTGTATATGTATCATATTTTCTTTCTCCAATCTCCTGTTGATGGTCACTTATGTTGATTCCATGATTTTGCCATTGTGAATAATGCTGTGATGAATATACGCATTAATGTGTCCTAATGGTAGAAAGATTTATATTATTTTGGATAAATACCCAATAATGGGATTGCTGGGTCAAATGGTACTTAAGGTTTTAAGTTATTTGTGAAATCATCAAGCTGCTTTCCACAATGGCTGAACGAATTTACATTCCTATCAGCAGTGTATAAGCATTCCCGTTTCTCTGCAATGTTGCCATCATCTGTTATTTTTGACATTTTAATAATCACGAATCTGACTGGTGTTAGATAATATCTAATTGTGGTTTTGATTTTCATTTCTCTAATGATTAGTAATCTTGAGCATTTTTTTCCTATGCTTGTTGTCCACATGTACGTCTTCTTTTCAAAAATGTTTGTTGATGTCCTTTGCCCATTTTTTAATGTGGTTGTTTTTTGCTTGCTGATTGGTTTAAGTTCCTCAGGGATTCTGGATAGTAGACTTTAATAAGATGTAAAGTTTGTAAATATTTTCTTCCATTCGGTAGGCTGTCTCTCTGCTCTGTTGATAGTTTCTTTTATTGTGCAGAAGCTCTATAGTTTAGTTAGGTCCCACTTGTCAAATTTTGCCTTTGTTGCAATTGCTTTTTAAGTCTTTGTCATACAATTTTTGCCAGGGCCTATATCCAGAATGGTATTTCCTAGGTTTTCTACTAGGGTTTCTATAGTTTTAAATTTTACATTTAAGTCTTTCATTAATATTGATGTGATTTTTAGATATAATGAAAGGAAGGAGCCTGGTTTCAAGCTTTGGCATTTTGGCAGCCATTTATTCCAGCACTGTTTATTAAATAGAGAGGCCCTTCCCCATTGCTTGTTGTTGTTAACTCTGTCCAAGATCAGGTGGTTGTAGGCGTGTGGCATTGTTTTTGGGCTCTCTATTCTGTTCCATTGGTCTCTACATGTCTGTTTTTGTACTAATATCATACTGTTTTGATTACTCTAACTTTGAAGTACAGTTTGATATTGGGTAGTGTGATGTCTCTGGGTTGTTTATTTTTTATTTATTTTATTTTTTTATTTTTATTTTTTTGCTGAGGATTGCTTTGGCTATTTAGTTTTTTTGTTGTTGTTCCATATGAATTTTACAATAGTTTTTCTTATTCCATGACAATATCTCATTGGTATTTTGATAAAAATAGCATTGAAGCCAATTGCTTTGGGCTGTATGGTCATTTTAAAGATATTAATTATTTTTATTCATGAACATAGAATGTTTTTCTATTTATTTGTGTGACCTCTGAATTCTTTCAGCAGTATTTTGTAATTTTTGTGGTAGAGATCTTTCATCTCTCTGGTTAGCTGTATCCCTAGATATTTTACTCTTTTTTTGGCTATTATGAATTGGATAACATTCTTTTTTTTTTTTTTTTTTTTTTTGAGATGGAGTTTTGCTCTTGTTGCCCAGGCTGGAGTGCAATGGTGCAATCTTGGCTAACTGCAGCCTCTGCCTCCCAGGTTCTAGCAATTCTCCTGCCTCAGCCTCCCAAGTAACTGGGATTACAGGAGCCTGCCACCATGCCTGGCTAACTTTTTTATATTTTTAGTAGACACAGGGTTTCACCATGTTGGCCAGGCTGATCTTGAACTCCTGCTTCAGATGATCTGCCTGCCTCGGCCTCCTGAAGTGCTGGGATTATAGGCATGAACCACCACATCTGACCTGGATAATGTTCTTGATTTGGCTATCAGCCAATGTCATTGGCTTATAGAAATGCTAGTGATTTTTGTATGTGGATTTTGTATCCAGAAACATTGCTGAAGTTGCTTATAATTTCTAGGAGCCTTTGGATAGACACTATTGAGTTTCCTAGGTATAGAATCATATGTCTAAAAAGGGAAATAATTTGACTTCCTCTCTAAGTTGATGCTTTTTATTTCTTTCTCTTGCCTGATTGCTCTGGCTAGGACTTCCAGAACTATACTGAGTAGGTGTGGTGAGAGTGGTCATCATTGTCTTGTTCCAACTCTTAAAGAGAATGCTTCCTTCCTGTTCAGTATGACATTGACTGTGGGTTTGCTATAGAAGGCTCCTATTATTTTGAGGTATGTTCCTTCAATATGTAGTTGGTTGAGGGTTTTTAACATGAATGGATATGGAATTTTATCAAAAGCTTTGTGTGCATCTATTAAGAGAATCATGTGTATTTTGTTTTTAGTTCTGTTTAAATTTGGTTCTACTAGTATTTTGTTAAGAATTTTTGCCTCTATGTTCATCAGAGATATTGACCTGACATTTTCCTTTTTCACTGTGTCTCTGCCAGGTTTCATTATCAGAATGATGCTGGCCTTGCAGAATGAGTAAGGGAGGAGTCCTTTCTCCTCAGTCTTTTAGTATAGTTTCAGAAGGATTGGTACCAGCTCTTTGTTATACATCTGGTAGAATTGGGCTGTGAATCTGTCTGGCCTTTGGCTTTTTTCTGGTTGGTAGGTTTTTATCACTCACTCAATTTTGGAACCCATTGGTCTTTTGGGGGTTTCCTTTTCTTTCTGATTCAATCTTAGGAGGTTGTATGTTTCCGGGAATTTCTCCATTTCTTCTAGGTTTTCTAATTTATCTGGATGGAGGTGTTCATAACTGTCATTGAGGGTATTTTGTGTTTCTGTAGGGTTGGTGGTAATGACTCCTTTGCCTTTTCTGCTTGCGATTATTTGAATCTTCTCTCTTTTTTCTTTATTAGTATAGCTAGTGGTCTATCAATCTTATTTATCCTTTACAATAGTAAACTTTTAGTTTCATTGATCTTTTGCACAGTTTTTCATGTCTCAATTTCATTCAGTTTAGCTCTGATTATGGTTCTTCATTTCCATCTGGTAGCTTTATGGTTGATATTCTCTTGTTTTTCTAATTCCTCTAGGTCTAATGTTAGGTTGTTAATTTTAGATCTTTCCTTTTGATGCAGGGATTTAGAACTATAAACTTTCCTATTACTGCTTTAGCAGTGTCCCAGAAATTCAGACATGTTGTTTCTTTTGTTTCATTCGTTTTAATAATTTCTTGATTTTTCCCCTTAATTTCATTGATTACCCAAAAGTCATTCAGGCACTGATTATGACATTTCCATGTAATTGTATAGTTTTCAGAGATATTCTTGGTATTGATCTCTATTTTTATTGCACTGTTGTCTGAGAGTGGTGTTACATCAGAACAATTGTTCTCAGCTGAGGACAATTTTTATCTTCCTCACAGGGAACATCTGGCAATTGTCATTATTTTATTTCTATGCCTTGTGGGAGGGTGCTACAGGCATCTAGTGAATGTAGGCCAGGAATGCTGCTAAATACCCTAAAATGAACAGAAAATTTCCACCCAACAATTACCTAGTTGAAAATGACCATAATGCTGAGGTTGTAATACTCTGTCTCAGAATCATAGGGTAAAATTCTAGGTATATATTTCCTGCATCATTCTACAACTCTTCTGAGTACGTGGAAATCCATGCCCTTGTATGCTATTTTTTTTCATTCCGTACATTTTCTTAATGCCATGCTTTCTCTAGAAAAATAGTAATATGAAAGAATAAGAATACAGCTGAAGAGGGAATAAATTGAGAGAGTAGCTAGTAAAACTGATTCAGAGGAGGCTTAGACACTTTATTTAAAAACGTATAGCTAGCAATATCAACAATATGGTGAAGCATAAGATACAAGCCTTCATTCTCACACAAAGAAGAGCAATTAGACAGCTATCCAACAAAAATAATAGCCTTGGGAGGGATGAAGGATTCAATTAAGGATCAGCAACAACACAATGGATCAATAAAATAGAGAGTACTTCACAGAAAGGATCACTGGGGAGACCAGCATATGTGAGAAATATGGAGACAGCCAGTTTGGAGACTATCAGTATCAATCATATGGCATGTGCCAAGAGCAGCATTCTCTGCTGAAGTAACCAGCAGCCATTACCACTATGGAACCCACAGAGAAGTAGACACAGTATTATGCCCCCTAAGAAGAAGACATTGTTGTGCTACCCCAGAACCAGGGCCACCACCAATGAATGGTGCACACCCCAATGCATGTCCCAGCAACATGCATTACCCAGACCATGGGACCGCAGCTGCTCCACGTGTGTGCACTCCAGAATCAAAGTCCATAACTACACCACAAATTCCTATGGCTCAGAAACTGATGCTAGTGCCACCGTGAAATAGCACTGCCCCAGGCCTCAGAATCATGGTTACTCTGTGTTCTCCTATGCTATAGTCCCTGTCTCTGCTGCTGCTGCTCTGTGAGCACATGTGCCTTGGACAGCTATGCCAGCTGCAGAGTGACTTAGCACGTGCACCTGACCCCATTATTGATGCATAAGTTCCTACATTTTAGACACTGGCTCTGAAACCATGCTGCAACTACTTGCACCACAGACATCAGAGCCACTACTAGAGCAAGTGTCTTCTTACTCTGGTTCCCAGAGCAGCAGTAGCTCTGCACCAACCTGTACTCCAGACCCTGGCTCCATGTCCACAATGCAAGCACCCATGCATCACATACTGTTAAAAACATGGAAATGGGGTGCCACTGCTTCCTCAGACCCCAAAGCCATCATCCTTCTATGCATGCCCACACTTCATACCTTAGCTCTGTTGCTATTCCACAGGCATTGTACATCAGACACTAGTGCCATCACCACTGAAGTACATCTGCAAGCGTGATTTGGGGACAAAAGGGATCCACTCAGCCACTACATTCCCTGTGGGAGAAAATGTTATTAGGAGAATCTCAGAAGCCACTACCATTGAAGACGTCATCAGCCTTTGTTGCTGCTGCAGACACCCATAGGCTTGGCTGCTGAGGACTCCTACAATCTTCTTTGATGCCAGTCTCAGAGAGTAGAGCTCCATGGGGATTATGCTACTGTGGTTTCACCAGAGCCATGACCACAACACCTCATCCAACAAGTTCCCTTGCACCCACCTATAGGGGAAAGTCTTTCCCACTAAAATCAGTCCACAAAGTCAAGAAGAGATAATGGATGAATCAAAAGCACAGATCTCAATCAAGGCAACACAAAACATGAAAATCAAGGAAACATGACACCACCACAGGAATACAATAATTTTCCAGTAACTGGCCCCAGGGACAAGGAGATCTATGAATTGTCTGACAAAGAATTCAGAATAAGTGCTTTAAGGAAGTTCAGCAACTTCCAAAAAAACACAGATGTACAAATGAACAAAATCAGAAATATAATACACACAAAATTGAGAAGTTCAATATAGAGATAGAAATAATTTTAAAAAGAGTGAAATTCTGCAGTTGAAGAATTCAATATAAGAAATGAAAAATGCAAATAAAAAGCATCAATAGCAGAATTGACTAAGGAGAAGGAAGAATCTGTGAACTCTTAAGAGATGTAATTGTAAAATATCTAGGCGAAGGATAAAAAAGAAAAAAAGAATAAAAATAAAGAAAGCCTAGGGGATTTATAGGGCACCATCAAAAGAGCTAACTTTGCATTATAGGGGTTCCAGAAAGAGAACAGATAAATAAAGGGAAAGATTTAACGAATATTGACTGAAAACTCCCCAAATCTGGAAGAAGATACAAACGTGTATGTACATCAAGCTCAAAGGAATGCAATAAGATTCAAACCAAATGAAAGTACACCACAATATATTATAACCAAACTTTAAAAAAAGAAAAAATATAGTCTTCAAAGAGTATTAAAAAGATAAGAGAAAAGTGGTTCTTCACATACAAGGAAATGACTATAAGGCTATCTGGATTTCTTGGCAGAAACTTTGCAGGTCAGGAGACAGGAAGAACGTGCTGAAACAAAAAACTGCCAAACAAGATTACTTTTTCTGGCAAAGCTATTGTTCAGAAATGAAGGAGAGAAAAAGACTTCCAGACAAACAAGAGCTGATGTAGTTCATCATTACTAGATCTGCCTTACAAGAAATGCTAAAGGAAATTTTCCAAGCTGAAATGAAAGAATGCTAATTGGTAACATGAAATCTTATAAAAGTATAAAAATCACTGGTGAAAGTAAATAAATATTCAAATACAGATAAATAGTCAAAAACAGAATATTCTAATACTTTAATGGTGGTATGTAAATCACTTAGATCTCTAGTATAAAGTTAAAAGACAAAACAAATTAAATAACTATAGCTACAATAATTTGTGAATAAATATGCAATATAAAAATATACACATTGTGCCATCAAAAACATAAAATTGGGAAAAGTAAAAGTCTAGAATGCTTATGTGCCATTGGAATTAGAATGTTATCAGCTTAAATGACTTATAATATTGTATATGTAAACCTCAGGGTAACCATAAAGCAAAAACCTATGGTAGATGCAAAAAAAGATAACAAAAATGAAATTAAAGCATACTATTACAGAAATATGGAGGCAGAAAGAGAAAAATAAGGAATGTCAACAAAACATCCAAACACAATTATCAAAATAGCAATAATAAGTCCGTATCTAACAAAACTTACATTGAATTCACATAGATTATATTCTCCAATCAAAATGCAGAGTGGCTAAATGGATTAACAAGGTGAGCTGTCTATATACTGCCTACAAGAGACTCACACCAGATTTAGAGACATACCTGTGAAAGCATGGAAAAAGAGATATTCTATTCAAATAGAAACAAACAGCAGAAATAGCTATACTTATATCAGATAAAATAGAATTTATGTCAAAAACTGTACAAAAAGACAAAAGTTGTTTGATAATGATAAAAGGGTCAATTCATCAAGAGGAAATAAAATTGTAAATATATACACACCCAACATCACAGTACCTAAATATATATTAAAAATTAATTGATCTGAATGGAGAGATAGACAACAATACAAAAATAATCACCTTCAATGCCTAATTTTCAACAATGTATAGATAATCCAGAAAAAGAATCAATAAAAACTATTGGGTTTGAACTACAGTGTAGACCAAACAGTCCTAACAGACATATACAGAACATTCCATTCAATAGCCATAGAATATACATTCTCAAGCGCACCTGAAACTTTCTCCAGTATAAATCAAAAATTAGGCAAAAGACAAGCTTTAATAAACTTAAGACTGAAATTATGTCAAGTATCTTTTCTGACCACAATGGCACGAAACTAGAAATCAATAATAAGAGGAATTTTTAAAAATCTAAAAATATGTGGCAATTAAACAACACACTCCTGAACAACCAATGGATCAAACATGAAATTTAAAAAAATGTAAATATATACTGAGATGAAGAGCGATGGAAATACAATATATCAAAACGTATGGGATGCAGCAAAACCAGTTATAAGAGGGAAGTTTATAGTGATAAAAACCTACATGAAGAAAACAGAAAGACCTCAAATAAAAAACCTAGCTATAACGGTTAAAGAAGCAAAAAAATAGAACACACTAAACTCAAAGTTAGTATAAGAAATAAAATAACAAAGAATCAGAGCAGAAAAAAATAAAATGAAGACTAGAAAAAACAATAGAAAAGTTCAAAAAATTAAGAGTTGGTTTTTAAAGATAAACAAAATAGAAAAACCTTAGCTTTCTATTTAAATAAAGATAAACAAAATAGAAAAACCTTCTTTAGCTAGACTAAGAAACAAAAAGAGAAAATTAAAATAAATAAAATTAGAAACAAAAAGTGGTACATTAAAACTGATACTACAGAAATATGAAGGATGACAGGAGACTTCCAAAAACAATTGTACACAACAAATTGGATAACCTAGAAGAAATGGATGAATTCCTAGAAACATACCACTTACCAAGACTGAATCTTTAAAAAATAGAAAATGTGAACAGATTCTAAATGAGAAAGGACATTGAATTAATAATGAACTAATCTCCCATCAAAGAAAAGCTCAGGAGCTGATGGCTTTACTTATGAATTCTACCAAGCATTTAAAAAACAATAGCAAAGACATGAAATGCTGGAGGCCATTATCCTGAGAGAATTAATGCAGGAACAGAAAGCTAAATACAACGTGTTTTTACTTATAAGTGAGGGCTAAACATTGAGCACACATGGACTCAAAGAAGGAAACAACAGACACTGAGACTAGTTGAGGGTGGAGGTTGGAAGGAGGGTGAGGACTGAACTACCTATCAGGTATTATGCTGTTCACCTGGGTACAAATTTATCTGTATATCAAACCTCCACAATATGCAATTTACCAATGTAACAAACCTGCACGTGTACCCCTTGAACCTAAAATTAAAGTTCAAAAGAAAAAATATTATGGCAACCCTATCAAACTCTTTCAAAAAACTACAGAGGCAGTAACACTTCCAAACTCATCTTATGAGGACAGCATTATCCTGATACCAAAGCCAAACAAAAGAAAATTACAGGGTCATTATCCCTGATGAATATAGATTCAAAAGTCCTAAACATCATACTAGCAAAGCAAATTCAAGGACACATTAAAAGGATCATTCACCACTAACAAGTGATATATATCCCTGGAATCCAAAGATGGTTCAGCATACACAAATCCATAAATGTGATACACCACATTACACGGTTCCCTCATATTTTTTTTTTTTTTTTTTTTTTTGAGACAGAGTCTCACTCTGTCGCCCAGGCTGGAGTGCAGTGACACGATCTTGGCTTATTGCAACCTCCACCTCCCAGGTTCAGGCAATTCTCCTGTCTCAGCCTCCCGAGTAGCTGGGACTACAGGCGCCCACCACCATGCCTGGCTAATTTTATTTATTTATTTATTTATTTTTTAGTAGAGACATGGTTTCACCATATTGGTCAGGCTTGTCTCAAACTCCTGACCTCAGGTGATCCACCCACTTTGGCCTCCCATAGTGCTGGGATTACAGGCATGAGCCCCCACGCCCGGCCGGTTCCCTTAAATTTTTTAAAATAAAATATACTTGAGGTGATGTTTCTTTAAATACAAATGTCGAAATTATTGTATAATTATTAATGGCAAACTTAATACTTGCTAGCCCTTAGGTACTGGGAAAACAGCGACAAGGCAACCCTCATGAAGCTAATAGGAAATATTAGGCAAATAATAAAATTTGTTAAAAATTCAATGTAAGGGGGTTGTATAATGATGTAATATTAAAAAATGGGTACTTGATAAAGGGGGAAGAGCTAAAGTTTCATACTTTTAAAGGTAAATTTAAAACGTGGGAAATTCATAATAAATTCAATAAATATGGAATATTAAACCCATATATAGAGTATGATCAAATTTTTGTTATGTTTCTATGAATATGATCTAAATTTAGAGTTGATATGCACACACGCACATATATGTGTGTGTGTGTGTGTGTGTGTGTGTGTGTGTGTAAGGAGAGAGAGAGAGAGAGAGAGGAAATGAGGATAAAGCAAGAGTAGGAGGGAGAGGAAGGAGAGATAAAAGGAGAGACTGAGAATGAATGAATGGAAATTCACCAAAATGCTAATAGTTATCTCTGGATATGGGTAGAGATTTTATCTCTGATATGGGCACAGAAAGATTTTCTTTTCTCCTTTTCACATATATATATATATGTGTGTGTATATATATATGTGTGTGTGTATATATATATATATATATATATATATATATATATATTCGTATGTTTTCCAAATTTAGAACAAAGAAGATGCATTACAGTTACTTAGTAAAACAATTTGGCAGTTTCATATGAAGTTATATATTAACTTACCCTACAACCCAATAATTTCACTTCTAGGCATTTACCCAAGAGAAATAAAAGCATACTATCCACTAAAATACCTGTATACAAATGTTCCTAGCAGTTTTATTGGTAATCATCGCCAACTGGAAACAATCCAAATGTATATTAGCAGGTGAATGGACAAACATACTGTAGTATATCCACACAATGCAATCATAAATGCTTTATTCTCAGCAATTAAAAACACAGAACTTGTTGATTTAAGTATCTTGTAAATTCTGGGTATTAGGCCTTTGTTTGATGCACAGTTTGCAAATATTTTCTCACTTTCTATAGGTTGTTTGCTCTCTTAATAATTTCTTTTGCTGTGCAGTAGCTCTTTAGTTTGATTAGGTCCATTTGTTAATTTTTTATTTTGGTGTAATTGATTAAACAAATCAACAAGCATAAAGCAAGTAATTCAATTTAAATATCGACAAAGGACATGAACAGACACTTCTCAAAAGAAGATGTATAAGCATCCAAAATATGAAAAAATGCTCCATATTACTAATCATCGGAGAAATGCAAATCAAAATGAGTATGAGACACAATTTCACGCCTGTCAGAATGGCATTTGTTAAAAAGTCAAAATTTAACAGATGCTGGTGAGGCTGTGGAGGAAAGGGAATGCTTATACACTGTTGGTGAGAATGCAAATTAGTTCAGCCATTGTGAAAAACAGTTCAGAGATCTGTCAAAGAACATAAAACTACATTTTGACCCAGCAATTCTATTACTAGGATATACCTAAAGGAAAATAAACTATTCAGCCAAAAAGACACGTGCATTCGTATGTTCACTGCAGCACTGTTCACAATAACAAAGTCAAGGATTCAACTTAGGTGCACATCAAAGGTGGATTGGATAAATAAAATATGGTACATATACACCACGGAATACTATACAGCTATATAAAAGAATAAAATTATGTCCTTTGCAGCCACATAGATGCAGCTGGAAGCCATTATCCTAAGCAAATTATTATAGTAACAGAAAACCAAATACTGCATATTCCCGCTTGTAAGTGGGAGCTAAACATTGAATACTCATGGACATGAAGATGGAAACAATAGCCACTGGGTCCTAGACGGGGAAGCGAGAGAAGATATTGGGTACTATGCTCACTACTTGGGTGACAGGACCATCCACCTCAAACTTCAGCATCTAGCAATATCACCTTGTAACAAACCTGTGCATGTACCCCGACTCCAATTTTTTAAAAAATAAATTCTTAAAAAAAGAAATAAATAGAATTTAAACTTAAAAAATTGCAGCTGATACATAAAACAACATGGGTGAACGTCACAGACATTGTTTGAAAAAGAAAACTGATCCAAAAAGTACATATTCCCCTCCCTATGTTCATGTGTTCTCCTCGTTCAACTCCCTTGTTCAACTTCCACTTATCAGTGAGAACATACTGTGTTTGGTTTTCTGTTCTTGTGATAGTTTGCTGAGAATGATGGTTTCCAGCTTCATCCATGTCCCTGCATAGGACATGAACTCATCCTTTTTTATGACTGCATAGTACACCATACACCAGGGCCTGTCGGGAGGTGGAGGGCTAGGGGAGGGATAGCATTAGGAGAAATACCTAATGTAGGTGACAGGTTGATGGGTGTAGCAAACCACCATAGCATGTGTTATACCCATGTGACAAATCTGCACATTCTGCACATGTACCCCAGAACTTAAAAGTATAATAATAAAAAATATGTATTATCTGATAACATACGTGTGAAGTCAAAGAACATGTAAAACTCATCTATGATGTTAGAAATCAGAACCACAGTTGTTTGTCCAAAAATATGACAGAGTGAGAAGGAGCATGACGGGACATTTTGCCACAGTGGAAATGTTGTATATTATTATTGTAAGTGGTGGTTACGTGAGTGTATATAACTGTCAAAACTCATTTACCTGAACATTTAAAATCTGTCCATTTTATTGTTGGTACTTTCTACCTGAATAATATTCATCTAAATATATCTATATTAACACCAAGAATAATGCCTGGCTCATGGTAGGTGCTGAATGGATATCTGAGAAATGAATATATTAGTAAATTTTCTATCAGCACCACTTTTGCCATAACCCATAGCTTTTGGTATGAGTGGCTTTGTTGTTGACGTCCCAAGAAAATGTGAGTTCACGTTTCAATTCCCTTTTATTGAATGAGCCATGCAAAATAACCTTTTTGTCTTTAATTTTCCATTGGATTATTTTAGGACATGTTCACATTGTTGTATATTTATAATATTATCACATGGCTATACATAGGTGTGCCCTCTACATTTTATTCTTTTTGAAATTGAGAGTTTTGGTAGCATAATGGAGAACTGCTAAAATTTATTTCAATAATGACTGAAAATATTATACATTTTCTGTTTCTTGTATTTTGAATAGCGTATGTGATATATACTTCAAAGCTGTGCTGCTAGATAAAAAGGTTTCATTTTCCTTATATATTCTTGGTGGGAACTGTCTTCCATCTTTATAGAAATATTTGTATTTTTTATCTTTAATAAGTTTCACCACAGTGTTACTGTTTCTGAATATTTATTTATCCATTATTTATTTTAATTTGCCCACCTTGGTACTCTATTTATATTATTTTAAATAGAAAATGCTTCCTAAATTTGCTTACCATCCTTTGACATGGAACAGGATAATCATTTTCTGTATTTTATAATTTTAGATTATCCATCAATATGAGCACTTTCTAATAGCTTCCCTATATATTGTTTTTTTCTCTCTTTCTCTCCCCCTCCATCCCTTTTTCCACACCCTTCTCTAGCCTGATTTTGGTTGGGTTGAACTAATTTTCATTGTTGTATTTTTTTTCCTTAAGTGTTTAAGAAATCTGATGCTTCTTTTTGTACATATGGATTTCCTTTCTCTCCCCTCTAGATAAATATGCATTGTTGTGCCTAATTATGTCTTCAAAATCAGAAATTTCAGTCATTCCAAAGTTCTAGAATTATCTTGGGATTTTTGTTCAAATGATGGCCAAACGACTGGTCAGGATGTGGAAATCAGAGCAAGGGTTGAGGCCCTTATTTCCACAGTGATAGAAGGATTTAGGTACGCATGCAAAGTAGAGCTAAGACTAGGATTTTAATCCTGTAGTTGGGGAGCCCACCTTCATGAGTTTCACCAATACCGTAGTACCAAGATAAGTTTTCTAGTTCAGTCATGACTTTGAAGTAATTGCGTAATGCCCTTCAAATAATGACAGTGGCTAATTGAACCTATGTGTCAGACACTAATTTAAGAAATTTACAGGTATTATCTTATTCAGAGATTACCTGTCATATACTTTACAAATATTGTATATTCTGAGCTATAAATTTTGCTCCCATAATTGAATGGTGGTCTAACTAAGTATTACACTACGTATTTTAAATAATTTTCCCACAGAAATAGGAAAAAACATATGTCAATATTGCTGTCATATTTTGTGCATAATTAATTTTACTTGAGGTTCTTTTTTATTGAGATGGAGTTCACATAACATAAAATGAAACATTTTAAAGTGAACAATTTAGTTACATGTATTTAGTACATCAGCAATATTGTGCAACCACAATTTGTATTTACAAAATATTTCACCATCACCTAAAACAAATCCTCATATCATTAAGCAGTTGCTATTCATCTTCTTTTCTACCCAGCCTCAGGTATGCAGCAATCTGCTTTCTGTTCCTATGGATTTGCCTGTTCTAAATATTTAATATAAATGGAGTCATTTAATATATGCAGCCTTTTGTGTGTGAATTCTTTCACACAGCATGCTTTCAAATTTGTCCACATCATATAATACCCGTTAGAATAATTAATTGGGAAGCCTTTAGGCTGAGGCAGATCCAACATCCCATGATTGTATGAAAGAAAACCACAACCCAACTCAGTGTAAACAGTGAAATAAATTTTCAAGTTTAACCAATTAGAAACCACCAAATAACCTCTAAATGGGGACTTTCTACTGGAATAATACAAATAAGGATATTTCTCCACTTTAATCAAATATTTTATTTGCCTTGCTTCCATGCTTAATCTATAGAAGCCTTCACCTTGTGCCCTTTCTGTGGAGCCCCCAAACCACCTGCAGTCTGACAGATCTCAATTCATAAATTGATGTTTGCTCAAATAACTCTAATATTTTAATGTGCCTCAGTTTATCTTTTAACATGTCTCAGCATTTCATTCTTTCTGATGGCTGAATAATATTCCATCATGTGTATATACCATGATTTATTTATCCATTCACCTGTTCATAAAATGTGTACATTTGCTTCTGTGAATATGCTATGAACATATGTATTCACATATTTGCTTGGTACCTGTTTCAATTATTTGGAATATATACCTAATATTGGAATTGTGGTATAATATAAATAATGTGATATTTAACTTCTAGTTTTTGCCAAATTGTTTTCCATAGAAGCTGAAACATTTTATATACCAACCTGATCGATATAAGGGTTCCAATTTGTTTCCATCCTCACAAACACTTATTGTTTTCCATTTTTAAATATATTAAGGCCATACTAGTAGGTACAAAGTGGTGTTTCATTTTGGTGTTCCTTCACACTTCCCTCATGACTAAATATGTTGAGCATATTTTCATGTGTTTGCTGGTCATTTGTGTATCTTCTTTGGAGAGATGTCTATTGAATTATTTCGCCCATTTTTAAGTGGAATTTATTGCCTTTTTGTTACTGACTTGTAAACATTACTTTTATTTTGTGGATACTAGACTCTTAGATATACGATTTGGAAATATTTTCTGCCTTTTTTTTTTTTTTTCTTTTGAAACGGAGTCTTGCTCTGTCGCCCAGGCTGGAGTGCAGTGGCTTGATCTTGGCTCACTGCAAGCTCCGCCTCCCGGGTTCACGCCATTCTCCTGCCTCAGCCTCCCGAGTAGCTGGGACTACAGGCACCCACCACCAGGCCCAGCTAATTTTTTTGTATTTTTTAGTAGAGACAGGGTTTCACCGTGTTAACCAGGATGGTCTCGATCTTCCGACCTTGTGATCTGCCCGCCTCGGCCTCCCAAAGTGCTGTTATTACAGGCGTGAGACACCGTGCCCGGCCATTTTCTGCCATTCATTAGATTGTCTTGATAATGTTCTTTCATGCACGAAGTTTTTAATTTTGATAAAGTCAAATTTATCAATTTTTTTCTTTCACTGCTCATGCTTTCTGTGTCATATTTAAGAAATTAATGCCAAATTAAAAGTTATGAAAACTTATCTCTATCTTTTCTTCTAAGAGATTTGTGGTTTTTGCTCTGCGATCTATGTCATGGGTTTATTTGAGTTACTTTTTTGTACGTTGTGTGAAGTAGGGGTCCAAGTTCATCCCTTTGTATGTGGATATTTAGTTGTTCCAGCATCCTGTTTTGAAGGGACTATTATTTTTTCTGTTTAATTTTCTTTGGACTTTGCTGAAAATCTTCCATAGGTAAGTGGGTTTGTTTCTGAATGCTTTTGCTATTCCATGGGTCTATATGTCCATTTTTATGCAAGTATCACACTGTATTGACTACTGTAGACTTATAATAAGTTTTGAAATCAGTAAGTGTGAGTTCTCCTACATTTGCTTTTACTAAATTTTTTTGACTACTTGAGGCTTCTTGCACTTACATATTCATTTGAAGATTTATTTATTTTATTTCTTCAAAACAGGCCGTTGGAATTTTGATAAGGATTTTATTGAATATCTTTGTCACTTTGGGTAGTAGTGCCATTTTAATAATATTAAGTCTTCCAGTAAATAAACATAGGATATCTTTCAATTTATTTAGCTCTTGTTTTTCAGCAGTATTTTGTGGCTTTTGGTACACAAATCTTTTGTCTCATTGGTTAAGCTTATTTCAAGATGTTTTATTCTTTAAGTGCTCTTGTTAATGAAATTGCTTTCTTAATTTCCATTCAGCATGGTTAGTTGCTGGTGTATTAAAACACAATCTAATTTTTCATGTTGATATTGTGCCTTGAAATTTTGCTGAATTTATTAACTATCACTAATAGGTTTTTTTAGGTTCTATTTATAGAGTTATGTCATCTGCAAATATAAGTAATTTTCCTTCTTTCATTCCAATTTGGATTATACACACACACACAGATATATATATATATATATATATATATATTTCTTTATTACTCTAGTTAGAACTGCCAGATCAATGTTGAAAAGCAATCTTGAAAGTGAGCATCCTTGTCTTATTCCTGATCTCATGAGGGTAGACTTTAGTCTTTAGCTATTGAATATGATGTTAGTTCTGGGTTTCTCTAAGTGTTCTTTATCATGGTGTGAGTTTCATTCTGTTTCTAGTTTTCTGAGTGCTTCACTTCTTATTATATTGTTGTATTTTCTTTTTTGAATGATTTTTACATTAATTGAAATAAATATGTGTTTTTCTTCCCTACAATTTATTACTGTGATTGATTTCATTGATTGATACTTTTGTGTTGAACCAACTTTGCATTCCTGAGATAAATCCTACTTAGTCATGGTGTATAAGCCTTTTATTATACTGTTGGGTTTGGTTTGCTAGTATAACATTCAGGATTTGGGGATCTATTTTCATACGGGATATTTGTCTATAGTTTCCTTTCTTGTGTTTCTTTCTATAATATCATTTTTTAAGTTTATTAAGATTTGTTTTGTGTCCTTGATGATTTTCCATGTGCAGCTGAGAAAAATGTGGATTCAGCTGGTTTGGGGTATACCATTTTATATTTGTCTCTTGGGTCTACTTCATTTATAGTGCTCAGGTTCTCTATTTCCTTATTGATTTTCTGCTTAAGTGTTTTATCTATTATTCAAAGTGAAGTACTGAAGTGTTCAACTATTATTGTAGACCTATTTCTTTTTTAATTGTATTTTATCTCATATTTGCGTTAGCCAAGCTAGCTCTCTTTTCGTTACTTCTAATTTCAACCAATTTGTTTATTTGTATCCAAGGAAGTCTCTTGTAGCAGAGCATAGAGTTGGATGATGATATGAAAATATTGATGATATTCTTCACAGAACTAGAAAACGTAATCTTAAATTTATATGGAAACACAGAAGGCCAAGAATAGCCAAAGCTATCCAGAGCAAAAATAAAAACAACTGAAGTAATCACATTACCTGGCTTCTACTATAAGCTACAGTAACCAATACAACATGGTACTGGCATAAACACACACACACACACACACACACACACACACACACACACACAGATCAGTGGAGCACAACATAGAATGCAGAAACAAATCCATACATCTACAGTGAACTCATTTCCAATAAAGATGTCAAGAAAAATCACTGGGGAAAGGGAAGTCTCTTCATTAAACGGTGCTAGGAAAAATGGATATCCATACGCAGAAGAATAAAACTGGAGTCCTATCTGTTGCCATTTACAAAAATCAAATTAAAATGGATTAAAAACAAATCTAAGGGCTGGACCTCTGAAACTACTACAAGAAAACTTTGAGGCAGCTCTCCAGTACATTGGACTGGGCAAAGAGTTTTTGAGTACTACTTTACAAGCACAGGGAGCCAATGCAAAAATGGACAAATGGTATCACATCAACTGAAAAAGTTTCCACATAGCAAAGCAATCAACAAAATGAAGAGAAAACCCACAGAAGGGGGGAAAATATTTGCAGTCTCTCTATCTAACAAGGGATTAATAACCAGAACACATAAAAAGCATAAACAATTCTATATGAAAAAAATCTAATAATTCAATTAAAAATGGTCAAAAGATCTGAATAGACATTTCTCAAAAGAAGACATACAAATGGAAAATAGGTATATGAAAAGGAGGTCAATATCATTAATGATAAGATAAATGCAAATCAACATTATGATGAGATATTACCTCACAACAATTAAAATGGCTTAAATCCAAAAGAGAGTCAATAACAAATACTGGTGAGGATGCAGAGTAGAGGAAGCCCTCATACATTGTTGGTGGGAATGCACATTAGTAAAACCACTAAGGAGAACAGTTTGGAGGTTCCTCAAAAAACTAAAAATAGGGCTATCATGTGATCCAGCAATTCCATTGCTAGGTATGAAACCAAAACAAAGGAACTTGATATATCAAAGACATATCTGCATTCTCATGTTTTTTCCAGCCAAGATTTGAAAGCAACATAAGTGTCCATCAACAAATGAATGGATAAGAAAATGTGGTACATATACACCATAGAGAACTATTTAGCTATAAAAAAATGAAATACTGTCATTTGCAACAACTTGGATGAAATTGAAGGCCATTATGTTAAGTAAAATAAGCCAGGCACAGAAAGACAAACCACACATTCTCACTTATCTGTGGGATCTAAAAGCTAAAATAATTAAACTCCTGGTGACAGAGGTAGAGGAAAGGTTACCAGAGGCTAGGAAGGGTAGTAAGGAGGGGGAAATGTGGATGGTTAATGTGTACAAAAAACAATAGATAGAGTGAATAAGACTTACTATTCGATAGCACAACAGGGTGACTACAGTCAACAATAATTTATTGTACATTTTAAAATAACTAAAAGAGTATAACTGGATTGATTATAACACAAAGAAAGGATAAATGTTTGAGTACATTGATTTTCCATTTGCCCTGATGTGATTATTATGCATTGTATGTCTGCATCAAAATATCTCATGTAACCTATTGTACTAGTCTATTTTCACACTGCTATAAAGAACTACCTGAGACTGGGCAATTTATTAAGAAAACAGATTTAATTGACTCAGTTCCACAGGCTTAACAGGAAGCATGACTGGGAGGCCTCAGGAAACTTAAAATCATGGCAGAAGGTGACAGAGAAGCAAGGACTTTCTTCACAGGTTTACAGGAGAGAGAGTGACCGAGGGGACAAGTGCCACACAATTTTAAACCATTACATCTCATGAGAATTTACTATCATGAGAACAGCAAGGAGGAAATCTATTCTCATAATCCAATTACCTCCCTGCAGACCCCCCCCCCTTCAATTCAACATAAGATTTGAGTGGGGACACACATCTGAACCGTAACATTCCACCTTTGGCCCCTCCTAAATCTCTTGTCCTTCTCACATTTCAAACCACAATCATGCCTTCCCAACAGTTTCCCAAGGTCTTAACATATTCCATCATTAACCCAAAAGTTCAAGTTCAAAGTCTCCTCTGAGACAAGGCAAGCCCCTTCTGCCTATGAGCCTGTAAAATTAAAAACAAGTTATTGATTTTACAGGCTAATAGTTGCTTCCAAGATATACAGCAGAACAGTCATAAATTGTAAAATTCCAAAATGATTTCATTTGACTCTTTGTCTCACACCCAGGCCACATCGACACAAGGGGCAGGCTCCCATGGACTTGGGCAGTTCCACCCCTGTGGCTCTGCAGGGTACAAGCTCCATGGCTGCTTTGGTGGGCTGGTATTGTCTGCAGCTTTTCCAGGTGCATGGTGCAAGCTGTTGGTGGATCTATCATTCAAGGTTCTCGAGGATGGTGGTGGCCTTCTTCTCACAGCTCTACTAGGCAGTGCCCCAGTGAGGACTCTGCATGGGGGCTTCAACCCCACACTTCCCCTGTGCACTTCCCTAATAGAGGTTCTCCGTGAGGGCTCTGCCATGGCAGTAGACTTCTGCCTGGACATCTAGGCATTTCCATGCATCCTCTGAAATCTAGACAGAGATTCCCAAATCTCAACTCTTGCTTTCTGTGCACCCACAGGCCCAATACCACATGGAAGCCACCAAGGCTTGGAGCTTGCATCCTCTGAAGCCATGACTTGAGCTGTACCTTGGCCCATTTTAGCCATCTTTGGAGCTGGAGCTGCTGGGACACAGAGTACCATGTCCCAAGGCTGCACAGAGCAGCAGGTCCCTGGGCCTAGCCTGGGAAATAACTTTTCCCTCCTAGACCTTCAGACCTGGGATGGGGAGGGGGCCTGCCTTGAATGTCTCTGAAATGTTCTGGAGACATTTTCCCCACTGTCTTGGCTATTCACATTTGGCTACTCTACTTATGCACATTTCTGCAGCAGGCTTGAATTTTTACCCAGAAAATTGATTTTTCATTTTTCCACGACTCAGCTGCAAATTTCCCAAACTGTTACGTTATACTTCCCTTGTAAGTACAAGTTCCAGTAGCAGATAATCTCTTTGTTCACACACACACGAGTATACACTTTCAGAAACAGTGAAGTCACATCTTGAATTCTTTGCTACTTAGAAATTTCTTTCACCAGATACTCTAAATCATCTCCCTCAAGTTCAAGGTTCCACAGATCTCTAGGGCAGGGGCAAAATGCCACCAGTCTCTTTGCTAAAGCATAACAAGCGTGACCTTTATTCCATTTTCCAATAAGTTCCTCATCTCTATCTGAGAGCACCTCAGCCTGGACTTCATTGTTTATATCACTATCAGCGTTTTAATCAAAACCATTCAACAAGTCTCTAGGAAGTTCCAAACATTCTCTCATTTTCCTGTCTTCTTCTGAGCCCTCCAAAATATTCCAACCCCAGTGTCTGTTACACAGTTCCAAAGTCACTTTCACATTTTCAGGTATCTTTATAGTAGTGCCCAAATCCTGGTACCAATTTTTTGTGTTACTCTGTGTTCACACTGCTATAAAGAACTACCTGAGACTGAGTAATTTATAAAGAAAAGAGATTTAATTGACTCACAGTTCCACAGGCTTAACAGGAAGCATGACTTGCAGGCATCAGGAAACTTACAATCATGGCAGGAGGTGAACAGGAAGCAATGACCATCTTCACATGTTGGCAGGAGAGAGAGTGAGTGAGGGGGGACGTGTTACACACTTTTAAACCATCACGTCTCATGAAAACTCACTCACTATCACAAGAAGAGCAAGGGGGATATCTGACCCCATAATCCAATCACCTCCCACCACATCCCTCCTCCAATTTGACATGAGATTTGAGCAGGGACACAAATCCAAACCCTATATCACCTAAAATATATACAACTACTCTGTACCCATAAAAATAAAACAATAAAAATTTAAAAATCCACATGGCCATGATTTTTTTTCATTTTTTATATAAAATATACTTGTTATGATTTTACTCTTCTTAAGTTTGTTAAACTTATTTTGTCACCTAACGTGTAATCTATCCTGGGGAAAGATTCATATGAACTTGAGAAGAATGTGCATTCTGCTACTGTTCTGTGTTATATTATTTATATTTCTGTTAGGTCCACTTGTTTTATAGTGTTATTCAAGTCCTCTGCTTCCATATGGATCATCTGTCTGGATTTTTTTTTCCATTTTTGAAATGGAGTATTGAAATCTCCTCCTATCATTGTATTGCTATTTCTCTTGTCAGTCCCATCAATGTTCGCTTTATATATTTATGTTCTCTGATGATTGGTGCATATTTATTTATAATTGTCAACTATTTCTGGTGAACTATCCATTTTTATTATGTAATGTTCTTCTTTGTCTATTGCTAAAGTTTTGGACTTGCAATATATTTTTTCAGATATCAATATAGCCACCCTCATTCTCTTTTGGTTTTTATTTGCATGTAATATCTTTTCTCATTCTTTTATTTTCAGCCTATGTGTCTTCTTAAATCCAAAGTAAATCTCTTATAGACAGTATATAGTTAAATCTTATTTTTTAAAAATCTGTTCAGCCATCCTATATCTTTTGATTGGGAAGTTACTTTAGTATATCTTGCAAGGCAGGTTTAGTTGTGGTGAACAAACTTAACTTTTTTTTTGGTCAGGGAAATTCTCTCTTCCTTCATTTTTGAGGGATAGTTCTCCCAAGTACAGTATTCTTGATATGCAAGGTTTTTTTTTTTCACTTTTTATATCATCCCACTCTCTTCTGGCCTATAAGATTTCTGCAGAAAATCCTTCTTATAAACTTATAGAGGTATGTGATAAGTCACTTTTCTCTTGCTTCTTTCAAAACTTTTTATGTCTTTAATTTTTGGCAATTTGATTATATATCTGGGTATAAATTTCACTGTATTCTTTTTATATCAAGTCCTCTGGCTTCCTGGATTTGTATGTCCGTTTTCTTCCCCAGATTTGGAAAGTTATCAACCATTATTTGTTTGAATAAAATTTCTGGTCCTTTCTCCTTCTGGGACTCCATGCTGTGTATATTAGTCCACTTTATACCGTCCCATAAATCCTTTAAGCTTTCTTTACTCATTTTTTTATTTTCATTTCTCTGACTTAATTATTTCCAATAAACTGTCTTTGAGTTTGCTAATTTTTTCTTATACTTAATCTAGTCTGCTCTTGAACATCTCTAGTGAAATTTTCAGTTCAGTTCAATTAGGCTCCACGATTTCTGTTTGATACCTTTTAAAATGTTTTTAAAAAATCTCTTATGTTCTCATGCCATGTCTTACTGCTTTAAATTTGTGCATGCATTTTTTACCTGACTTCAGTGAGCACTTGTCATTGATGTCTAATTGCATTTCATTGTGGTCTAAGAGGAGACATTGTATAATATCTCATATTTTAACTGTTTAAATATGTGTTTCATTGTCCAGAATCTTATCTATCCTGGTGAATGTTTCACGTGAGGTTGAGAAGAATGTGTATTCTGATGTTGGATGAAGTAGCTTAGATATTTACATTTCATTCTGTTGATTGATAGAGTTTTTGAGTTTAACTATGCTCTTTCCAATTTTCTGCTGGTTTGGCTTGTTCATTTCTGAAAGATGGATGTTAAAATCTCCAAATAATAGTAGATTCATCCATTTTTCCTTGAAGTTCTGTTAGATTTTGTCTTATGTATTTTGATGCTCTGTTTTTAGACTCACACATGTTAGGATTGTTACATCTCTTTGGAGCACTGATCTCTTTACCATTATGTAATGTCTCATTTTATTAATTTATTTTATTTTTAAATTTTGTTGGTACATATTAGATGTATATATTTATGAGATACATGAGATATTTGTTACAGCCATACAATGCATAATAATCACATCATGGAAAATTGGGTATCCACCCCAAGTATTTATCCTTTGTGTTACAAACAATTCCATTATACTCTTTTAGTTATTTTTAAATGTACAATTAAATAATTATTGACTAGAATCCCCTTTCAGTGCTCTCAAATACTAGGGCTTATTTACCATTTCACCCAGCAATTCAATTACTGGGTATTTACCCATATTGGGCATCTACTCATGTCTTTATGGTAGTTCTACCATAAAGACACATGCACACATATGTCCATCACAATATTATTCACCGTGGCAAAGACATAGAATCAAACTAAATGCCCATCAACAGCAGACTGGATTTTAAAAATGTGGTGTATAAACTAAGCCGTCATAAAAACACAAGATTATACCCTTCGCAGCAACATGGATGGAGCTGGAGGCCATTAATCTAATTAAAATCACACAGGAACAGAAAAACAAATATTGCATGTTCTCATTTATACATGGAAGCTAAAATTTGAGAACACATGGATGCAAAGAGGGATACAAGAGACCCCAGGGATAACTTGAGAGTAGAGGACTGGGAGAAAGGAGAGGATCAAAAAACTGCCTATTGGGCACTATGCTTATTACCTGGGTGCAGATATACTGTGTACACCAAACCTCTGAGACATGCAGTTTATGTATATAACAAATCTGCACGCATAACCCAGAACCTAAAATAAAAGTTGTAAAAAATGTAATCTCCCTGTTTTCCCCTGATAACTTTCCTTAAAGTCTGCTCTTTCTGAAATTAACATAGCTACTCCCAATTTATTTTATTTAGTGTTGGCATAGCATATCTTTCTCCATCCACTTTCTTTGACTCTATATGTATCTTTATATTTAAAGTGGGCTCCTTACACACAACCCGTATTTAGCTCTTGATTTTTGTTCTATTTTGACAATCTCTGTGTATGAATTGGTGCATTTAGACCATTGACATCCAATGTGATTACTAGTATAGTTGTATTAATATCTGTACTAAGCTTGGGGGAAAAGTTGTGGCAAGTATCCTATGCTAGTTTAAACCAACCACTTGTTCTTTCTAGCCCCCAGGAGACTAGAATATGTCAAGCCCCCATATTTGTTACTGTTTTCTATTTGTTTCCCTTGTTCTTAGTTCCTATTTTTCTCATTCAGTCTTTTATGGTTTTAGTGAAAAATTAATATGATCCTCTTTTCTCTTCTTCTCAGCATATTAGCTGTACTTCTTTAAATATAGTGTTTTCCATTTGTGAACAGTTTTATAACAGCCATTTTCAATTCTGTCATGTGTATCATATATCCTCATTTCATTACGATTGGTTGCTTGAAATTTATCTTTTTCCTTCGTTTGGAACAAATTTTCTTGTTTCCTCATTTTTTTGATTCTCTGTGTTGCTGTTAACACATTAGACAAAAGAGTCACCTCTCTCAGTCTTCAAGCACTGGCCTTTCACAGGAGAAAACTCTTACCAATTACCCTATTCAGACATTCTGGAGGTCTCTCAAACCTTAATGCTAGGCCACACCACTTTCTTTGTTCCTAGCATCTAGAGTATTGCAGGTCCCCTCAGTGCTTCAAGACAAGCAAGAATGAAGCCAGTTTCTCAGGAAGGCTTCAGAGAAGGTGCATCATTAGACACTCTGCTCCAATCTTTCCATCTCCAGGAAGAAGCTGAGAACTGGGAAATTGTGCCTTTTATCTCTATGTTGATCTGGGGGAAGGTGATTGCAGCAGTTTTATTCTAGTTCAAACTGCCCTCTTTGTTCTCATTGGCCCTCAGATGACTAGAGCATAACGGGTCACATTAGCACTAAAAAAAAGAAAAAAAAAGGAATAAACCAGTTATTTTGGCAGTCCTCAGAAAATTTAGGGCATTTGAGTGCATGTTCAATCTCTTTTCTCCCCCTGGTTGAAGCTGCAATCTTGGGTGACTTTATTACCCACTCGCTCTGTGTGAAGTTTAAGGGAGGAGTTGTGGCAAGTGCTTAATATGCCAGCTCAAACTAATAATTTTGTCTTTGTAGTCCCCAGGGTATTTGAATATGTCAAGCCTCATAAACTCTCAGAGATAGGTGGGGTAGAAGCCAGCCTCTCATATAGCACTTGGAAAAGTTAAGACATAACATATGCAATACAACTCTTTCCCTCCTCAGGGAGATGCAGAGAGTTGGTAGTTTTCACACTCTAATTCTATGCTGAGCCAAGTAGAAGAGCTGTGGCAAGTGCCCACACACTAGTTCAAACCACTTCTTTGTTCTCTGTAGTCCCCAGAAGATACACATATGTCAGATTCTATCAGCTTTCCAAAACAGATGAGAGAGAAGCCAGATCCTCAGGCAGCGCCTGGAAGTGTTAGTATGCTACATGTAGTCGGTCTATCTCTTTCACTCTCACAGAGAAGCTGGGAGCTGGGGGTTCCATTCTGAACATATGTTACTGTGCCAGGTAGTGGGAATTATGGCTAGAGGATGTATTTATTTTTCCAACTGGTTTCAATGTGGACAGTTTCATACTCATCCATGAAGATGAAGCTGCAGGAACATATCATCTAGTTCCTGGATTTCTCACAAAGGGAAATAATTTGTGTGTTGCTTTTCAATTGGTGTGTCCACGTGGGAGAGTCCAAGTGTTCCTATTCAGTCATCTTGCTTATGTCACCTGTCTGCTATTTGTTTTCTGTGTGTCATAACTCTTTTTTACTTCATTTCCTCCATTACTGTCTTATTTGTCTTTAAGTCATTTTTTTGGATTCTCTTCTAATTTCTTTTTATGTATGTAGTTTTAGATATTTTTGTAATAGTTACTATGGAAGTTACAGTTAGCATCCTAAGTATATAACAATCTAATTTATTTGATATTAACTTAGTTTAAATAACCTACAAAACCCTGATCTTATAGAGCCCTACCACCCTTTTAAGTTGTCATAAATTACATCTTTGTACATTGTTTTCCTATTAATATATATTTATAATAATCTTTTAACATATTACTTTTTAAAATCACATATAAAATAAAAAGTTACAAACCAGAAATATAATAATACTGGCTTTCATATTTTCTTATGTATTTACTTTTACCAAATTTCTTCATTTCTCTGTATTCTTTTGATTTACTGTCCAGTGTTTCTTTCAGTCTTAAGAACTCAAATAAATAATTATTGTAAGGCAGGTATTCAAGTAACAAACTTTCTCAGCTTTTGTTTATAGGGAATGTTCTAATATCTCTTATTTTTGACAAACAACTTTGCAAGATACAGAATTCTTAGTTGACAGGTTTTTTTCTTACATCACTTTTAATATGTCATTCCATTGCCTTCTGGCTTCCATATTTTCTGATGAGAAATGTGCTGTTAATATTTCTGACAATTCTTTGTACATAAGGAGTCACTTCTGGTGCTCAAGATTCTCTCCTTCTTGGCTTATGACAATTTTATTATAATGTGCCTTTGTGTTGATCACTTTGAATTTATCCTATTTGAAGTTAATTGAACTTCTTGGATGTGTAGATGCAAGTCTTTAACAACATTTAAATTGTTTTTGACTTTTAGGTCCTCAAATCTGTTTTATTCCCATTTCTTTATCTCTTCTTTTTCTGAGACTCCCATGTGTATGTTGGTATTTTTGATGGTGTCCCACAAAAGCCTTAGGCTATGTTCGCTTCTCTTCATTCTTTTTACTTTCTGCTTATCAGAGGGGAGAATTTCCATTTTTTACCTTCAAGTTCACAGATATTTTCTACTACCTATTTAAATTTCTTGAATCCTTCAGTGATATTTACATTGGAGTTATTATACTTTACATCTTCAGAATTTTACTTTGATACCTTTTTATAGTCTCTGTTTCTATTGATATTCTTATTTGTTCGTACATAATTTTCCTGCTTTTCTTTAGTTATTTGTCCAGTTTCCTTAAGCTCTTTCAGCATATTTCAGAAAGTTAATTTATAATCTTTGTGTAGTTAATTGAATATCTAGGTTCCCCAAAGAACAGCTTAAGTCATTTTTTTTTTTTTTTACCTCTGGATGGGATTTATTTTTCTGTTTGTATGTCTTGAAATTTTCTACTTAAGCTCGGCATCCTGAAGAGTATTTTGGAACTTAAATCTCCTTTCCTCAGGGTTTGCTATTTTTGATTGTTGAGGCCTGCAGTCATCCATTTTGTAGCAACTTTTTAAAACTTTTTGTGATGACTATCTTTTGTGTATATTAACTAAATTCTGTGTTTTCCATTGTGTCAGTGATCATCAGTGACCTAAAAGGTTTTCTTAAGTGACTTAATACTTGTATCTTCATTCTGAGCCTTCTCAGCCTTCTCGTTTCCAGGATTTTGGATTTGTTATCTGTTTGCCCCATCTGTCACCCACTTCTCTGGTAGTTATGGAAATGAATGTTTTAAAATATTTTGACAGATACCTCTGCAACCTGGAAATTTATTCGAGCCCTGAGATTAGGGCAAAACAAATGTGAGTCTCTGTGTGATTCCTCAGGGAACCACCAGACAGGTCAAAACACATGAACACAGTATTTTAAGAACAAGTTCTTTATTATTAACCTCTTGTCTCAAGTTAGCCACATCAAAAATGTAGGCCATCATATTCATAGCCACTGGCACCATGCTGAAGAATGGGGGTTATAAGATGGTTATCAAAAATGTCACAGTGCTGTCTTACTGAAATTCAGTTATCCTTTCCTTTATTAAGCATATTCCTATTTGCTGTGTTTTGAATTAGATTTTAGAGTTGTGAAAGTGTCCAGTCTTTGACAGCTCATTGTTAATTTGCTCTCTTATTTTTTTTAATATGTTCTCTTTATCCTTTGAATTCTGAAATTTTACCATAACTATGTAGGTAAAAATGCACACTATTTTTAATGAATTGCTTTAAAATCTTAGTGGATCCTTTCAAATGAAATAGTACATATATTCATTTAGCAAATATAGTAAGCACTTATCCTGTGCTAGACTAGGCACTATAAGAATGATGGAAATGCAATGGGGAACTGGATAGAAAAGACCTCTATTCTCTTGGAAATTATATTTCATTGTGTTAGACAACAAGTATGCAAAATTTCTTAACCTACATATCCTGATAAATTTGTAAAGAAGATACACAGTAAGCTATGATAAAGAATAGCCACAGAAATTAAATACTTATTGTTATGTGTGTAAACATCCCTAAGAAGTTGGTATGTAATATTAGTCTGAAGAATACCTAGGAGGAAGATTTGTGAAAAGCTTGGGTATGAGTTGGGGAGAGTAGTCTAGGCAAAAGGAACAGTAAGACCAAAGGCCAAGAGACAGAATGCATCTTGAGATTTTCTGGGAAATAACAAGTGGTCATTGTAATGGATATATTGTACGGAAAGGAAGAGTAGGATAATGGGAGACTTGGAGCAGATTATTATTTTTTCTACATGCAATGAGAAGCAATGGATGACTAAAGAAGGATAAAGTGCTCTCATTTATACTTTAAAAGTCCACTCTGATTACTAGTTGGAAATAAGATATTCATTGATAAACTGGATATGAGAGATGAGTAGAACATGTGACTTGTACATATCCATAGTAATGGCAGATTGCTAGTCATCATTTAAGTTATTTCTTTTTATTCTATCTTTATGGAAGTCTGATTAGATACATGTTGGAATAAGAGCTCTCCTCTTATATGATCCCTGTCCATTTGTACTGCGTTCTTGGAGAATACCTCTTTTATGTCTTTTAGATAACTTTATACATCCTTAGCTGAGTCTCTTCTGTTATTCATCTACATGTATTGAAGTGTTTTTATAATTTCAGTGTCTATAATTTTATAATTTCTGTAATTATATATATGAAATTTTATAATTTCAGTAATTTCATGTATCTGATTTTTACTATTAATTTTTACATTTTATTTTATAGTACCCTGTTTAAATGGATAAAATATACTAAAATTTTTCTATGGATATAAAATGGACTTACTGTAAGCTTTCTTCCATTTCCTGTATTAACTTTATTTCCTGGAGGTTAATTCTTTAGTTTTCTATTGAGGTCACTACTTCTCTTTCATAGTGTTCACTTTCCTCAAATGCTGGCTGATTTATTGTTTTCTGGTTATAATCATTAACCTCTATATAACTCTCAGTGAATTCTGGTTGTAGTAACTGGACACTTCCTCTGATCATTGCAAAGAAATGCCTGCAAATAAAAATCTGTATTTTTTATATTATCTTGAGAGAAAAATTGTTGAGATTTAGCTTTTCTTTTAGAATTTTAAAAACTCAGACTCTTGAAAATGTGTAGGATTTTATTTATATATGAATATAGATACAGTTAATATAGGAATATAAATGGAACTATAGATAAGCCTGGAAGTAAAGAACCTCAATATGTCAGAACAACAGGGCTGCAGGGACCCAGGTTCCTGAGTTCCTCACCTGAAAGACAGTTGAGCAGGAGAACATCCAAACCAGCACCCACTGCATTAGACTTTGTGTGAGTGGAAAATAAACTTTGATTGTGGTAAGCCACTGAGATTTGGGGGTAGTTTAATATAAGTTGGCTTGTCCTGACAGATGCCGAAGCATGATTAATTAATTCTTTCCTATTTTTATGCTTTGAGCCCTTAATGCTTCTCTTATAGCTAACAAACTGTGGTTTCTGACTATTCTAGTGTTGAAGTCCTCACATAACAAACATGTATGAGAAAACCCCATAAACCTAAGGAGTCCTAATGCCGGTGCAATATAGCACCAGTCACATATAAGACATTTATATTCCACCGGCATTAGGGCTCCTTAGGTTTATGGGGTTTTCTCATACATGTTTGGTATCTTGTCACTAACAGGTATTTGTTTGATTTGTTGTTGGTAGGTGCATCATTCCCTCCTAATTTGAAGCCCTCTATTCTGCTGCCACAAGCCTTTTAGCCAAATTCTCTTCCTTTATATTTCTTAGGTATGAATCAAGCATCAGTCCCCTGTGTTTCCCTAAGTGACAGATAATTCATATTGGGTACCCTGGTGACGTCGAAGACTCTTCCATTGACATTAAAGTGAGAAAAGAGCACCCCCTATACAAGATCACCTCTTCAAAAAGGTGATCTTCAGAAAGCACTATTCACGTATGGTGAGACACAGTGCACCAGAGTCATTCTCCCTACTCACACCTTTTCACACTGATAAAACTCTGATTTCAGGTTTTGAAAAGCATCTAAGCACATTCTATGAAAAGGCAGAATCTCTAATAGAAAATGTTGACATAATTTATTAGGTATACATTATAAACATCTAAACACTTAAAGTATTCTTAAGTAAATATAAGAGGGCAAGGGCAAATTTGGATAAATTTTGTAACACATATAACATGAAAAAGATTAATATTTTAGTCTATGAAGAGCATTTACAAATTAAAGCAAAAATTAACACCAAGATTTTAAAAATTGGTGCATTAGAATGAGAGAAAAAAGTCAGAAACTAGAGAGCACACAGAGTATGATCCGATTATACAAAGTTCAAGAAGAGGCAAAACAAATTGATAGTGATATAAGATCAAGGATTGCTGGGGCTGGGGTGAAGGAAATAAGTGCAAAGGGATATGAGGGAATTTTATAGGGTGGTAGATATAGTCTATATTTTAAGTGTTGTGATGATCATATGTGTAAACACATTTATCAAAACTCATAGAACTATAAACTGAAAATAAGGCAATTCCTTAAACATAAACCAAACCTCAATAAAGTTTACTAAACTACCAAACTATATACTCACAACTTACAAAATATACAAGTGACATCTGTTAAAACAAACACATCAAATATTACCAGAAGTCAAAGTAACATAAAAATATAAATTGATAAAAACTTTGAGGTTCCATTTGCATTAATTAAATTATGAAATCTAAACATAATGGTAATACCATTATGGTTAAGAGTAAATAAAACCATCTCTCCCATGCACTGTTATTGAAAATGTAAGTTGATGCAAACTTAAAGATGACAATTTGAAAATGTGTATCAAAAGTCTTAAATATATTCATCAGTTTTGACTCAGCTATAATAATTATAGAAATTTTGATTAAGGATTAATATGAGAAACATTTATGTGAGATGTTGATAATTTAAAATATGAAGAAAAATAAATGAACACATATGGAATCAACACATAGCCTTAACAAATCTCAACGTTTCACCACACTTGCTACAAACTTTTTAATATAGGAAAAATAAAGATGGCTTTCATTCAATATCTGTGCCTTTATAATTTCATTCCCTTCCTTCTTTACACACATTAGCCACTGTCTGGAATTTGTTGTTTACCATTTCAATTTGTTTTTGCTTGTGTGAGGCTTTGCATGTTTCTCTGCTTTATATAAATGATGTAATAATGTAAAAGTTATTTTGCACATTATAGTTTTACTCAATATTATTTACATGCAGACATTTTAATATATGTAGTGCCATTTCATTTATAATTTCTGCATACTTTTCAAAAGTATGAATAAGCTACAAGTAATTATTTTATTCTCTCTTAGATTTTGTATAGATGCCAAATTTTATAAATAATGATGCAATAAACATTCTTACACGTTAGTATTAATTTACTAAGGAGTGCTTGTAATTTACTTTGTCACTGTTTCTGACAAAATACCACAAACTGGGTGGTGTATTGTCTTACCATTAGTCTATGAAGAGAATTTACAAATTAAAGCAAACTAATTTTAATTTTTTTTACTTTTCAAAAGTAAAAATTTGGAGTCTAAAAGTCCAAAATAAAGGTGTTGGTAGACTTGGTCCATTTTGAGGGCATTGAGAGAAAGATCCGTTTGGTCCTCTGTTTTTGGATTGTAGATGGCCATTTTTTCCCCTTTATCTCGTGACATTGTCTTCTCTTTATGCCTATATCCAAATTTTCTCTTCTTGTAACAACACCAGTCATATTGGACTACAGCCTACCCTAATGACCTCATATTATCTAATTGCATCTGCAATTACCCTATTTCCGCATAAGGTCACATGCTGATGTACTGAACATTAGGACTTTAACATGTAAATTGGTGGGAGACACAATTCAACACATAATGGTATATCTCTTTGTGTATGTGAGAGTTTTTCAAGTTTCTCTAGTTCAGTGCTTCTCACACAGAGATTATTTTGCTCCCCTTCCCTCTTGAGGACATTTGGCAATATCTAGGGCTATTTAGGGTTGTCACAACTGGTGGTGGCACGTGCTAATGGCATCAAGTGGGTAGTGTTCAGGGATTCTGCTAAATATACCTGTGTAAAAAAAAGTCCCCACATCAAGCACTTTTCTAGCCGAAAATCTCAATAGTGCTTAGGATAAAAAACCTTAATCTAAGTTATACTCCTAGAACTGTAATTGTTAAGTATGCCATCCTAAGTAAATTTGCTTGCTGATTTGCTTTCTAATACCTTGTTATAATTTATATACCCACAAGCAGTGTATGAGTCTGTTTCTCTTTTTTTTCCATTAACTTTTATTTTAAGTTCCAGTGTACATGTGCAGGATGGGCAGGTTTGTCACATGGGTATACATGTACCATGCTGGTTTGCTGCACAGATTAACCCATTACTTAGGTAGTAAGCCCGTTATTCGCTAGCTATCCTTCCTGATGCTCTCCCTCCCCACTCTCCCCCTGACAAGCCCCAGTGTGTGTTGTTCCCCATCATGGGTCCATGTGTTATCATCGTTGAGCTCCCACTTATAAGTGAGAACATGCAGTGTTTGGTTTTCTGTTCCTGCATTCGTTTGCTGAGGATAATGGTTTTCAACTCCATCCATGTCTCTGCAAGGGACATGATCTCATTCCTTTAATGGCTGTGTAGTATTCCATGATGAACACGTACCACATTTTCTTTAACCAATCTATCATTGATGGGAATTTAGGTTGTTTCCATGTGTCACTGCTATTGTGAATAGTGCTACAGTTGACATATGCATGCACGTATCTTTCTAATAGAATGATTTATACTCCTTTGAGTATATATCCAGTAATGGGATTGCTGGGCCAAATGGTATTTCTGCTTCTAGATCTTTGAGGAATCAGCACACTGTCTTCCACAATGGTTGAACTAAATTACATTCCCACCAACAGTGTAAAAGTGTTCCTTTTTCTCTGCAGCCTTGCCAGCATCTACTGTTTCTTCACTTTTTAATAGTTGGCATTCTCATTGTGGTTTTGATTTGCATTTCTCAAATAATCAGAGATGTTGAACTTTTTTTACATATGTTTTTTCACATGTTTGTTGGCTGCATGAATGTCTTCTTTTGAGAAGTGTCTGTTCCTGTCCTTTGCCCCCTTTTTAATGGGGCTGTTTGTTATTTTTCTTGTAAATTTGCTTAAGCTTCTTGTAGATTCTGGATATTAGACCTTTGCCAGATGCAGATTGCAAAAATTTTCTTTCACTCTATAGGGTGTCCGTTCACTCTGCTGATAGTTTCTTTTGCTATGCAGAAACTCTTTAGTTTAATTAGATCCCATTTGTCAATTTTTGCTTTTGTTGCAATTATTTTTGGTGTTTTCATCATGAAATCTTTGCCTGTGCTATGTCCTGAATGGTAGTGCCTAGATTTTCTTTTAGGGTTTTTATAGTTTTGGGTTTTACGTTTAAGTCTTCAATCCATCTCAAGTTAATTTTCGTATAAGGTGTAAGACAAAGGTCCAATTTCAATTTTCTGCATATGGCAAGCCAGTTCACTTAACACCAATTATTAACTCAATGTGTCTGTTTGTGTACCAGTATTGTGCTGTTTTGGTTACTGTACTCTTGTAGTATAGTTTGAACTCTTATAGCATGATGCCTCCAGCTTTTTTCTTTTTGCTTAGGATTTTCTTGGCTATATGTGCTCTTTATGGGTTCCATATGAATTTTAAAATAGTTTTTTTCTAATTCTGTGAAGAATGTCCATGGTAGTTTAATGGGAATGGCATTGAATTTCTAAATTACTTTGGGCAGTATGGCCATTTTCATAATACAACAAAAATAGAAAACTTTAGGACAATATACCTAATGAACATCCATGCAGAAAACTTCAATGAAATACTGGCAAACCGAATCTAGCAGCACATCAAAAAGCTTATACACCACAATGCAGTTGGCTTCATCCCCGGGATGCAAGGTTTGTTCAACATGTGCAAATCAATAAATGTCATTCATCACATAAACAGAACTAAAGACAAAAACCACATGATCATCTCAATAGATACAGAAAATGCCTTCAATAAAATTCAGTATCTCTTCATGTTAAAAATTCTCAATAAACTAGGTATTGAAGGCACATACCTCAAAATAATAAGATCCATATATGACAAACCCACAGCCAATATCATACTGAACAGGCAAAAGCTGGAAGCATTTCCCTTGAAAACTGGCACAAGACAAGTTTGCCCTCTCTCACCATTCCTATTTAACGTAGTACTACTGTTAGTTCTGGCCAGTCGGTTTTTTTTTTATGTTTGTCAACACTTGTGATGATGTCCATAACATTTGCCAAATTATTTAATATGAGATCTCATTATTTTTAACATATATTTCCTTGACTAATAGTGAGAAATAGCATCTTTCCATATGTTTGTAAGACATTCAGGAATGTTTTTTAATTAATGTATTATTCATATTCATTTTGTATGTTATTCTAGGGTTGATTGTCTATCTTTAGGAATTATATATAGATTTTTATACTAAGATCTTATAAATCATATGTATTTAGAGATAATTTCTCAAAGTTTCTGGCATGATTTTTAACTTTTTTATTTCTTATTTTATTATTTATTAAAATTTCAACTTTTATTTTAGACTGAGGGGATACATGTGCAGGTTTGTTAACTGGTATATTGTGTGATGCTGAGGTTTAGTACAATGAATCCCATTACCCAGGTACTGAGCACAGTACCCAATAATTAGTTTGCAGCTCTTGCCTCACTCCATCTCTCCTGCTCTAGTAGTCCCCAGTGTCTATTGTTGCCATCTTTATGTCTGTGCATACCTGTGTTTCTGCAAAGGAAATGTAAAGAAAATGATTTCATTCTTTTTTATGGCTATGTAATATTCCATGGTATATTTACCACATTTTCTTTATCCAATTCACTGGGTTTTTTTGTTTTGTTTTGTTTTCTTATCTGAAAATCTATTTTAATAGTTTTAGGGGTACAAGCATTTTTTTTTCACATGGATAAACTGTAGAGTGGTGAAGTCTGAAATTTTAGCGCACTCATCACTTCAGTAGTGTACATTGTACCCAATATGAAGTTTTTTATCCCTCAGCCTCCTTCCACCATACACTTTCCTGAGTCTCCATTGTCCATTTCACCACTTTGTATGCCTTTATGCACCCGTAGCTTAGCTCTCACTTACAAGTGAGAACATAGGATATCTGGTTTTTTATTTCTGAATTATATCACTTAGAATAATGGCTTCTGGTTCTATGTACGTTGCTGCAACAAACATACTTTCATTGTTTTTTATGGCTGAGTAGTATTCCATGGGTTGTGCGTGTGTAATATATACATATATATGTATATATTACAATATGTATATATTACACATATATGTATATGTTACACACATATATGGCAGATATTCTTTATCCATCATCAGCTGATGGGCACTTAGGATTGGCTCCATATCTTTGCAATTGTGAATTGTGCTGCAGTAAACATATGCAAGCAGATGTTGTTTTGATATAATTACTTTTCCTTTAGATAGATACCCAGTAGTGAGATCGCTGGATTGAATGGTAGATCTACTTGTAGTTCTTTGAGAAAACTCCATACTTTCTTCCATAGGAGGTGTACAAGTTTACATTCCAACCAGCAGTGTGTAAATATTCCCTTTTCACCACATCCATGTCAACATCTACTGTTTTTTGACTTTTTAATGATGATCATTCTGGTTGGGGTAAGGTGGTATCTCATTGTGGTTTTAATTTGCATTTCCCTGATTATTAGTCATGTTGAGCATTTCTCATACGTTTTTTGGCCATTTGTATATCTTCTGAGAATGTCCATTCATGTCACTTGCCCACATTTAAATGGGATAATTTGTTTTGTTCTTGCTGATCTGTTTGCATTCCTTGTAGAATCAGCACCTTAATTCTTTGTTGGATGCATAGATTGCAACTAATTTCTCTCATTCTTTGGGTTGACTACTCTGATGATTATTTCTTTTACTGTGCAAAAGCTTTTTGGTTTAAGCTTCATTTATTAATTTATGGGTTTTTTGTCTCATTTGGTTTTGAGGTCTTAGTCATAAATTATTTGCCTACGTCATTGTCCAGAAGAGTTTTTCCTAGGTTTTCTTCCAGAACCTTTATGATTTCAGTTCTTAGACTTAAGTCTTTAATCCAACTTGAGTTGATTGTTATATGAGATGAGCAATAGGTATCTAACTTCGTTTTTCTACACATGGCTATCTATTTTCCCCAGCACCATTTATTAAATCGGGTGTCCTTTCCCGAGTTCATGTGTCTGCATGCTTTGTTGAAGATCAGATGGTTGTAAGTATTTGGCTTTATTTGTCCGTACTCTATTCTGTTCCATTGGTTTATGTATCTACTTTTATGCTAGTAGCATACTGGTTTAGTTCCCATAGCCTTATAGTATAATTTGAGTCAGGTAATTTGATGCCTCCAGATTTATTCTTTTTACTTAGGATTGCTTTGGCTATATGGTTTTTTTTTTGTTCCATATGAATTTTAGGATTGTTTTCTCTAATTTTGTGAAAAATGATGTTAGTGTTTTGATAGGAATTTTATCAAATCTGTAAATAGCTTTGGGCAGTATGGTCATTTTCACAATATTGCTTCTTCCAATCTGTGAGAATGGTATATATTTCCATTTGTTTGTGTCCTGTGATTTCTTTCTTTAATTTTTAAATTATTTTTAAATGTTTTTGTGGGTGCATAGTAGGTGTATGTATTTATGGGGTTACATGAGATGTTTTGATACAGGTATGCAATGTGAAATAAGCACATGATAAAGAATGGGGTGTCTATTCCCTCAAGCATTTATCCTTTGCATTACAATCAATCTGATTACATTATTTATGTTATTTAAAATGATACAATTAAGTTATTATTGACTATAATCACCCAATTATGCTATCAAATAGTAGGTCTTATTTATTCTATTTTTTGTACCCATTAACCATCCCCACTTCCCCACCCCCACCAACCACCCACTGCCCTTCCCAGCCTCTGGTAAACATCCTTCAACTCTCTATGTCCATGAATTCAGTTGATTTGATTTTTAGATACCACAGACAAGTGGGAACATGCGATGTTTGTCTTTGTGTGCCCAGCTTATTTCACTTAACATAATAATCTTCAGTTCTATCCATGTTTTTGAAATTGACTGGATCTCATTCTTTTTTAAGAATGAATAGTACTCTGTTGTGTATACATACCACATTTTCTTTATCCATTCATCTATTGTTTTATTTCAACAGTGCTTTGTAGTTCTCCTTGTAGAGATCTTTCACCTTCTTGGTTACATATATTTCTAGATATTTTATTTTATTTTTCAGCTACTGTAAAAGAAATTGGATTTTATTCTGGATTTTATTCTTAGCTTGGTCATTGTTGGTGTATATCAGTACTACTGATTTGTGTACAATGATTTTATAACCTGAGACTTTACTGGGTTCACTTATCAGATGTGGGAGTCTTTTGGAGTAGCATTTAGGGTTTGTTAGGTATAAGATTTTATCATTGGCAAATGGAAATAGTCTGACTTCCTTTTTTCCCATCTGGGTGCCCTTTATTCATGTCTTTTGCCTAATTGCTCTGGGTAGAGCTTCCAGTATTATGTTTAATAGAAGTGGTGAAAGTGGGCATCTTTGTCTTGCTCCAGTTCTTAGGGAGAATGCTTTCAACTCTTTCTCAATCAGTATAATGTTGGCTGTGGGTTTGTCCTATATGTCTTTTATTACTTTCATGTATGTTCCTTCTATAGTTAGGTTGTTGAGGATTTTTATCATAAAGCGTTGGTGGATTTTTTCAAATGATTTTTCTGCATCTATTGAAATGATCATATGATTTTTGTTTATAATTATGTTTATGTGATGAATAATGTATATTGACTTGCATATGTTTAACCATCCCTGCATACCTGGGATGAAACCCACTTGATCACGGGGAATTGTCTTTTAATGTGCTGTTTGATTCAGTTTGCTAGTATATTTTTGAGGAATTTTGCATCTATTTTCATCAGTGATATTGGTATGTAGTTTTAATTTTTAATGTTCTTTTCTATTTTTTGTCAAGGTGTTACTGGATTCATAGAATCAGTTAAGGATTCCCTCCTCCTAGATATTTTGAAATTGTTTCAGTAGGATTGGTTCCAATTGTTGTTTGAATGTCTCACAGAATTTGACTTTGAATCTGTCTGATCCTGGGCTTTTTTGTTGTTGGTGGTGGTGGTAAATTATTACTATTATTATTATTACTGACTTAAACTCACTGCTTATTAGTCTGCCCAGGGTTTTTGTTTCTTCCTGATTCAACTAAGAGGATTTAATGTTTCCTAGAATTTACCCATTTCTCTAAATTTTCTAGTTTTCCTGCATAGAGGTATTTATAGTAGTTTCCGATTATCTTTTTTATTTCTGTGCTTTCAGTTGTAATGTCTCCATTTTTATTTCTAACTGAGATTATTTGAATCATTTCTCTACTTTTCTGGTTAATGTAGTTAATGGTCTATCAATTTTTTGTCTTTTCAAGGAACCGACTTTTCATTTCATTGATAATTTCTATTTTCTATTTCAATTTCATTTAGTTCTTCTCAGAGTTTTGTTATTTCTTTTCTTCTACTAGCTTTGGGTTTGATTTGCCATTATTTTTCTAGTTCCTCGAGGTATGATGGTAGGTTGTCAATATGTGATCTTTCAGACTTTTTGGTGTATATATTTATCAGTATAAACATTAATCATAGCATTGCTTTTGCTGTATCCCAGAGTTTTTGATAACTTGTGTCACTGTTATCATTCATTACAAATAATTTTTAAACTTCCATTGTGATTTCATTTTTAACCCCCAAATTACTCAGGACCAGATTGTTTAATTTCCATGTATATACATAGTTTTCATGGTTACTTTTGAAAATGATTTATAGTTTTAGTCCACTGTGATATAAAAAGATACTGCATATGATTTTGACTATTTAAAATTTATTGAGACTTTTTGGTGGTTTTTCATATGGTCTATTTTGGAGAATGGTCCATGTGCTGAGGAAAAGAACGTTTATTCTGCAGTTCTTAGGTAGAATGTTCTGTAAATATACATTAGGTCCATTTGTTCTAGAGTGCAGCTTAAGTCCAGTGTCTCTTTTTTTATTTTCTCCCTTGATAATCTGTCTAGTGCTATGTATGGACTGTTGAAATCTCCAACTATTAGTGTTTTTGCTGTCTATTTTAGTAGGTCTAGTAATAACTGTTTTATAAATATGAGGGCTCCAAAATTAGGGATGTATGTATTTTAAATTGTTATACCTTCTTGTTAAACTTTTTATCATGATATAATGGCCTTCTTTCTCTTTTTAAGTGTTGTTGTTTACAGTTTGTTTTCTCTAATATAAGAGTTGCTACTCCTTCTGACTTTTGGTTTCCATTTGCATGGAATATCTTTTTCTACCTCTTAGAGTCTATAAGAATCCTTACATGATAGGGATGTCTCTTGAAGACAGCAGATATTTGGTTGTAATTTTGTATTCATTCTGCCAATCTGTATCTTTTAAGTGTGGAGCATTAAGACCACTTACTTCAATATTAATATTGAGATGTCACATAATGTTCCAGTCATCATGTTGATTATTGCCTACTTTGTTTTCCACATTATGTTATTGTTTTATAGGCCCTGTAAATTTTTTGCTTTCAAGAGTTTCTTTCTACTGCATATCAACCTTTTGTTTCAATATTTATAACTCACTTAAACATTTCTTGTAGAGATGGTCTGGTAGTGACAAATTCCCTCAGCATTTGTCTGTCTGAAAAAGACTATTTCTCCTACATTTATGAAACTCAGTTTTGCTGGATAGAAATTATTATTAATATTTATTCCATTTAAGGAGACTAAATATTGTTGGTTTCTAAGGTTTCTGCTGAGAAGTTTAATGTTTTCCTTTATAGGTTACCTCATGCTTTTGTCTCATTGCTCTTAGAATTTTTTCCTACATGTTACCTTTAGATAGCCTGATGATTATATGTCTTGATGATGTCATTATTTTTGCCATGAATCTCCAAGTAGTTCTTTGAGCTTCTTGTGTTTGGATGTATTAATGTCTAGCAAGGTCAGGGAAGTTTTATTCAATTATTTCCTCAAATAAGTTTTCAAAACTTTTTGCCTTTTCTTCTCCCTCAGGAACACCAGTGATTTTTAGGCTTGGCCATTTTATAATACCATATTTCTTGGAGACATTTTTCATTTCTTTTAATTCTGTTTTCTTTATTTTTGTCTGATTGGGTTAACTCAAAAGCCTTGTCTTTGAGAACTGAAATTATTTCTTATAGTGGGACTAGTCTATTGTTAAAACTGTTCACTGCATATTGTAATTCCCTAAGTGTGTCTTTCATTTCCAGAAATTGTGATTGAATTTTCATTAAAATATCTATCACCTTAGAAAATGTTTTATTCATATCCTAAATTCTTAATTCATGTTCACTTTCACTTCTCTTGTGTTTTCTTGAGTAACTTCATAAACAACCCTTTGAATTCTTTATCTGGGATTTAAAATATTTCATTTTGGTTTGAAACAATTGCTGGAGAGCTAGTGTGATCTTCTGGTGGTGTTCTCAGACTCTGTTTTTATCATATTGCTTGAATTATTTTTCTGGTTTATTTTCATTTAGGAAGACTATTTCTTCCAATTATTTTTATTTTATATTTGATTCTACTTTTATTTGTATTTCTTTTTCTACTTTTTGAGGACACGTGTTTAATGTTTATTGTTCATTGTAACTTAACTTGGCTCTGGGTGCTTTGAGTGGTGATGAATTTATTTGAGTGTCTTGATTATAGAGAGTCTTTGTATGACGACTTTCTCGGGTGCTGGTTGCAGTAGCAATGTGCTTAGTGTGTGAACAGTTTTACTGTTTCCTGTGGCTCTGGAATGGCAGTGGTCTCCTAAAGTTTATTTTGTTTTCTAGCCATGTGTATTTATTTATTTATTTTCTCTCTCAGTATTTTATTCACTGTGTTAAACAGTTCAGGCTTCAGGCTAGTAGGAAATATCTGTGGGTAAAAACCATCTGTGGCCAAAGCATGTGGGTAAATACTGTACCCGAATAGTGGGCAGAGGTTCCAGCATTGATAGAGGTGGCTGAGGAAGCTCTCAGTGAAACACACTGAAGTCTTTTCAGGGGGGCAGGAGGAAGCTACCTCAGCTCCCCTAGCAGACCAGCAGGAAATCAATCCACCTACCAGTCACGCTCCTGACCCAGTGTTTCAGCTATTCAGGCAGGCAACCTCTTCATCTGCAGGAATGCTGATGTTCCATGTAGAGAGGGACTGTGACTCTATACCTCATGCAAGACTGAACCTGAAAGGCCCTTCTGTGGGGATGCAGTCACCCTGAAGTGTTCCAGAAAGGCTGTCTAAGGGTTCCCTCATGCTGACCTCTCATGGGAGAAGCCCCA
The DNA here is from genome assembly GCF_000001405.40 of Homo sapiens. NCBI lineage: Eukaryota > Metazoa > Chordata > Mammalia > Primates > Hominidae > Homo > Homo sapiens. Next base: position 99,521,214 of record NC_000023.11, on the reverse strand, counting down.
CCTTGTCTGCACTGGTGAGTGAGGGGAAGTTCCTTTCTCCAAGACCCTTCTCTAGCACCAGGGTGGCCTGATTGTTGGGCTATAGCCTCAGCCTTTCCATTCTGAACCTGTGCCTGTGCTGAAAGAGACTTCTCACAAGCAGAAAGTCCTGGTACTTATGCCCTGCACTCTGGATTCTTTTGTCCCACAGGGTGCTCCCTTGATGTACTCCCCCTTTCCCCTTCCTGAGGGCCAGACTGTTGTGAATCCTGCTGATACTCTGGGTCTAGTTGCCCAGTAAGGCTGCCACACACCATGCTGGTGCTGGAGAACATATGCAAGGGATGCAGTTATGTGACTAGTTCTCTAGTCTCCCAGCAGCAGGTACCAGCACCAACTCTGATGGAAGTGGCAAGGGAGTGATGTATACTCTGTGACATTTCCTTGGTTATAAGGTTTGTTGACTTTCTAAAATGCCAGCTGTAGTAGTACTGCATTTGTCAAGAGGACTGACTCAAAACCTCCTGGTTAGCCAGGGTGATGCAGGCAATGGTAATAACTGAGGTCACACAAAAGATTTATCTTTTCTGGGCACTGTGTTATTGTGCCTGCAGATGTTGTAATGGACTGTGCCTGTTGTCCTCCAGCTGAGAGGTGGCACTTGCAAATGAGCGCTTGCTGTGGTGATAATGGTGAGTTTTGTGCTTGCCTTATGTTATTCAGGGGAGGTATTCTGGTGTTTCAGGCAGTGGACAGGGCCATGGAAATTCCAAAAGTCCCTGACTTTTCTGTTAAGCTACTGAGCAGGGTGAAGGGGTAAAGCCAGATGTGGGCTGGGTCAGGTGAGTACATGCTCTGGCTACCCACATGTGGGCACGAACAGCAGCTCCAATGAGAATCGAAGGTCTGTTCTCTCAATGCTAGAGTAATGTTCCAGGTAGGATTGTAGATGATTCTGCTGCACATAAGAGTCTGCATAGGCAGCAGAGGGTAGCAGGTGGCAGTAAGTCCCACCTAACTCCCATGAACTTGGCTAGGCAGGTCTCAAACTTACTAGGAGCAGTTAGCTGGGTTCCAGCCAGCCTGCACTCAGAACTCCAAACTTCCACAGGCTGTAAGCCTTCCCCCACTGAGACAGAAACCATAGCTTTCAGGCCATGCCCCTCAAGGTCTACCAATGAAGCACCGGTGCCCAGCTCCTGTGCCTGTGATTATAGCACACTTCTCATTCAGTCCTTAGTTCTGGCCAAGGGAGGTTGTCACCACTGAAGATTGTATTACGAATATCAATAAGAAACTTCTCTCAACCTGTGACCACTGCTTGAGTTAGCAGCTAATCTCTGTGAGGTCCCCTGTGAGGTAGAATCACAAATGGCTTTCCTACATCCCTACTGGAGTCTGGAAGTGCATGTAAAGCACATCCCGATGCCACTGCTTTACATATTTTTCCCGCTGCCCACTAACTCAGCTCCAGTGGTAGGTAGTTAAGGCATTCCACCATGGCCTGGATTGCAGATTCCCCAGTGTGAGTTTATAACACAGAGGGAAACCCTCTCCCTGTCATACTCTGGGGACTCACAGTTTTCCAGCATGGGTCATGGTGTATGTAGCCTGTCACTTCTTTCAAAGGGTCTGTGGTTTCTTTCAGTTTTCCTAAGTATCCATGTTCCTTCTTGGAAAAAAAAGTTCACAGCATGAATCTCTACACACTATTTTTCTTTCCAAGTGCAAGAAGCATGCTAACAATAATTCCAATCTACTATCTTGAAACAACAAAACTAAAATCAACAATACAAAAGTTATCCAATTCACTGTTGATGGACACCTAGGTTGATTCCATATCTTTGCTATTGTGATTAGTGCTGCAATGTACATATGAGTGAATGTGTCATTTTGGTAGAATTATTTATTTTTCTTTGGGTATATACCCATTACTAGAATTGTCAGGTCTAATGGTAGTTCCTTTTTAATTCTTTGAGAAATCTCCCAACTTCTTTACACAGTGGCTGAACTAAATTACATTTCCACCAACAGTGTAATGAGCATTCTCTTTTCTGCACAGCCTCGTGAGAATCTGTTGTTTTTTGAAATTTTAATAATTGACAATTGGCAATTTGTTCATATGTTTATTGGCCACTCAAGTTTTCTTTTGCGACACGTCTCTTGGTTTCCTTTTCCCACTTTTTAATGGGGTTGTTTTTTGCTTATCAAATTAAGTTCCTTATAGATTCTGGATAGTAGACCATTGCCATATGTATAGTTTTGAATACTTTCCCCCATTCTGTATGTTGTCTATTTAATCTGTTGATTATTTTGCTGTGCAAAATCTCTTTAGTATAATTAGTTTCCACTTGTGAATTTTTGTTTTTATTGCAATTGCTTTTGAGGTCTTAATACTCTTTCCCAACTCTTATGTCCAGAATTTTCTTCTAGGTTTTCTTCTAGGATTTTCATAGTTTGAGGTCTTACATTTATATATCTAATACACATTGAGTTAATTTTTGTATATGGCGGAAGGTAGGTGTCCAGTTTCATTAATCTACATATGGCTAGCTAGATACATCAACAGCATTTATCAGATCAGGAATCCTTTCTCATTTACTTGTTTTTATTGACTTTGTTGAAGATCAGATGGTTGTGTGTGGCTTTATTTCTGGGTTTACTATTCTGTTCCTCTGTTCTATGTGTCTGTTTCTGTATGAGTACCATGCTGTTATGGTACTGTAGTCTTGGTGTATAGTTCGAAGTCAGGTAATGTGATATCTCTGGCTTTGTTCTTTTTGCTTAGAATTACTTTGGCTATTCAAATTATGAATATTCTAATCATGAAATATTCTAATTATGAAATATAAAATATTCAAATTATGAAATACTCTAAAATTTGAATGTTAGAATAGTTATTTCTAGTTCTAGGAAAAATGATGTTGGTTCTTGATAGGAATTGCATTGAATCTATAGATTGCTTTTGGCATTATGGGCATTTTAATAATATTGATTCTTCTAATCCATGTGCATGGATGTTTTCCATTTGTGTCATTTCTGATTTCTTTGAGCAGTGTTTCTTGGTTCTTCTTGTAGAGATTTTACACCTCCTTGGTTAGATGTATTCCTGGGTATTTTATATTTTGTGTGGCTATTACGAATGGGTTTGCATTCGTGACTTGGCACTCAGCTTGAATGTTATTTCTGTATACAATTGCTACACATTTTAGTATGATTTGTATTCTGAAATTTTACTGAAGACATTTATCAGTTCCAGGAGCCATTTGGCAGAGCTTTCAGAATACTGGGGGAATAAAATCATATCATCCATGAAAACATAGTTTGACTCTTTTTTCATGTTTGCATGCCTTTTATTTCTTTCTCTTGAGAGACTGTTCTGGCTAGTACTTCCAGTACTATGTTAAACAGGAGTGGTGAGAGTAGGCATAGTTGTCTTGTTCCAGTTACCAAGGGGAATGTTTTCAACTTTTGCCTTTCCAATATAAGGTTTGCTGTGGGTTTGTAATAGATGGTTCTTACTATTTTGAAGTATGTTCTTTTGATGCCTAGGATTATTTTAGGGTTTTAATCATGAAGGGATGTTAGATTCTATTGAAAGCTTTCTCTCTGTCTTTTGAGGTAATCATATTGTTTGGCTTTTTAATTCTGTTCCTGTGGTGAATCTCATTTATTGATTTGAGCATGGTGAACCAAGATTGCATGACAGGTATGAAGCCTACTTGATCATGGTAAATTAACTTTTCAATGTGCTATTTGATTTATTTTACTAGTACCTTGTCAATAATTTTTGTGTCTATATTCATGAGAGATATTGGCCTGTAGTTTTCTTTGTTGTACCTTGCCAAGTTTTTGTATCAGAGTGATGCTGGAATTGTAGAATGAGTTAGGGAGGAGTCCCTTCTCAAATTTTTGGAATAGTTTCAGGAAGATGGGTAGTAGCTCTTTGTATGTCTTGTAGAATTTGCCTATGAATATATCTAGTCCTGGGCTATTTTTTTTTGGTTGTAGATATTTTATTACTAATTCAATTTAATCCCATTAATAAGGATGGAACCCTCATGAGATAATTAATACCTAAAGTTCAAACTCTTAATACTATCATTTTTGGGTTAAGATTTTAATATATGAATTTTAGAGGGATACAAATATTCAGTCCACTACGTTTATATATGTATTTTCTAATACACAGAACAACCATTAAGAAAAGTAGACAAAGGGATATACTCAAAAATACTATAAATATATCAAGATGGAATCCTAAAAATACGTTCATGAAACTCACAGATAAGCAAGAGAAAAAAGAAAGGAACAGGAAACAAACAGAAAATTAATAATAAAATAATATAATTAAGCCTAACATATCAATAATTATTTAACATGCAAATGGTCTATACCAAAAATAAAAAACCAAACTGGATTTTTAGAGAGAATAAAAACAACATAGCCCAAACTTATGGTGTCTAGAAGAAACTCACTCCAAATAGAATGACATTGAGCAATTAAAAGTAAAATGATTAAAAATTATATACCATGGACACATTTATCAAATGACAACAGAACTGACTACATTAATATGTATAACAGGAATATTAAATCACAGAAAATTAATAGAGACAAAGAGGTATATTCAGTTATGATAAGAAGATCAATACATCAAGAAGTTAAACAAAACCTAAATGTGTGTGTGTGCCAAACAATGGAGCTTTAACATACATGAAGCGAAAGCTGATAGAGCTGAAAGGTAAAAGCTGAATTCACAATTATGTTTACGTCTACAACATTATTTTCTTGGTAATTGATAGAACTATTACACAAAAATGTCAGAAAGCATATAGAACATATAAACAAAATCACATTGAGCATTCCACCCAACAATAGCAGAATATATATCAAATGTCCATGGGACATTCACCCCAATAGACCATAGTCTGAGTAATTACCAAAAAAAAAAAAGTCTTAAACTTCAAATAATTGAAATAAAAAAAACACTTAAATTTAAAAGTATTGAAACCATACAGAATGTTGTTCTTGAACAATAATGGAATCAAACTATTCATCAATAAGACAAGGATGCTCACTTTCACCACTCCTATTCACATAGTACCTGAAATTCTAGCCAGATAAATCAGATAAGTGAAATAAATAAAACACAACTAAATCTGTGTGAATTTGATCCTGTCATCATGACGCTAGCTGGTTATTTTGCACATTAGTTGATGCAGTTTCTTCAAAGTGTTGTTAGTCTTCATATTTTGGTGTGTTTTTGCAGGGGCTGGTACTGGAATTTCCTTTCCATATTTAATGCTTCCTTCAGGAGCTCTTGTAAGACAGGCCTGGTGGTGACAAAATCCCTCAACATTTGCTTGTCTGGAAAGAATTTTATTTCTCCTTCGCTTATGAAGCTTAGTTTGGCTGGTTATGAAATTCCGGGTTGAAAATTCTTTTTTTTATTAAGAGTGTTGAATATTGACCCCACTCTCTTCTGGCTTGTAGTGTTTCTGCAGAGAGATCTGCTATTCTGATGGGCATTCCCTTTGTAGGTAACCTGACCTTTCTCTCTGGCTGCCCTTAACATTTTTTCCTTAGTTTTAACCTTGGAAAATCTGACGAGTATGTGTCTTGGTGTTGCTCTTCTCGAGGAGCATCTTAGTGGTGTTCTCTGTATTTCCTGAATTTGAATGTTGGCCAGTATTGCTATGTTGGGAAGTTCTCCTGGATAATATCCTGGTGTGTCTTCTGCAACTTGGTTCCATTCTCGCTGTCACCTTCAGGGACCCCAGTCAATCGTAGGTTTGGTCTTTTCACATTGTCCCATATTTCTTGGAGGTTTTGTTCATTCCTTTTCATTCTTTTATCTCTAATCTTGTCTTCACAACTTATTTCAGCAAGTTGATCTTCAATCTCTGATACACTTTCTTCCACTTGATCGATTCTGCTATTGATACTTGTGTATGCTTCATGAAGTTCTCGTGCTGTGTTTTTCAGCTCTATCAGATCATCTATGTTCTTCTCTAAACTGGTTATTCTAGTTAGCAGTTCTTGTAACCTTTTATAAAGGTTCTTAATTTCCTTGCATTGGGTTAGAACATGCTCCTTTATCTCAGAGGAGTGTTATTATCCACCTTCTGAAGCCTACTTCTGTCAATTCGTCAAACTCATTCTCAATCCAGTTTTGTGCCCTTGGAGAGGAGTTACAATCACTTGGAGAAGAGGCATTCTGGTTTTTGAAATTTTTCGGGATTTTTGTGCTGTTTTTTCCTCATCTTCGTGGATTTATCTACCTTTGATCTTTGAGGCTGATGACCTGTGGATGGGGTTTTTGTGTGGGTGTCCTTTTTGTTGAAGCTGATGTTATTGCTTTCTGTTTGTTATTTTTTCTTCTAACAGTCAGTCCTCTCTTATGGCAGGTCTGCTGGAGTTTGCTGGAGGTCCACTCCAGACTCTGTTTGCCTGGGTATCACCAGCAGAGGCTGCAGAACAGCAAAGATTGCTGCCTGCACCTTCCTCTAGAAGCTTTATCCCAGAAGGGCACCAGTCTGATGCCAACCAGAGCTCCCCTGTATGAGGTGTCTGTTGACCCCTGCTGGGAAGTCTCTCCCAGTCAGGAGGCATGGCGGTCAGGGACTCACTTGAGGAGGCAGTCTGTCCTTTAGCAGAGCTCGAGCACTGTGCTGGAAGAATCCTCCTTGTCTGGATTCGCTGCTCTCTTCAGAGATGGCAGGCAGGAATGTTTAAGTCCACTGAAGCTGTGCCCACTGCCTCCCCTTCCCCCAGGTGCTCTGTCCCAGGATGTTGGGAGTTTTATCTATAAGCCCCCTGGCTGGGGCTGCTGCCTTTCTTTCAGAGATGCCCTGCCCAGTGAGGAGGAATCTAGAAAGGCAGTCTGGCCACAGCCACTTTGCTGCACTGTGGTGAGTTCCACCCAGTCCGAATTTCCCCCGCTCCTTAAGACTGTCAGGGGAAAACCGCCTACTGAAGCCTCAGCAATGTTGGATGCCCTTCCCCCGACCAAGCTCAATTGTCCCAGGTCCACTTCAGACTGCTGTGCTGGCAGCAAGAGCTCCTGAAGGAAGCACTAAATATGGAAGGAAAAATCTGGTACCAGCCCCTGTAAAAACATACCAAAATATAAAGACCAACAACACTATGAAGAAACTGCATCAACTAATGTGCAAAATAACTAGCTAGCATCATCATGACAAGATCAAATTTACACATAACAATATTAACGTTAAATGCAAATGGGCTAAATGCCCCCAATTAAAAGACACAGACTGGCAATTTGGATAAAGAGTCAAGACCCATTGGTGTGCTGTATTCAGGAAACTCATCTCATGTGCAAAGACACACATAGGCTCAAAATAAAAGGATGAAGGAATATTTACCAAGTAAATGGAAAGCAGAAAAAAGCAGGGTTTGCAATCCTAGTCTCTGATAAAACAGACTTTAAACCAACAAAGATCAAAAAAGACAAAGAAGGCATTACATAATCATAAAGGGATCAATGCAGCAAGACGAACTAACTAAATATATATGCAATCCATACAAGAGCACCCAGATTCATAAAACAAGTTCTCAGAGCTACAAAGAGACTTGGACTCCCACACAATAATAGTGGGAGACTTTAACACCCCACTGTCAATAGTAGACAGATCTATGAGATAGAAAATTAACAAGGATATTTAGTACTTGAACTCAGCTCCAGACCAAGCAGACATAATAGACATCTACAGAGCTCTCTACTCCAAATCAACAGAATATACATTCTTCTCTACACCACATAGCACTTATTCTAAAATCGACCATATAATTGTAACTAAAACACTCCTCAGCGAATGCAAAAGAACAGACTTAATAAAAAACCTTATCTCAGACCACAGTGCAGTCAAATTAGAACTCAAGATTAAGAAATTCACTCAAAACTGCACAATTACATGGAAACTGAACAATGTGCTCCTGAATGACTGCCGGGTAAATAGAGAAATTAAGGCAGAAATAAATAAGTTCTTTGAAACCAAAGAGAACAAAGAGATAACATACCAGAATCTCTGGACACAGCTTAAGCAGTGTTAAGAGGGAAATTTTTAGCACTAAATGCCCACATCAGAAAGCTGAAGAGATCTAAAATTGACACCCTAACATCACAATTAAAAGAACTACAGAAGCAAGAGCAAACAATTTCAAAAGCTAGCAGAGGACAAGAAATAACTAAGATCAGAGCAGAACTGAAGGAGATACACACAAAAAAATAAAAAACTCAATGAATCCAGGAGCTGTTTTTTTTTTAAAGATTAACAAAATAGACCACTAGCCAGACTGATAAAGAAGAAAAGAGAGAAGAATTAAATAGAGACAATAAAAAATGATAAAGGGGATATCACCATTTATCCCACAGAAATACAAACTACCACTAGAGAATACTATAAACACTTCTACACAAATAAACTAGAAAACCTAGAAGTTATTCCTGTGTTATTTCTGGACACATATACCATCCCAAGACTAATCCAGTAAGAAGTCAAATCCCTGAATAGACCAATAAAAAGTTCTGAAATTGAGGCAGTAATTAATAGCCTACCAACCAAAAAAAGCTCAGGGCCAGACAGATTCACAGCCGAATTCTTCCAGAGGTACAAAGAGGAGCTGGTACCATCCCTTCTGACACTATTCCAAACAATGCAAAAGAAGGACTCCTCCCTAACTCGTTTTATGAGACCAGCATCATCCAGATACCTAAACCTGGCAAAGACACTACAAAAAAAGAAAACTTCAGGCCAATATTCCAGATGAATATTGATGCAAAAATACTCAACAAAATACTGGCAAACTGAATCCAACAGCACATCAAAAAGCTTATCCTCCACAATCAAGTTGGCTTTAGCCCTGGGATGCAAGGTTGCTTCAACATACACAAATTAATAAATGTAGTGCATCACATAAACAGGACAAATGACAAAAAACACATGATTATCTCAATAGATGCAGAAAATGCCTTCGATAAAATGCAACACCCTTTCATGCAAAAAACTCTCCATAAACTAGGTATTGATGGAACATATCTCAAAATAATAAGAGCTATTTATGACAAATCCAGAGCCAGTATCATACTGAATGGGCAAAAGCTGGAAGCATTCCCTTTGAAAACCAGCACAAGACAAGGATGCCCTCTCACACCATTCCTATTCAACGTAATATTGGAAGTTCTGGCCAGGGCTATCAGACAAGAGAAAGAAATAAAAGGTATTCAAATAGGAAGAGAGGAAGTCAAATTGTTTCTGTTTGCAGATGACATGATTGTATATTTAGAAAACCCCATCATCTCAGCCCAAAAACTCCTTAAGCTGATAAGCAACTTCAGCAAAGTCTCAGGAACCAAAATCAATGTGCAAAAATCGCAAGCATTTCTATACACCTGAAATAGACAAGCAGAGAGTCAAATCATGAGTGAACTCCCATTCACAATTGCTACAAAGAGAATAAAATACTTAGGAATCCAACTTACAAGGGATGTGAAGGACCTCTTCAAGGAGAACTACAAACCACTGCTCAAGGAAATAAGAAAGGACACAAACGAATGGAAAAAAAATTCCATGTTCATGGATAGAAAGGCTCAATATTATGAAAATGGCCATACTGCCCAAAGTAATTTATAGATTCAATGCTATTTCCATCAGGCTACCGTTGGCTTTCTTCAAAAAATTAGAAAGAACCACTTTAAATTTCATATGGAACCCAGGAAGAGCCCATATAGCCAAGCAATCCTAAGCAAAAATAACAAAGCTGGAGGCATCATGCCACCTGGCTTCAAACTATACAACAAAGCTACAGTAACCGAAACAGCACGGTATTGGTACCAAAACAGATATATAGACCGATGGAACAGAATAGAGGCCTCAGAAATAACACCACACATCTGCAACCATCTGATCTTTGACAAACTTGACAAAAACAAGCAATAGGGAAAAGATTCCCTATTTAATAAATGGTGCTGGGAAAACTAGCTAGCCATATGCAGAAAACAGAAACTCCACCCTTTCCTTACACCTTATACAAAAATTAAGATGGATTGAACACTTAAATGTAAAACCCCAAACCATAAAAACCCTATTAGAAAACCTAGGCAATACCATTGAGGGCATATGAATGGGCAAAGACTTAATGACTAAAACACCAAATGCAATTGCAACAAAAGCCAAAATTGACAAACGGGATCTAATTAAACTAAAGAGCTTCTGCACAGCAAAGGAAACTATCATCAAAGTGAACAGTCAACCTTCAGAATGGGAGAAAATTTTTGTAATCTATCTATCTGACAAGGGTCTAATATCGAAAATCTATAAGGAATTTAAACAAATTTACAAGTAAAAACAAACAACCCCATCAAAAAGTGGGGGAAGGAATATGAACAGACACTTCTCCAAAAAAGACATTTATGCAGCCCACAGACATATGAAAAAAAGCTCATCATCACTGATCATTGGAGAAATGCAAATCAAAACTACAATGAGATATCTCATGCCAGTTAGAATGGTGATCATTAAAAAGTCAGGAAACCACAGATGCTGGTGAAGCTGTGGAGAATTAGGAACTCTTTTACACTGTTGGTGGGAGTGTAAATTATTTCAACCATTGTGGAAGACAGTGTGACGATTCCTCAAGGATCTAGAAGCAGAAATACCATTTAACCCAGCAAGTTCATTACTGGGTACATACCCAGAGGATTATAAATCATTCTACTATAAAGACACATGCACACGTATGTTTATTGCAGCACTATTTACAATAGCAAAGACTTGGAACCAACCCAAATGCCCATCAGTGATAGACTGGATAAAGAAAATGTGGCACATATACACCATGGAATACTATGCAGCCAAAGAACAATGTGTTTCTGTCCTTTGCAGGGACATGGATGAAGCTGGAAACCATCATTCTCAGCAAACTAACACGGGAACAGAAAACCAAACACTGCATGTTCTCACTCATAAGTGGGAGTTGAACAATGAGAACACTTGGACACAGGGAGGTGAACATCACACACTGGGGCCTGTCAGGGGTTGGGGGGCATGCGGAGGGAGGGCATTAGGACAAATACTTAATGCATGTGGGGCTTAAAACCTTGATGATGGATGGATAGGTACAGCAAACTACCATAGCACATGTATACCTATGTTACAAACCTGAAAATGTATCCCAGAACTTAAAGTAAATTTAAAAAAAAGTGCTCAACATCCTTAATCATCGGAGAAATGCAAATTAAAACCATGATGAGATACCATCTTACACCAGTCAGAATTGCTATTGTAAAAAAGTAAAAAAAATAACAGAAGTTGGGAAGAATATGGAGAAGAGGGAATGCTTATACACTGTTGGTGGGAATGTAAATTAGTACAACTTCTATGGAAAACAGTATGGATATTTCTCAAATAACTAAAAATAGAACTACCATTCAGTTCAGCAATTCAATTACTGGGTATCTACTCATGGAAAAGAAGACATTATATCAAAAAGACATCTGCATTAGTATGTTTATTATAGCACTCTTCACAATAACATAGTCATGGACTCAACCTAAGGATCCATCAACAGATGACTGGATTAAAAATGTCAGGTGTGTATACACACACACACACACACACACTATGGAACACTACTCAACTATAAAAAATAATGAAATTATGTCTTTTTCAGCAACAGCGGTGGAACTGGGGGCCATTATCTTAAAAGAAATAACTTAGAAACAGGATGTCAAAACTGCATGTTCTCACTTACAAGTGAAAGCTGAATAATGAGTACACATGGACATAACAGAGTGGAATAATAGTCATTAGAGACACCAAAAGATGGGACGGTGGTGGTGGAAGTGATAGATAAAATATTATCCATTTGGAACAATGAATAATATTCAGATGACATACACTGAAAGGTCAGAATTCACTACTAGGCAACATATCCATGTAATACAACTACACTTTTACCCCCAAATCTAAAAAAAAAAAATTGAGTAAAACATCAAATTATGAAAATAAATATGATTAGTTATGTAAATATTGTGGTTGTATATACCAATCATGAATATACATATACTGTTTATGAATTCATATTTATGTAGAAAATTATAAAAATGTGAACAGGAAGATCACATCACCTTAAGTTTCATGATTACTTCTAAAGGAATGATTTGGAATCAGTAACACAAAAGGGCATTAGTCCACCTGTAATGACTTACATATCTTCAGATAGACCCGAAACAAAAAAAGTAAAACATCTGTTTAATATGGGTGATGTAAAATTGGATACTTTATATCTGATTATCTAGTTTATGCATTTTTGACATATCTTATCATTATTTTAAAAATTCAATTAAGCCAAGAATTTTCTTTATTAGAAGCAAACTCTTCTTTCTCTTGGGAATCCAGACTCCTACCAGTTATACACTATCTGTGTGTCTTTAAGAAGGTAGAAAATATTTACTTTATCTTTGCAGGTCCCAAAATGCCTAGTACAGTGTCTTACACAGAATAAATATTTCAAACTTTAATAGTCACTGGTGATTTTTTCTTATGTTTGTGACTGGAATGATTGATTATAGGTACAGAATGGGGCAAAATAATATGAATATATTGTGTGAAGGTATTGACTGTATGTTTATAAATGTTAAATTCATCTTTAGTTAGAAACAAACAAAACTCAGGTGGCCAAACTTTCCTGAGTATAGGAAAGTGTATGTGACCTGAAATGATTGACACCTGACTTTATAAATAGAACCATTTGTATTGGCTTGTAAACAAAGGCTCACTACTCCAGAATAGACAAGAAGATAAGGAAGTTGCTCCAGGTCAGTACTTCTAAGAGAGAATAGAATAATAAGCTAAAGAAATAAAAATGCTGCTGAAAGTTTGCTAATTTACTTGACATGTTAATCACTTTTAATATTAATAAAAGCCATCTGTCTCCTGCACAGAGAAAGTATGTGCCATCCTGTGTGCATTTGAATATCTACATATTTGATTTTAATAGCCTACAATGTGGTTAACTGGATAATAAAAGTTATGAGGTTATCTTCATTTAAAATCACTGATTTAACAAAATATAAAAGGCAATTCAAAATACATAATATTCAGCTCTTGGAAAGAGATGCTTTGTATGAAATGTTGACTTTATTTTTCAATTACTTAAACTCAAAAAAATGCAGTGGGTTCTGCACATAGAAAATTCTGCTTTTATTTATGCATGAGTAAGTGAATGCATCTATAATAGCACATGGACATATGAGATTAGATTCTTAACATATTCAATCTTTCTGTGGGCTACTCCCAAGGTTTTTCTGAATATTCACATTTTCAGTTCTTAAAGAACATAAAGAGAAAATGTTTATTGCAATTCCATATGTACAGTATATCTATTGTATATATGTATATTACATAATATTGTTTATGTGAAAGTGGGGGTATTCATTACAATGTTAATATAGTAATCAAATATTTTTATTTCATGCATCAATCATTAAAAGAGTGCCCTACACAAATGCACTTAGTGAAAACATTCCACTTAGAAGAACAAGGACGATCTGAAAAAGATGTGTGCACTGGGGCATGCTTTGAGAAGCCACTAAGATTGAGATATTTGAGTCAAATCTTCTGAATGTTTGATAACTTTCTCCACAAACCTACCTGGCACTATGCTGAAGAAATTAGTACTACATTGCTTAGACCAGAGTCAATGACCTTTTCTCCTGAGGGAATATGAAGTTGGGTCATGGAGATACTGAGTCATTCGGGGGTCCCATTTTACTTGTGGGAATGCAGACTAAGAGATCTTAATTAACTTACCAAAGAATTTATAGGCAGTAAGAATGGAGACAATAAATAGTGGAAGAAACCATCATTCATGAAATTAAATCTATATGGAGTGGTTTAGAAATTTTCTCCTGTGGGATACAGAAGCAGATGTATATAGACTTAACATGGTTAACTCAAAGTTGCACTATCTTCCTGGATTGAATATATATATGAGGCCTAGAGAACAACCTTCCAAGGGTTTTGTAATCCATTTGGAAAGTAAATAATAATCCTTGTAGACACATAGAATCTTTAGCCTTTAAGTAATTTATAAATTTTATACAGAAAATTAAGACCTTGGGATGTTAACTTCTTTCTTTCATTCATGTTTTAGCTTTCGAAGAGAGAAGTGAATTTTAAGTTGACAGTCAAGCTTTTAGATTTGTCAAATACATATTTCTTTTAAAACTGTGCCTTAAGATGAACTCTCATAAAGGAAGTGCACATAAGAAAAGAAGCATATCATTTTAGACAAGATATTGGCTGGCTTGGCAGAAAGAATTTTAAAATGAAATTTATGAGTTAAGAAGATGGCAGTAATGGAAGGTGAAAATTTACTTAATACCTTCACATGAACAAAAAATTTCCCCCATATTGCCCTAATGTTTTTTATGTCTTTTATTCTAACACAATAATTTATAATTGATAAACTAAATTAATTGGTGTGACTTTGTTTTTAACGTCAGTCTGTTTTGTCCATTTGTTATCAATCGTTTGTTCTCTTTCTTTCACTAAGTTTATTAGGATTATATCAGTTCTTTTAGAATAATTCAAGTACTCTCAGGACCATTCTTAGTTCTAAGGTACTATAAAACCACCATAGACATGCAGTGATTACTTACAATTACATATGCCATATTGGAAAATCTAAAAGAGGGAATGAAGGAGAAATCACTTATATTAAACTTTGACAAGTGATTATGTTCTCCTACTTGAACATAGATATGTTTGATGTTCTATGAATTCACACAAATTAAAATAAAATAATGGAACACCAACATTTGCTGCACTTAAGCTGAAAAACATATTATTTCCTCAATCTTTAACTTATATTCAATCTCCTTTTATGTTCCTTCTTCAACATCAGTAACAAGTGGTAGGAAAAGATAACTAGTTTGTTATTATTCCATAGTAATCACATTCCTAATTGACAAATATTTAGCAGTGTCTTTAATATGCTTTGGAGGCAAGAGCCCATATGTATAATTTACTTATACTGAAACACATACGTTTTGTTTATCTGATATTTAAATTTAATTGGGCATACTGTATTTTATCTGGCAACTCTAAATTAATAGACTTCTTGTCTCTTGCCATTCAAGATTTTAAAAAGGTATGACATAACATTTGATCTCACATCTCTTTTCAGATCTTTTCATTGTAGTTTACTGAGTAGATTTCTTTTTGGCCATTTATTGGGAATGTTAATATCCTCTCATATTTAAACAATACTTAACAAAGTTATTTTGCATTTATTATTTCAATTGATCCTCATAAAACCCTGTGAGGTTGGCCAGTACATGCACTTTATAAATAATAAAACTGAACTTGTAGAAGTTCTCTGACTTGCCTGAGGTCACATACTCTGTTAGTAGCAAGTATCAGATTTGGGCAACACTTCAGAGCACACTTTATAAAATATATTACAGTTTTTTTAACTATTCTAAAATAGAAAGCATCAACAAAACTGATCCTTTTACTTGAGAAATTTTCAGATATATTTCTTAAGTATGTAATATACCATACATATTTTCTTCATACAAATTGAAACGTTTTCCCTTTTGTTTTCACATTTCCAATACTAAAGTACTACTTATCAATTCCAATAGGAGCATATAATTATAAATTTATCTTTACTGAAATGTTATTTTAATTATAGAAAAAATGCCACTTGACTAACGATATTAATCTATCTTTATAGGTGAATGAAGAAGGAGGTTAGGTATAGGTTACTTCTCATAAATACATAATGTGAAAAGTCTTCAGATTCTATGACAGAGGCATTCATTCAATCGATCAATAACTATCCATATAGTTAACAAGCATTTGTTGACAACTCCGTATAAGAATAACATTATGGCACGTCTTTAAGATAGAAATGAGTGTAAGACATGGCTTTTTAGGCTTTGGAAAATAAAACAGCATCAAAAGAAAAAAAGAACAAGTTATGCACAGTACCCGCTTTCCTGGAGCTTACTGATTACAAAGCATAGAGTGTGGAAATTAAGTGTTAGGCTTTTCAAAGACAGAGTCCTTCCAACAACGATAGGCTTTGTTGCTTGACTTGAAAATGCAAGGGTAGGCAGAGAGAAAGGAGAGGAGCAGTACAAGTAAAAGTGCTGAGATGGATATGAATTGTTCTTATTCAGGTGACCTGTGAATGTCAAACCAAGAGAATTAGATTTTTATCTTGTAAGTATTTGAATAGGGTACAATATGGTGAAAGCAATATTTTAGAAAAATCGTTCTGTTAGCTACATTAGGTCTGTATCAATAACACACCATAACTTTGATGCATACTGTCTTTGAAGAAGCCACATTTTTGTTTCCCATGAATCTGCCATCAAAATTCATTGACTGAAGTAAAACAATTGAGCTGTTAGTAAAGGGAGAAAGTAATCAGGCATCTTGCATCTTAGATTCTCAGATGATATATGCCAACCCATGTTGGAGGTGTGGTGTGGAAAAGATACAATGACAAGAAAAGCCAGAAGAAAGATGTGTACTGGGGACAGTATTTTTGATTAGAGTTAATTTTTAGGGTATCAGAGACCCAGTCAACGGAGGCAGAAATTTTTTTTTCAGTACAATATATCAATCCTAGATGAATGACTAAAAATTACATGAGAAGTTGGGCACATCTAACTTATTTCCTAATACAGATCTAAAAAAGGTATTTTCCTACTCCTAAGCAAAATGAGTGTGCAACCAAGTAATGTCCAGTATTAGGACTATATAATAGTAGTTTTATTTGGGAATGAGTTGAGAAGAAAACAGCATAACAACAATACCAAAACAACATGAAACCTATGAAAAAAATATTTACTTTTCTAAGGACTTAAAGGGTAAAAAATGAGTTTTGTAAATAACTTCTTAAATTTAAGAACCAGAAAAAAAGTAGAAGAATGTTACAGTCTCCATCAAAATAAAATACATTCAAGGCCCCTGAAAAGGGAGTAGAAAGCTAAATGGAAAGAAAAATCTAAGATGAATAGACAACTGACTAAGATGAAAATAAGAAGGAATTTAAGAAAACTAAATGAATACTAAGATGTGTATTGAAGGCCTTAAAAGTTATAATTGTGTAGAAAATTAAATCAATGATATTGAGACTTAATTTGAGAAGCTCAAGAATTCAGTCTTTAATAATAAATAAATACATATGATATTAGTGGAATGTTAATATGGAAGAAAAAGAATGAGATTCAGTACAAGAAAAATGGGAATGTTTTATCACAATTGTAATCATGAAAAAAAAGCTTTCCTAATTAAAAGTTTAAAAGAGCTGGGACATTTAGAGAAGACAGAAATATAGGAATGTGCATTCAACATCTAACCTCTGAATTTTGCAAAAAGAAACCAACAATAAAAGAAAAAAATTACAGTAGAATAAGGTGATGACCCCACATTTATACTATAAACAAGGAAGTGTATTTCCTTAGTGTAATACAACTTTAATAAAATTCAAAGAGGGCACAGGGAGTTAAACTACAATTCCATTACCTCAGAGAATGAGAAAACTTGTGAGGGCATGTAGGTGGAGAATATTTTTAGGGATACAGTTAAATTCCTCTAGCACGGCAAAGAGCTGAGATGGTGCATGAACCATTTCAAAATGGTACACATCAATAGCTTTGGTTTAAGAAAATTAAGGAAATTCTTGTTTTGCATATTCAATTTTCTCTCTGAAACAAATAAAAAGGTATGTGTTGAAAGCCATAAGGTAATTAAAAGGTTGGAATTTGGAGAAACAAAATACTTTGAATGAGTCATTATAAGGAAGGGAAAGTCCAAGATAAGTTTGTTGTCTATGGGTTTATAATGGTTCTAACCTTCATAGTTATGCAATCTTCTCTATTCCTGATAAGCAGCCTGGAGGTAGGCACTGAGATTTCAGGAGTTGAATTGAAAATAATCTTGATGGAATATGAAAATAAAAGAGAATGGATGGTCAACAGATGGGAGGAATGTAGAGGATTTGAGTGACCTGGATTAAAGGAACAGGTGTAACGAAAGTGACTGAATGATAAAATATATGAGTAGAGCATTGTGATGACACAATAGAACATCTGAGTCTAAAATTTCAGAAGCAATGCCATTAATGAAGCCGGTTAGGTGCACAGTATATCCACTGGGTTTGGAGAGTGTATGGCTAAAATAGTGTAGTGAAGTTGTTTGAAGATGAAGATTTCAAGGAAACAATGCAAAACCTGGCTTGGAGATAAAGATTATAAAACATGGCGGCCAGGCACAGTGGCTCACGCCTGTAATCCCAGTATTTTGGGAGGCCGAGGTGGGTGGATCACCTGAGGTCAGGAGTTCAAGACCAGCCTGGCCAATATGGCGAAACCCCATCTCTACTGAAAATACAAAAATTAACCGGGCGTGGTGGCACGTGCCTGTAGTCCCAGCTACTTGGGAGGCTGAGGCAGGAGAACTGCTTGAACCCAGGAGGTGGAGGTTGCAGTGAGCCAAGATCGAGCCACTGCACTCCAGCCTAGGTGACAGAGCCAGACTCCATCTCAAAAAAAAAAAAAAAAAAAAAAAAAAAAAAGCAAAGGCTTCAATAATTGTGGATAAATTATCAGAAGCTGTGTATATGACAGTAAAGTGGTTATTTGTTGGTTAATACAGCCAGCCTTATGGCATAAACCTCAAAAGAGTAGAAATTTTATGTGTTGGTGGAAAACTATAGATTTGGAAGTGTTAAGATGGAACTGGACAGTACAGCATTGGAGTTAAGAATGTCGAATCTAATGCCAAATTGCCTAGGATCAAATGGTGGCTCCCTCCATACCTGTGTAACCTTGGAAAATTTACATATATTCACTGTGCCTCTGTTTCTTCGTTTCTAAAATGGGGATAATAATTTTACTCACCTTACCCTGTTGTTGTATTTATTTAATTAATGTAAAGTATACAATATTAGGTTAAAATAGGACTAGCTATATGTAATGCAAAACCTAATTTAAAGAAACATAGCCCGATTAGTGTTTAGTTTGTTATTCATCTTTTCTATAACTTTTATTTTAGGTTCAGAGGTACATGTGATGGTTTGTTATACAGATAAAGTGCGTGTTGTGGGGTTTGGTGCATAGATTGTTTCGTCACACAGGTAATAAGCATAGTACTCAACAGATAGGTTATTTTTTATACATCCATCCTCTCAAACATTTATCGTTTGAGTTACAAACAATCCAATTACACTCTTTAAGTATTTTAAAATGTACAATTATTTTTAACTATAGTCACTCTGATAGGTAGTTTTTTGAACTTCTGCCTCCTCCCATCCTCTGCCTTCAAGTCAGCCCCAATGTCTGTTTTTCCCCTTTGTGTCCATGTTTACTCATTGTTTAGCTCTCATTTATAAGTAAGAGCGTGCAATATTTGGTTTTCTCTTCCTGCATTAGTTTGCTTAGGATAATAGTCTTCAGTTCCATTCATGCGGCTGAAAAAGACATAATCTCATGTTTTTATGACTGTGTAGTATTCCATTGTGTATATGTACCATATTTTCTTTATCTAGTCTATCATTGATTAACATGTAGGTGGATTTCTTGTCTTTGCTATTGTGAATACTGCTGCAATGAACATACACATGCATGAGTTTTTATGGGAAAATGACTTATATTCCTTTCGGTACATACTCAGTGATGGGATTACAGAGTCACACAGTAATTCTGTTTTAATTTCTTTGTGGAATTACCACACTGCTTTTCACAATGGCTGAACTAATTTAAATTACTACTTGCTGTGTATAGGCATTCCTTTTTCTCCACAACCTTGCCAGCATCTGTAATTTTTGACTTTTAAATAATAGCCATTCTTATTATATGGGCTGGTATATCCTTATGGTTTTGATTTGCATTTCTCTAATGATCAGTGATTTTGTGCATTTTTTCATATGCTTGTGGGCTGCATGTATGTCTT
This sequence comes from Homo sapiens, assembly GCF_000001405.40. NCBI lineage: Eukaryota > Metazoa > Chordata > Mammalia > Primates > Hominidae > Homo > Homo sapiens. Next base: position 99,501,241 of record NC_000023.11, on the reverse strand, counting down.
CTTTTGAAAAGTGTCTGTTAATGCGCTTTGTCTACTTTTTAATGGGGCTGTTGGGTTTTTAATTATAAATTTGCTTAAGTTCCTGAAAATTTCTGAATATTAGACCTTTGTTGGATGCATACTTTGCAAATGTTTTCTCCCATTCTGTAGGTTGTCTATTTACTCTGTTGACATTACTTTGGCTGTGCAGAAGCTCTTTAATTAGTTGACACTTGTCGCGTTTTGTTTTTGTTGCAATTGCTTTTGGCATCTTCATCGTAAAATTTTTACCAAGGCCTATGTCCACAATGATATTTCCTAGGTTATCTTCCAGGATTTTTATAGTTTCAGGTTTTACATTTAATCTTGAATTCATTTTTGAATATGGTGTAAAGAAGGAGTCTAGGTTCAATCTTCTGTATATGGCTAGCCAGTTATACCAGCATTATTTTTGAGTAGCTAGTCATTCCCCCATTGCTTATTTTTGTAGACTTTGTTGAAGATTAGAGGGTTGTGGGTGCCTGGAATTATTTCTGGGCCCTCTATTCTTTTCAATTGGTCTATGTGTCTGTTTTTGTACCAATACCATGCTGTTTGGGTTACTGTATCCTTATAGTATAGTTTGAATTGTAGGTTGACTTTAGAGTCTGTGCCATGTGGTGATAAAAAGAATGTATATTTTGTTGTCTTGGGGTAGAGAGTTCTGTAGATATCTATCAAGCCCGTTTGATACAGTGCTGACTTCAGATCCTGACTCTCTTTGTTCTTTTCTGCCTCAATAATCTGTCTAATATTGTCAGTGGAGTATTTAAGTCTCCCATTCTTATTGTGTGGTTATCAAAGTCTCCTCTTAGGTCTCTAGGAACCTGTTTTATGACTCTGGGTGCTCCTGTGTTGGGTGCATATATATTTAGGATAGTTTAATTGAACCTTTTACTATTATGTAATGCCTTTCTTTGTATTGTTTGATCTGTGTTGGCTTAAAGTCTGTTGTGCCTGAAATTTGGATAGCACCCCCTGCTTTTTCTGTTTTCCATTTGCTTGGCAGGTCTTTTTCTGTCCCTTTATTTTGAGTCTATGAGTGTTATAGCACGTGATCTGGGTTCCTTGAAGACAGTTGAGTCTTGCTTCTTTATGCAGCTTGCCACTCTGAGCCTTTTAATTGGGACAATCATTCTGTTTGTATTCAAGGTTGATATTCATATGTGCAGGTTTGATCCTGTCATCATGCTGTTGGCTGGTTATTATGCAGACTTGTTTGAGTGGTTGTTTCATAATGTCAATGGTCTGCTTACTTAAGTATGTTCAGTAGTGGTTAGTAAGTGTCTTTACTTTCCATATTTAGCATTTCCTTCAGGGCCTCTTGCAAGGTAGGTCTGGTGGTAACAAATTCCCTCAGCACTTGCTTGTCTGAAAAGACCTTATTTCTTGTTCACTTATGAAGCTTAGTTCTGCCGGATATGAAAATCTTGGTTGAAAATTATTTTCTTTAAGAATGCTGAGGCCAGGTGTAGTGGCTCAGACCTGTAATCCCAGCACTTTGGGAGGCCAAGGCGGACAGATCACCTGAAATCAGGTGATCGAGACCAGCCTGGCCAACATGGCGAAACTCCATCTCTACTAAAAATACAAAAAAAATTAGCTGGGCCTGGTGGCACATACCTGTAGTCCCAGCTACTCGGGAGGCAGAGGTTGCAGTGACCCAAGATTGCACCACTGCACTCCAGCCTGGGTGACAAAGCGAGACTCTGTTTCAAAAACAAAAAAGAAAGAAAGACAGAAAAGAATACTGAATATAGGCCCTCAATCTCTTCTGGCCTGTAGGGTTTCTGCTGGATGGTCCACTGTTAGCCTGATGGGGTCCCCGTTGTAGGTGATCTGCTCCTTCTATCTGCCTTTAACATTTTTTGTTTCATTTCCACATTGAAGAATCTGATAATTGTGTGTCTTGGGGAAGGTCTTCCTGTGTAGTATCTCACTGGGGTTATGCATTTCTGGAATTTGAATGTTAGAATCTCTAGTGAGGTTAAGGACATTTTTATGAATGGTATCCTGAAATATGTTTTCCAAGTTGCTTGTTTTCTCCCAGTTATTATTTTTATGCTTTTTCAATTTTTTGGTCTGAGTGAGTTAAGAGAGTCAGTATTGGACGTCTGAGATTTATTCCTCAGCTGGTTCTATTCTGCTGTTAATACTTAATGATTGCATTATGAAATTCTTGTAGTGTGTTGTTTAGTTCTATCAGAGGAGCGTGATTCTTTCTCCTAATGGGCATGTTGTCTATCGTCTCCTGTATTGTTTTATTGTAATTCTTAGATTCCTTGGATTGGGTTTTGACTTTGTGCTGAACCTCAGAGATTTCATTCCTATCCATATCATAAATTTGATTTATGTTTTATTTCAGCCATTTCAGCTCAGTTAAGAATGCTTTCTGGAGAAGTCATACAGTCATTTGGAAGAAAGAAGACACTCTAGCTTTTGAGCTGCCAGAGTTCTTCTGTTGGTGTTTTCTCATCTGTGTGGGCTGATGTTCCTTTAACTTTAATGTAATTTGAGTACAGTCAGTAGACTTCTTTTCTGAATGTTTTCAGAGATCTGAGGCTTTGTGTAAGGTCTTTATTTGTAGATGAGTTCTTGTTCTTGGTTCCACAAGGGAGTATGCTAGCAAAGTATTTTTTGGTGTTGAAGTTTGGGCTATTATCCAGTAGATGGCATTTAAGTGTTATGGTCAGTAGGTAAGCTTTTGCTCAGCCACATGACTCCTCTGTATTTCCTCAACATTGCAATCAGGCACCCTCTCAGTGGTCTGAAAATGTGGGCTCCTCTCCCGCTCTAGTACTAGCTATAGATCTTGGCTTGGCACTCATAGGCTGCACACCACAGCTCTGGGGTGAGCTCAGGCTTTATGCTCCCTCCACAGCTTGGGGGCAGCAGAGGAAGAGATCATGGCAGTGGTTGTGGCAAAGGGCCTTTTACTTGTCACTTGGGGCTCCACCCCAAAGAGATGCAGAGCCACTATCAATCAGTGCAATTATCTCAGACTAGGGTGGTTCTGTTGTGTGCCCAAGCCACAGGGGCCCTACCTGGTGGTGAGCAGGGAGGGCAAGGAGATGATGAGGGAGACAGACTGGCCTGTTTTCCTTAGGGCAACTGCAGCTTGCTAGAGGTGTGGTTAAAGCACTCAGGGTCTTTGCTCCTTCCACAGTTCAAGGGCGGCAAGGGTAGAACAATTGGAAGAGCAGTGGCAGAGAGATTTTTGGTTGCCTCTGGGAGCTCCACCTCAAAGAAATGCGGATCCACTGCTAATGGGAATGTTCAGCCATAGTATGGGGTACTGCACTCTCTGGCTCAGGTTTGGGGCTCTGTCTGGTGAAGAGCAGGGAGTTCAGGGCTCACAGCCAGGAAAGACTGGGCACCTCTCTATATGGTGACTGTGGTGTGCTAGAAGTGTGTGTGACGCCTCCAAGCTCTTTGTTTCTCTCCCAGACTGAGGGCAGCAGGGATAGATCCACTGCTCTGGCAATGGCAGAGGGGCTTTCAGTTGCCTCCGGGAGCCACTACCAGTGGGTATGCTCAAGTAGGGGTGGGGCAGCTGTTCCAACATTACGAGCCAGGGGCCTCGCTTTGTGAAGATTGGGGGATGAAGAGTTACAGGGAAAAGAGACTGGACTCCTCTCTGTATGGTGGCTGCAGTGTGCTGGAGGTGCCAGCACAGCAACCAGGTCCTTTGTTTTTTTCCCTAGCCCAAGGACAATTAGGATGGTACCACTGCAGCTGCAATGGCTGCTGGCCTGTGGTTTGTTTCTAAGATTTCCTCCTCAGAGAAATGCAAAGCCACTTCCAACTGAAGTGTTCAGGCAGGGGCAGGGTAGTTGAGCTGGAGTCCCATGTTGGGAGGCCCTGCTCAGTGGGGAGAAGCAGGAACAGAAATCTTCATGGAAAACAGTCTGGTCAGCTTTCTGTTGAATAGCTACACAGTACTTGGGATCTACACAGGAGTTTGAGATCAGCCTGGGCAACATAGCAAAACCTCATATTTACAAGAAAAAAAAATAGCTGGACATGATGGCATGTGCCTGTCGTTTCAGCTCTTTGGGAGGCTGGAGTCTCAGGGCAACAGTGGCGAGTGCTACAGGGCGATAAAAGATGGCGGCCTGCTGATAAGGTTTGGATCTGTGTTCGCACCCAACTCTCTTGTTGAAATGTAGCCTCTAGTGCTGGAGATGGAACCTGGTGAAAGGTGACTGGATCAGGAGTGTATTTTGTTGTTGTTGTTGTTCTTTTGAGACAGGTTCTCACTCTGTGGCCAAGGCTATAGTGCAGTGGCACAATCTCGGCTCACTGCAACCTCCACCTCCTGGGCTCAAGCAATCCTCCTGCCTCAGCTTCCCAAATAGCTGAAAAGACAGGCACATGCCATCATGTCCAGCTATTTTTTTTTCTTGTAAAGATGTGGTTTTGCTATGTTGCCCAGGCTGATCTCAAACTCCTGGGCTCAAGCAATTCACTAGCCTTGGCCTCCTAAAAGTGTTGGGATTTCAAGCGTTAAGCTACCATGCCCAGCCGATGGACACGGTTTCTATTGGTTGAGCACCAGTTCCCTATTGCTGTTCTTGTGACTCTGGCGGTGGTGTTCTCAATCTCCATCTGTTTTTGGGGTTCACCACCTATCTTTTAAAGTGAATCTAGTCTTCAGAGTTGCCAGGTGACTCTTTCCTTCCAAACCTCCTGCCCAAAAGGCAACGCAACTAGGCTTAAGCTGGCAAGAAAGAACAAACAGCAAAACTTCGTGCCAACTGAATTCTTTTTGTTTCTAAAGAGCTGTCCAGGAAGTCCAAACCATTTTTTCTTTTTTTTACATCTCATTGACCAGAACTCTGTTACATAGCTATCTATCTGCAAGGTGGGCTGGGAAATGCAGTTCCTAGTTGGGAAGTTAGTTCTTCGAACAACATTGAAGTTCAGTTCATAAAGAAGGAAGGAGAGAGTGCTATGAAGTAGGTATCATTTGCTGGCACACATCCTTACGCATAATTTTTTTGTTTTGTAAAGCAAAGGATGTGTGTAAAGGCACCCATTTGTGGCACACAGTACCTGCCACACGAATATTCAGCAAATGTTCTCTATTATTACCATTATTCTCAACTGACCCTGAGGTTCGTAGTGTATGATAGAATGAATACCCTCGCTTTGAAAAGGTTATAGGCAAAACTTGCCCATGGAGAAGAGCCGGTTTCAGTCAAGGTAAAGATACAGAAAAAGCAATCAGTGAATATATTTAAAACAGAGATGACTATCAACTTTACACAGTGTAAAGTTCTGGAAGGGAAGGAAGGATTATGAATCTTGATCAGGATATGAAATCATGGAGCAAGAGAGAAGGATATGTGAGAGGATAAATAGCTAGAATGCCTTACATTTTAGAGTGTGTACTAGTTATTTATTGCTGTGTAAAAAAATACCACGAACTTAGCAGCTTAAAACTACATACGTCTTTTATCTTAATTTCTGTAGGCCTGAGGTTTTGGAATGGGTGGATTTTCTTCTTAAGGTCTCACCAGGCTAAAACCAAAGTATCAGCTGGGGCTGCAGTTCTTATCTTGACTCAGAGTCCTCTCTCAAGCTCACTATTGGCAGAATTCTGTTCTTTGTGGTACAAGGACTGAGGATCTGTTTTCTTTCTAGCTGTCAGTAGGGACTACTCTAGGCTTCTATAGCACACTTATGGTTCCTTGTCATGTGGCCTTCATAAGCAGGTAGCAAAATGGATGTTTGCTTTACTCCCAGAAGACAAGAGTGCATCCTCTTTTGTCATCAACTGGAGTCTTGCTTTCCCATCACTAGCTGTAGAACACTCCGTCTTTAAGGTGCTGATGTTATTAGGTTAGGCCCACTTGGATAATCTCCCTATCTTAAAATCAACTGATTTGTGTTCTTAATAACATCTACAAAATCTCTTCACAATAGTACTTAGATTAGTGTTTTACTGAACAACAAGGAGAAGATGTGTGTATGCCAGATGCTGAGAATTTTTAGGGCCATCTTACAATTCTGCCTACCACAGAAGGTGACCAAGAAAACTAGAATGTGCAGCATAATGTTTAGATGGCCACAAAATTGCGAAAAGAGTGGAGTAACTTTTGCTTTAAATTTGGCATGGACATTTAAAATTTGTAGGATTCATCTGTAGTCTAAATTGATTTTGTATTTTCTTGGAATGTGAGTTATTTTAACTAAAATATTCATCCAAACACATTTAGAATCTCTTCACATGCTTTGAAATTTGAAAGCAATAAGTAGTACTCTGCTCTAATATTTGTTAACAATGATTACTACACTTTGAATGCACTTTGTTAAAAAAATTAAAAAATTTTTAGTACAACACAAGAGCAAAATTGCGTAACAATACAGTAACCATTTCACCAAAGCAACATGGTATTACTATAAATACAGATACATAAGTCAATGGAACAGAATAAATAACTCAGAAAGAAATCTACATATTTACCGCCAACTGATTTTTGACAAAAGTACCACAATCATACATTGAAGAAAAGACACCCTATTCAATAAATTATGCTGAAAAAGTGTATGTCCATATGCAGAAAAACGAAACTGGACTGCTATCTCTTACTATATGCAAACATCAACTCAAGATGGATTAAAAACTTAAATGTAAGACTTAAAACTATTAAACTAGTAAAAGAAAACATAGGAAAATCACTTTAGGAATTTTGTCAAGGCAAATATTTTATGGCTAACGACTGAAAAGCACAAGAAACAAAAGCGAAATTAAAAAAATGGAAGTATATTAAACTAAAAAGCTTCTATACAGCCAAGGAAACAATCAATAAATTAAAGAGAAAATCTTTTGAAAGGGAGAAAATATTTATATACTATTGATCTAACTAGTGACTAATATCCAGAATATGCAAGAATCTCAAATAACCCAAAAGTTAATAAACTAATAATCCCATTAAAAAGTGAAGACAGTGCATAAATCAAAATTTCTCAAAAATATACAAATGGCCAACAAGTATATTGAAAAAATGCTCAGCCTGACTAATCAAATACAAATTAAAACCACAATGAGATATTATCTTACCCCAGTTAGAATGGCTATTACTACATAGACAAAAATTAAGAGACATTGGTAAAGATGAAGAGAAAAGGAGCATCATATATACTATTCGTGGGAATTTAAATTAGTACAGCCACAATGAAAAACAGTATGCAGATTTCTCAAAAAGCTAGAAATAGAACTACCGTACTCTACAGCAACCCCAATAATGGGTGTTTATCTAAAGAAAAGAAAATCAGTATATAAAAGGGATACCTATACCTACATAATTATTGCCACACTATTTACAGTAGTAAAGACATGAAACCTAAGTGTCCATCAAAGGATGAATAGATAAATAAAATGTGGTATATATAGACAATAAAGTACTATATGGCCATAAAAAATGAAATTCTGTCATTAGTAGCAACATGGATGTAACTGGAGGTCAGTATGTTAAGTAAAATAAGCCAGACACAGAAAGTTAAGTGTTTTATATTATCACTCACCGGAGCTAAAAACTTTGATCCAATGGAGGTAGAGAATAGAGTGATAAATACCAGAGGCTAGGGAAGGTGTGTGTGTGGTGGTGGGGGCAGTGGGGAAGAGAGATTAATGGGCAACTTATAGTCAGACAGAAGAAATAAGTTCCAATATTTCATAGCAGAGTAGGGTGCCTGTAGTTAACAACGATGTATTGTATATTTCAAAATAGCTAGAAGAGAAGACTTGAAATGTTCTCAACACATAGAAATGATAAACACTCGAGGTAATGGATACCCTAAATACTCTGAATTGATCATTACACATTCTGTGCATGGAGCAAAATATCACATGTACTCCATAAATATGTAAAATATAATGTATCAATTAAAAATAGTTGTGTTTTTGGCATTTTATAAATTACATTACATGATGTTTTATTTAATTAAACAAAGCAAATAATTTCCTATTTGTAACAAACCTCTTCTTACAATTTTTTTATCAAATACTTGTAAATGTTCATGTTTACCATACTTAAATATTTGTATGTACGATTTAGTCTTAATTATGTTAATGCATTTTTATGATATGCATTTTTTAAAGATAAAAATAATCGCCACCCAAATATAAACACTATTAACGTTTTGGTGCATTATCCCAAAATCTTTGTAATGTAATTGACATAATTTAAGTTGTATTTTTTCTTTTTAAATATACTTCTATTTAATGTACTTTTCTTTGTTTTCTGCACTAATAATCTACATTTATAATGTGAATGAATCTAAAACTATCATACATAAGGGCATATGTCTTACATAAGTGTGTTATGAAATATGTCATATGACCATAAGTATATTAAACACAAATATAATGCATAAAAAGAAATAAAAGTTTAAAAAGAAAGACGAAACCTAGAGCAAAATTTGGAAGGAAACAATTTGAAATAGTCACAGTGGTTGTCTTTGTGGGTGAAGACTGAATGATTTATTTTCTTTCTGCTTCTCTTTCTGTTCCAAAATTTTTATAATGAGCATGGTGTTAAATTTACATCACAGCAACACTTCTTTCTTTCTTTTAAGAGAGAGACAATGTTGTTATTTCCCTGAAATTTAATAAAATTCTTAAGAATTAAAACCGTTAAATTATCTCTGACAGAAAAGTTAAACAACTAACATTTCATATTATTCTACATTTTTAATTGCTCCCTTATTTTGCACATCTCAGGTTTTTAGTTAATTTACATAAATAAGGTAGTTTGGTCAATTGTTCAATGCTTCTTTTATTACTTGTAAATGTTTGTTTTCCTGGAGTTGCTTAGTAACATCAGAGAATAAAAATCCATACTGCATTATCTTGTCATACATCTACATACATTGCTATTATTCTGTGAATTACATGGACTAATGACCTATGATTTTTTTTACTCATTAACCAACTGATCCATTTTCTGATCATAAATAAGCTGTTACATGCAGAGTTCAGAATTTTTAATCCATCTGAGGCCTTCTGGGTGTCATATGATTGAGTTGCCCAGGCATATGCAGTGATATCCTGGTAAAGCAGCTCTCTAACAGTGGAAAAGGAGCTCTAATTTGTAGCATTTTCTAATATAAATAATGCCACTGTGAAGACAATTTCAAGCTACGAATGATGTAAAAACCAACTTGCAAAATTTCTGAAAGTTTAAAAATCAGATCTCATGAGCCAGTATGAGCCAGCTTCAAAACACATCTATTGAATTGAGAACTTGGTATCTGTGTAACTCGACAGTGTTCTTGGTGCACTGCTAAGAAAAGAAAAGCTTGATTCCATGTTATTTTGAGCATAACCATTTACCTGTTACTGCAACCCATGCTAAGTTGGAACTACTGTAAGTAATATAACAACTAAGGAAGAGAATACTTAAAGTAGTTGCCTAAGACTGCACAACTAGTAATTGTCTGATTTTACAGCCTCTATTTTTTTCTGTAGATTTATTAACAAAATCAAGAAATCAGGATGCACACACTTGCTAGTAACATGAAGAAATAAAACTGGGTTTTTGTTTTGTTTTGTAGACAGCACTAAAATTATGACATTATAAGCAACCTTTATCAAACTAACATTTGAGACTGTAGTAACCTTATTTGCATTTATATTCAATTTCCAATATGGTCATAATTGAGATAAAAATTGAAAAAATATATTTTAGGATACACAATATACATATGGCATATTTTCTTTTTTAAATGTTGAAACATAAATAAATTTGGGAATATGGGCACTTACATGGAAATGAAAATATTGTTTTGTTTTTGAGGTTGCTGCTGTCTGAATCGATGGTGACATTCACAGAGAAAACATATATATAAGTCTTATTGATAGCTGCTCCCTGAGAAACAAGAAGAAGTATTTGAGCATAAGGATAAGCCTAATCACATCTGATTGAACTTTCAAATCTTGATGTTTTGAAATGTAAGAATAAAAATGATTAGAATGACAATTCTGGTTTTACTTGGAAATGAAGAAAGTTGGAAAGAGCATTTCTCCAGATCTTACAACTCTAAAAAGTGCTGGACCAAGAGCAAGTTCATAACTTTTCTAGAACCCATCATAGTACTGACATCTCAAAATGAGAAAATGACTAGAATCTTGGGAGAGACAGACACTTACTGGGAGGATTGAAACTTGAGCCCTGGATTGTATGGGTAAGATGCAACTGGACATCAATAAGAGGAGTTCAGCTAGGGTGATTGGCAAATTGGTGAAGGTCAGTAAACTGCATATTCGTGATAGAGGGTTAAGTCCCTGGTGGTTGCATGTACATAGGACGTCTACATCCTCTTTCTTGCTTTTTCTTCTAAGATCCCACTTTGTGATCACAGAGAGCTTGGAGAAGTCTTGAGAAAGTCTCCCTCATATTCATAAATGAAGGATGGGAACAGTAGATACAGTAGGATGGGCAAAAAACTTCATCTGGTCTCCTCTTCCTTATTTACTCCATCAAACAATAACTTAAATTTGTGGTAGGAGGGACAACGAACACTGTCATATTTAGAGTACTTGTAAAATCTGATTACAGCTGTAGGAAGGGGCAGGTCAGTTGGGCATTAAAGTGGGACAGAAATAAATTCTATGTTCAGAACTATGCAAGAAGAGAAACAGCACTGACAGTGGTCTCCATGAGTTCTAAGGACAAAGTACCAGCCTAAAACTGAGGGATACTCAAAACAACAGAGAACAATGCAAAGGAAAGACTTAAGGCTAAGGGTAGAGCTGACATTGGAAAACAAAATCCACTGCCAAACAAACTCTTATTATAAATGTAGGCTATCACTAAACAATCAAATGGAAATATTATTTAAAAAGACTTTGATAAAGAATAATTTTATTTCACATCAAGCTAAAAAGCTTCTGAATAGCAAAGTAAACAATAAACAATGTGAAGAGATAAACCACAGAATGGAAGAAAACATTTGCACACTACACATCTGATAAGGGATTAGTAACCAGAATATAAAATGAACTCAGGCAACTTAATAAAAAGCAAATAATCTTATTTAAAATGTGCAAATATCTCAATAAACATTTCTCAAAAGAAGATATACAAATGGTCAACAGGTCTATAAAATGCTCAACATCACTATTCATCAGAGAAAGACAAATTGAAACTACAATGTGATATTACCTCACCCAAATTAAAATGGCTTTTATTGAAAAGACTGGGAATAACAGATGCTAGGGAGAATGTAGAGTAAAGAGAACCCTCTTATGCTGATGAGGGGAATGTGAATTAGTACAGCCACTGTGGAAAACTATATGGAGGTTTCTCAAAAACCTAAAGCTAGAACTACCAAGGGATCTAGCAGTTCCACTACTGGATATATATTCAAAAGAAAGAAAGCCATTTTATAAAAGTGACATCTGCACTCTCATGCTTCTTGCAGCACTATTCACAACAGCTGAGATATGGAAGCAACATAAGTTTCCATCAGCAGATGAATGGGTAAGGAACACGTGGTACATACACACAATGGAATATTATTCAGCCATAAAAATGAAATAAAATCCTGTCATTTACAACAAAATAGATGGAACTGGTGGACATTATGTTAAGGGAAATAAGCCAGGCACAGAAATAAAAAGGTTGTATAGTATGTTCTCACTCATAGGTAGGAGCTTAAAGAAACTGAATTCATAAAGATAGAGGGTGGAATGATGGCTGCTAGAGGTTGGGAAGGGTGGCAGGGATGGGGGGATAAAATTGGGATGGTTAATGGGTACAGAAATACAGTAAGATATAATAAATAAGATCCAACACTTGGTAGCACAATAAGGGCACTATAGTTAATAATTTGTTGTATATTTTAAAATAACTAAGAGTGGAATTGGAATGTTCTGAAGACAAAGGAATGATAAAGGCTTTAAGTGATGGATACCCTAATTACGTACCCAATAAATATGTATAAATATTATGTACCCTTAATAATAAAAATAAAAATAAAAAAATTAAACAATTAGAAAACAACGATTTCTAGAAATGCATTAGTAAGCTCAATACTCGCTAAGGAAAGAATTAGTGAACTTGAGTATACATCTATAGAAGTAATCAACACTGAAACTCAGAGGAGAAAATATTAAAAAAATGAAAGCCAGATTATCCAATAACTGTGAAACAATAAACAAATGTCTAATATAAGGGCAACTGGGGTCCTAGAAGGAGGGTCCAGAAAGAGAGAGAGAGATAGAGAAAAAGAAACAAAAGAAGCATTTGAAGAATTATGTAATGGGTGATAGGTTTGTAAATGACGAACACCAAACCACATATCCAAGAAATTCATAAAATACCAAGCAGTATAAATAGCAACACACACACACACACACACACACACCCACACACACATCGCTAGTCATATCATACTCAAACTGCTTAAAAACTGTAGAGACAATTGCTAAAGCAGCCAGACAAAAAAGAAATATCACATACAGGAGCAAACAAACATTACATACAGGTATAAAGATCAAACCAACAAAAATTTGGGGAATATATTTGCAGTAGATTTACTCTATAAAAAATGTTAATAGAAATTCTTCAGGCAGAAAAGATACCATACCGAAATTTCATTGTACAAAAAGAAATAAAGTGAACTGGAAATGGAAAAAATAATGGTAAAATAATATTTTTCTAACTTTAACTGCTCTAAAATGTAACTGCCTAAAGCAAAAACAGTAGCAATGTATTATGTTTGTGTGTGTGTGTGTGTGTGTGTGTGTGTGTGTGTGTGTGAAAATAGAAGTATAATATTAATAGTATTCAGGTTGGGAAAGAAGATTGGGAAATATAATGTTTTAAGATTCTTTTATTATACAGGAAGTGTTAAAATATTATTTGGATGTAGACTGAGTAATTGAAAGTAATCTGCATTGCAATCGTGAATAGAATTGTAAGAGGAGGTATAGTTAATTAATAGAGAGATAAAATGTAATCCTACTAATTATCAATTAACCTGAGACAGGAAAATAAAAAAACAATAAACACATGGAATATATAGGAAAACCTAAACTGGTGAAATTTAACAATCTCAATCACTATAAATGTGAATGCTCTAAGACCATGAGTTAAAAGACGTAAAATGTCAAATTTAATACAATAACCATGACTCAACAATATGCTCTCTACAACAAAGAGAAAGACATAAAAAGTTATAAGTAAGTTAAATGATAAACAAAGATATCATAAACACTAACAGAAAGATAAAATAGCTGTGTTAACATCAGGTAAGTTAGACTTAACAGGAATAAATATTTGCTGGAATAAAGAGGAACATTATATTATAATAAAGGGACAATTCTCAAAGTAAACATAATAATCCTGAATGTTTGTCCAGCTAACAAAAGAGCTTCAAAACACATAGGTCAAAGGTTAATTGAACTCAAAGGTGAAACAAACAAATTCACGAATAGAGTTGACAGTTTAATGCTCCTTCCTCAAAAACTGACAGAAAAGAAGGCAGAAAATCAGTAAGAATACAGATGACTTGAACAACAACACTATCCACCAACTTTACCTAGTAGATATTTAGAAATCCATCCATGCAACAAGAGCAGAATAACATTCTTCTTTAGTGGACAGGAAACGGTCACCAAGATAAAGGTAAAAATTATTTTACCTTTATAAAATTATAAATAAATATTTGATATATTGCATTTTCATTTTAATTCAATTCAAAATATTTGTTTAACTTGGCCTTGAAATTTCCATTTTGACAGATGTGTTATTTGGAAGAATATTTTCTTAAATTCAAAATGATTGTCAATTTTCCTGGTATCTTCATACTATTGATTTCTTTATAGTTCTGTTATGATCCAAAATTATACATTTAAGGACTCACATTTTCTTGAAAAAATGTTTTATCATCAGAAAATTTATAACATAAGTGATAAAATTTATAATTTAAGAAAATGAGATGGCTGGGTCAAATGGTATTTCTAGTTCTAGATCCCTGAGGAATCGCCACACTGACTTCCACAATGGTTGAACTAGTTTACAGTCCCACCAACAGTGTAAAAGTGTTCCTATTTCTCCACATCCTCTCCAGCACCTGTTGTTTCCTGACTTTTTAATGATTGCCATTCTAACTGGTGTGAGATGGTATCTCATTGTGGTTTTGATTTGCATTTCTCTGATGGCCAGTGATGGTGAGCATTTTTTCATGTGTTTTTTGGCTGCATAAATGTCTTCTTTTGAGAAGTGTCTGTTCATGTCCTTTGCCCACTTTTTGATGGGGTTGTTTGTTTTTTTCTTGTAAATTTGTTTGAGTTCATTGTAGATTCTGGATATTAGCCCTTTGTCAGATGAGTAGGTTGCGAAAATTTTCTCCCATTTTGTAGGTTGCCTGTTCACTCTGATGGTAGTTTCTTTTGCTGTGCAGAAGCTCTTTAGTTTAATTAGATCCCATTTGTCAATGTTGGCTTTTGTTGCCATTGCTTTTGGTGTTTTAGACATGAAGTCCTTGCCCATGCCTAGGTCCTGAATGGTAATGCCTAGGTTTTCTTCTAGGGTTTTTATGGTTTTAGGTCTAACGTTTTAAGTCTTTAATCCATCTTGAATTGATTTTTGTATAAGGTGTAAGGAAGGGATCCAGTTTCAGCTTTCTACATATGGCTAGCCAGTTTTCCCAGCACCACTTATTAAATTTATTAAAAACAGCACCCATTGCTTGTTTTTCTCAGGTTTGTGAAAGATCAGATAGTTGTAGATATGCAGTGTTATTTCTGAGGGCTCTGTTCTGTTCCATTGATCTATATCTCTGTTTTGGTACCAGGACCATGCTGTTTTGGTTACTGTAGCCTTGTAGTATAGTTTGAAGTCAGGTAGTGTGATGCCTCCAGCTTTGTTCTTTTGGCTTAGGATTGACTTGGCGATGTGGGCTCTTTTTTGGTTCCATATGAACTTTAAAGTAGTTTTTTCCAATTCTGTGAAGAAAGGCATTGGTAGCTTGATGGGGATGGCATTGAATCTGTAAATTACCTTGGGCAGTATGGCCATTTTCACGATATTGATTCTTCCTACCCATGAGCATGGAATGTTCTTCCATTTGTTTGTATCCTCTTTTATTTCCTTGAGCAGCGGTTTGTAGTTCTCCTTGAAGAGGTCCTTCACATCCCATGTAAGTTGGATTCCTAGGTATTTTATTCTCTTTGAAGCAATTGTGAATGGGAGTTCACTCATGATTTGGGTATATACCCAAAGGACTATAAATCATGCTGCTATAAAGACACATGCACACGTATGTTTATTGCGGCATTATTCACAATAGCAAAGACTTGGAACCAACCCAAATGTCCAACAATGATAGACTGGATTAAGAAAATGTGGCACATATACACCATGGAATACTATGCAGCCATAAAAAATGATGAGTTCATGTCCTTTGTAGGGACATGGATGAAATTGGAAATCATCATTCTCAGTAAACTATCACAAGAACAAAAAACCAAACACCGCATATTCTCACTCATAGGTGGGAATTGAACAATGAGATCACATGGACACAGGAAAAGGAACATCACACTCTGGGGACTGTTGTGGGGTGGGGGGAGGGGGGAGGGATAGCATTGGGAGATATACCTAATGCTAGATGACGAGTTAGTGGGTGCAGCACACCAGCATGGCACATGTATACGTATGTAACTAACCTGCACAATGTGCACATGTACCCTAAAACTTAAAGTATAATAATAAATAAATAAATAAAAAGAAGAAAAAAAAAGAAAATGAGTCCTTCACAAGTCCTTAAATGTATAATTTTGAATCATAACACAACTTTACAGAAATAAATAGTATAAAGATATCAGGAAAATTTACAATTATTTCGAATTTAAGAAAACATTCTTCCAAATAACACAGGTGTCAAAATGGAAGTTTCAAGAGCAAAGTTAAATAAATATTTTGGACTGAATTAAAATGAAAATACAATATATCAAATTTTCAGGGTACATTTAAAGCAATCCTTAAAGGGAAATTTACAAGATAAAATGCTTACATTAGAAAAGTGGAAAGACATAAAATCAGATTTCTAAACTTCCACCGTAAGAAACTAGAAAAAAAAAGAGTCAATTACATAAAAGGAAATAGAAGAAAGAAAATAAGAAAAATAAGCAACAAAATAAACAATGAAATTAAAAACACAAAAACAGAAAACCAATGAAGTCAAATGTAGCCCTTTGAAACGATTAATAAAACTCATAAACCTCTAATCAGAATGAGCAAGAAAAAATAAGTAGATACATATTACCAATGTCAGGTATGTAAGAAAAGACTTCACTACTAACCATTAATTTATAAAATATTAAGGGAACACTACTCTATGACCTTAAATTTGACAATTTAAATTAAATTGATTAATTCCTTGAAAAACAAACTACCAAAATCTCACTCAAGAAAAAAACTATGAATATACATATGAAATTGAATCTGGTTGAAAATATTCCACAAACAAAAGTCCAGGTCCATGTAGTTTCACTTTCAAATTCTACCAAACAAGTACCAGATAATCTCTCACAGGAAAAGGGAATACTTCTCAACTAATTTTAGAAGGTGATCATAGTACTGGGTACAGACAAAGACAATACAAGAATAGAAAACTAAAAATCAATATCTCAAACTAGACAGAAAATCCTCAGCAATATATTAGTAAATTAAATTCAGCAATATATAATAGGATAAAATATCAGACTAAGTCAGATTCATCTAAAGGATGAGAAGTTGGTTCAACATTTGAAAATTAATATCATTTACTAGGTTAACGAATTGAAGAAAATAATGTGATCATCTCATTAGATGCAGAGAAAGCATAAATTTAACATCCATTTATAATAATTGGAAAAAAAAACTCAAAAGCTAGGATAGAAGAGAACTTTTTTTTAACATGATAAGAGGTATCTACAAACTACTCAAAGCCTACAGCTAACTTCATACTTACTGTTGAAAGACAGAATGTTGTACTCTTATGGCAGGAAATAGGAAAGTTTCTTCTATCTTATTACTCCTATTCAATACATACTCGATATTTTTGCCAGTGAAATAGGCAACAAAAAGTAATACAAGGCACACCAATGGGAAAGGAAGGAAGTAAACTGTATTCACAGATGACATAATTGTCTTCATAGAAAATTCCCAAGAATCAGCAAAGATGTTCCTAGAACTACAGAGTTCAGTCTTTTCAGAATGCACTATCAATACAGAAAATAAATGTTAAATTATATGTACTTGTAATCAACTTTAAATAAGAATGCCATTTGCAATAGCATGAAAATTAAAATACTGGGATACAAATGTAGCAAAATGTGTGCATGATCTGTTTGCTGGGAACCACAAAACACTGATGAAGGAAATCATTAAAAACCAAAATTATTGTGCACCTATTTCAGATGCATAAATGTAAGACTCAATATAATTAATATGTCACTTCTCCATGATATATTGCTAAATTCAATGCAATCAAAATCAAAATCCCAGCATGTTTTTGTGCATATCAAAAACCTGATTCTAAAATGTGTATGGAAAGGTAAAGAAATTAGAAGAGCCAAAACAATTTTGAAAAGGAGCAGAGTTAGAGGACTTGCATACCTGATTGCAAGTTTTTTCTCTAAAACTACAATAATCATGAAAATCTGCTATGGGCAAAAGGATAGAAATATGGAAGAGACTAACAGCAGCATAAAGCTTTCAGAAGTAGATTCACACAAATATAAACAAGTTACTTTTGATGAAAGCAATTGCAAAGAGAATTCAATGGAGAATGGTTAATCTTTTCGACAGGTGGTAGTGGGACCATTACTTGGATGTCCATACACAAAATAATGAAGCTAAACACATGCCAGATACTATATTGTATATAAAACATATTCAAAATGTATCACAGACATAAATATAAAACATGAACTTACAAACTTTCTAGAAGAAAACATGGGAGAAAATTTCCATGACCTTGTTTTAGCAAATAACTTTTAGACATGACAGCAAAAGTTCAATTCATTACAAAACAGACAAATTGAATTTCATCAAAATTAAAATTTTTTTCTGGAAAGACACTATTAGAAGAATAAAAATCTAAAACACTGACTTGTAGAAGTATTTGCAAATCTCATTTCTGAAAAAGAACTTGTATCCAGAATATGTGAACAACTCTTATAACTCTACAAGAAAGGAAACAACCCAATTTGAAAATATTTAAATAGATGTTTTATCAAGGAAAGCATATGAGTGGCAAATAAATATAGGAAAATATGTTCAACATTATTAGTTACTGAGGAAATGCAAAGTAAAACTGGAGTAAGATAGCACTAAATGTCTATTGAGACAGATAAAAACTGGTAATACCAAGGGAGGATGGGAATAACTGGAACTCTTCCTTGCTGGTAGTAGTACAAAAATGGTACAACCACTTGGAGAAATAGTTTGTCAATCTCTTAGAAAGTTACCAGGAGTCACAGCAATCCCACTCTTAAGTGTTAACCAGGTAAACTGAAAACTATGCTCACACTAAAAACCTGTATGCTAATGTTCACAGCAGTTTCATTAACAATAGTAAAAAAAAAAAAGAACAGGAAACAACTCTTTTTTGAAAAAACAGATGAATGAATAAGCAAACCATCATACATACTAATTTGCTAAGTAGTATGTTGTGAAAAGAAATAAACCATGGATTCATTGAACATAAATGAATCTTAAATGCATTTTTCTAAGCAAAAAAAAAAACATAAATGATACACGTTGTATCATTCTACTTATATGGCATTCTTAAAAAAGGCAAAATATAAGGATATGGAACAGGACACTGTTTGCCAGATATCAATGGGGAAGAGAAATTGACTACAAAGAAGCAGTTAATGAGGAATTTTTGAGTGATGAAACTGTTCTGCTTGGTACCATGGAAGTATGGCTCTATGCATTTGTTAGATTCCATATAACTGTACCTTACAGATAATAAATTTTGCTAAATGCAATTTTAAACACCTAAATTAGGATATCAGCATAACTCAAGATAAATGCAGACTATTTCAAATAAATCTAACCATAATAAACATTTGTGGCATTATCCTACTGAAGGGAATAAGGAGTAAAAAAATGAACTAAATCACTTTGGAACAACATTTTGCCCTGATACTGTAAGATTAAAGACAAGAAAAACTGCACACAAACACTCTACTATAGTAGGTAAATTTGTGTCTCATAGGAGTAGGGATGGGCAATTCTCAAACTCCTTACCTGTATCAAAAAAAAAAAAAAAGTACACTAGGGTTTAACAAGTAAGTACACTGGTAGGGTTCAACTAAGGTTGAAGAAGTAAGTAAGTACACTGAAAATAATGAGAGCCAGGTTTCTCACTGTTAGAGAAGAAAATTACAAATAAACAAGAGGGCAGATAGAAGAAACTCTGGTGTGCTGAAATTTAAGATGGATATATCAGTATCAAATCATATTTTTAAAATATAAATATAGAAATTAGTATAAATATGTATGCATACTTGGCTTAGTATACACATTAGTTCTGCTTGCTAAGAGAGCCTATAACCTGTGAATACCCTAGTAACAATGAGCACACCTAGCACTCAGCTTCTAGCTTCTAAATGCCATTCTCCAGTAAAGGAAAACAGCACTCTCTGGAGAACTGTTTATTCACAGGACTGGGGTATGGGAAATACAAGGTAAACATGGGACACCCTGTGGTGCCAGAAAGTAAGAAAGTGTTAGGGCATAAAACAGATGGGGGCATGTCAAAATGACATAGGAGCCTACTCAAAAGATCACCCAAGGGCAGAACCTGGAACAATCTGATCAACACAGTAAATAATAACGTCAATAAAATATAACCCAAATAATGAAATATGTATTTATGATTCACGCTGATATATTTATTGAATAAATAGTTGATAAATGGAGAAAGTATGAAAACTCTTACGGAAGAATATCAATTAATTAAATGTAGAAGGAAAGAAAAAATAAAATCACCATTAGTACACTAGAGTAATAATTGCTGCATGAAAGATCCACTGATAAATGCTAAAATTAATAGGCAAAAGTTTAGATAGAATAATTTTGGCATACACTCAAATTATCTGCCCCAAACTATTTATTAATTACACATTGGAAAGTAGAAACTTTTCAGTGGATAACTTTGGCTGACACTATTTTAACTAAGGTTAACATTACTAGTAATAAGACATATTGGTATAATGTATGATATACTGAGAAGGGCACAAGACCTCTTTGGTATTTTCCCCATAATGAATGACGTCAATCTAATCACATGAAAATATCAGGCAAACTCAAATTAAAGGACATTCTACAACACAACTGACCAGTGCTCTTAAAAACATCAAGATCATGAAAGACAGCAGAAACCTGAAAATCTATCACAGATTGCAGGAGATTAAGAATATATTACCACAGAAAGCAATACAGGATCCTGGATTGGACCCTGTAACAGAAAACAACAAACAAACAAACAGAAAATTTGGGGGAAAACTGGTGATACCTGAATCCAATCTGACATTTCCTTAATAGTATTTTGCAAATTTCTTTATTTTGATAATTGTACTGTGGATATGTAAGATGCTAATGTTAGAGGGAGTTGGATGAAAAGTATACGGGGACTTCATGTACTATCTTGGCAACTTTCCTGAATGTCTAAAATTATTTCAAATGGGAGCTCTATTTTTAACTTTTTGAGGAGACGCTATAATTTTTTTCCATTATGTCTGTAGACATTTACATTTCCACCAACAGCGTATGAGTTCCCTCGTCTCCTCATGCTTGCTAGCATTTTTTGTTTTTTTCAGTAACAGTCATTCTAACTTACTATGGTTTGGATTTGTGTTTGACGATTAGTGATGTTGAACATTTTTAAATATATATGTTAGCCATTTTTACATCATCATTAGAGGAATTAGGCTCTTTTGCCCATTTTAAAAATGGGATTATATTTTTCCTATTGAGTTGTTTGGGCTCCTTATATATTTTGGATATTATCCCCTTGCCAGATGCATAGTCTGCCAATACTTTTTCTCACTGAAGTTTGTCTCTTCACTGTATTGATTGTTTCCTTAGCTGTGTAGAAGCTTTTTAGTTTGATGTAATTCCATTGCACTACTTTCGTTTTTGTTGTATGTGCTTTGGGGTCTTATTTTAAACCTTTATACCAAGTTCAATTTGATTAAGTGTCTCTGTTATGTTTTCGTCTGACATTCAGAGTTTCAGGTGTCACATATAAGTCCTTGATCCATTTACAGTTGTTTTTTGTATCTGGTGAGACCTAGGGATCTAGTTGCATTCTCATGCATATGGATATCCATTTTCTTTAGCACCATTTTTTGGTAGTGACTTTTTAAAAATCTCCAGTGTGTATTCTTGTTCCCTTTGTCAAAAATCAGTTAGTTGTAAGTGTGTGGATTTTTTTCTGGTTTCTATTTTCTCCTCCATTGGTCTATATGTCTGTTTTTATGCCATTATCATGGTGTTTTGGTTACTATAGCTTTATAGTATACATTAAAAATAGGTAATGTGATGCCACCAGCTTTTTTCTTTGTGTTTAAGATTGCTTTGGCTATATGGGGTCTTTCACATTTCCATATGAATTTTAGAATTGTGTTCCCTATTTCTGTGGAGAATGTCATTGATATTTTCATAGGGATTGCATTGAATCTTAGCTTGCTTTTGGAAATACAGACATCTTAAAAATATTAATTATTCCAATTCATGAGTATGGAACATTTTTACCATTTACTTGTGTCTTTTTCAATTTCTTTCATCAATGATGTACAGTTTTTTTATAGAGATATTTTACCTCCTTAGTTAAGTTTATTTTTAGGCATTTTTTTGTAGCTGTTGGAAATGAGATTGCTTTTTTGATCTGTTTTTCAGATAGTTTGCTCTTGGAACATAAAAATGCTACTGGTACTTCTGTGTTGATTTCGTATCTTTCAACTTTACTAAATATATTTATTAGTTTTAACAGGTTTTTGGTGGAGTCTTTAGGGTTCTCAATATATATAATCATATCGTTTCTAAATAGGGACAATTTGACTTTATCTTTTCCCATATGATGCCCTTTTATATCTTTATCTTGCTTAATAGCTCTGGTTGCATGCATACCCAAAGGAAATAAAATCAGTAAGTCAGAGAGACATCTGTGCTCCCATGTTTATTGGAGTACTATTCACCATAGCTAAGATATGGAATTGACCTAAATGCCCATCTACAGATAAATGGATAAAGAAAATGTTATATATATAAAATATATTATTATATTAAATATAATATATTATATATTATATATATTATATATTATATATATTATATATTATATATATTATATATACATTATTATTATATATTTTATGATATATAATATATATAATATATATTAATTATATATAATATATAAATATATAATATATTTTATATTAATAATATATATTTTATATTAATAATAAATAATATATCATATTATATAATATATTATATATCATATTATATAATATATTATATTTTATATTATATAATATATTATATTTTATATTATATAATATATTATATTTTATATTATATAATATATTATATTTTGTATTATATATATTTCATACTATATAATATACATTATATATCGTATATATATTATATATTATTTATTCATATATAAATATATTATATATATAATTAATTAAAATATATACATTAATATATATTATATATTATGTATATTTATATATAATATATATTTTATATATACATATATTATATATTATTAATTAAAAGTATATATAATTAAAATATATATAATTATAATATATATTATATATTGTATTATATAATATATATTATATATTATACTATATTATATATTATATATAATATATATAATATATTTTATATATATCTCACAATGGAATACTATTCATCTATAAAACTGAATGAAATTCTGTCATTTGCGGCAACATGGATGAATCTGGAGGACAGTATGTGAAGTGAAATAAGCCAGTAGCAGAAAGACAAACACTGCATGGTCTCACTTATGTGTGGAATCTAAAAAGTTTATTTCATAGAAGTAGATAATTGAATAGTGGTTACCAGAGGCTGGAGAAACTTGGACAAGCAGGAATGGGAAGAGGTTGGTCAATGGATGGACACAAAGTTACAGTAAGACAGGAAAAATAAGTTCTGGTGTTTGCTGTTTTATTACACAGGTAACTATAGCAAATAGTAATGTAGTATATATTTCAAGATAGCTAAAAGAAAGAGTTTTGAATGTTGTCACCACAAAGAAATGATAAAAGTTTAACATGATGAATATGGTAATTACCCCAGTTTGATCATTATACAATGTGTATGTGCATTAAAATATTACACTATATTCCATAAATATGTCCCATTATTATGTAACTTATAAATAAAAATAATTATAAGAAATGAATTTAAAAAGTAAACATTAACAATCATTTCAATAAAATAAGTTAAAATCAATAAAATAAAAAAATGCATGGAGTTTATTATTCTGAAGAGCAGCCACAGTTACAAATAATATCATAGTCACTTTGGATAAATTTCCATGCTTGAAACCTGTAAGTCTAAATGCTTAAAGAATGAAAATGGAAATATTTTCTGAAAGAATAGAAAGTAAAATGGGAAAATAGCTTATTGCCTTGTAGTTTTCAAACACTAATTACTTGTTCTTGAATTAAATTCTCTCTCACAAAAACCTTTTGAGAATGGTATCTGTTTTATTAGACAAATAGGATAATTAAGGTTAATAGAGACAAAGTTTATTCTATCTTCAGAACTTATTCATCTTATAACTAATAGTTTGTAATTTTTGACAAACATTTCCTCATTTTCCCTACCTTCACCCTTTGCAACCACCATTCTCATCTCTGTTTCTATGATTTTGACTTATTTTTATATGTATATCACATTTTCACATTGTACACTTTAAATAGAAACAATCTTATTTGTCAATTATACCTTAAGAAAACTGAAAACAAATGTTTAAAGTTATTGAGACCCCCCCCCAAAAAAGAGAAAGTTCATTTCTCCAAATCGCTTGGCTAAATAGTCACAGAATCAAGACTTTAACACAAACATTCCAACTTTATGTTTTGTGCATGTTATACAAACCAAAAATACCCTGACATCAATTTATTCTGTTATTGGTGCAATTTACTTCATGTATTGAGTAGTGGTAGTTATTGGCTAATGGCTCCTTACTCAATAACCTACAGTTATTCTCTATGTTCACAAGTTTTAAAAATAACTTTCTCCCAACTAAAGAAATAATTAACATTGATGAAAATCAACTACTAAATGATATCTCTGAAATCATTTTTTGAGAAATAACTTTGTTTTACTTAAATTTTGATAATGTTATTTGCAGTGAGTACTTGATATATATTTAATTCATAGTATTTGTCTTCTATATGAAGATTCACATTTTTATATTCAACCTTATAGGCTTCATCATGGTTGTGTACTGGGCCATAGATCTGTTTATATTTATTCATTAGTGCATTGCTAATTAAAAATGTGTTTTATTAAACTTGTAAAAAAAAAAGATGGGGAGAATGAACATGTTGAAATTAAGGATGCTTAGGCTATAAGACAACTTCAACAGCTGAGCTGTTAAGACTAATGTGGGCAGCAGGAGTGTCAAAAGTATCTATCACTTACTACAGTGTATGAAATACAAAATAAAGAATACATGTCAGGTATGACAGGTAACATTAAATAGTGTTTTCCTAACAGACTAGATATAAGGCTTTAAGTCATTTTGCTTATGGTTAATTCGTTGGACCTCACTATCATAACTACACACTTTTGATAACCTAGTAGTATTTTTAATTATACAGTTGGATCAAGTTTGCCATTGTTAATAGAAGCATGATGATTTCCAGTTATTTAGTACTAAGTGCTAAAATTACTAATGATTACATCATGTTCATTTCTTGAGCCACTATGCTTCAAGAATATGTTAAATATAATATATCCTATCTGTTAGCTAGCAATGGGGTAAATTGTGCAACAGGCAGATTTTGGCTTTGGCATCCTTGTATATTTTTATGCAATCTGGAGCATTTATGTTTACATTACTTCCACGCTTTTCAGTGCTCTCATACCGCTTTTGCCTTCACTAATTGCCCAGTAGTAGTGCCCCCATTGATGAGTACAGATGCCTGGCATGATCCATGCTTCAAAACTGCATACCCACTCTTTTAATATCTGCCATTTGAAGCTCTTATTCTTCAGTTTATGAGAACTAAACTAGGTTCTTGTCTGTAACCCATAGAATTATTATGATCACGACAGGATAAATTATTGTCCTTTATAATTCTACAAGTAAAGAAAAATTTCTAACCCAAAATTAGATTTAGGAAAGTAAAAAGCATAGTGGAAGAATCTGTAATCCAAACATGTTTAAAAGTAGGCTGCTGAAAACTTAGGAATCAATATTTCATAATAGAGGAACTATAAGATCCTGTAAAGATCAGGCCACAAAAACAAGAGGAGCAAAATTCAAGAGACTTGAAGTATCATCAAAAGATAAGTAGAGAAAACAAAAAAGAAACCAAAATTAATGTTAATCCAATTCAGAGGTGAAATATACTAAAGTGCTTAATTTACATATTAATTTATGTTATTTTATCAAATATATAATGATTACCTAGTATATAAAAGTTTTGTGCTAGATACCACAGATAAAATTGTGAGTGAAACCAAACACAGTTCCTGTCCTTACAAAATTTAATGTTTGTGGGGAAGAAAGACATTAATCAAATAACCATACATACTTCTGACATCGAGATGCATGGGTTAAGAGAGAACAAAAGAAAATAATTTTACTTCTTCATAACATTGAAAAAAGTATTTTCTGAGGAAGTAATGTTTTACCTGAGATTGTAAAGGTGAGTAAAGGCAAAGATGAAATCACATGGATGTTAAAGGAGACAATGTGTTAAAAACTGATGGCAGAACACATGGCTGGTCCAAAAATTGGCAAGTAGGCTAGTGCATTAATCCATTCTCATACGGCTATAAAAAACTATCTGAGAGTGGGTAATTTATAAAGAAAAGAGGTTTACTTGACCCACAGTTCTGCATGCTTAACAAAAAGCATGACTGGGAGGCCTCAGGAAACTTACAATCATGACTGAAGACTGCACAGAGCAGTGGGGCCCTGGCCTGGCCATGAAACCATTTTTCTCTTGTAGGCTTCTGGGCCTGTGATGTGAGGCACTGTCACGAAGATCTCTGTAATGCCCTGGAAACATCTTCCCCATTGTCTTGGCTATTAACATTCGGCTCCTCATTACTTATGAAATTTTTTGCAGCTGGCTTGAATTTCTCCCCAGAAAATTGTTTTTTCTTTTCTACCACATGGTCAGGCTGCAAATTTTCCAAACTTTTATGCTCTGTTTCCCTTTTAAACATAAGTTCCTATTTTAGACCATCTCTTTGTGAATGCATATGACTGTATGCTATTAGCGGCAGCCAGGTCATATTTAGAAATTTCTTTCACCAGATACCCTAAATCATCCCTCTCAAGTTCAAAGTTCCACAGATCCCTAGAGCCAGAGCAAAATGCCAGCAGTGTCTTTGCTAAAGCATAGCAAGAGTGACTTTTAGTCCAGTTCCTAATAAGTTTCTCATCTCCATCTGAGAGCACCTCAGCCTGTACTTCATTGTCCATATCACTATCAGCATTTTGGTCAAAACTATTTCACAAGTCTCTAGGAAGTTCCAAACTTTCTCTCATCTTCCTGTCTTTTTCTGAGCCCTCCAAACTGTTCCAACCTCTGCCCATTACCTAGTTCCAAAGTCACTTCCACATTTTCAGGTATCTTTACAGAAATGTCCCATTCCTGGGACCAGTTTTCTGTATTATTCAATTCTCATGTTGCTATAAAGAACTACCTGAGAATGCGTAATTTATAAATAAAATAGGTTTAATTGACTGACTGTTCCACAGGCTTAACAGGAAGCATGACTGAGAGGCCTCAGGAAACTTACAGTCATGGCAGAAGGTGAAGGGGAAGCACGCACATCTTCACAATGATGGAGCAAGAGAGAAAGAGAGCAAAGGGGGGAGTGCTACATACTTTTAAGCAACCAGATCTCATGAGCACTCACTCACTATCGTAAGAATAATGAGGGGGAAGTTTGCCCCCATGATTCAAACACCTCCCACCAGGCCCCTCCTCTGATGTGTGGGGATTACAATTCAAGATGAGATTTGGTTAGGAACACAGAGCCAAACCATATCAGCTAATATGGCTGCAATAAAGACAGCAAAAGGAACAGTATAGAAATGAAGTCCAATGAGAATTATACCACACAGGACTTTGCATATTGTTAAGAACTTCTGATTTTTTTAAGAGCAATAATGAGAAGTCACTGAAAGAATTCAAATGGGTAGATGGTATGACCCAAATTGTAGTATGCAAGGGAAAACATAAAACAGAACTCACAGAGTGGCAGAGGAAGTAAAAGGTAGTGATAAATACAAGAGACATATTGGCAATAGCAAGAAATTAGACAAGTGGCTGAAGAAGGGTGAAGGTACTACATTGATTCTTAGGATTCTTTGTAGCATAAATGGATAGATGTCTTCTTTCAGCTGGGCATCTGCAAGTATGCTGGTACTCCTCTGCTCTCACAGCCTGATGAGAAATGAGACTTCTACTAATTTTTGTCCCTTATAGATTTACTAATGTAAAGTCTGTCTATGCAGGTCTGTTGGAAAAGTAACCACCAAGACTGACAACAGAAACTTACACTGAATAATGTAGTCCTCCATTTTATAGATATAAAAGTAAAAAAAAAAAACTGCTAAACTTTTGATGAAAACCAACAGCACTGAATGGAAGAACCAATATTTCAAGTAGAAAAAATACTTTTGAAAAAATGAAGAGGAAAACATCAAGGAACATAAGCTAATTTTTATAAGGACAAATAATGTATTTCCTCAATTCCAAAAAATGTTCATTCTAAGATATATTTTTAAATCAGTTTTTTAAGGAAAAATATTTACAAATTTGTTTAAAGGTACATATCAGTTAGCTTGGGCTAAAATAACACATAAACTGGGTACCTTAAACAACAAAAATTTATTTTCTTACAGTTCTGGAGGCCTTTTATAGGCCCTATCTCCAAATACAATCTCATTGAGGGCTGGGGCTTCAAAATATAAGTTTTGGTGTAAACAATTCAGTTCATAGCAAAGTGCATATTAATTTTAGAAATACTGAAAAGACAAGTAAATGTGTCTATTGAAATCTAGGATACTCAAGAGGATAGTGTATTCATAAAAAATGACAGGATACTATGAAAAAGGAAGGATTAGAAAAAGTATTTGAAATAGAAATAATAAAATTTACAAAATAAAGAATCTAACATGGTCTAAATTATACATATATATATGGCACTTAAAATAAAGCTAAGATACTCTATAAATATCATACAATATTTAAAAAGTGAAAATATAACAAAATATAAAATATGAGGTATATGGCATAGGAGAATCAGCTCTAAAATAATCTAATAGGAGTTTCAGAAGAAAGAAAGAAAGAAAAGTATGTTGAACCAACATTGCATCCTAAGTATGAAGCCTACTTGATCATGGTGAATTAACTTTTTAATGTGCTGCTGGATTCAGTTTGCTAATATTTTGTTGATGATTTCTGCATGTATCTTCATCAGGGATATTGGCCGGTAGTTTTCTTTTTGTGTTGTGTCCTTGACATGTTTTGATATTAAGGTCATGACTTCATAGAATGAGTTAGGTAGGAGTCCCTCCTCCTTGATTTTTGGGAATAGTTTCAGTATGATTGGTACTTGTTCTTCTCTGTATGTCTGGTAGAACTCAACTGTGAATTCAACTGGTCCAGGCCATCATTTGGTTGGTAGACTTTTTTGTGACTCATTCAATTTCAGAAGTTGATAGGGCCTATTCAGGGTTTCAATTTTTTCCTCATTCAATCTTGAGAGATTGTCTGTTTCCAGGAATTTATCCATTTCTTCTAGATTTTCTAGTGTGTGTGCATAGAGGTGTTCGTAATATTCTCTGAAAATCTTTTGCATTTCTGTGGGATTGGCTGTAATGTCACCTTTATCATATGTGCTTTTTAGTTGGATCTTCTCTCTTCTTTTCTTTGTTAATTTAGCTGGTAGCCTATCAATGTCGTTCATCCTTTCAAAGAACAGACTTTTAGTTTCACTGATCCTTTGTGTGGATTTATGGGTCTCAATTCAGTTCTGCTCTGCTTATAGTTATGTCTTTTCTTCCACTAGCTTTTGTTTTAGTTTGTACTTGTTTTTCTAGTTCCTCTAGGTATAATGTTAGATTGTTGGTTTGAGATATTTCTAACTTTTTGAGGTAGGCATTTAGAGCTATAAATTTTCTGCTTAACACTGCTTTTGCTTCATCCCAGAGATTTTTGTATGTTGTGTTCTTTCTTTTCATTTATTTCAATGATTTTTTAAAATTCTTTATTTTTTTTTGTTTACCTGAAGTCATTTAGGAATAAGTTGTTTAATTTCCATGTAATTTTGTCATTTTGAGGGATTTTGTTGGTATTGATTTATATTTTTATTCCATGATGGTCTGAGAGTATGGCTGGTACAATTTCATTGTTTTTGCATTTATTAAAATTTGCTTTATGGCCAAGCATATGGTTGATCTTAGCACATGTTCCATGTGCAGATGAGAAGAACGTACATTCTGTGGCTGATGGGTGGAGTATTCAGTACATGTCTATTAGGTCCAATTGGTCAAGTGTCAAATTTAAGTTCAAAATTTATTTGATAGCTTTCTGCCTCAATAATCTAACACTGTGGACCATTACCATCCCCTACTATTACTGTGTGGCTGTTTAAGTTTTTTCATAGGTCTAGAAGTACTCATTTTATGAATGCGGGTACTCCAATGTTGGGTGTGTATATATTTAGGTTAAATCTTTTTGTTGAATTGAAACTTTATCATTTATGTAGTGTTCTTCTTTATTTATTTTTTACTCTTGTTTGTTTAAAATCCTTTTCATGTGATGTAATAGCAATGCCTGGTCTCTTTTGTGCTCCATTTGCATGATAGATCTTTCCCCTACCCTTTATTTTAAGCATATGGGTGTTATATGTGAGATGGCTCTCTTGAAGACAACAGATAGATGGGTCTTATAGTTTTTATTCAACTTGCCAATTTGTGCTTTTTACATGGAGCATTTAGACTGTTTACATTTAAGGTTGATAGTCATATGTGAGGTTTTGATCTTATTGTGAAATTTTTAGCCGGTTGCTTTATAGTTTTATTGTATAGTTGCTTTATAGGGTCTGTGGACTGTGTATTTAAGTATGTTTTTGTGGTAGCAGGTAGCGTAATTTGGCAGGATATGAAGTTCTGGGTTGGAATTCTTTTCTTTAACAATGCTCAAAGTAGGCCCGTAATCTCTCGTGGCTTGTAAGGTTTCTTCTGAGAAGTCCGCTGTTAGCCTGATGGGGTTCGCTTTGTATGTGATTTGACCTTTTCCTCTAGTTGCCTTAAATACTGTTTTTGTTGTTGTTAGCTTTGACCTTAGACAGTCTGGTTATTATATTTCTTGGTGATGTTTGTTTTGTGTAGCATCTCACAGGTGTTCTCTGGATTTCTTGTATCTGGATCTCCATTTCTCTAGTAAGATTAGAAAAATTTTCTTGGCATATTCTCTTAAATATGTTTTCCAACTTGTTTATTTTTCTCATCTCTCAAGAATGCCAATAATGTGTAGGTTTGATGTCTTTACTTAATCCCGTAATTCTTGATGACCTTCTTTTTTAAAATTCTTTTTGCTTCATTTTGGTCTAGCTGAGTTAGTTCAAAAGACTTGTCTTTAAACTCTCAAATGCTTTTTTCTTCTTGGTCTAGTATATTAACAAAGATTTTAATTTAATTTTGCAAACCATTAGGTATTTTCTTATTCCAGGAGTTCTGACCAGTTTCTTTCTTTCTTTTTTTTTTTTTTTTTTTTTTTTTGAGATGAAGTCTCACTCTGTCACTCAGGCTGGGGTACAGTGGCACAATCTTGACTCACTGCAACCTCTGCCTCCAGGGGTTAAAATGACTGTCCCACCTAAGCCTCCTGAGTAATTAATTTCATGCAAATAGGATTTTTTTCTTTCTTTCCCCACTATATTATTATTATTATTATTATAATGTCATAACCTTTGCCCCCTCCATAAGAGTTGTGGCTGTAGGAAATGTTGAGTAGGCTCTTTTTCTTTTGCTACTATAGCCTTATGCACTTGGATGGTTTAATATTGGGCTTTATGATTCTACCACAAAGCTAGCTGCAGCCAATGTGGATGGGTTTATACATGATCCTTGTTTACTGGAAGAGGGTCTTGTCTGCCACAAGCAATGGGCTTATCTATAGAATGCACAGTGGTATAAGCTCTCTGCTCAGCTCCATAGGGGGAAACCAAGATGGGTAGGGTCAAAGCAGTCAGTCTTGCCTACAGATCATCCAGTGGCAGGTACAAGCATCACTGCCAAGGCAGGGGCCTAGTGGGTGGCCCCCTAGTGCCCAGAGGTGTGACTAGTTACGGAGCTGTGGAACCTCTTTCGTTTCAAGTTTTCTGCATGGTGAGGGCAGGGGGATACCTAAACTCTTAATCCAGGAAAATGGGCTCCAGATGCCTGGGGATCTGCCTGAGTATACAGCAGAAAGTGTCTTACTGCATCACTATCTCTGCACAGGAGGTTCGGGTGTTTCAGGCTGTTTATCCACACAAGAGGGTGCTCAGACTGCCTAGAGAGCTTCCTGGGCATGAAGTGGAGACAGCCCCGTTGAAATGACATCTACACATAGCAGGGATAGGAAACTTAGGCTACTGGTCTAGCTGAACAGGTTCTCTGAATGCCTAGATATCTGCCTGGCATGGGGACGCCCCCCGACCCCCCCTTGCACCACTATCTATGCACAGGAAGGGTGGGGCAGCTCAGGCTCCTGATCCAGGAGAGTGGGCGCTCCAAATGCCTGGAAATCTGCCTTAGCATAGAGTTGAGAGGACCCCACTGCATCTGATCTATACACAGGAAAGGAGGGAGGGCTCAGGCTGTCAATCCAGGAGAGTGGACATTCTGAATGCCTGGATATCTGCCTGGGCATGGAGCAGAGGGTCGCCCTGGTTTATGATCTTTGCACAGGGAGGATAGGGCAACTCAGACTGCTGATTTATGCAAGTGGGTGCTCCGAATATCTGGATATCTGCCAGGGTGTGGAACAGAAAGGGCTCCTCTGCACCATAATCTCTGGGGAGGGAGCAGGCTATGATGCCCTGCAATGTCAGACACAGACCCATTGCAGGTCACCAAGCTGGCCCTGACTGCAAGTCTTGTTGCCCAGGAGAAGCTGTGGCTGCAGCAGCTCTTCTCCTGCCCCAGACCTGCAACAGGGGAGAGCATACTTCCAATGCCTATAGCTGGGTGTTTTCCATACTTACCCCTTCAATTCTGGCTGTGAAGGCTCCTGCCCCACTCCAGAGCAGGTGCTCCTATCTCTGACCCAAGACTAAAATGCCTGCATCGCCGCCACTGCCAAGTCACCAAAGAATAACTAACTCTGCATGCACCCAGATTAAAAAGGACATCCTGCTCTCCCTCCCCAACCCGGGAAAATGCCTAAAGCTTCCTCTGGTGTCTTTTCCTCTCAGCATCTCCAAACCTTTCCCTAGGTTATCTCCAAGTTTTGGGAGTAACAGAGTTCTCTCCTTTGGCTTGGATTGCTTGGATCTTCATTTACAAGGTGAGTCACAGAGGGAGACTGCCTGCCTCCCATTCTGAGGCTTCATTCGGTTTTATCAGCCAAATGCCATCATAAGGGACACTTGCCCACTCTTTCCTCCTTGGGATCTGGGATGTCCTTCACTATTCTGGTGGATTCCTGTTTTCCATCTTGAATTAAATCTCACAGAGTTTATCTTTATTTATAATTTTACTATATCCAAGCGGCAGAGGCACACTGAAAGCCCCTAATCCGCCATCTTGGAAGAAAACCTATGCACACTGTTTCTTTAAAATCTTCTTGGAAAAGGTCACACCTAAAAGGTATGAAGAATTAAAATAAAGACAAGCACATCTAAAACATACTCAGGAAAAGGAAACAGACACTATATTTCTATTAGTTCAGGTAAAATCCAAAGAAGAAAAACATTAAATTAAATGAAAAATATTTTAGATTTTTAGAAGTTCTGATCAACCAAGAAGACATAGCATGCCCAATTACTTATGTATCAAATAACAAAGCATCAACATATTATTAAGAAAATGTAAAGAAATATGTTCAATAACCTTGGGAGTTCAGAAGCATTTCCAGGGAAAATATACAGAGTGGAAGGAGCAAGAAAAGATGATAGATTTTACTATATGAAAATTTCTTTATAGCAAAAGACAATATTAAAAATGTGTAAAATTATCAAGTAAGAATCCAGTAAAGTCTCGTAGGGATTTTGGCATTAAAAGTCTCCATAATACATTTAATGAACTTTAAATAAAAACATTTATAAAATATTACACTCCTGGCGGCAGTAGGCATACTCATGCCCAGATCTTGGTTTCTAAATGCCACTTTCTAAAAAGAGGAACCAAAATCCTTCCACAAATGGCAGGTAATTTATTTATGAGAATCTTATGCCATTCAAAAACAGGAAAGTCTTCAAAAACTGAAACTATGAGATATGTCAAAGAGACATAGGAAGCAACCTGAAAGAGTTCTCAATGGTCAAATCTGGAATAATTTTAGCAACAAAATAAATTAGTATTGGAATATAGCCCAAAGCACAAAATAAATATACAGAGCTCCATACTGATATAAATTAATGAATAAAACATGAGAAAGAGTCATCTTTCTTACAGAATAATTTCAAATAATGTGTGCAGATACCTTCTTAAGAAGGTAGAGCCTAAACTCTCTCCCATACTACCATTCCTGCTAGAGGGTGGACAGAAATTAGTGACCTGCTTCCAAAGAATAGATTACAGAAAATGCAAAAATAGTAACTTTCCCATGGAGAAATATGACTTAGCCAAATGCTCAAGATTAATATCACCAGTGAAAATTTATGATATCTGGCTACCACTAAATAAGCTAGGATGAGAAGGACACTTCGCCTGTGTGGTATTCTTCCCCAAAACCCATAACCCCATAAAACTAACCTAAATCATGGAGAATTCAACAAAACATTAGTGTTCTTCAAAACTATGAAGGACATGAAAACCAAGGAAAGGTGTAAGAAAACTGTCAGAGATCAAAAATTAAGAAGATACGATGACCAAGTAAAATGTGGTGTACTGGATGGTATATGGGAACAGAAAAAGGCATTAGGTAGAAACAAAATAAACTGAATAAAGTATGCGCTTTGAATAATTGTAATGTACCAATGTTAACTTCTCAGTTTTGATAAATCATGGGTTTGTAAAATGTTAAGAAATGGGAAACTGGGTGAAGGTACAGAAAGTGTCGGTTATATAATTGCAACATTACTGTACATGTAAAAATTTCCAGATTAAAATGTTTATTTCAGAAATACCATGTTGCCTAACTCTGTCTCTTTTCTCCCTCCTTCCTCACATTCCCCTCTTTGTCTCACATGCACACAACTTCTGCAGAATAATTTGCCAGTTTGTAATCCCTGACAAAATAAAGATATTCATAAATTTTATGAAAATATCAAACCAGCTGTTTGATTGTTTAGTCAAAACACAATTGACTGCCTGAGTCCAGTTTTTAAACTTTTCAACTCGCTCCTTAGATGCAATACAGCACCTGTAAAAGTCTTTCTGAATTTACCTCAGAGAATTTATATATCCAAGTTGCGATCAAATATTCTACAATTTTCTTTAAATCATGAGAGTTTGCAATGTTACTACTGCAGTAAAACTTAAGATGTAAGGCTTACAAAACTAATGTAATGTTAATTGCTAAATTGGATGGTATCCCATAACTTAACTGTTAGACAGGTATTACTAACTATATTCACCATGCTGTACATCATATTTCTAGAATGTATTTATCCTACATAATTGAAACTTTGTATCCTTTGATCAACATCTCTCCACTTTCCCCACCCAGTCCCATTCCTGTTAAACACCGTTCTACTCTCTGCTTATATAAATTCAACTTTTTTAGATTCCATGTATAAGTGGACCACGTAGGATATTTTTTTCATATTTGGCTTATTTCAATTAGCATTATGCTCTTCAGATTCATCCCTGTTGCTGCAAATGGCAGCGTTGTCTTCTATTTTAAGGTTAAATAATATCTAATTATTTCATATGTTAATACTTAGGTTGTTTTTATAACTTGGATATTATCAATGACGTTGCAATAAACATGAAAGTTCATATGTGTCTTTGAGATACTTATTTTATTTCCCATATATATAATGAGGGACTGCTGGATCACATTAAACTATCTGAAAAGGAAATCAAGAAAACAATCTCATTTACAATAGCATCAAAAAGATTAGAATAATTAGAAATAACCAAGGAAGTAAAAATCTGCACACTGAAAACTATAAAATATTGATAAAAGAAATTGTAGAAAACAATAGAAAGCTATCCCATGTTCATACACTGGAAGAATTAATATCTTTAAAATATCCATAGTATTTGAAGTGATTTACAGATTCAATAAAATTTCTATCAAAATTCCAATGGAATTTTTCATGGTAAGAGAATAAAACAATCAAAAATTCATGTGCAGGCCTAGAAGATTCAGAATAGCCAAAACAATCTTGAGAAAGAAGAACAAATTTGGAAACATCACATTTCCTGATTTCAGTTTATACTACAAAGCTATAGTAATCAAAATAGTACGGTACTGTTATAAAAAACAGACACATAGACTAATAGAATAAAAGGCCCAGAAAAAAACCTATACATATATTGTCAACTAATTTTCAACAAGGGTGCCAAGAAAATACAAGAGTCTCTTCAATAAATGATGTTTCAAAAACTGAATACCCACATAAAAAAGAATAAAATTTGACCCTTATATCACATGCAAAAATCAATTAAAATGGATTAAAAATTAAATGTAAATTCAGAAACCATTAATCTGCTAGATTAAAGCTCAGGAAAAGTGCTACTTGACACTGCTCTTTAGAATGGTTTTTTTTTGAATACTGCTCTTTAGAATGGTTTTTTTTTAATGGTTTTTTTTGAATTAAAACACAGTCAGTAAAAGCAAAAATAAACAAGTGGAACTACATCAAACTTAGTAACCTATGCACAGCAAAGGAAACAATCAACAAAATGAAAAGGCGAGCTACTGATTGGGAGAAAATATTTGTAAACCATATATCTGATAAGGAACTCATACAATTCAATAGTAAATATACATAAATAAGTAAATAAGTACATAAAAATAACCCAATTCAAACATGAACAAAGGTCCCAAAGACATAATTTTTTCATAGAATACATACAAAGGGTTAACAGATATATGAAAAAATTCTTAGCTTCATAATCATTAGGAAAATGCAAATCAAAAACACATGATATATCACCTCACAGATTAGGATAAAAAAGATTAAAGACAACAAGTGTTGGCAAGGATGTGGGGAAAATGGAAGCCTTGTACACAGTTGGCAGGAATGTAAATTGGTACATCCATTATGTAAAACAGTATGGAGGTTCCTCATAAACTTAAAAATATATCTATCCTATGACTTTTCCTTTTTCGAGCAAAACTGTTACAACTTGGTACTAAAGGAAACAATTATGTAGTTAAGAAGTACAATTTGACTTTTATTAGATTGGCCTCCCTGTTAACAATGGCATTGACCATTTCTCTAAGACTATTAGTCAGTTCTTTAATTAATGATAATTGTGTTGGTGCTTTGGGGGACATTTGACACAGTTCACTAGAAGTAGAAGACAGATCACTGATTCATTCACTTAGCTCCTTAGCAGTCTCAGAATGGTAATGACCCACAGCCCCTACTACCTTGGCTGAGATTTGATTTAGTGACCTTGAAAAACCAAAAGACCATATTTTCATTTATTAATTCCTACTCAGCTTTTTCAGTGACTTGTGTCACGCCTAATTCAAGTATGCTGAGAATCTCTTCACACAGTTAACCCAGAAGGAATGTGGCTGTAGGTTTTGTACATTTTCAAAATAAAGGATCAGATATTAAATCTTTAGTCACTTCCCTTTATAAAACAGAAATGAAATTCTGCCTTATTTTATTAAATCATGTTGAATCATATTACTTTATGTAAATTGAGTCATATCATTCCTTTGTATACGAAAGCACTATGCCAAACTTTGAGTATATGACCATTTTGTTAGACAAAGGCAACATTTTCTTTCCATTTTTCTGTAATATGCATCCTTATGGAAGGAGGAGTCACAATTATTTGTGCTTTGGTTTTTTTATAACGACATTATCAGTTTCTAACAATAAAGTCAAGAATTTTATAAAAATCTTTGCTTCATCAAATCAATCATAACAGTGGGTTTAAGTATCCATAGCTACAACTTCACAGAATGTGATCCTCGTTTTCAATTCCAGTGACATGCAAAGGAACTCCAGTCTTCATTACTGGCAACTAAAGTCTTTTCAGAAAAAGACTTGGTTTGGTATCCATAACTTCTGACATCCACCCCCAAATAACTCATATTTAGAAAACACAAAATGGTGAGAGTAACCTTGAAATACATTCAGAAATTTATTGAAATGCTTCTCTGAACAAAGAGCTCAACCAATCTCTTCACCCCATCAAGTTGTGTAACTTCATCCATATTCATCATCTATATAGCATCTGAATCACACACAATTCTAATACCCACCCCCAGCTGCTGTTGCAGATCAGAACATTTTTTCAATTGTGATAATTTTTACTGATTTTTCTGCTTGGATCCTGACATGCTGGTTTCTAAATAGAGAATGAGGGTTTTATGTTTATGTGTGGAGGAAGGACTAGGAAAGATTTTGACTACATATTTTTTAACTCTCCACCACAAAAGGTATTTTATATCTGTCTCAACTCTAAATCTGCTTTTGAAAAAGCATGGCAAAGCTGATTGAATATGGAGCCAGCCAAGAATGCGGTCAAAGGCCTATGTCTCCATTGAATAATTCTTCAGTCCGTCTAAAGTATAAAGCAATAGGAAATTGTAGGCTAATCTGTGTATGGGCTTGAAACAACAACAGAGGCAAGAAATAACTCCAATAACAAAACACTGACTTGTTCCAAAATGCTTTGTACTTTATAGCTCAGTAATACTATCCTTTAATTCATTATTTGCAGGTCTTGTAGCTGGTTTTCTGTGTTCTGTTAAATGTCGGTAGAATTTTGTCTGAATTGAGAAAGATCAAATTTTGATGGAAAAAAGAAAACTCATATTTGTATTCCACCAATTGCCACTATCTGTATAAAATATGTACACACACACACACACACACACACAGGCTTCTTAATCACTTGTTAGCCCTTTGATGAATATTCAAGATTGCTAACATTACCTGCTTTCTAGCTCAAAATATTATTCAGTATTAAAAGGCTGAGCTCCACTGAAAAAAATTTGGTGTGATTTTTAAGATAATAAAAGGTCTTTTCTCTCTACATCTACTCTGCTCCTCCTACTCCTACTTCCACCACTAACTTTGTCATATACTTTCCACAATATTTAAATTTCAAAAATTAGAGTTAAATTTGAAGGAGTAAAATTACTAAACTATGTTGGATCATTGTCTCTAGATGATCATAGTTAAGATAACAGGTATTATTAGAAATGGAGCAGCAGAGGTCAAATTCCTGGAGAAAGGGGAAAAAAGTTTGGGACATGAGGCTTTATCGAGGTGGTATATATGAAGTATGATTATTAGGGCATACATAGTAAGTAGTGACAATGACAGTTGTGAGCATTCTAGAAGCACCTAGCAACTTCATTGTAAGTAGCACTTTATAGGGGAAAATATTTGTTATTGAAGTGCACAGACCATGAAAGTACTACGTGGAGTGCAAGGAACAAAAATAAATAAAAGATAATTTCTCTCTCTCTCTATCTCTCTCTCTCTCTCTATATATATATATATCAAAGTATTCACTTACTTTTCAAAATACCCCAAAGTAATAATCCCATGGCATATTATTTTTACTTTTTGTTTGTTCTTATCAAGAGTATAATCCAGGCTAGACATTTATATTATATATAGAGAGAGAGCTATATATATAGTGAAAAATTATAAAAGATTTGATTGACATCTTCAAAGTTGCAAAGGGTGGTAATAAAATATTATTATATGTACATATATATTTCTCTTGATTATAGTAGTACTTTACATGTATTAGTTGTGTTCTTCTTTCACTAGCCTATGAGGTAGGCATGGATGGTCTAATTACTTCTTTTTCCTTTTCCTTTTCTGGTTATTTTTTAGAAGATGGAGTGAAGACATTGGTTGAGTTCTTTAGCTCTTTGTTCAGAAGAAACATTTTAATTAATCATTGTGTTTCAAAGTATTTCAATAACATGTAAATCAGCAGCCTCTGTGGTTGGTTCTTTTCTGTTGTCACTCTTCCTACTAGCTTCTTTGATTTGGCATCCTTCCTACTTCTCTTGATGCCCTCTGCCTCACTCTCATCCTCACTGAAACTCAACTTGGCCTTCATTGTCCTGAAAAAATGAGGCCACAGCTGAAATGTGAAAAAAATATGCATATTACTAACGTTGAGCATCCAAGGCCGCAGATCCCAGCATAAACCTTAGATGTGGAAAAATGCTTGGCTAGCAATTTTTCCTGTCACAGGAAGAGGACAAATGAATTCCTTGCACTAAAAAAGAGCAATAAGAACTTGGAGAATAACAAAGAAACGATGTAAAACCGTCTAAGTTCTAAGAAAGTAAGGAAAATAACCCCCTTTAACTTTATATTTCTCCAGGAGAAAAAAAAAATTGAACCTCTTTCTCTGGTGAAACCTGCAAGCTTCATGGAAAATTATCCTTTCACACCACGTTATAAGAACTGATAGTATGATGTCTAACAATTAGAGTACAAGAAAGAGACTCTCAGATTTCCTAAAGCTCTGGAGTGGCTAGAAAGAATACAAACATTTTCCCATGGTCCACAGAAATTTGGTGTGAAAATTAGCCAAAGAGTCAAGAAAGCCTGCTAACAGGGGCTCTTGTTATGAACGGTATGAGAATATTCATATACTCTTGAATGGTATGAGAGAAGGCTACAGCAGAATTCAAGAGTGAATAATCCAGCAGGGAGTCAGATAAGGGTACTACTATATACTATTATATCAAAATAATGTCATCAAGCATGGGAATGTAGCCTAGTATTAGAATTATTTGCATTTCTGAATACCAAGACAAATCAAGATCAAGAGTGAGATGCCCCATCATAATGATGGCAATGTGGCATTTGTGTAAGCACTCTTGTAAGCTTAAAATATATCACAGGAAGAAGAGACAGGTACGAGGAATATCATGAATTTGATCACATTTCAATTAAAATATCTGAGAAAAATTATGAAAGAGACTGAATTTGTCTGGAAGTAACTTGATTATTTTTTCTGCTTCAGACAAAATAGAGGCTCCAATGGAAATTAATTTTTATCTAAAAAATACGTTGCATATTTATACACCTAAGTTCATGGTATCATGAAATGTGAACATGGTATTAGTATATCAGCTTTCTATTTAAGATTTTCTTTTTTCAAAGAATAACATTAAGTAAAAGAAAAGAAAACAGATAAGGATTTGAAATTCCTGCAATATTGGCAGTCTGTTGCCTGAGAGATTGGTGAGTAAAACACATTAGAGAGAAAGTGAGCACATCAACTCCTTAGTCTGTATATGTTTTGCTCAACATTACACATACAGTAGAAGATTATTAAACTTTCAGACTGGAAAAAACTTTCAGACATTTAATATTAAAATGAGGTTGGCCTTGATAGTAACGTAGACTCACAGCTTTATGTAACATTAGAGTTGAAGGATCGTCTTCTATATTTTATTGATGTGAAAACTGAGATCCAGAGCAAGAAAATTAATTGGCCTCCTTAACCCTGTCATTGATGGTGAAAGAATTTAGCTGAGTTATAGGAAACGTCTAGCCTGGATTATACTCTTGATAAGAACAAACAAAAAGTAAAAATAATATGCCATGGGATTATTACTTTAGGGTATTTTGAGGAGTAAGTGAATACTTTGATAGAAATTATTTTCAAAAGGGTTAATTGATATATAAATGTGAAGTATCTTTATTAATGCTGTTAATGAAATCATGACTACACAACACAGTGCCTAGGCTAGAATCTCCCATATGGAGAAAATAATCTTTTTGTCTGAGTTAATGGAACAAGGTGAAAATGAAATTATTTCTTTGACATATGGGAGATGACTATTCTGAACACTGCAGCATGGTTTTGACTACCCATTTCATTAGCTTAGCTTGTGTGAAATCCACAAACATTATTAGTGGTCATAAAATTATGAGGCCCTTTTCAGAACTGACTACAGAATTGGCCTCTGTGACCTTCATCAGTCCTACAGCCTGCTTTACATTGACGATAGCAACTGTAATATTTTTATTATATCCAAATATGTCAGCCATTAATTTCAAATGACACTTTGCTTTTCATGTTACTTACTTCACAGAACTAAAAGGAAAGCCTGACAATATTTTATTACCACCCTTTGGAACTTTGAAGATGTCAGTCAAATCTTTTATAATTTTTCACTGCCAGCAGCATTCCCATGCTGTGCCAAAAACTATATATTTTCTACGGTCAGAAACATCATTAAAGGCTACTTTTAAAATTCAATTTAGCAGTTACACATGCAACTGATTTGGGTATTTGCTTACTTTTTACTTGCTTTCCTGTGTTTTGTTTTCCAAATAAAAT
The DNA here is from genome assembly GCF_000001405.40 of Homo sapiens. Taxonomy (NCBI): domain Eukaryota; kingdom Metazoa; phylum Chordata; class Mammalia; order Primates; family Hominidae; genus Homo; species Homo sapiens. Next base: position 99,459,292 of record NC_000023.11, on the reverse strand, counting down.
AATCATTTATTATCATGAAGCTTGGTATATCTGAGGGGAAACACACCAAACAAATAAACCAATAAAAGCAATACACCTATAAATAACCTTTTATTTCTAACAAATGGATTTTCTCCAAGTTGTGTCCAGATGTTACTGTCACCCACTTATTTCACAGGAGCAGCTTGCTGAGAGTTGTATCTGACTGACCCTGGTCCTGGCCCTGCCAAATGGGATCCTAATCCACAGCAAGTGTTAGCAGCAGTTCTCAGGCTCCATCATCACCTCTTGATTTAGATGATATTTCAAGTCTGCAGTAATCTAAAATGTGCAACTTTGGGGTTCACTTTATCTATACCTTTTTCCCCCTCTGGGGCCCTTATCTATCATGTTGTCAAAACACCTTTGTATCATGTACCTTACATTACCTGTTTTCAGACCCATCTTGAGACCTGTTTAAAGCTTCACTGCTTCTGAGATGCTGATTTACCCTGTAGCATATCCTGGGTCAGACTTACAGTAATATTTCATATGGCAGCTTTCCTCAGTTTTAAATAAGAAATTACAGTTTTTCCAAGAGCCTGCCGCCTCATTAATTCTGAATTCAGAGAAAATATTTATTTTCACTGTGCCATATTGATTGCATCAGCAACTCATGTTGATCTCAAGTGTCTCATCCTGATATTTAAGTATCTTTTTAAGAATATATTGTTGCAATAACAAAACAGGAAAGAAAAAAACCACCACCTTCTGCTCTCTGAGAACCTTAGATTCAGGAATTTTCATGGACACTGTACCAATAGTTCATCAAGTCATTCGATGTGTATTCTAACAATTCCTTTGTGACTAGATTTACTGGATGATGGTAAGGTAGGAATACATGCTATTTCCCCCTTTACAGTGCAAAGCTTGTAGAAAAGAAAATCACACTTGTTAAATAAAAAAAGGCACATGTTGAGTGAACGGTATGTGTCCTAATTCTCAAATTTAATTTATTAGCATGTGAAATCAATGTGCTAAGTGTGCTCTTTAATGTTTCCAATAGGAATTAGATGATAAAAAAGTACAGAAAGGAAATGGTTTTGAAATCTGAATCTTGGTGAAATCCCGTCTCTACTAAAAGTAAAAATAAATAAAAATAAATTAGCCGGGCGTGGTGGCAGCCGCCTGTAGTCCCAGCTACTCGGGAGGCTGAGGCAGGAGCATGGCGTGAACCCGGGTGGCAGAGCTTGCAGTGAGCTGAGATCACGCCACTGCACTCCAGCCTGGGCAACAGAGCGAGACTCTGTCTCAAAAAAAAAAAAAAAATTCTTGAATCTACCACTTATACTTGAGCAAGGGATTTGACCACTCTTTGCCTCCATTTTCCTATCTCTCTCATGAGGAAAAGAATTCTAATCTGATTTTCAGATCCCCTCATTGCTTCACGAAACTGCTCTTGCTGAAAACATCTACAAACTCCATTGTCTCAAAACCAAGGAAAAATAATCAATCCTCAACTTGCTTTACCTTCTTGAAATACTCTCTTCATTTGGCTTCCATGACTCCACACTCACCTAAATTTGGCTTGCTTCTCTGTGTATCCTTATCCGTATCATTTAGAAGTTTTAACTCCTCAGGACGTCCAGAAAAAATGCTGCATCATTTCAAATTATATTCCAGCATTTTTTGATGTATAATTATGACCATATTGTTTATGGATAATCATTCTATTTTCTCTACATTGTGGTTATAAAAAGATCTCAATCTTTCCCTGAATGATTATCATGGTAGTATTGATTTGAATGAACCTTGGTTTTGCAATTGGAATTGGCTTATAGTTGACATTGTTGAATATATCCCAGAAGACAGATATGATTTCCTAACTCAGGTTTCATAGCGCATAGGATATTGGCCATTGTCTAATAGTCTAGTAGATCTTTATTTTCATGTAAAACTTAAAACAAATTGGATCCACATTCTCTTCCTGTATCCCCAAGTACACACAGCTCATCCTGATATGGGTTGTTTCTTCTTGGTCAATAAATCAAACTCAGTTCACTAAATAATACGACAATGGTCAAATCTGAATTACTGATGGAAATATTTTTATATAGCGTTTCTCTATTGAATACTGATATATGATCTCAATCATTTTCAACTTTATTTCCAAAGTATATTCTTAAACATAGATCACTCCTTGAAGGATCAGAGAAGTTACATTAAGAGGAATTGGTTCAACAAAGAGGAGAATTGTCACAAGAGGATACAGACCCAGATTTTGAAGCAGCAAACTAACTGCATCCAAATGATTCTACCTTCATTTCCAAGAAGCAAAACATATTGGAGAAATTAATTATTGAGGTCAACATTTTCTAGTATCTGACATTACTATGACTTTAATCAGTTTGTAAAAATCATTGAGACTATCAATCCGGTCTTTGCTGTCATGCAGATTTGCAATGACCCAGTTGAAAATCACATTTTTAAAGTCTTGTTTTTTTTTTAATTTAAAAATATTGTCAAGCAATTATGCAAATTCAATAACAGAATCTTTAGAAGTCTCATGGGGGAATCTGGCACAGCCTATTTTTAAGAGAGTTGTATTTTATTGTAAATGTTGGTTCAGTGTACACAGCCTAACATATGTCACCAAAATGTGTTATATCCCTAGGTAACTCTTGAGTAAAATCTGTTGTGTTTTATGAGAGTCATGACTATTTTACTTTAAATTTTATTTTAACATCTAATTCTGAAATTGAGGTATTTTATGTCCTTATATGTAATCCAAGATATTGTCTATGTAATATTTTGTATTCCAGAAGGCAACACAACAAATCTGATTTGAGTTATATTTGGTTTCTCATATTGTATACTCATGATTTTTTCTTTAGTAAAAATATTTCCCCTTTACAATCTTCCCTGGATATTCTGGTCCATCCTTATTATCTATCTTTCTAATTATCTTCTTGGGTCCATAAGTGTTTTGGTTTTGCTTGCTTTGCTTTTGCCATTTGGTATAAAGACAATTTGACAACTGCTTAAGACTTTGGAGCCAGGTGGTATAGTTGTTAAAGGCTTTGGCATGGGGTCAGACAAAAAAAAACAAATCCTGGTCTGCTACTTACCAGCTATGTTATCTGAAACAAATTATTTAAAATTACTGAACACCAGTTACCACATCTGTAAAGCAGATATTACAATATTCATTTTATAATTATGTGGTCTCAAATGACTTAATTTTGTGTTTACTACTTAATGGGTTGCATGGCATATAACAAGCACTTGATACATAGTAGCTTTTATTATTATTAATTGTTCATATTGAAACAAATATTGAGGATGAAATCTAGAATTTACTATCATGAAAGTTATATCTTAAGTCATTGAAATTTAATGCAGTAAATACTTATTGTGCTATACTAGGCAGTAGAGATGCAAAGAGATTACCAAGTAAATACCACTTTCAAAGAGTCCACATGGTTAATATATTTACTAAAAATTTAAATATATTAACCACGCTTCTGCTCAGTTCTTCTCCAAAGTAACATTTATTAAAGCCCTAGACTTTTAAAAATATAATACAAATTACATTTATTCTTTTCTAAGGATTTTACTCTTTTATACACAGGTACATGCTCTTTAAATATGTAAATGATACCAAAGAATGTGACCAAAAATAAGTGTCCTATCATTAGTCTTTGCCAATTCCATTCAAGACGATTTGTTACCAATTGAGATACATCGTAATTAGATACATTTGTATCACATGTATGTATTTATTCACAAACCTGTCTTTAGCTGTACATTTCTTGTCCTGACATTTATTCAAGTATCATTTTATATCCTATAGGAATTGCTAACACTTTCCTCTACACAGGCCAAGTATACTGAAAAGCTCTAGACTTTAAGAGGACCTGGAAAATATGGTAACATGTTCCAACTTTGGGGAAGTTTGTGAATTGAATCTTACATGTTAATTTATATATAACCCTTCAATAACTGCCAGTAAGGTTTTTCTGTTAGAAAAATTTTAAGATTCAAAAAAATCTACACACAGTGTATTAAGAAAAAAATATTAAAATAAATATGTGGATTGTTTGACAACTGAAAAGTCTGGGGGGCAGAACTGACTTCAGGAACAGCTGTATTTGGGGTTAAGTGATGTCATCAAGACTCAGTTAATCTTTGTGATTGACTCTTCTTTGGTTGGATTGGCTTTAAACTCAAGCTGTATGAAGTCAGAAGGTAGTAGCAGCTCTCTACTGTCTCTATGTTATCTCAAGTTTCTGTCCAGGCAAAAAGAATAACAGCCTCAGCCGGGCACAGTGGCTCACGCCTGTAATCCCAGCACTTTGGGAGGCCAAGGCAGGTGGATCACTTGAGGCCAGGAGTTCGAGACCAACCTGGGCAACATGGTGAAACCGTGTCTCTACTAAAAATACAAACATTAACCGGGCGTGGTGGTGGGAGCTTGTAATCTGTAATCCCAGCTGCTTGAGAGTCTGAGGCATGAGAATTGCTTGAACCTGGGAGGGGACGGAGGTTGCAGTGAGCCGAGACTGTGCCACTGCACTCCAGCCTGGGTAAGAGAGCAAGACTCTGTCTCCAAAAAAAAAAAGAACAACAGCCTCTGTACCAGAGATATCATCAAAAAACTTGATTGCATATTATTGGCTACAGCAGGTCAAATACCCATTTTTAAAACAAACACCGAGAACAAAGACATGGCTTAGGCTAATCAGGATCTAAACCAAGTGGTTTTAGGTATTCTCAGTTCTACACAGACCACATGAAAGTATGAAAAAGAGGATATTCCTCAAAGAAAATATTAGGTGCTTGTTTTAATGGAAGAAGGATGTTGGGCAAAAACAATAGTTAGATATTGCATAAGATAAGATACTTTTAAACTGAAATATTTTAAAAATGTGTCTTCAAACACCTAATGGTCATACAGCTAGAAAATTTTCTTTGTTACACTACAGAAAACTGATCAACCATTTGACTTTATTTGATCAATATGATTTTGTCAGTTATCACAAGATGTCACAGATTATTGTCTTCCTTAACTTTTTTGGCATTATACACTTTGGAGCTGTGCTTCATACTCTCTGTTAAAAGAGGTTTACTTACCTATTTTCAAGTTATAAATACCTCATGAGTTTAAAGTTAGTATCCTAAAAGTGAAATAAATTTTGTCAATATTATTTATTTTCCAAGTATTACTCAGAGCTAGAAAATTTAAATGACCAAAGTGCCTTACTTGAACTTTCATATCACATACCATATATTTGATGAAAGTGGTAAACTGTCAGAAAATTTTTTATAACAGAAGCATGATAAATGAATAAAGACAAAATGACAAGAGGAGACAAAGTTGAAACAATAAAAGGGTGATTACTGAGTTTTTTAAAAATGTACACTATTACCTGTAACTCAAAATCTAGAACAGGTGGTGTCACAGAATCAGTTTGTACTTTGATATCTTTCAAATCGCACTCTTTCATGAAGCTATTGATTTCATTTTGGGCAAAAAAATCATTCATTTTTAAAAAAGCTTTTGAAAATAAAGCTGAGTTTTTCAAAAGCTATGTTTCATTCTATAAATGTGCTTTCCTTTAAAAGGTATTCAACCATTTGTAACTTCTTATAAAACTGAACTATGGTCAGTGCTTTAGTAACTGTAGAAAGAAAAGACCTGGTACATATAGCAAATTCAAAATGTCCCAAATTGTGCTACACAGAAAACCCATGAAAAGTCATAATACTGATTAATAAAGGTCTAATTAACATAAAAAGTGATATATAGTTAATGGAATGTGAAAATGTGTCAAAGGCAATATCTTTATGGGTAATATAGTTTTATTTTCATTTTCTACTTTTCTTGCATTTCATGGCTCAGGTTAAGCCAGAGACAAAAAGTAATAGATGTGATATTTACAATATAGTATCCACCCCATACCTAAGAATAAGGAAATTGATATGTATAAGTTTATGAAATTTGTGCATTGAGTTTTCATTATTAGTTTAAGAAACCTCACAAGTTCCACAACTGACTAATACCATTTTCATTTTCTTTTCTGGAAAGATGCTATCACAAGAAAGAGGATGAATTTGAGAGAGAGGATATTTAAGACAAACCTGCTTTTTTACTTGTATCCAGAAGACCCAGACCTATTCTACAACACTCACATCTATCCCTCCCTTCATCAACACTATCTAGTGCTATTTTCTGCTGTTTTCTGTTTGTACTCTCATTTTCATCTCCTTTCTCCTATTTACTTATACATTAATATTTATCTCTAGGACTTATGTCCTGTAATCTACCCAGCATTTAGCCTCTTTTATCTTATAGGTTCTTTTCTGTTCCATTTTATTTGCAATTGTATATCAAATATTTCTTTATTCATACCCAACCCTGTAGCTCCATAATTATCTTAATATCCCAAGAAATAAAATATCCAAAGGAAAAGAAATTTGGTAAGCCCAATTGAACAGTGGCTAAAAGTCCAAAATAAGGTGTTTGACAGTCAAGAAATTAAACATTTTATTTTTAAACATTTTATAAACTTCTATAATTTCAACATTTTCACAAATTAAAAATTTTAGAACCTATATCTTGAGTACCAAAATGTAGAAAAGTTCATTACCAAAGATCTAGTACTTGATACTGTGTAAATTAATATGTTTTCTAGAGAATAACTACAGAAGATAAGATCAACATATCTGTGGTCAATAGCCTGTAAAGAGCAAATGATGAAAGTGAATTATGAAGGAATTAGACATGTGGCAATATGATATACTACAGGTTTTGCAAAATACATCCTTTTACCAATCAACTAAAATACTGATAAAACATATTTTAAAAGTTAAATATAGAAATATCAGGAAAATAAGGAGCATTATTAGTGGGGAAAAAATAACAAGAAAGTATGAAATGCAAAAGGTACATTGAGATCCAGAGTTGTTTTGGTATCATGTATCAAACCCTGGTTTTAATGGGTTAGAAGTAGAGGAGAAGAGACAGAGCCCAGGGCCCAAGTAGGGTGGGAAGTTGAATTGAGGGCTCCACATGAAGCAGCTGTATCTAAAGGCCACACACTTAGAGTTTGATTTAATAAGAAAAAAATACATTTCCAACTGAGGAAAATAGTCTGAACCACCTGCATATCTTACACTTGGCTCTTTGTGGAAAGGGGAACAAAATCTCCTGAGGGTTCTCAAACACAAGCTAGCATTTATGTGAGTTTGATAATTGAATCTAACTATACATTTGTGGTCTGCCAAAATTAAAGCTGAGAGGCAACAGTGATAGCAGAAAATGGTGGACTAGGAAGCTCCTGGCCCTTCTTCCTCCACAAACATGTTTAAAAAGGAAGACAGATTAGATAAAATAGTCTTATGCTAAACCTCTGGGAAGTTAAACATTTACAGCAAACCAGCAAATGCCCAAATAAGAAAAAGCTACATTCAAAATGGTAGAAAAGTTTATGGCATTTTTACTCACCCATACCCCACACCCCCCATAGCATGAAACAGTCTTGTTCAATAGGAAGCTAAATCTCAGTTCCAAATTAACTCCATCAAGCAGTAGGGAGCAGAGCAGACTTTATTTATGAGGGATGTCTGATGGACTAGTTTCTGGTCTGCCTAACTGAGATCTCAGATAGAGAGAAGCAGCAAGCAATACTCATAAAACTGCATAGAGCATAAGTCCTTCAAATTTCTGGGGCAAGGGATTGCAGGTGGAGATCTACAGTAAACCTCCTAAGGAATCCAAAAAAGCTAGAATTAGACTCCTTGGGAAATTAAAACATTACAAAGCAACCATATCTACAGGTGAAATAAAAAGAAAAAGACATACACAGGCTTAGGCAAAATACATGCTCAGGAAAGTTCTGAGAAGACTTAAGCTTTCACACCTGACTGATGCCAAGGATCATACTACACCCAGTTAATTCGTGAAGCACAGAACAAGTCTTCAAAAACTGAGAAAGGAAGTTGTTTTTTTTCAATGTCCAATTGTTAACAACAACGAAGACAAAAAAAATTAACGGGCGTACAAAGAAACAGGAAAAAGTGTCCAATTCAAAGGAAGAAAATAAATTGTCAGAAATATTATCTGAAAAAGTACAGGTATCAAACTTATGATAATTTAAAACACATATCTAAAATATGCACAAAGAACTATATAAAGCCATGGAAATGGACAAAAAGTTAAAGGAAATAAAGAAAACGATAAATGAACAAAATAATAATGTAAACCAAGAGATGGGAATTATTTATTAAAAGGTACTAGATGAAACTTCTGGAGCTGAATAAATAGCATAACAGAATTTTAAAAATATTAGAGGTGTTTAACAACAGATTCAAATGGGCAGAAGAAAGAATTAGCAAACTTGAAGACAGGTCAAATGAAATTATTGAGTCTAAGGAACAAAAAAAAATAAAGAAAAGGTATCAGAGCTTAAGGGACTGAAACGCCATCAAGATGATTAATATATGCATCATGGGAAATCCAGAGAAAGAGGAAATTAGAGAAAGGCGACACAGAAATTGATTTTTAAAAATAAAGGCTGAAAACGTCAAAATTTGATGAAAAACATGAGTATACAAATACAAGAAGCTCAAAAACTACCAGTAGGATAACCCGAAAAGATGCACACTCAGACACATAATAATCAAACTGTCAAAAGCTAAAGACAAGAAAGAATCTTGAAAACAGCAAGAGAAAAACAACTTGTCACTTACGAGAGATCCTCAATAAGATTAACGGTGGGTTTTCCCAGAAGAAACCATGGGGGCAAGAAGGCAATTGATGCGCTTAAAAAACAAACAAAGAAACAAAAAACTATCATCAGAGATTTCTATATCTGACAAAACTGTTTTTCAAAAATGAGGAAAGTACAAAGACATTCATAGATAAACAAAAGCTTACGAAGTTTATTACCACTAGACCTACCCTAAAGAAATATTACAGGGAGTCCATCAAGATGAAATAAAAAGAAACTAGACAACTCAAAGCCATATGAAAATATAAAGATCTTTGGTAAATGTTAATACATGAACAAATTTAAACCCCAGTATTATTTGTAATTTTGCTTTGCAACTTGACTTTTTCCATATTATTTAAAAGATAAATTCATAAAATAATCATAAATATATGTTAATGGAGACATAATATATAAAAATGTTGTTGGTGACATCAATAAGATAAAGTGAGAATACATCTGGAAAGAAATAGAGATTTAGTATGCAATTGAGTTTAAATTTATATCAACTTAAAATAGATTTTTTATAACTTTAGGTTGTTATATGTAATCCCTATCATAACCATAAAGAAAGTGTATATACAATATACACACAAAAATGTGAAGGGAATGAAAACAAGTTACAACAAAAAATCCACTAAACACAACGGAAGGCAATGCCAGAAAAAGAAATATTGAAAAATAAAAATACAAGGGAAAACAAATTAAAAAGTAAGTTCTTCATAATCAGTAATTAAATTACTTAAACTTTTGTGAGTTTAAAATTAATTAAACTCACAAAATGAGAGGCAAAGATTGGTGAAATAAATTTGAAAAACCTGATTCAAGTAGGTGCTATCTACAGAAGACTAAGTTTAGAATAACTGTACATATACACCTTGTTCGCTAATGGAAATAATTAATATTGTAAAGATATCAATTCTACCCAAATCGGTCTACAGATTTATTACTATTAGAATAAATTCCCAAAGGTACAGATTTTAAAAATTGGCAAGATGATTCCAATGTATATGGTCATACAAATAGCCAAAATAATAAATTCTTATAAAGAAAATATGCATGTTTTGCCCTACCAGTAATTAAAACTTACTATAAAACTAAAATAATTAAGACTATGTTATGTAGGGAAAATAAATAGGCTAATGGCATTCTATTTCTATCAGTCTTTGTGATAAAAGTTTCTTAGATTGAAGCTAGAAATGGTGGCATGTGCATGTAATTCTAGCTACTCAGAAAGCCAAGGAGGAAGGATTGCTTGAGTCTAGGTGTTCAATATGAAACAGGGCAACATAGCAAGACCCTGTCTCAAAAAATAAGTCCTTAAATTTCTAGAAGAAAAAATGTTTAGTCCATAATCATCATCCTAGAAAAAAATGACTACTGCTTATGGTCTGAGAAAATCATCTACAATATTTCCTTTTCCTCCTCTGTATAAATTTATGGGATACAAGTATAACTTTGTTATATAGATATATTGAATGGCAGTGAAGTCAGGGCTTTTAGAGTTATTCATTACCTGAATAATGTATATTGTGACCATTAAGTAATTTCTTATTATGCACACCCCTGGAAGCCCCCCTTCCAAATTTTCATTGTCTTTGTCATTCCACACTCTATGTCCATGTTACAAATTATTTGGCTCTCACTTATAAATGAGAAGATGCACTATTTTTATTTCTGTTTCTGAGTTGTTTCACTTAAAATAATGGCCTCCAGTTCCAACCATGCTGCTGCAAAAAACATGATTTCATTATTTTTTGTGGTTGAGTAGTATTCCATTTTGCATATACACCATGCTTTCTTTATTCAGTTATTTATTGATGGACACATGCGTTGATTCCATATGCTTGCCATCATGAATAGTGCCGTGATAAACATATGAGTGCCGGTATTGTTTTGGTACAATGATATTTTTTCCTTTAGGTAGATACCCAGTAGTGAGACTGCTAGATCAAATGTAATCAACTGGAAATTTAATCTTTCAGTAGCTGAAACTGTAAGCTATTTGTGTGGCTATATGGCCTAGAAATCTATCACTTTTTTTGACCAAAGACATTTTATTTGTATTTTTATTATTATTTTTAAATTAATAAAATGTATTTTCTAAAGTAGTTTTAGGTTCACAGCAAAACTGGGCAGAAAGTACAGAGAGTTTTCATAAATCCCGTCTCCCCACATACAACCTCCCCTACTATGTACATCTTGCATCACAGTGTAATATATGTTACAATGGATGAACCCACACTGACACGTTGTCATCACTTAATGATCATAGTTTACATTATAATTCACTCTTGTTATAAACTCTATGGGTTTTGACAAATGTATAATGACATGTATCCACCATTGCAGTATCATACAGAATAATTTCAGTGCCCTAAAAGTCCTCTGTACTCCATATATTTATCCCTTATTCCCTCTTAACCCCTGGAAACTACTGGTCTTTTTGCTGCCTTCATAGTTTTGCTTTTTCCAGAACGCCATACAGTTGGATTCATATATTAATGGTATGCAGACTTTTAAAATGGCCTTCTTTCACATATTAGTATGTATTTGTTTCCTCTATGTCTTTTCATGGCTTTGCTACCGGATAAGGGTCCTGATCCAGACCCCAAGAGAGGGTTCTTGGATCTTGCACAAGAAAGAATTCGAGGTGAATCCGTAAAGTGAAAACCAGTTTATTAAGAAAGTAAAGGAATAAAAGGAAGGCTATTCCATAAGCAAAACAGCCTCAAGGGCTGCTGGTTAGCTATTTTTATGGTTATTTCTTGATTATATGCTAAATAAGGGGTGGATTATTCATGAGTTTTCAGGGAAAGGAGTGAGAAATTCCCAGAACTAAGGGTTTCTACCCTTTTTAGAACATATAGGGTAACTTCCTGACATTGCCATGGCATTTGTAAACTGTCATGGTGCTGGTGGGTGTGTCTTTTAGCATGCTAATGCATTATAATTAGCATATAATGAGCAGTGAGGAGGACCAGAGGTCACTTTCATTGCCACCTTGCTTTTGGTGGGATTTTGCCAGCTTCTTTACTGCATGCTGTTTTATCAGCAAGGTCTTTGTGACCTGTATCTTGTGACTAAGAATGCCTTAACCTCCTGAAAATGCAGCCCAGTAGATCTCAGCCTTATTTTACCCAGCCCCTATTCAAGATGGAGTCATTCTTGTTCAAACTTCTCTGACAGCTTGATAATTAATTTATTTTTAGAGCTGAATAATATTTTCTCTACTCCCCTATTGAAGAACATCTTCACTATTTCCAAGTTTTGGCAGTTATAAATTTAAGCTTTTGTATCAATATAATTTTTCAATTCATTAGAATAAGTCCAAAAAGCACAATTATTGTATCATATAGTAAAAGTGTGTTTAGTTTTATAAGAAACTGGCAAGCTGTCTTCCAAAATGGCTTTACTACTTTGCATTCCCACCAACAATGAGTTAGAGGTCCCGTTGTTCCACATCCTTTCCAGTATTTGGTGTTATCAGTATTTTGGATTTTTGCTATCCTAATAGCTGCTTAGTGGTATTGAATTGTTTTATTAATTTGCAATTCCCTAATCACATATTATACTGAGAACCTTTTCAGATGCTTATTCTGTGGTCTGAATGGTGATGTTCCCACAGCATTCATATGTTATATCTTAATCCTCAACGTTATAGTATAAAGAAGTGAGGCCTTCTGGGAAGTGAATAAGTCATGAAGGCTCCATCTATATTAATGGGTTTAGTGACCTTATAAAGAGGTTAAAGGGAGCATGCTTGCCCCTTCTGCCATGCGAGGGCACAGCATTCATCCCTTTTGCTATGTAAAAACACACAGAAAGTGACGAGGAGTGAGCCCTTAGCAGACACTAAATCTGCCAGTGCCTTGATCTTAGACATCCCAGCCTTCAAACTGTGAGCAATAAAATTCTGTTTATAAATTACTCAGTCTAAGGTACTTTTTGTTATAGTAATAGGAACAGGTTAACACAGTTTACTTGCTATCTGTATTTCTTTGGTGAGGTGCCTGTATAGGTCTTTTGCCCATTTAAAAAATCAGGTTGTTAATTTTCTTATCGTTGAGCCTCAAAAGTGATTTGTTGGGAATCAGAGAAGACAGGCCACAGACTGGGAGAAAATATTTGCAAAAGACATATCTGATAAAGTACTGTTATTCAAAATGTATTAACATCTCAAAGACTTTAAAAATATGTATGACCTTAGTAGTGCTTAGAATTGCTACATTGACAACCTTGCCTGGAAAAGAATCTACGTTACTTTCAGACTAGTAGATCTTGAATGGGAAACAACCATATGAGCTCTCTTACTTCAGGATTTTATTGTGTTTATGATTAATTCTGTTCTTGGATTTTCACTTGAGCTTTGCACTGAAGGGACCAATTACCTTCTTTTAATTTTTTTTTTCAGTGATTACCTCAACTTCGGGAGCATGACTGAAGCCCTGGTATTTCTTTTTGCAAAGAGATAACTGACAATGAGAACTATAGGCTTGAATCACACCACATCTCCAAATAATTCCAAGCTTAATAACAACCTCAAGAGCTCTTCAGAGCCTACTGAAGTATTTGTAAAATTAGTTAGAAATTCCTTTGGAAATAAAATGTATTTTTTGGAAACTATGAGAATCATATTGTACAAATAAGAACATTTAAAAATAATTGCACATGTCATCATGATGGGACATGACATGTAGGAGTCATGCATGGCATACCATGAGTAGGACAATGGAATTGAATTTCTGCATCCCAAACTTGACTGTCACTATGTAAAAATAACTACTACTGCTGTTCAAAAATGCTTTGAGCAAAAGCTCTAACATTCCAAATGATCCTGCAAATCCCATTTCTATATGCTTTTTAAGTTGCTTAGTTCTGAATCAGCAGTCTAAAAGTGTGTTTAAACACTGCAGGTAATCATTTCCCATGGAACAAATAGGAAGGAAATCAGGTTATGGTGAGGGCACCCAGCAGGACTCTTCTACTGTCTACTCAGTGTCAATGTAAACTGATTTCTTTAAGAAGACATTCAGGGAAAAGAGAACAGATTGCAGGAAACATGTTCTGCATGCAAGAAAGAGCAAAGAGATAGGATGCAGGATACTTGGTGATAATTATGCAAAAAAGATTAAAAAAAGAGAGAAACAGTATAGCTATAGAATAACAATGCTGCAGCAGGTGGAAGTTGCACAAACTGGGTTTGCTTGCTGCAGCGTAAAACAGATAATACATGTGTTCTGGCCTGTTCTTTTATGCAAAATAACTGCTACCTCACAATTTCCTGATGGTTTCTTTATCATGGTTCATGTTACTCAAATTTATATTTTCCAAGCACAAGGTTTGAGCTAATAAGCTTTCTTTAAAGTGCACCATCTAACAACTGCAGATGAATATATGCATTAAGAATAATCCTAACAAAACATAAAATTTTGAGCATGTATCTGGGAGTATTATGAAGTGCTTGGGAAATTGAGATATATTTGTGCTTGCAAACTTAATTAGCTGCATGCTAGTTAAGCGTATCAGTATATAGAAGAGAACATTATCACAAAGGGCAAAATCTTCCAGCCCAAACCTGAACACCAAGAGGCAGATAACTCATTGAATAAAAGCTATGCATTCTTTTACTTTCAAAAAATATAGTAATATTAATAGCAGGTGAAGCACTTTTTAAAAATTAAACATTTTATCTTGAGATAACGTAAAATTTGCATGCAGTTTTAAGAAATAACACAAAGTTCCGTTATTCCCTTTCCAAAAGTTTCCACAATGGTAGCATCTTGCAAATCTATAGGTCAATATCAGAACCATGTTATTGACATTAGTACAGAAAAGTTCCAACACCAAAATGATATCTTTCTCTTTTCTAGCCACATGTATTACCATTACTACCACCCATTGGCACTGACCCATTGAAAAGTACTTATCTTTTCTCTATTTGTATAATTTCATCATGTCCAGAATGTTATATACATGAAATTCTACAATAGATAACCTTTTGTAATTGGCTTATTTCACTCAGCATAATTCCTTGGAGATTCATCCAAGTTACCATAAGTATCAACAATTCATTCCTTTTTTGTTGAGTTTATGGTACACTGGTTTATTTAACCATTTATTGAAGGACATTTGGGTTATCCTCAGTTTTTGGTTATTATAAGTAAAGTTCCTACAAACATTGAATACACACATTTTCCATGAATTTTCATTTCTTGGGCAATTTCTCCAAAGGTGAAATTGCTTGGTCATGTGGTAGTTGCGTGTTTTGTTTTGCAACAAACTGCCAAACTGTTTTCCATAGTGACTTAATCATTTAAAATGCCCACTAGCAATGTGTGAGACATTCTATTTTACTGCACCCTTGCCAGAATTTGATGATGTTACTTTATTTTTATTTTAACCATTCTCACAGGTCTGCAGTGATAACTAATTATCATTTTAATTTTCATTTTCCTAATGGCTAATGAAGTTGATTATCTCCCCATGTGCTTATTTTTCATCTGTATATACTCTACAGTGAAATGTCTGTTCATGTCTTTTGTCCATTTATAATTGTATTTTGTTTTGTTTTGTTTTTTTACTGTTTAGCTTTGAAAGTTCTTCATGTATTCAATATATTATTCCATTATAGGATATGTGGTTTCTACTTCCATTCTGTAGCTTGTCTTTCCATATTCTTAACAAGGTCTTTTGTAGAAAATTCAAAAAAATTGATGAGGCCTAGTTCTGTTATTTTTTTTCCTGTGGATTATATTTTTGGTGTCAAGTTCATGATCCATTTCAAGTAAATTTTTGTATGAGGTGTGAGGTATAGGAAAAGGGTATTTTGTTTGTTGGTTTGGTATCGCTTTTGTTATTGTTGTAGTTGTTTGCCCTTAGGTGCTTCGTTGCTCTAGTACTAATTGTTGAAAAGGATATCCTTTTACTATTGAATTGCTTTAGCACTCCTCTCAGTTGGGCATATTAGGATGGTTTTGTATTTCTGGGTTACCTTTTCTGTTTTATTGAATTATGTGCCTATCTACCACTACTGCCACACTGACTTGGTTACTTTAACTACATAAAAATCATTAGTATCAGGTAGAGTAATTTATCTCACTTAATTTTTGTTTTTTCAAGTTTTTTAAGCTATTTTAGGTCTTGTGCCTTGCCATTTTAAAATAAGCCTTGTAAGCCATAAAAAGCCTTTCTGGTATTTTGATAGGAGTTATTAATAATTAAACCTATGGATTAATTTGGAGAGGCTTCCACATTTTTACCATGTTGAGTCTTTCAATTCACGAGGATGTTTCTCCATTTATTTAGGTGTTTGCTGATTTTTAAAATTCAGCATTTTGTAATTATTAGCATACAGATCCTGCACTTACTTAGTTAAGTTTATATTTAAGTACTTCAGTTTTTTTGGAGTAATTATAAATTGTTTTGATTTTGAAATTTAAGTTTCCATGTGGTAATTAGTATATAGAAATGAGATTGAGGTTTGTGTGTTGATCATAAATTCTGTGATCTTGATAAATTCATTAGCTCTAGATGTTATGTTGTTGACTTTTGGGGATTTTCTTCAGAGAAAATCATGTATATACAAATAGGAACATATTTATTTTTTCCTCCAAAATGTGATTACCATTTATTTGCTTTCTGGACTAATTGCCCTAGATAGAACCTCCAGTAAAATGTTGACTAGAAGTGGTAAGAGCAAACAGCTTTTCATTGTTCCTGATCTAGGGGAAACACATTCAGTTTTTCATTGTTAAGTAGGATGCTGACTGTAAGGTTTTTAAGATGTTCTTCATCAAGTTCAGGAAGTTCCCCTCTATTCCAATTTTTGAGAGGGTTTTATATTTTATCAGTAGGTGCTAGATTTTGTCCAATCCCATTTTTGCATCACTTGATAAAATTATATGATCTTTCTCCTTCAATCTGCTGACATGATTATTTAAATTGATTTTTGAATGATGAAACACTTTTGCATACTTGAAATAAATCCGACTCAGTCATACTACATATTTCTTATTATACATTGTTGAATTTGTTTTCTTATATATTGTAATTACATTTTGTGCATGAGTTCATGAAAGACATTGGTTTATGGTTTTTATTTTTGTTATTGACTTTGTCTGGCTTTTGTATCAGGATAATACTGTCTTGATAAAATGAGTTAAATAGTGTTACCGCCTCACCTGTTTTATGGAAGAGGCTGTTATGTTGTAAACTGTAAAATTCCAAGTGCTGTATTTACAACTTAGAGCCTCATAAGGACTTGATGCCCTAACCATGAATTTTCCTTCTCTCACCATATAGACCTCCACCCAGAGGGAAAATTTCCCCACTTGGCTAGTTCCTCTATCAGTAAGATCAACTCTTAACTGCCTAGAGTTCAATCCTATCAGTTTCACCTTCCTGCCAACTCTTGAAATTATTCAAACAACCAAATCACATGTTACTGAGAGAAACAGGGATCACCTCACCATATTCTTACTATAAAGCCTGACTTCCACATCCCTAGCTGATTCATTCTATTTCTGAACACAACACTTTTGTGGCTTTCCATGCATGGTCAGTGTCCTTCCCAAATATTTGAATTTATGTCACTAATAAAGTGCTACTAATTTCATCTATCCATCATAAATTGTCAAGCATTCGGCTTTCTTTTTATTTTGGAGTATGGGGAGAAGCATCTTTCACCAGTGGGGTGAATAAGAGCTGATTAGAACAATTGTGTACTATTGGTGTTAATTACTCCTTAAATGTTTGGTAGAGTTCTTTGGGGAAACCATCTAGTCTTGGAGATTTCTTTTTGGAAGCTTCTTTATTAGAAATTCCATTTATTTAATGATTATGGGACTGACTATTCACACTATTTCATCTTGGTTGAGTTTTGGCATAGTGCAATTTCTAAGTAATTGGTCTATTTCTTTTACTTTTCTTTGTAAAAATGTATGGGGTCTAAGTGCAATTTTTCAACATGCATAGATTATGCAGTGGTCAAGTCAGAGCTTTATGGTATCCATCGCCCAAATAATCTACAATGTACCCGTTAAGTAATCTCATCATCATTCCCTTCCACTGCCTCAACCTTCTGAGTTTCCATTGTCTGTCTGCACTGTCCACATCCATGTATATACTTTTTTTTAGCAACCACTTACGAATGAAAATATATAATATTTAACTTTCTGTGTCTGTATTTTTTCACTTAAGATAATGACCTTCAGTTCTATCCATGTTGCTATAAAAATACTCCCATAATTTCTTTCTTTGTTATGGCTTTAGTTGGGCATATTAGGATGGTTTTGTATTTCTGGGTTATCTTTTCTGTTTTATTGAATTATGTGCCTGTCTATCCACTAGTGCCACACTGAGTTGGTTACTCTTACTACATAAAAATAATCAGCATCAGGTAGAGTAATTTATCTTACTTAAATTACTCACTTAAATACGCATGGTATTACATTGTGTGTATATACCACATTTTCTTTATTCAGTCATCCATTTATGGATACTTAGGTTGGTTGCACATTTTTGTGATTGTGAATAGTGCTGTAATAAACATATGAGTACAAGTACCTTTTTGATAAGTTGCTTTTTTTTCCCTTTGGGAAGATACCCAATATTGGGATTGCTGGATCAGATAGTTGCTCTACTTTTAGTTCTCTGAGAAATCTCTATACTTTTTTCCATAGAGGCTGCACTAACGTACATTCTCACCAACAGAGTATAGGGTTCCCTTTTCTCCAGATCCTCACCAGTATTTAACGTTTGTCTTTTTAATAATAGGCATTATGACTGGGTAGAAGATACCTCATTGTGGTATCATCAGAGAAATGCAAATAATGTTGAGCTTTGTTCATATGCCTGTTGGCTATTTGTGTGTCTATTTTTGAAAAATATCTATTTGTCTTTTGCCCACTTTTAATGGAAATTTGTGTTTGTTGTTCTTGCTGTCATTGTTGAGTTCCTTGTAAATTCTGGGTATTAGTCCCTCATTGAATGAATCATTTGCAAATATTTTCTTCCATCCTGCAGGTTGACTGTTCATTCTGTTGATTATTTCTTTTGATGTACAAAAGGTTTTAAGTTTAATCAAGTCCCACTTTGTCTATTTCAGTTTAGATAAACAGTATGATGTTGGCTGTGCAGTTGTCATATATGGCCTTAATTATTTTGGTGTATGTTCCTTCTATACCTAGTTTGTTGAGAATTTTTTTATCGTAAAGGGATGCTGCATTTTATCAAGTACTTTTTCTGCAGCTATAGAGAAAATCATATTTTTTTGTCCTTAATTCTGTTTATGTGATATATCACATTTATAGATCTGCATATGTTAAACCATCCTTGCAACCCTGGAGTAAAACTCACTTGATCATGGTGTATTATCATTTTGATGAGCTGTTGGATTCCGTTGGTTAGTATTTTGTTGAGGAATTTTGCATCTACGTTCATCAGGGATTTGATCTGCAGGTTTTTTTTATTGTTGTTGTTGTGTCCTTAATAATGTACTCATAGAAAGAGTTAGGAAGAATTCCCTCCTTCTAGATTCTTTGGAACAATTTCAGGAGGAATGGTATTAGTACTTCCTTTTATTTTTGGTAGAATTTGTGAATCCATCAGATCTTGGGTTTTTCTGCTTTGGGAAATTTTTTGTTACTACTTCAATCTCAGTAATAATTATAGGTCGGTCTAGGTTTTCTATTTCTTCCTGGTTCAATCTTGGCAGGCTGTATGTTTCCAGGAATTTGCCCACTTTAGTTTTTCTAGTTCGTGAGCATATAGTAGCTTATAATAGTCTCTAGTGATCTTTAGCATTTCTGTGGTATAGTTGTAATATCTCTGTTTTTATTTCTGATTTTATTTGGTTCTTTCCTCTTTTCTTGATGAATTAGCTAGCAGTTTATCAATTTTGTTAATCTATTTGAAAAAACAATTTTCCATCACACTTATTTTTTTAATCTCAATTTCATTTAGTTCTGCTGTCATCTTTGTTATTTTTGTCTGCTAGCTTTGTGTTTGCTTTGCTTTTGTTTTTTCTAGTTCCTTGAGGTGCATTGTTAGACAGTTAATTTTTATCTTTCTACCTTTTTGATGCAGGCATTTAATGTTATAAACTTCCCCTTTAGTACTGCTTTTGCTGTATCCCACAGGTTTTGGTATGTTGTGTTTTCTTTTTCAT
Source organism: Homo sapiens (assembly GCF_000001405.40). NCBI lineage: Eukaryota > Metazoa > Chordata > Mammalia > Primates > Hominidae > Homo > Homo sapiens. Next base: position 99,439,393 of record NC_000023.11, on the reverse strand, counting down.
TTCTTTAAACAAATTATAATTCTGTCTTATTAGTTTCATTTACTCCACAGTCGTATAGCAGCATGTCTTTTAATTTCCATGTATTTGTATAGTTTCTGAATTTGCTGTTGGTATCGATTTCTTGTTTTATTCTTCTGTGGGCTGAGAAGATACTTGGTATGATTTTAATTTTTTTTAATTTGTTAAGACTTGTTTTGTAGCTTAACATATGGTTTATCTTGGAGAACACTGCATGTGCTGATGAAAATAATGTATATTTGGCAGTTGTTAGGTATAATGCTCTGTAATGTATGTTAGATCCATTTGGTCTAAAGTCCAATTTACTTCCAACGTTTCTTTGTCAATTTTCGGTTTACGTAATCTGTCTAATGCTGTCATCAGTGAGCTGAATGCCTAATATTATTGTATTGCCATTTAGCTCTTTTTGTCAGTCTAGTAATTTTTTTTTAATGAATCTGGGTGCTTCAGTGTTGGGTTCATATATATTTAGAATGGTTATATCCTCTTGCTGAATTGTTTCCCTTATCATTATATAATGAGCTTCATTGTCTTTTTAAAAATAATTTTGACTTAAAGTTTGTTTTATCTCATGTAAATATAGCTGCCCTTGTTCACTTCTGGTTTTGGTTTGCATGGAATATATTTTTCCACTTCTTTGTTTTCACTCTCTATGTGTCCTTATAGGCAAGGTGAGTTTGTTGGCAGAATATGATAACATTTTTTGTTTCAGAGACAAAATCTTGTTCTGTCACCAAGGCTGGAGTGCAATGTTGTGATCGTGCCTCACTGCAGCATTGAACTCCTGGATGCAAGTGGTCCTCCTGCCTCAGCCTCTCAATTATGTAGGAGTACAGGTGCATACCACTACCTCTGGCTAAACTTTTTTTTTTTTTTTTTTTTTTGTAGAAATAGATTCTCGCTATTTTGCCCATGCTGGTCTCAAACTTTTGGCATCAAGTGATCCTGCCTTGACCTCTCAATATATTGCAATTAACGGCATGAGCCAACGCATTTAGCCAGATCGTATATTTTATTCATTCAGCCATTCAATATCTTTTAAGTGGATAATTTTTTTTTTTTTTTGATGGAGTCTCACACTGTCACCCAGGCTGGAGGGCAGTGGCATGATCTCAGCTCACTGCAAGCTCCACCTCCTGGGTTCACACCATTCTCCTGCCTCAGCCTCCCGAGCAGCTGGGATTACAGGTACCTGCCACCATGGTTGGGTAATTTTTTATATTTTTAGTAAAGAAAGACGGGGTTTCACCGTATTAGCCAGGATGGTCTCAATCTCCTGACCTCATGATCCACCCACCTCAGACTCCCAAAGTGCTGGGATTACAGGCGTGAGCCACTGCACCCGGCCGTAAGTGGATAATTTATTTTATTTACATTCAAGGTTGATATTAATTTGTAAGGTATTGTTTCTGTCATATTATTGTTTTGTACATTTTTTGTTTTTGTCATTTTCTGTCTGTCTTTGTGGTTTGGTGGAATTCTGTAGTGGTTCCGTTTGATTCCTTTCTCTTCCTCCTTTGGGAGATTGCTTTATTATAAAGTTTTATACTTTTGTGTTTTTTTTAATGATGGTGAATGTCATCCACTCATTTCCATGTTTAGAAATCCTTTGAGCATTTCTTGTAGGTGCTGTCCACTGGTGGCAAATTTCCTCAGCAGTTTCTTGTCTGGGAAAGACTTTATTTACCCTTCCTTCTTGAAGGTTAACCTTACTGGATGTAGAATTTTTGGCTGACATTTTTTGTTTTGTTTTGTTTTGCACTTTGAATATGTCATTCCATTCTTTTCTGACCTATAAGGTTTCTGATGAGAATTCCACTGTTAGTCTGAATGTCTTTCTCTTATTGGTAACTAGATATTAGTCTCTTGCTGATTTTAGAATTTGTTCTTTCACTTTGACTTTAAACAGTCTGATTTTTCTAGACATACAAGCGGCCAATAAACATATTAAAAATGCTCCACATCACTAATAATTAGAGGAATGCAAATCAAACCATAGTGAAATACTATCTCAACCAGTTAGAATAGCTATTATTAAAAAGTAAAAAAAAAAAAAAACGAGATTCTCGCAAAGCTGCAGAGCAAAAAAGAATGCTTATACACTGTTGGTAGGAATGAAAATTAGTTCAGCCACTGTGGAAAGCAGTTTGAACATTTCTCAAATAATTTAAACTAGAACTACCATTTGATTCAGCAGTCCCATTAGTGGGTGTATATCCAAAGAAAAATAAATCATTTTTCTCAAAAGACACATGCATTTGCATGTTTAATGTGGGACTATTCACAATAGCAAAGACATAGATTCATCGTAAATGCCCATCAGTGTTGGATTGGATAAAGAAAATGTGGTGTATATACACCGTGGAATACTACACAGCCATAAGAAAAGAATGTTCTTTGTGGCAATATGGATACAGCTGGAGACCATCATCCTAAGTGAACTAATGCAGGAACAGAAAACCAAGTGCATCATGTCCTCACTTATAAGTGGGAGCTAAACATTGGGTACTCATAGACATAAAGATGGCAACAATAGAAACTGGGGAGTACTAGATGGCGGAAGGAGGAGGGAGACAAGCTTTGAAAAACTTACTATTGAGTACTATGCTCAGTACCTTGGTTATGAGATCAGTAATATCCCAAACCTCAGCATCATGCAGTGTATCCAGGTAACATCCCTGCATACTTACCCAGTCAATACAAAATAAAAGTAATTATAAAAACGGAAAAAAAAAATCAGCTCTGCTACTGGGCCTTAATAAAGACTAAATACTTAACCATGGGACATCAAGTTGCATATGACCTGAGCTCCTCATCATGAACTGGGTGTTATCTAACCTACCAGGCTATAAAGTTGGAAATGTACAGAAAAGTACTGTCATCAAATGTTAAGTGGTATACACATAATCAGGCCTGAACATGCCTTGAAGGCACAAGTAAATTTTGTGAAGTGTCCCATGGTTCACATTCATGTTACACTGCATTCTCTCTTTCATCCTGCATCTATGGTCCCATGGGGAGTTCCCTATAATCAGTTGACAAAGGAAAAGAAGACCCCAGCCTGGTTTCCAGATCGTTTTGCATGATACGTAGGTTTTTACACAAAGGTGGATATCTGCAACACTATAGCCCTCTATAGGACATCCCCAAAAAATATTGATGAAGGAAAATCCTTCCAGTGGGAAAATAGCTAGCAGTCCATCTGTTTTTTCACTTTTATTGGAAGGATAAATGATCAGATCTGTAATTATATATTGATAGATATATTGGGTTCTAGCCAGTGGTTTAGCTGGACAGTCAGGGACTTGGAAGGAAAATGATTGGAATATTGGTAACGAATTTGTGGATCTATCTCTCTGAATGGTGGGAAAAAAAGGTAAATATATTTGTGTCTCATGCAAATGCTAACCAAAGGCTAACATCAGCCATTATGATTTTAATAACCAAGTAAATAGGATGACCTGTTTTACTCCAGCCGCTCTGGTCATCACCCAATTAGTTCATGAACTACATGCTCATGGTAATAGGGACGTAGGTTATGCATGGGTTCAGGAAAATGGATTTCTACTCATGAAGGCCAAACTGGCTATGGCTACTGTTTAGTGGCCATTTGCCCCCAATATGGCACTAGTTCCTGGAGTACCTGATGGCAGGATGATTTCATTAGATCACTTCCATCATGGAAAGGGCATTATTTTGTATTTACTTGAATAGACACTTACTCTGGATACAAATTTGCTTTCCTCATACACAATGTTTCTGCCAAAATTACCATCCTTGAAGTTACAGGATGCCTTATCCAACATCATAATATTCCACATAGCAATCCTTCTGATCAAGGAACTCACTTCACAGCCAGAGAAGTTTGGAGTTGTCCCATGCTCGTGATATTCACTTGTCTCACCATGATTCCCACCACTCTGAAGGAGGTGGCTGGACAGAATGGTGGAATGCCTCCTAGGGGTTCAGTTATGGGGTCAGCTAGATAGAAATATCTAGAAATCTGGGCCAAGTTTCTCCAGAAGGCTGTATGTCCTCTGAATCAGTGTCCAATATGTGATGCTATTTCACCAATAGCTGGTACTTACGGGTCTAGGAATCAAGGGGTGGAAATAACAGTGTTACCATTCACTATTACCCCTAGTGACACATTAGAAAATGTTTCGTTTTCAGTTCCCACAACTTTGCGTTCTTTGGCTCTTGTAGGAAACATAGAGTTAGGTCTTCTTTTCTTCTTCTTTTTCTTTAATCAGCCACTATATGGTCTTTGTATTGGAGAATTTAATTCATTTATATTTATGGTGGTATCACTGGGTAAGAACTTACATTTTCTTAATTGTATTCTGGCTATTTTGTATACCTGTTATTTCTTTCTTCCTCTCCTGTTGTCTTTCTATGTGACTTGATGATTTTCTGTGGTAGCATGCTTTGATTCCCTTCTCTTTGTCTTTTGTGTATCTCCTATAGGTTTTTGCTTTGTGGTTATCATAAGGCTTACATAAAACCTCTTATATTAATAACCTCCATCATATACAAACTCTACACTTTTACATCCTTCCCTCTATGTTTTGAGGTAAATTTTACATCTTTTTTACATAATGTATTTACTACCAAATTATTGTAGGTATAGTTTTTCTTAAAATTTTTCTTTTAACCTTTATACAAAACTTACAAGTGATTTAGAAACCACCATTAAAGCATTAGCATACTCTCAATTTTAATATAATTACTTTTACCAGTAAGTTTTATACTTTCATATGTTTTTATGTTACTAATTAGCATCCTTTGGTTTCATCTCGAAGAGCTCCCCTTAGCATTTCATGTAAAGCAGATTCAGTGGTGATGATCTCTCTCACATTTTGTTTGTCTGGTAAAGTAAACTGTTTATATCTCTTTAATTTCTGAATGGCAGCTTTTCCAGGAAAAAACATTCTGTTTAAAAGTTCTTTTCTTTCAGCACTTTGAATATATCATCTCCCTGTCTCTTGACTTGCAAAGTTTCTGTGAAGAAATATATTCACAGTTTTATGATGATTCCCTTGTATGTAGTGATTTTTTTTGGCTGCTGCTTTAAAGATTTTCTCTTTATTATTGATTATTGATGGTGTAGCCTTCTTTGGGTTGAACAAGATTATAAAATTTTGAGCTTTCTGTGACTCAATGTTCAGATCCTTCCCCAGATTTGAGGTGTTTTCATCTTTTCATCCATTTTTAATAAGCTTTCTCTCTGATATGGTTTGGGTCTATGTCCCCATTCAAATCTCATGTTGAATTGTAATTCCCAGTGTTGAGGAAGACAGCTGGTGAGAGGTTATTGGATCATGGGGGTGGATTTTCCTCATGCTGTTCTCGTGATAGCGAGTGTGTTCTCACAAGGTCTGATGGTTTCAGTCTGTGGCACTCCCTCCACCCCCACACTCGTTCTGTCTCCCCTGCCACCATGAGAAGAAAGTGCTTGCTTCCCCTTCACCTTCTGTCATGATTGTAAGTCTTCCGAGGCCTCCCAGTTATGATTCTTGTTAAGCCTGCAGAACTGTGAGCCAATTAAACCTCTTTTCACCATAAATTACTCAGTCTTAGGTAGTTCTTTATAGCACTGTGAAAACTAACACACTGTCTTTTTCTCTCTCACTTTTCTTTCAAGACTCATAATGCAAATCTTAGCTCTCTTGATCATGTCCCCAAAATTCCATTGTATTAGTTCATTCTTGCACTGCTATAAATAAATACTTCAGACTGGGTTAGTTGTAACGAAAAGAGGTTTAATTGGCTTATGGTTCCAAAGGCTGTACAGGAATTATGGCTGCGGAGGCCTCAGGGAGCTTTTACTCATGGTGAAAGGCAAAGTGGGAGCAGGCATCTTCACATAGAGGAAAAAAGTTGGTGGAGATGCTATGCACTTTTAAACAACTAGATTTCATGAGAACTTTGTCTCAAGGACAGCATCAGGTGGATGGTGTTAAACCATTAGGAACTGTTCTCATAATCCAATCACCTCCCACCAGGCCCCACCTCCAGCACTGGGGATTACATTTCAACATGAGATTTGGGTGGGGACACAGATCCAAAGCATAGCATTCTGTCCCTGGCGCCTCCCAAATCTCATGTCCTTCTCACATTTCAAAATATAAACATGTCTTCCCAACGGTCTCTCAAAGTCCTAACTCATTCCAGCATTAACTCAAAACTCCAAAGTCCAAGTCTCATCTGAGAGTGGTCAAATCCCTTGCACCTATGAGCCTGTAAAATAATTTAAAAAAAAGTTCTTACTTTCAAGGTACAATGGGGATACAGGCATTCAGTAAATGTTCCCATTCCAAAAAGGCGAAATTGGCCATAATAAATTGGTTATAAGCCCTATGCAAGTCTAAAACCCAGCAGGGCAGTCATTAAATTATAAAGCTCTAAAATAATCTTCTTTGACTTCATGTCTCACATCCAGGGCACAATGATGTAACAAGTAGTCTCCCAAATCCTTGGGCAGCTCTGCTCCTGTGGCTCTGCAGGGCTTGGCCCCCATGGCTGCTTCGATGGCTGGTGTTGGGTGCCTGTCGCTTTTTTAGGTGCAGGGTGCAAGCTGACCTTGATTCAACCATTCCGGAGTCTGGAGGACAATGGCCCTCTTCTCACAACTACAGTAGGCAGTGCCCCAGTGAGGACTCTTTTTGGGGTCTCCAACCCCACATTTTCCTTATATACTGCACTTGTAGAGGTTCTTTATGAGGGTTATGCTCTTGCAGCAGCCTTCTATCTAGACATCCCAGCTTTTCCATACATCCTCTGAAATGCAGGTGGAGGCTCCCAAGCCTCAGGTGTTGCATTCTGTTCACCTGCAAGCTTAACACCCCATGGAAGCCACCAAAGTTTACAACCTGCACCCTCTGAAGCAGGGGCCCGAGCTGTACCTGGGCCCCTTTTATCCTGGGCTGTAGCTGGAATAACTGGGAAGCAGGGAGCAGTCTCCCTCCGCTGCTCACTGCAGTGGGGTCCTGGGCCTGGCCCATGAAACCTTGTAGGCCTCTGAGCCTGTGATGGGAGGAGCTACCCGGAATATCTCTGAAATGCCTTGAAGGCCTTTTTCCCACGTCTTCACTATTGGTACGTGGTTCCTCTTAACTTAGGCAAATTTCTGCAGCTTGTGTGAATTTCTCTTCAGAAAATGGGCTTTTCTTCTCTACCACATGGCCAGGCTGCAAATTTTCCAAACTTTTACCCTCTGCTTTCCTTTAAAATATAATTTCCAGTTTCAGGTAATTTCTTTGCTCACACATGAGCATAGGATTTTAGAGGCAGCCAAGCCAATTCTTAAATGCTTTGTTACTTAGAAATTTTTTCCACCAGATACTCTAAATTATCATTCTCAAGTTCAAAGGTCTACAGATCCCTAGGGAAGTGGCACAATGCAGCCAACTGCTTTTCTCAGGAGCAAAACTAACCTTTGCTTCAGTTCCCAATAAGTTCCTCATTTCCATCTGAGACCTCTTCAGCCTGGCCTTCACTGTCCATATCACTACCAGCATATTGGTCATAACAATTTAACGAATCTCTAGGCAGTTCCACATTTTCCCTCATTTTCCTGTCTTCATCTGAGCCCTCCACAATCTTCCAACTTCTGCCCGATACCCAGCTCCAAAGCACTTCCACATTTTCCGGTATCTTTATATCAGTGCCCTATGCCTCAGTACCAATTTTCTATATTAGTCCGTTCTTGCACTGCTACAAAAAATTACCTGAGACTGAGTCATTTATAAAGAAAAAAAGTTTAATTGGCTCACGGTTCTACAGGCTGTTTAGGAAACATGGCAGTGGAGGCCTCAGGAAACTTACAATCATGGTGGAAGGCAAAGTGGAAACCAGGTATCTCACATGACTGGTGCAAGGGGAAGAGAGAAATGGGGGAGATGCTGCACACTATTAAGCAACAATATCTCATGAGAACTCAATTCAATCACAAGAGCAACGCTAGGGGGATGGTGCTAAACCATTAGAAATTGCCCCCATGATCTAATCACCTCCCACCAAGCCCCACCTCCAGCATTGTGGATAACAGTTCTACATGAGATTTGGATGAGTACACAGATCCAAACCATATCACCCATAGACTCTCCATCAATTTTCTATTTTTTCTTCTCTGTCTGGATATTTTCAAATAACTTGTCTTCAAGTTCACAGATTATTTCTTCTGCTCAATCAACTGTTCTGTCGATGCTCTCTATTGCATTTTTCATTTTATATTTTATATATATTCTTCAGCTTGAAAATTTCTATTTGGTTCTTTTCTATAACTTTTATCTCATTATCAAACTTCTCATTTTTTATTTTGTGCGGTTTCTTTGAGCTGTCTGTTTTATCTTATCACTCATTGATCATCCTCAAAACAATTATTTTGAACTAATTGTCAGGTGATTCATAGATCTGTTTCTTTTGAGTCAGTTACTGGAAAATTACTGTGTTTCTTTGATAATGTCATGTTTCTTGATTTTATGTGTCTGTGTTTATTATTAACTTATGTTGATAACTGCATATTTGATGAAGAGCAGTTACCTCTTTTAGACTTTGCAGACTGTTTTTGGCAAGAAAAGATCTTCTGTGGGCGGACACAAGGGTGCCAGCCAGGTGGAGTGTGGTGGTTCTGGCTCTGGTGAAGGTATAGCTATATATTCTCCATAGAGCTTTGTCAGCTGAAGTTAGCCTCAGCAAAGATGATAGAACTTCTCAGCAGCCAAACCTGTGGGTGTCTGCTGTGGTAGTGAGTCTTCAGTTGTAAAGGCTAATGAGGTCCTCCTGATCTTTTTTTCTCTCACAGGTAAGTCATGGCCAAGGGAATCCCACCTGGTACCAAGTGTGGCGCATAGGTGTGTTTGTGGTGATGATAGTACCAATGTCTGATGCATAGTACTTGTGGAGTGACCATAGAGACAGGGTCTGGAGAATGTGCATGCATTGTGAGGCCATAGCTCTGGGGTCTGGGGTGGCAGTGTCAGCAGTGCCTGTGGCACAGGCACCACTACTGCAGCATTAATAATGGTATGCAAAGTACAGTCAAAGCAACCATGGAGGTGGTGTTCAGAGTATGGCCATGAACAAAGCTACAGTGATTATTTGTTCTGCAGCACAGGTGCTTCTGCTGAGGTGGTTGTTCCAATATCGATGTGCAGACACTAGTGGAGTAGTGACAGAGGCAGTATGTGGAATACGGGCACATGCAGAGATTATAAATCTAGTTCTGGGACTCAGGTAGCATGCTGTGGCAGTGGCTCCAATATCTGAGGTGTGAGTGTTCACAAAGCAGTGGTACAGACAGAGTCTGGAGCATGGGCATATTCCGTGTTCCCTTGGAGCTGGGATCTGTAGCATGAGAACATGTAGAATGACTGAAGCTCAGAGGTTTAGATCATGCATGAGGTTGAAGGGGCAGAGGCCCTAGTTCTATGGTGGCACAACAGAACTCCTTGGAGGAACACAGAAGCATCTTTCTCTCTAGAGGGTCCACAGTGGCAATGACTGTTAGTCACTTCAGTGGTACAATCTTCCAGAGTTCTCTGCTGAGAAGGCCACTGGGGTCATCACTGGCAAAAACTAAGGGGACCACTATCATAAAAACTGTGGACAGTCTGTGGCTGCCATCAGGGGCTCTTGAGGTTCCCCAAAACAAAAGCTGCTGGAGTCAGAGTATGCTACTAGAAACCACAGTGATATCTGTTGTGTGGCTGAATCTGATTTTCCTCACTCTTCTTTGTTTCTAGACATTTTTAGACATTCTAGTTATGCCAGTCTCCTCGGTGATGCTTTCTGTGTGTTATTTTCCATTTGTTCCTCTACTGGTTTGATTTTTAATTAGACCCTTGAGCCCTGCCAATTATATTTTCATTTGTGGATAGCTGTCTAAATTTTTGTTGGCAGGCAAGGGTTGGTATCTTCTAATCTACTATTTTGCTATAGATTTTTTTATTGTATCTGGGACATTTTGAATATTATGTTAGGAGACTTCTTACTATTTAAACTTTTTGTTGTATCAATAAGTCACTCTTTCCAAGTTTAGTATATATAGTTCTGGTAACCATCTTGGGGTCTAGTGACTTAGCCACTGTGAGTAGATTACACCTGCTGTCAGTGTCTGTGGGATGAAGAATGGGTTGGACGATGGGATCTGCTGGTGATGACGCTATGAGCAGACTGGGACTTTCAGCAAATGTAGGAAAATTTCAGCTACAATTTCTTCAAATACTTCTGTGGCTATCATTGTGTGTAGGGCAGAGAATGACTTGTTTTGTTTGGTTTGGTTTGATTCTGTTACTGCCACTGCTGCATGCAGATCATACTCACCACTTCCAGGTGACAGAGAAGGGATTGATCCTCTAGGCTGTTTTAGTGATGCTCTTATACGTAGATAAGAACCATTACAAGTGATTAATGTGAAGAAAAGATTGGTTTTGCTCTGGCAGACTCTGCTAATAATGTTGTTATGGTAGACTGTGCTTCTACTGTTGACTACTGTGAGGTGGAAATTGGGTAACTCTGATGTATTTTGGTAGTGATATTGCTGTGTGCAGATAAGTCATTGATACCATTGGGTTTGGGTTTGTATTTCTTGTCTTCTCTAGGCTTTCCCTTACATGATAATATGCCCAATGAGATCAAATGTGAAAAACATTTCTTCTTTTCTGCTTTTTCAAATCTATGCCTTGTGGTTACTGGTTAAAAGGATCTTTGTGTCCCCAGTATAGCACTTATGGAAAATAAAAAGTAGATAAAACACAAGAATTTACCATAGTGTTGTTACTTAACTCCTGAGTTCTTTAGCCAGTCCATCCTTTTTCATCTTTTATAGTTAGTTTATAATGGTATGTTAAGTTATTTTCATCATATTTAGTTGTGGTAAGGACAGAATTGAGTAAATTGGATCACTTCATTTTGTGCTGGAATATAAAATGGATCATTTTAATAAATTTTTGCTGATATTTTCCATTATTTTTATTTTATTTGTTTAAAAAGGATTTACAGGTGTTTACTGAAGAGTTTTCATGATGATTGATTTAAAAATCTTTCTCAGATAATGCCAACGTCTGATTAACTTCTGCATTGGTATCTGTCTATTGTCTTTTCTCACTCATATTGTGATCTGCATGGTTTTGGTAAAATAAGTGATTATGCTTATATCCTGGAAATTTTGTATAATATCTTATAAGACAGTGGTCATATTTAATATTTTTTAGCAGGCTGTTCTGTTGACCTGTAGTACAAGGGACAGATGTATGTGTGTGTGTGTGTGTGTGTGTGTGTGTATGCATGTTCAACTTTTATCTAGGTTCTGCTGATACAGCCCAGAAAAACTAGAGTGCTGGTTCACACCGCCTCATTGCAGACTGATGGAGTGGTGGTAGAAATTAAGCACATTTCTTCACCACCCTGAAACCCTCCCAGTAAAAGTAAGACTACCACTTCACATTTTCTCATTCCCTCTGAGGGATATAGGTGTATAATTAGCTCCATGGTTGACCTGAGAGAGAAATGGAAGGCTTACATATATATATGTATATATATATATATACACACACACACATATATATGTATATGTATATATATGTACATACGTAGGTGTATATATATGTATATATATGTACATACGTAGGTGTATATATATGTATATATATGTACATACGTAGGTGTATATATATGTATATATATGTACATACGTAGGTGTATATATATGTATATATATGTACATACGTAGGTGTATATATATGTATATATATGTACATACGTAGGTGTGTATATATATGTATATATGTACATACATAGGTGTATATATGTATATATATATGTACATACGTAGGTGTATATATATGTATATATATACACATGTACATATGTAGGTGTATATATATGTAGGCTTACATATATATATATAAGGCTTACATATATATTACATATGTTACATATATATTATATATATATGTGTGTGTGTGTGTGTTGTTGCAGGTTGGGAATAACGGATGAGTTCTTCACCTGGCCCTAGTAACAATCTTGGAGGGTGGGGGAAACGAATGCCAAGTAGCCCTACTTTTCACAACCACATTCCAACTCACTGATGCCATATGGGTTTAGAAGTTAGGTCCCTACCTGACTATATGAACTGAGAGAAGGTGGAGAAGCAGAGTCCTGACTATCCTGACCTTGCATCACCGTATTCTGCCTCACTGATACTAAGTGATTATGGAAGTTCAGCTCCCCACTGGCACAAGTCCTGCATCAAACTACTTCTTTCAGCATTACTGCTGCCAGATGGTTGAAGATGTTCTTCCACTGGGCCCTGCTGACACCAGGAAGAAAGTAGAGTGCTGACTACCTCCAATTCACAATCACCTTATTCAGTCTCATTTACACCACACAGGGGTGGAAGCACAGCTCCTCAGCCAGACCCAATGACACCAGGATGGGGATGAAGTAGACTGAATACCAGCCCTGCTTCACCCTGCCTTCTTAACCTCTCTTTACTGATCAGTGAGAATGAGGGCTGAGATTGATGCTGGACTCCACTGGCACTATTCAGTCAGAAAAATCAAGCAGCACTTACTTCCTTTGGGTGAGCAAAGGATCAGTTCCCATTCAGCTTCACTGATTCTACCCCAGCAAGGGAATCAGATTTTCTGCTTCCAAAGAGGAATGGGTGAAAAACTGGCTCCCAATTTAGCCCTCTTGACACAATCCAGTGGGGAAAGCAGAGTTTCTTGTATGCCCCACTGACACTAACATGCAGGAGAATGAGAATCCAAAACTTGCTTCCATGGAGTGTAATGGCAGATTAGCTCCTCAATCAGCCCCTTTTTTAAAACTGTGGGAATGGGGCCAAGTTTCTGTTGGCGTTTCATTGAAACAGAGTAAGTTTGTCAAAAATGTTTTCTGTAGTTAAACTACTCTTTTCCAAGTCTCTAGGCTAGGGACAAGAACAGGCTTTTCTTGAAGCTTCTTTAGTGTATGCCTGTTGATGGGTCTAGCTTGGAAGCTTTTGCAGCACTATGTTCAGGACATACAGGAGGCAAAAAAGAAAACCCTGGGAGATTATTGCCATGTTGCTCAAGTCACGAGGTCACTAGGTAACCCAACTTAGTTTTTATGTCTGTTAGAGTATTTTTTTAAATGCTCATTTATTGTATTATGACTGAGGTTTCTTTGTTGTAATAATGAGTACCTGAGAGGAATGGGCCACTCTATTTTGACCATAACAGGGTTTGTTGGGGGCAATTTTGACTTAAAAATAACATGAAAAATGATTTGACATCTAAAACTCACTACTTGAAAATCTGCATAATATCCATTTAATTTGCTTAATACATAATTTTATTAGCACCTTAAATTGAGGAACAACCTCTAGTCCCAGGTTATTAAATTTTCCCCTAAAATTGTTATTTTCTTATGATAAACCTGGAGAAACAAATGAATATTAACACACCAGTGGCATAGCAACAGAGATGAGTAGAAGCAATTTATATATTAAACAACTCTTTTCTCCCCAGGTGTCATAAAATGTAACTTCCCTTGCAATTTTTCATTCACTGGTGAAAAGTTCCATGCTTTTCTGAATTTGAGAATCTCCGGCTACATCAGTAAATAGATTAAAACTTTTTTTCTATGACAATCGAAAGAAAATGTATATTCTCTATGAGATTATGTCTATTCCCCACAAACATATAAATTGGAGCAGAGTTATAATTTTATAAATTTAAAAATCCTCTACTCCAATTACATTTTTATTGTTTATTTTTATTTTATTTATTTTTGAGACAGTTTCTTGCTCTATCGGCCAGGTTGGAGTGCAGAGGTTCAATCACAGCTCACTGCAGCCTCAACCTCCCAGTCCCAATCTATCCTCCCACCCATGGTGTATGCCACCATGCTCAGGTAATTTTGTTCATTTTTTGTAGAGATGAGGTCTCACTGTTTCCCAGGCTGGTCTTGAATTCCTGTGCTCAAATGATTCTTCCACCTTGGCCTCCCAAAGTTCTAGGATTATAGGTGTGAGCCATCATGCCTGGCCCAATTACATGTTTTAAAGATAGAATGAGCAAGACATAAATCTACACAAACCATTATTTTCTAACACAAAGTAATGTTTATCAGCATTTCTAATAAGAAATGTATAATTCACAATGGTAAGACCAATTCTAGTCACGTGCTATTTCATATATGAAGTAGATGTTGAAGTCATTAAGTTTTGGTTTAAATAGGACAAATTCATTAGAATTTATTTCCTCAAGGCTTAAAAGATTGTTCATGTCTCTCAGATACCTATTCGAGTGCTGTCCAGGGGTTTCTGTGGGCATATTATGCCGTTAGTATACAGAAAGTACACTAGGGACACAATTTGTTGTTTTCAGTCCTCTAAAGCATTATGGAGTGCACTGAGGTCATTATTGACCAAATTACCCTGGTGTTCTGAAAAGTATAATGTCTTTCACATATGCATGTTGAACCATTTACTCTTTAAGAATAATTATAACTACATTGCCAACATTAAGTTATTTATTGTAATTAGAATTGTGACTAGCAATGATTAATAAAAGCATGGATATATTCAACATTCATTTTAACTAGGAGAGTTTAAAATATACACACACACACTCACTTAGACAAATTATAGTGCATTTCTGCAAACTCTTTCAAATTATTCCTTGTGCTATTATTTTGCACTAGAGGAAGTGTATGTGTACATGTTTATCCCACTACAGTTGAAGCAGTTGCCATAGCTCTTATCTACACCTCCAGCACTTACAGTAAAAACATGTTGGACAAACCATAAAAAGAGGTTGGTTAGTCATTCAGTAGCTACAGGAATATGGTGCCTCCTTTTTAAATTGTATGCACAACCACCAAAGCCTAACTCTTTTTAAGCCACTCACAGTATATTTCTCAAAGAGTGGGCTATTATGCTGTCTTTGGCTTGTAGTGGCATTAAGAAAGATAAATAATTAAATGTGGTCCTTTCATCGTAAGTACAAGTTTAGATTTTGTGGTCTGGAAAATAACAACACCTCTGGTACTAGAATAATTCTATGCATAAAATAATTATAAAAATATTTTATATTTCCAGGAGTTAAAATGTCTGTAAAAATAGATTCATATAAATCAAATAAAGAAATGTTTAATTATTACATTGAATAATTATGTACTGGGCTCCTTCTGTATTTCAGAAACTGTGATAGGTGATAAAGATATAATGGAGGGAGGGAACTCTTATAGTCAAGTGGGGAAAGCAGATACAAGATCAGTGGCAACAAATAAATACACAATTGTGTATTGTGCTACACGCTGTAAAGGTTTAAATAATATGATATGAGAGGAGTAACAAGGCAGACCTAAATTAAATTAGGTGTTCATGGAACATGGAGTATATGGTGATAGATCAGTGTTCCTTCAGTGAATAAATTACAGAAATTATCTAATCGAAGGCAACATTGAACTGCTGAGACAAGGAGAACCAGAGCAGCTGAGACTTCGAAGAGAGAATCATCTCAGAACAGTTATCAGACTTTCAGCAGTATTTAGCGAATTTGGGCACAGAAAGGAGGCCAAAGACTATGAATTCAGCAATGAGTCTGATGGAGTGCTACTACAAGGTGACAACAAATTTGGCAGGAGTTTTGGCAGAGCTGGGTGTCCTCAAGGTTAACAACTAGTTTTAGCCACAGAACATTTGCTACATAAAGTTTCTACATGGGCTTGGAAGCTAAAAACCTAAGGGGAAAAATTCAGACATAAAGAGTTATGTTTTCTTGCTGTTTTGTGAGAAAAAGGTTAGAGTTCAGAAAAATGAGTAAGGAAAAATACATCAGGATTTTAACTGAAGACCCTGGAGGAACAGATATAAACAAGAGTTAGACTAAGTCTGGCCAAGGCTGCAAACTAGCCTAAAATAAGCAAATTAAAGAAGTATGAAGTTGATTAGCCACTACTGTATTCATCTGGTAAAAAAAAAAAAAAAAGAGTTGAACATTCAACAGAGGCAAATAATATTTTCTATCATTAAATCAAAATTTACTAGGTACACCCAAACACAGGACCACATGACCAGAAACCAATAGGAAACTGATAATAAAATGGGCCTGTAGGTGATGCAGATGTAAAAGTTATTTATAAAGAACTTTAAATAATTATAACTAATCTGTTGCACAAATGAAAGAAGAAGTTGGACAAAATATAATTTAAATATAAATAATTCCATGATTCCATGAGAAATTTGGAATCTATGAAATAAGAGTAAATGGTCAATGGAATAATTACAAAACTGAAAAGTACAATACCTGAAATAAATTGGTTAGATGGGTTAGCTACTGATTGGATACTGCAGAAGGTTGTGATAAACACTAATTGGAAGTGTTTTAAATGAATCCCATTTTTACACTCTTTTCTGTGTAGAAATTAGTATTTTCTGTATAAAACACAGAGATTAGTGCAAAATACTATTTTGTGCACAGAAAAGAATGTAAAAAAAAGAAGGGATTCATTTAAAGGTCTGTATTTTATGGAGGTAGAATCACAGAGACAGAGCAGGCAGACAGTAATGCAGAAATATTATCTGATGAACAAATGTCCAAGATTTTCTCCAAAATTGATGAGAGATATTATCCCATAGATTTAATAAAATTTTTGAGACATAAAAATAATACAAATAAAAATACTCAAAGATATATTATGGCAAGACTGTTTTAAAAAGTGAGAGAAAATCATATATGCAGTCAGAGAAAACTTACAGCTGAATTTTTAACAAATAAAAGGTAGATGACATGAACATCTTTAAATGCGGAAAGGCAATAATCAATTTAGCATTCTACACTGAGCTAAAATATTATCTTAAAATGAAAGAAAATAGCTATTTTCAGATGAACACTAAATAATTTTTCATTAGCAAGACTGCACTAAATACAATTTTTCAGAACAAAAATGATCCAAGAGACAACTGTGGCACTGAAGTAAGAAATGAAGAGCAATGAAAAGGGTAAATATATGAATGATGACTATGTAAATGTATGTACTTAATATTGACTGTGAACATAATACAGTTTAAAATATATTTGGAGGAGAGGATTTTCCAGAATGGCAGTATAAGTAACTCAGAGAAACTTTCTGCTAGATATACTCTATTAAATTGATCAAAATTGTTAAATGTAATTGTTCAAAATCTTTAGACATTGATCAAAGGGCTTAAAACAAATTGAGAACCATTTCTTCAACAAAACCTTTAGAAAACAAAAACATTTAGGAGCAATGGGATTCAAGCCAAGAACTCTACACATTACCTCACAGCTCTGTCTTGTTTAAAAAAAAAAGAAAAGAAAAGAAAAAACTGTTATAGTGAGATCAGCAGCTACAGCTAAGAGATAGTTTCCCAACTTTCACAGCTCATTATGCTGGAAGAGTTATTCTGGGAGGTTTCTCAGCCAGTTAAAATAAACAGATCCCATTTTCCACAGCACTATGCTGTGGATAGCTTATATTGAGCAAGTAGTAAGAGCCAGGTGGTACCTGTTTTCCATTCCCATTATGTAATGGCAATCCACATGGGGCAAATGATAAAAACTGCAATATTCCTTTATGGCATAGCTCTGCGTTGTGGGAAAGCTGCTCCAATGGGCTTAACAGCTGAGTGGCAACTACTACATCCCTAGCTTACTGGTTGAAAGGTCTATCCCTGGTATCTTTAGAAGCTGGTCAACATTGAAAGATTTTTATTATTCCTGGCTTGGGGCTGCAGAAGTTTTATACAAAAGCAGTGGTAGCAACCAGCTGGCTCAATTTTCACTGCCCATAAGCACATACACATACACAGATTCAGCTACATAGGTAGGATCTGAGTGGGGCAGCCATGAAGACTGAGTTCTTCATTCTCCCTCCTCCACCTCCAGCTAAATAGCTCAGAATTTTTGTCCAGGGTAGGGTCAGGGCAAGCCTTAAAGACTGACAACAACCTGCCCCTGTCAGAAGACCAAAATTTAATGGACTATGGAGCAATTTATTTCAAAGGGCAAAAATTCAAAGGTTGAAAGCAATAGAGCAATTTACCTACCAACAAGATAAAGCTAACAGATACATATGATTCTAATAGAGCAGATAGCTGAAAACTTAAAATGGTCAAGGAAATAGCAGTTAAAAAGAGCCCATCTAAAACCAGTAATATCTGATTTTCAGAGATTATATGAATGCACAAGGCTGTGGCCTGTAAGGAGCAGCATCAGAGACTTGATACTGTGAGAGAAATAGATTTCACTGAAATAGCCCAACACAGTCATGCTGAAAGAATTAAAAAGGAGGTATGATGACAATTTCTTATGAAGTAGAGAACATCAATAAAGTCATAGAAATTACAAAAAGGAATCAAATGACAATGCTGGAGCTAAAAAGTACAACAATCAATATAGAAAATTTAATAGAGTAGTTCCACAATAGATTTGAGCTGGCAGAAAAAGGAATCAGCCAACTTGAATACACATCAATAGAAATTATGCTGTCTGAAGGAGAGAGAAAAAAATAAGGAAACATAAACAGCACCTCAGAAATGTGGAACAGCGATAAATAAACCAATGTATACATAATGAAAATACCAGAAAGAAAGGAGAGACAGAAAGAATTGGGAAGTATATTTAAATAACAAATGACTAAAAATTTCACAAATTTAATATAAAACATTAGTACTTATGTCCAAGAAGCCAAACTAAGCCTCAAGTAGTATAAACACAAGGAGATCCATAACACAACACAGCATAGTCAAATGTTGAAAGACAAAGAAAACATTTTGAAAGCAGTAGGAGAAACAAAACTCATTGAGTACAAGATAACTCTAATAAAATCTTAGCTGACGTTCTATGAAAAACAATGGAGTTCAGAAGACAGTGAAATGACATATTTAAGATGGCAAAATTAAAAACAACCGTCAACCAAGAATCTTATATCCACCAAAACTCTTACACAAAAATGAAGGAGAAATAAAGATATTTCAAAATAAACAAAAACTGAAAATGTGTTGCAAGCAGGCTCACATTACAAGAAATAGTAAAATGCTGAAAGCAAATTACACCAGGGTATTTTAAATCCACATAAAAAATGAATACCACTGATGAAGATATTTATGTATGCATTTATGTCAAGAAAGCGTATCTTTCACCAATACTGAGGAAATAAATTGTGAGGAGAGAGCCAGCATCCATGAAGAGCTCCATGATTGTTCTCTGTAGGTAAGATCTTATAGTGGGAACTACCTCCACTGAACTAGAAAACCTATATGCAGTGACACTGAAAGGACCCCAAGTGGCATGGGCCAAGTGTCAACACTTAAGTACCAAAGGCAAGGTGGGCATGCTTACTGTAATGAATAGCAGAGTCAAAGCAGCAATCAGAAAAAACTGACTCTTATAAAACTATGGCATTGGCTAATTGACCTTGGTGTTTCCAAAGATAAATTGTATAGGAAGCCTATTAAATTCTTATTTGATAAGCAGAAAAGCTATAGGTGAAATGAATAAAAGTTTAACCTAAATCATAAAAACAAAGAGAATGGCCTCTCAATCAATTCCCATACTTGAGCCTCTTTATAGATTCAGACCCCTTGAATGAAGGGAAGGCTGTGTCTCCTTGAAGAAGACCTTGATATACTACAAAAACTTTATACTATCAATCTTTCTTCCAGCCTTCCTCAAGGGGACTTTTGGCCTTTTACCAAGCTAACTGTGCATTGGAGAAGAGGAAATAATCATACCTTGTAGAGACTACTAAACTCTGACTCTGAAATAATACCTGGGGACTCCAAACATCATTATGGCCTACCAGTCAGAGTAGGAGCTTATGGAGGTCAGATGATCAATGGAATTTTATCTCACATCCATGAAAAGTGGGTCCAGTTGGTACTCAAACACATCCTGTGGTTATTTCCTCAGTTACACAATGCAAAATTAAAATAGGTATTTAGTAATTGTCAGAATCCCCATAAGACAGTATAATTGCCTATTTTTTGAATTTGAGCTATACATTCCCCCTCAAATGATTAAATATAGGCCAATTAAAAACTTCAAGATAAATTAGAAAATAATTTTAACTGAATAAGAATAAAAATACAATATATTAAAAGTTATAGGATACAGTTAATCATTTCGAGGGAATTTTATTTCCTTTGTACACATATTTGATACAAAAGCAGGAAAAATCAAATAATCTAAGCTTACAACAATACAATCGAGACAAAAACTACAAATAACTAGTCCATAAAAAATAGAAGGTATAAATAAATATAACAACAAAAATATATAAGATAAAATACAAATGTTTAATAAAGAAAATAACTAAAGCCAAAATTTAATTCTTTGACAAGAATAAGGCAATGAATTGGATGGTTGCTGCCAACTCTTCTCTTTCTCAGTTAATAGAATTGGACATGCCTATCACTTGCTTTGTGACTTTACACTGTCTTCCACCACAGGCAAAGATTACTTCCTCACCACATGAATTTTTGCTTGGCCTTATGACTTGCTTTAGCCAAGAGAATGTGGTTTGAAATGATTTTGTGTTTTATCCAAATCTAAGTCTTAAGAAAACATTAGACTTTTCTCCTTCCCCACTTGCGCTTTTGCGATCTGACACAAGTAGAACATGCACAGAATGTTTGCTAGTTGAAGGAAAATGAGAGAAACCTGGAGAAAATCCAACGCTAACTTGCAGACTGGACTAAGCCTAATGGATGCAAAGACAGAAGGACACCCAACCAACATATTCATGAAGGAGAAAAAATATGTTAGGGTAACTAACCTACTAGTATATATATATAGAAAAAATGAGAAAAGCAATGGCCATCTTGCATTACTTATAAAATTGAGAAAACTCTGGCAGATAAATCAAGAAAGAGAGAAAATAAAAATTATGAATATCAGGAATAAAATGGGATTTGCCCTACACATACAAAAAAAGACAATATGAACATTTTATGCTAATAATTTTAATAATTTAGTTGACTAAGCACCTAAACAATTTACTGAACTATAAGAAATAGAAAACGTAAGTACTTCATGTCTGTTAAATGAATTAACTCTGCCATTAAGAGCCTTTGGAAAAAAAAAATTCCAGTCTTAAGTAGTTTCAATGATGAGTTTTTGCAAAACTTCTAGTCAAAAAATTATACTAATGTTTTACAAAATTTCCAAAGAACATGATAAATACAGAACACTGAATAATTCTCATTTCACTTATGGGGCAATATGACCTTGATCTCAAAACCTGAGAAATAGGAATTCTAGAAAATATATATCTAATAAATATGAATGGTAAACCTTTGAAAAATTCTGTGATACACAAATAAATAACACAACATGAGCAACTGAGTTTATCCAAATAATGCAAAAATGATTTAAAATCAACCAATACAATTCATCACATTTTTAAAAGTAGAAAATCACATATCTGTTTTGATAGATACAGCAAAAAAAAATTATTTCCAACTTTTATTTTAGGTTCAGGGGGTCCATTTGCAGGATTGTTACATGGGGATATTCCACGATGCTGAGGTCTGAAGTACAGATTATTTCATCACCCAGGTAATAAACACAGTACCTGATAGATAGCTTTTTGATCCTCACCCTTCTCCCATCCTCCATCCTCAAATAATCCCCATTGTCTATGGTTCCTATCTTTGTGTCCATCAGTACTCAACGTTTAGCTCCCACTTATAAATAAGAACATGTGGTATTTGCTTTTCCATTTCTGTGTTAATTTGCTTAGGAAAATGGACTCTAGCTCCATTCATCTTTCTGCTAAGAACGCAATTTCTTTCTTCTTATGGCTGTGTAGTATTCCATGGTGCACACGTTCAATGTATTTTTATTCGGTACACTATTGATAGACAGCTAGACTGATGCCATGTATTTGCTGTTGTGAATAGTGCTGCAATGAACATACAAGTGCATGTGTCTTTATGATGCAATGATTTATATTCATTTGGGTATTAACTCAGTGATTGGACTGCTGGGTTGAATCGTTGCTCTGTTTTAAGTTCTCTGAGAACGCTCTAAACTGCTTTCCACAGTGACTGAAATAATTTACATTCCCACCAGTAGTGTATAAGCATTCCCTTTTCTCCACACCCTTGCAATTATCTGATACTTTTTGACTTTTAATTATAGTCATTCAAATTGGTATGAGTTAGTGTATCATAATGGTTTTGATTTGCATTTCTCTAATGGTTAATGATGTTGAGCATTTTTTCATATGCTTGTTGGCTGTGTGTTTGTCCTCTTTCGAGGGATGTTTTTTTTCAATGTCTAGTTTGTTGATGGGTTTTAACATAAAGGATGTTGAATTTTATCAAAAGCCTTTTCTGCATCTATTGATATTAACATGTGGTTTTTGGTTTTAGTTCTGTTTATTTGATAAATCACATTTATTGATTTGTGTATGTTTAATCAACCTTGAATACTAGGAATAGAGTCTACTTGATTGTGCTAAATTAGCTTTTGGATGTGCTGCTGGATTTGGTTTGCTAGTATTCTGTTGTAAATTTTTGCCCCTATGTTCATCAGGGGTATTGGCTTAAATTTTTCTTTTTTCATTGTGTCTCTGCCAGGTTTTGGTATCAGAAAGATGCTAGCCACACAGGATGAATTAGAGAAGAATTTCTCCTTCACATTTTTTTTTAAATAGCTTCAGTAAGATTGGTACCAGCTCTTCTTTATACAGCTGGTAGACAATTTGGCTGTGAGTCTGTCTGGTCCAAGGATTTTCTGGTTGGTAGGCTTTTTATTATTGACTCAATTTCAGAACTTGTTATTGGTCTTTTCAGGGTTTCAATTTCTTCTTTGTTCAATCTTAGGAGGTTTTATGTTTCCAGGAATTTATCCATTTCCTTTAGGTTTTCTAGTTTGTGTACATAGAGATGTTCTTAATAGTCTCTGACGGCTGACTAGACGAAGTCACAAGGGGCATCTCCCACTGAGAGACCAGACCATCAAGAAAACTGGCACACTCTAAGCTGACCTTTGGAAGGAAGGCACTGAGAGTGGATGGAGGAAAGATTCGGATTACAGAATAAAGGAAGAGGAAGCTGTGAACCCTGCATGGGACTGATGAGCACCAGTATTCATTCCTGGCCACCAGTTGCTCCTGGGGAAGTGGTGAGTTGATCAGTGAGGAGTGGTCCACTGTCACCACAGACTTCCAGAATGCTAACTTCAGTAGACCCCTCAATCCCTACAGACTTTTGAGTTTACAGGGAGAGTTGCTTGGAGAGATAGCAGAGACAAGACTGCAGGCTGCTGCTGCAGCTGAAGTGAAGCATGGCCAGGGATGCCCATTTCCAAAGGCCCATCATGCTCCTCTAGGTAGCTTTGGCCTTTGTTGACTGTTGGACCTGAACAGAGCAGAGTGGTCCTGTCCAGCAGCAGGGCAGTCTTATCTGAGTGATGTCAGGTCTCCTGGCCTCTCCCATGTTCCTTGCTTGGCTGTGCCCTCTTGTAGGACAGCCTCAGATGCCTAACTGGAGCACTATATGGTGGCTGCCACCATAGTTTTTCACCAGAAGACTCCACCTAACCATCAGAGATCTTCAACAGATGAGACCCTGCCAATGGGCATCCAACTGCAGCCTCTCCCACTGCTTTGTGAGGGCACACTCACCCACAGCCTCACTCCACCAGTATGTTGGCACATGTGCACACAGGGACTTCACCACTCTGTTGCCACTGGCACACATGCATGCAGACCTTATCACCATTGCCCCGCCCCCTCCAGCACATGCTAACCCTGCTACACCACTGCTACTGGTGCACACAAGGATATGGGCACTTCTGCCACCTCCTCAATGAAGTGTTTTTGCTGGCACTCTTTGTACTGTTGTTGTCAGGGAACTGGGAACACCTCAGCCCCTTCAGCACAGCAGGTGCTTAACTTTGAGGGACCAGAAAACAAAGCTCCAGGCCTAGTACCACTCCTCAAATGTTGGAGCACACAGTCCAGGGGTACTGAGCTGTGGGTTGGCCCCCTGAAATCACTGAGAAACAAAAGCAGTCAACTGAGCCCAGCTGATACCACAATCAAACTCCCAAGGGCATCAAAGGATATAAAAGAAAAAAGCCCCATATGCTGGACAGCAACTTCAAAGATTAAAGGAACAATAGCCCACACAGATGAGAAAGAACCAGTGCAAAAACTCTGGTTTCTCAAAAAACCAGTTTGCTTCTTAACTCCAAATGACTGTACTAGCTCCCCAGCAATGGTGTTTACCCAGGCTAAAATGGCTGAAATGACAGACATAGAAATTAGAATCTGGACTGCAAGGAAGATTTTCAAGATTCAGGAGAAAGTCAAAACTGAAAACAAGAAATCTAACGAATCCAATAAAATGATACAGGAGCTCAAGGATGAAATAGTCATTTTAAGAAATAACCAAAGCTGATCTGATAGAACTGAAAAAAAAAATCACTACATGAATTTCATGTATACATGTATACAATCAGAAGTATTAACAGCAGAATAGACCAAGTTGAGGAAAGAAATCTCAGAGAACGAAGAATGGTTCTTTAAATCAACTCAGTCAGACAAAAATAAAGAAAAAAAAAAGAAATAAAAACTAAACAAAATCTTGAGAAATATAGGATTATTTAACAAGACCAAACCTACAACTCATTGGTGTCCTTGAAAGAGAGGGAGAGAGAGCAAGTAACATGGAAAACATATTGAAGATATTATCCTTGAAAATTTCCCCCGCTTCACTCAAGAGAATGACATTCAAATTCAGGAAATTCAGAGAATCCCTATGAGATACTATACAAGACATTCCTCTGCATGACAAATTGTCATCAGATTCTCCAAGGTCAACATGAAAGAAAAAAATATTAAAGGCAGCTAGAAAGGGCCAGACAGCTACAAAGGGAACCTCATTAGGCTTATGGTGGACCCTTCAGCAGAAACCCTAAAAGTCAGAAAAGATAGGGGGCCTATATTCAAAATCCTTAAAAGAACGAAATTCCAACCAAGAATTTGTATCTAGCGAAACTATGCTTCATATGTGAAAGAGAAATAAAATGCTTTTCAGGAAAGCATACGCTAAGGGAATTCAATACCACCAGACCTGATTTACAAGAGGTCCTTAAGAGTGTGCTAAACATGGAAATGAAAGACTTACTGAACACCACAAAAGCACACATAAGAACATAAGTCCTTGACACTATAAAACAACCACCCAATCAAGTCTGCATAACAACCAGCTAACAACATGATGACAGGATCAGATTTTAACGTATCAATATTAACTTTAAATGTAAACATGCTAAACACCCCACTTGAAAGGCACGGCGTGGCAAATTGCATAAAGAATCAAGACACAATGGTCTTCAGGAGACCCATCTCGCGTGATGACTCATAGGCTCAAAGTAAAGGGATGGAGTATAATTTACAATGCAAATGGAAAATAAAAAAAAGCAGAGGTTGCTATTTCAATTTCAGACAAAACAGACTTTGAACCAACAATGATGAAAAAAAGACAAAGAAGGGCATTACATAATGATAAAGGGTTAAATAGACAAAGTCTTCCTCAACAAGAAGCCTTATCTATCCTAAATATATACACACTCAATACTAGAGCACCTAGATTTATAAAAATAAGTTCTTAGAGACCTACAAAGAGACTTAGATAATCACACAATAACAGTGGGAGACTTCAACACCCCACTACCAGTATTAGATTATTGAGGCAGAAAATTAACAAAGATATTGGGACCTAAACTCAACACTTGACCAAATGGACCTAACAGACAACCACAGAACGCTACACCCAACAACAAAATATACGTTCTTCTCATCAGCAAGTGGCACATACTTTAAAATCAACCACACGCCTGGCCATGAAACAATTCTCAACAAGTTCATATAAACTGAAATCATACAAACCACATTTTTAGACCACAGTGCAATAAAAATAGAAATCAATACTAAGAAGATCTCTCAAACTACACAGTTACATGAAAATTAAACAACCTGCTCCTGAGTAAGATTTTTGTAAACAATAAAATTAAGGCAGAAATCAAGAAATTCTTTGAAACTAGTGAAAACAAAGATACCAGAATCTCTGGGACACAGCTAAAGCAGTGTTAAAAATGTATAGTGCTAAATAACCACATCAAAAAGTTAGAAAAATCTCATATTAACAACCCAGCATCACACCTAGAGGAAGCAGAAATGCTCTACCAAAGCTAGCAGAAGAAAAAAAAAAAACAAAATTAGAGCTGAACTGAGTAAAACTGAGGTGTGAAAAACCATAGAAAAGACCAACAAAACTAAAAAGTGTTTTTGAAAGAATAAATGAGATTGATAGACCACTTGCTAGGCCAATAAATTAAAAAAAGGAGATGCAAATAAACACATTCAGCAATAACAAAGGGCACATTGCCACCAACCCAACAGAAAAAAAAAAGAATTTCTAAAAATAATACATAATCATAGCAACACAAAAAATACACTTAGGAAGAAGTGGAAACTTCTTTAATCCAATAAGGATTATCTACATAACCCAACAGTAAACACCATACTTAATAATGAAGTTTTAAAAGAAGCTTAAAAAGTAGTAATATGTTTTATTGCAGAAAATTAGAGCTTTTTAAAATAAACAAAAAAATGGCCCAACAATTATCAAGGCAATCTTGGTTAAGAAGAACAAAGTTGGACAATATGAACTTCTATATATCATTTATTTTTAATATTATACAATTGATAAGTATGTTTGTTGGTGCAAGGATATACTAATAGACTGAAGGGCCAGAATATAGAATTCATGAATACACCTACACCTATATCAGTCAACCCATTCATGACAAAAATAAATAACACTGCTCTGGTGTAGAGAATAAATGCTTTTCTGAATACACTGTGCTGTATCAAATTGGATATCATTTTTTAAAAAAGATAATCTTGAGGCTACTTATTCTCATGTACAAGACCACATATGAAATATATTGCAAATTTAAATGTAAGCCTAAAACAATTAGGTTGTTACAAAATAGAATATACACACATTGGAGTTAGGCAAAAATTGTCAAAAAGGACACCAAATATGCTAACCACAGAGAGAAAAATATAAATTGGACCATATTTAAATTAAAAATCTTTGTTTATCAAAAGATATCACTCAGAGGCCAGGCGCGGTGGCTCATGCCTGTAATCCTAGCACTTTGGGAGGCCGAGGCAAGTGGATCACCTGAGGTCAAGAGTTTGAGACCAGCCTGGCCAACATGGTGAAACCCTGTGTCTACTAAAAATACAAAAATTAACCGGGCATAGTGGTGGACACCTGCAATCCCAGCTACTCGGGAGGCTGAGGCAGGAGAATCACTTGAACCTGGGAGCCGGGAGAGGGAGGTTGCAGTGAGCCAAGATAGTGCCATTGCATTCCAGCCTGGGTGACAGAGCGAGACTCTGTCTCAAAAAAAAAAAAAAAAAAGATATCATTCAGAGAGTAAAAATTCCAATCATATTGTTTGACAAGATTTTTTTTATACATACACACAACAAAGCACATATATACAGAATTAGGCAGGAATCGGTGCTAAATTGGTTGTGAGAACTGAAGGGCAGATATTTATCAAGTGTGACTCATGTGATTCTAGCTTGTTCACCTCAGTTATACGCACTGCATGAGAAAGACTGGGAAAAAAGGATTTGAGTGAAGAATACAAATTTCATTTTAATATTTATATATTATTTTAATATATGTAATTTTTAGAATTTTAGTTTAAAAATGTAATAAAAATTTACCATCTTAACCACTTTTGAATGTGCACTTCAGTAGTGTTAAGCATACTAATATATCCAGAATATATAAACAACTCCTCAAAATCAGTAAGAAAAAGAAACTTTGAAAAAAAACAGAAAACACCAATTTAAAGATGGGCAAATGACTTTAATAGGCCCTTCAGGAAAAGTGCATCCTAATAATCAATATGCACATAAAAAGGTGTTCAATGTTACTAATTATTAGGAAAATTTAAATTTTAACTACTTATGCAACAGAATTGCAAAAATGAAAAACACTATAAATATCAAGTGTTGTGAGGATATGAAGCAACTGTAACTCTTATATAATACTTGTCGGAGTATAAATTGGTAAAACATTTAAGAAAACTGTCAGTATTATTAAAATTAACACCACCATATTCTGTGACCTAGTAATTTTACTCCTCAGCACATATTCAACAGAAATTTCTGCAGTTGAGCACAAAAAAACACATAACAATGTTAAAAATATTTGTAGCAGCATTATACTTGATAAGGATATCTGGAAACAGTGTACATGTCTATCTACAGTAGAATGGAGTAACATATTTTGGTTTATTCATAGGCTAAAAATCTTTACAGCAATGAAAAGAAACAACAACCAGAAAAACGACATGTATGCATCTCATAAACTTAATATTAAGTACAATCTATGTGCAAGGGTACACATAGAAATCTTCCATTTACACAAAATTAAAATGCAGGCAAAACTAATTTATACTGTTAAGGCAGGAGTTTGTTTCTAGGAAAACAAAAGAGACCTTCTGTTTTTTGACTTGGTGGTTAATATGGTTGTTTTCATAGTTGAAAAGCTTGTTGAGCTTTTCACTTATACTTTGTGTACTTTTACTTGTGTATGCTACATTAAAACAAGAGCTACAATTTTTAGTGGATAAATGAAATGCATCTGAGGAAGTTACATAAGATGAGATCAGAAAAAATGAGTATATATTTTTTTTCCAGAGTAGTCTAGTGTAGAGGAAACATCAGGAATAAAATCCTTGAGATTGAGAAAATGTGACATCTTGGAAGAAGTGAAAGAGCAGTCTGGCAGAAATGCGAAGAGTGAGGGTGAGAATAACATGTGATTAGTCTGGTGTACAGACCTGAAGACCGTAAGACTTTAAATGAGCAAAGGGAAACCATAGGATAATTTATTCAATGACAAGACATATCCCAATTAATCACTGTTTTTAATATATTGAATGCTGTGAGAATAACGTTTCGGAGCGGAGAAAAATCTAGTGTTAGAAGACAGATTAGGAGACTGCACACAGAATAATAATAATGGTTTGCATAAAGTTTGGAGCAGTATAACTCAAAGTAAATGAACATGTTCAAGAAATATTTTGAAGGAAAATTAGGCAGGAATTGGTGCTAAATTGGTGGTGAGAAATGAAAGGGAGATATTTATCAAGTGTGACTCATGATTCTAGCTTGTTCAACTCAGGTATGCCCATTAGATGAAGACTGGGAAAAAAAAGATTTGACTGAAGAATATAAATTTTATTTTAATATCCATATATTATTTTTAATATATAATTTTTCTCATATGTAATTGTCAGAATTTTAGTTTAAAAATGTAATAAAATTTATAATTTTAACCACTTTTGAATGTACACTGCAGCAGTGTTAAGCATATTAATATTGTTGTACAACCAAGTTCTCAGAAATTTTGGTCTTGCAAAACTGAAACGCTATACACATTTAGCAACAGTTCCCCATTTTCTGCTTCCCTTAGCCCCTGATAATCACTATTCCACTTTCTGTTTCTATGAATTTGACTCTTTTAGATACCTCAAGTAAGTGAAATCGTACGGTATTTGTCTTATTGTGACTAGCTTATTTTACTTAGCATAAATGTCTTCAAGTTTCATCCATGTTGTAGCATGATGTGACAAGATTTTCTACGTTTTTAAGGCTAAATAATACTCCATTCTATGGATATACTATATTTTGTTTATCCAATTTCCATCATTGGACATTTGGGTTGCTTAATTTTATATATTTTAAGTTTGAGAGTGGTGTGAGGCTTTCAAATGGCAATATTTAGAAGACAACTGTATATTGGAGGGTAGAGGTTATATTCAATGTATAAAATAAATGACAAAAGTTAAGGAAATTAAAAAGATTAGCTGTTCAAACTCTATTTGACAATTTGATTTTTTTTATTAGATAGCTTCAGATAAATATACTTCTTCCAAAAGCTATTTGGTATAGTTGAAAGTGGCAAACAAAGTTTACTAGTACAGAAATAAATCTTGATAAAGCAGTATTTTATAGTTGTTAGAACTTACTTGGTTATGTTTCTCTTGTTGTGAGCATCTTGACTACAAAGTCTTATAAGTGTTAAATGCTATGCAGAGGAGTTTTTAAACTTAGTATTTGACAAGTAAACCAAATAAAATTAATTATGAATGAATTCATCTAAAATGATATAGAAACTCTAAATGTGATACAATGCTCATTTTATATATGTGTGTGTGTGTGTGTGTGTGTACACAGAGTGAGCTTTTTTTAGATTTGAAAAGAATGAAAACTCTATTTTAATTGTACAAAAAATTGTAACAGATAATGTTACATAGATTTATTTTAATATGATAGTGGGTAGAAATGTGATTAAGAAAAGAATTTGGTGCATGAAGAAGAAAATCTAGAAAAAACATAACAACAACAAAAAGTTGTAAACTTAGAGAAAAGAGACAAAGTAGCACTAGAATAATGCAATCAGGGGTGAAGGAATGCATTTTTCTGGATCAGGAATATTGGAAAGTACTTAAAGGATGAAGTACACTACCAATAGTTCTTTGATTACTAGCAGAGTGACTCTAGTCAACTTTTGTATAAGTGCATGGAAAGAAGCTTTCCTTGATTCTGTAATTGATTTCTTGTAAATTTAACTCAATGAATGGGCCATCAAGAAAAATGTGCTCTGAAATGAAAGTTTGAGCTAGGTGGAAAAGGTAGCTTAGAGATTTATTTAAAAGGCTAAGGTCCCCAGTAGGATCGACGGAATTTTCAAACATTTTTGTCAAAGGTGAATTAAGGAGCCAAAAGAAAAATCTTTTTTCCCCTGGGGTGAGGGGGAGGAGATTATCTTGAATCTCAAAATGTTTATTAAGACTACTGGATAATGTTTGAAGTGGGCTTTCAGAAGGACTCTAAAAGCAATAGGTAAATTTCATATCCTTTCCATGAGACCCATTTCTAACATTGTAGACTCATATTGCATTATGATAGGGTGGTGATAAAACACTATCATCTAGGGTGACAATCGAACTATTTTATGTTCTTGTAACAATATTTTATTTTTAATAATTTACGATGATCACACATTTTCCAAATAGTAATATCAACATTTCTTAGTTTTATAAGTTGTATCAATGAGAGTATTTTTCATGACATTTTTCCCCATTAATTCACATTACATACATGGAGATTTTTTTCAGCACAGCATTTACTATTTACTTTTTATCATGAACTCTTAGCGAAAAAAAGAACAGATTGTGATAAAGATCCAATTTCCAAGTAAACAAAATTTATGATTTTCCAAATAATTATTTTTCTTGTTGTTTACTATAATATAGTATATAAAATATATATACTATATGTGCTATATATAGTACATATAATATATATATACTATTATATGTATACTATATATATGTTACTTTTAATGGCAAAAACCACAATAAATTTGCACCTACCTAATATTAAACATATTGTATTATTCCCTTCTCATGTCGCTATGAAGAACTGTCCAAGACTAGTAATTTATAAAGAAAAGAGGTTTAATTGTCTCACAGTTCTGCAGGGCTGGGGAGGCCTCGGGAAACTCACAAACATGGCAGAAGGGGAAGCAAACATGTTCTTCTTCACATGGTGGCAACGAGAAGAATGAGAGCTGAGTGAAGGGGTAAACCCCTTATAAAACCATCAGATCCCGTGAGAACTTACTTACTATCATGAAAATAGCATGGGGGAAACCCCACCCATGATTCAACTACCTCTCACCAGGTTCATTCCATGACAGGTGGGGATTATGGGAACTACAATTCAAGATGAGATTTGTGTAGGGACACAGCCAAACCATATAATTCCTCTGTGGCCATTCCTAAATCTCATGTCTTCACATTTCAAAACACATTCATGTCCTTCCAACAGTCCTGCAAAGTCTTAACTCATTCCAGCATTAACTCAAAAGTCCAAGTCCAAAGTCTCATCTGAAACAAGGCAAGTCCCTTCCACCTATGAGCCTGTAAAATCAAAAGCAAGTTAGTTACTTCCTAGATGCAGTGGGGTACATGCATTGGGTAAATACAGCCATTCCAAATGGAAGAAATTGGCCAAAATGAATGGGCTACAGGCCTCATGCAAGTCTGAAATCCAATAGGTCACTCATTAAACCTTAAAGTTCCAAAATGATCTCCTTTGACTCCATGTCTCACATCCAGGTCACACTGCTGCAAGAGATGGGCTCCCATGACTTTGGGCAGCTCCCTGCCTGTGGCTTTGTAGGGGACAGTCCACCTCCTGGCTCTTTTCATAGGCTGGCATTGAGTGTCTGCAGCTTTTCCAGGCTCATGGTGAAAGCTGTCGGTGAATCTACCATTCTGGGGTCTGAAGGACAGTGGCCCTCTTCTCACAGCTCCACTAGGCAGTGCCCACTGGGGACTCAGTGTGGGAGTTCCATTCCCACATTTCCCTTCTGCATTGCCCTAGCCGATGTTCTCCATGAGGGCTCCACCACTGCAGCACACCTTTGCCTGGAAATCCAGGCATTTCCATCTCCTCTAAAATCTAGGCGGAGGTTCCCAAACCTCAATTCTTGACTTCTGTGCACACACAGGCTCAACACTACTTGGAAGCTGCCAAGGCTGACGGCTTGCACCCTCTGAAGCAACAGCATGAGCTGTACATTGGCCCCTTTTAGCCAGGTCTGTAGCAGCTGGGATGCAGGGCACCAAGTCCTGAGGCTGCACAGAGCAGGGGTACCTGGCCCAGGAAACCATTTTTTTCCCTCCTAGGCCTCCTGGCCTGTGATGGTAAGGGCTGCCATGAAGGTCTCTGACACACCCTGGAGGCATTGTGCCCATTGTCTTGTCAGTCAGCATTTGGATCCTCATTACTTATGCAACTTTCTGCAACAGGCTTCAATTTCTGCCCAGAAAATAGGTTTTCTTTTCTACTGCATCATCAGGCTGCAAATTTTTTAAACCTTTACACTCTGTCACCTCTTGAATGCTTTGCTGCTTAAGAAATTTCTTCCACCAGCTACCCTAAATTATATCTCTCAAAGTTCCACAGATCTCAAGTGCAGGGGCAAAAAGTCACTGGTCTCTTCACTAAAGCATAGCAAGAGCGACCTTTACTCAAGTTCCCACAAAGTTTCTGATCTTCATCTGAGACCACTCCGGGCTGGACTTCATTGTCCATATCACTGTCAGCATTTTGGTCAAAGCCATTCAACAAGTCTCTAGGAAGTTAAAAAAATTCCCACCTTTCTGTCTTTTGAGCCCTACAAATCTCTAGGATGTTCCAAACTTTCCTACATTTTCCCATCTTCTTCTGAGCCCTCCAAACTGTTCCAACCTCTACCTATTACCCAGTTCCAAAGTTACTTCCACATGTTTAAGTATCTTTATAGCAGCACCTCACCCTGTATTGTACTAATTTACCGTATTAGTTAATTCTCATGCTACTACAAAGAACTGCCTGAGACTGGGCAATTATAAAGAAAAAAGGTTTAATTTACTCACAGTTCAGCATGACTGGGGAGCCCTCAAGAAGTTTACAATAATGGCAGAGGGGAAGCAAACATGCCCTTGTTCACATGGTGGCAGAAAGGAGAAGAATAAGAGCTGAGCAAAGGGGGAAGCCCCTTATAAAACCATCATATCTCATGAACTCTTACTCACTATCATGAGAACAACATGGGAGAAACACCCCCCATGACTGAATTACCTCCCACAGGATCCCACTCATGACATGTAGGGACCGTGGGAATTACAATTTAATATGAGATTTGCATGGGGACACAGTCAAACCATATCACATATATACCACAAATGGTATATATATACTATAGTATAGTGTGTGTGTGTATATATGTATATATATACGCACTATGTATACTATGTACAGTATAGTATATATAGTATGGTATATAGATACAGTATATACTATATACACACTACAGTATAGTATCTGTACACTCTACATTACACATATATATAGTATTAGAATACTATTCAGCCATAAAAATAATGAAATTATGACTTTTGCATCAACATGGATGGAATTTGAGGCCATTATATTGAATGAAAATACTCAGAAACAGACAGTCAAATACTTCACATTCTCACTTATAAGTGGGAGCTAAATAGTGTGTACACATGGACACAGAGTGTGGAACAATGGATATTAGAGACTTGGAGGGTTGAGAGGGTGGAAGGGGATTTAGGGATGAGAAATTACTTATGGGGTAAAATGTATATTATTCAGGTGATGGTTACACTAAAAGCTCAGACTTCACCACTATGCTATATCCATGTAACAAAACTGCACCTATATTCCTCAAATTTATACACATTTTTAAAAAGCCATATAGTCATATAGTTTAAAAAATCAATTTAGTGATTATGTAATTTCTACAAATGTTCTTAAATTTGGTCATCCAATTTACATTAGAACCCTGTCAGTCATAAGGAACTTACCACATTGTGAGACAGTCAATTTCATCTTTGTACAGCCTAAGAGGTACTTCCCATATTAAAGTGAGCATTTCTGAAAATTTTATCCATGGTTCTTGTTCCATATCTTGTTACCAACCACTTAAAAAGTTCATGAGATCACAGATACTATGGGCAAACAGAAATAATAAGTAATATAGAATTTACCCTGTGGTAGAAGGGAAACTAAAATCAGAGACAAACATAAACTGAAATTTTAGTATGGTAGACTCACCACTGTAGAAAGCATTGGATTTTCACTTCTCATTTCTAAGTGGATTGTCCCTAAATGAATGGCTACAGTTTGTTCATAGATCTGCTTTCACACAAGTACACCTACATTTGTAGATTGACCATCTTTGGCACTTCTACTTCCTGCCACCTTGTGAAGAAGGTGCCTTGCTTCCCCTTCACCTTCTGCCATTTTAAGTTTCCTGAGGCCTCCCAAGCCATGCCAAACTGCAAGTCAATTAAACCTCTTTTCTTTATAAATTACCCTGTATTGGGCAGTTCTTTATAGCAGTGTAATAATGCACTAACACATATGACTTCTGAGATATTTTTTGTTGTTCAATAAATAAATAATGATGTCAAGCACCTTCTTACTTTTTTTAATGTATGCATACAATAAACACATGTTCAGTGATGAAATCTGAATATTTAATGATATGTTAGAAATTTCAAATTGAAAAATAAAATTCTAAGCCATATAAATTATAAATTTTTAAGATTATAAAACTGCAATTATTTGCAATTTTGGTTCTTATTACTGGTATGTTTATTGTTTCTTCTAGTTTTGTGCCATCAGCAGGTTGGATAACTACGTATTGTCTTCTTTTTATGATTGATTAAAAACATTTAAGAGGATGGGGGCAAAAAGAGATCTTGAAAAACATACCTTCTGGTTGATAGAAATTTCTTAATGAATATAGTGTAAGTCTGGTTGAAAAGCCATTAAGAAAATAAACTTTTGAGAAGTGTCTGTCCATGTCCTTCGCCCACTTTTTGATGGGGTTGTTTGTTTTTTTCTTGTAAATTTGTTTGAGTTCATTGTAGATTCTGGATATTAGCCCTTTGCCAGATTAGCAGGTTGCAAAAATTTTCTCCCATTTTGTAGGTTGCCTGTTCACTCTGATGGTAGTTTCTTTTGCTGTGCAGAAGCTCTTTAGTTTAATTAGATCCCATTTGTCAATTCTGGCTTTTGTTGCCATTGCTTTTGATGTTCTAGACATGAAGTCCTTGCCCATGCCTAAGTCCTGAATGGTAATGCCTAGGTTTTCTTCTAGGGTTTTTATGGTTTTAGGTCTAGTGTTTAAGTCTTTAATCCACCTTGAATTAATTTTTGTATAAGGTGTAAGGAAGGGATCCAGTTTCAGCTTTCTACATATGGCTAGCCAGTTTTCCCAGCACCATTTATTAAACAGGGAATCCTTTCCCCATTGCTTGTTTTTCTCAGGTTTGTCAAAGATCAGATAGTTGTAGATATGCGGCGTTATTTCTGAGGGCTCTGTTCTGTTCCATTGATCTATATCTCTGTTTTGGTACCAGTACCATGCTGTTTTGGTTACTGTAGCCTTGTAGTATAGTTTGAAGTCAGGTAGCATGATGCCTCCAGCTTTGTTCTTTTGGCTTAGGATTGACTTGGCGATGCGGGCTCTTTTTTGGTTCCATATGAACTTTAAAGTAGTTTTTTCCAATTCTGTGAAAAAAGTCATTGGTAACTTGACAAGGATGGCATTGAATCTATAAATTACCTTGGGCAGTATGGCCATTTTCACGATATTGATTCTTCCTACCCATGAGCATGGAATGTTCTTCCATTTCTTTGTGTCCTCTTTTATTTCATTGAGCAGTGGTTTGTAGTTCTCCTTGAAGAGGTCCTTCACATCCCTTGTAAGTTGGATTCCTAGGTATTTTATTCTCTTTGAAGCAATTGTGAATGGGAGTTCACTCATGATTTGGCTCTCTGTTTGTCTGTTATTGGTGTATAAGAATGCTTGTGATTTTTGCACATTGATTTTGTATCCTGAGACTTTGCTGAAGTTGCTTATCAGCTTAAGGAGATTTTGGGCTGAGACAATGGGGTTTTCTAGATATAAATTCATGTCATCTGCAAACAGGGACAATTTGACTTCTTCTTTTCCTAATTGAATACCCTTTATTTCCTTCTCCTGCCTAATTGCCCTGGCCAGAACTTCCAACACTATGTTGAATAGGAGTGGTGAGAGAGGGCATCCCTGTCTTGTGCCAGTTTTCAAAGGGAATGCTTCCAGTTTTTGCCCATTCAGTATGATATTGGCTGTGGGTTTGTCTTTATGCAGCCAAAAACCACATGAAAAAATGCTCACCATCACTGGACATCAGAGAAATGCAAATCAAAACCACAATGAGATACCATCTCACACCAGTTAGAATGGCAATCATTAAAAAGTCAGGAAACAACAGGTGCTGGAGAGGATGTGGAGAAACAGGAACACTTTTACACTGTTGGTGGGACTGTAAACTAGTTCAACCATTGTGGAAGTCAGTGTGGCCATTCCTCAGGGATCTAGAACTAGAAATACCATTTGACCCAGCCATCCCATTACTGGGTATATACCCAAAGGACTATAAATCATGCTGCTATAAAGACACATGCACATGTATGTTTATTGCGGCATTATTCACAATAGCAAAGACTTGGAACCAACCCAAATGTCCAACAATGATAGACTGGATTAAGAAAATGTGGCACATATACACCATGGAATACTATGCAGCCATAAAAAATGATGAGTTAATGTCCTTTGTGGGGACATGGATGAAATTGGAAATCATCATTCTCAGTAAACTATCGCAAGGACAAAAAACCAAACACTGCATGTTCTCACTCATAGGTGGGAATTGAACAATGAGAACACATGGACACAGAAAGGGGAACATCACACTCTGGGGACTGTTGTGGGGTGGGGGGAGGGGGGAGTGATAGCATTAGGAGATATACCTAATGCTAAATGACGAGTTAATGGGTGCAGCACACCAGCATGGCACATGTATATGTATGTAACTAACCTGCACATTGTGCACATGTACCCTAAAACTTAAAGTATAATAATAATAAAATAAAAAAAAAGAAAACAAACTTTTGTACTGTCATCCCAAGCATATTTCTCAATCATTTTCAGTCTTATCATTTTCAAGCTTGTTAAATGCTTTTCTGAATACACTTACAGCAAAATCAAGGCAGTAAATGATTAATCTATGTGCACATATCTTGCACCATAGTAAAAAAACAATAAAGACAGAAACACAAGCTCTAAAGTCAAATTTTATGGGTCTAAATGTTATCTCTGATATCCACCAGCTGTGTGATCTCAGTCATATCACCTAATTTATCTGTGCTTTGGTGTCTTCATTCATAAGATGAAAATAATAATAGACTCTACCTCATGGCATGGTTGAGAATATTAAAATCGTTAATGTATAGAAAATACTTAAAACAGTGACAGAAACATAGTGGATTTTCAATGTTAGCTATTAGCTATTATTTCAACTAATATGTTAGTACTGTGGGGATAAGAGAGTGGAGTAAATTTTAGATCTCTGTATTTACTGAGATCACTTGGATAGTATTATAAATACATTAGGCATTCAAATAATAGCCAAGTTTTGTTCAGTGAAAATTAATGAACACCTACGACATGTTAGAATCATACAATATTTGATTAGTGATCATCCTGAACCTCCAAAAATTTCAACTTAGGTTTACATATAAACAGAAGATACAAAAGAAAGTAGTTGGAATGGTAGAGGAAATAGAGACATCCAAGGCCTTTTTTGAAGTGGATGCTCTTCTATGTGGCAATTGAGAATAAAAGATAATTTTTTACAAATAAGTAATTCTGGTAAATAATGAAACCATGAAAAGTTAGAGAAACTTTTGTTAATATGAATAAGCTAGTTAAACATCAGCTAGTCTTTAGGAAACACACTATTAGGTTCAGGGAACTGAGTATGGCTTTAATAATATTAAGTAGTAGTTTATGATATTAAAATACAGAAACAACCTAAAAGTCCACCAATATGGTATTAACTCAATAACTAATAATTTATCAGTGATGGTGTCTGTGCATGTATGTATGTATGTATATATGTATGTGTGTGTGTATGTGTATATATATATAGAGAGAGAGAGAAAGAAGGAAATGGAAATATGGTCACATTGGTAAGTTAAAAAAATACATAGCAGAATGGTGTGTGCAGTATGATTGAGCCCATTTTTCTTTTACATTGTATTAATTGTAGGTCTGATGGACACAACAAAGATGAAATTGTGATTGAAAAAGTATTGTTATATTTATTTTATACATATTTGCATTTCTGTTGAAATTTTACTATTCAGAGAGATTAAAATATATATTGCTCATTCTTCACAACAGTTTTGTGAAGCAGCCACACATTACTCCAATTTAAAATTACATAAATAAAAGTCATGTGGCTTGTGAGTGTCAAAATTAACGCTAGAATCCATTGCATTGTACTTTTTTTGCATGCTGAATATTTTGGAGTTAATATCAACAATAATAACCAGCACTATCTCCTGACTTGTTTTGAAATATTTCAGTATGAACTTAACTTGATTTTAGTAATTTTTCCTAAGCTTTTTCCCACTTCTTAAATAAACTACAGCAAGAAAAAAAAATTGCCACAGAACAGTTAGCCTGCGAGCAAACTTACAATTTACCTTTAGCCACATCACTTTCATTTTTATTCAATCAGAGCGTCTTACAGTCTAAGTTAATTCTAAAGAGTAAATTAGAAAGCTTAAAAGAAAATTAATGTTTTTCCAGCAGCAATCTGATGAATTGGGCAAGCAATTTTCTAAGTGTTACTATAGTAGATTAAAGATAACTTTTTCTCAGAGATAATTTGTTTATTCAGGAATACAACACTTTTTAGTGCATATATTTGGAAATGAAAGGAAGAATATGTTAAATAAACACAGTAATCTTTGTTGCGATTGAGTTTAGTCTTGCATTTTTTTAAAATGGAGATTTTGAGAGCACTGGTTGTAGAAAAGATGGACCAGAAACAATATTTATTCCTCATAATATGTACAGTTACTAAAACCTGGATAATATTAATATATTTATAAAACAACATGAGACAATTTTTAAAGGGTAAGAGAGGAATGTAAAGCAGCTAGCATACAAGGAGTCCAAAAGACAACACTATGGTGATGTACCTCACTTTTTTTTACCCCGAACATCCCAGACTGGGTTCTAAAGAATACAACAATTTAGGAACAGCAGTGTGTGCAGGCAAAAAAAAAAAAAAAAAATCCCAACAAATGCTTGTTCTTACTAGCTAAAGGACCAGAAAAAAGAAGCTTAATAAGAGACAACTTTGAGACAATAACAATCTTACTATAGTCAAACAACACAGAAAAGTAAGTTTCACTCCTACTTCATAAAAAAAAAAAAAAAAAAAAAGAGTGGAGAACCTAGACTTCGACATTTGCCCTGCTGTAAGGAGAAAACTTCCCCACCATTTCCTCCACCAGAGTGATGTCAGAGAACTAATGATAA
Source organism: Homo sapiens (assembly GCF_000001405.40). Classification (NCBI taxonomy): domain Eukaryota; kingdom Metazoa; phylum Chordata; class Mammalia; order Primates; family Hominidae; genus Homo; species Homo sapiens. The sequence goes on along the minus strand of NC_000023.11, from coordinate 99,399,279 downwards.
GCTGGAACTTTGAACAATGCCATGTGGTAATGGAGCACTCCATTATGGTGTCAGTGGAATAGAAGCCTGCAACATTCATACCCGCTCCTGGAACACCAAATTTTAACAACTCTCTGCACACAGAAAAGCACCATCACAAGAAAGAAAAATCAGATGAGCAAACAGAGTACCTGGGTTTAATTTCATATTGACAAAAGAGGCATTAAAGAAGGTCAGAGAGACGGTCTTGAGTCACGAACACCACCTCTTACCATTGTCCAGCAGAGGTCCTGCAGCTGGAATAGAGAATCTGTGCAATTTGAAAAGAGAGAACACAGTGACTGCGACACTTTACATTGATCTCAGTGCTGCCCTGTCACAGTGGAGAATGAAGCCATGGTGGGCTCAGCCAGCACCCATGCATGGAGGAAACATTTGGACCAGCCCTAACAAGAGAGGAATCACTCATCCCAGTATTGAGAACTAGAGTTTCTCAGCAGGCCCCGCCCCCCTGGGCTGAAGCGCTCTGGGCTTCTAGGTAAACTTGAAAGGCAGTCTAGGACACAAAGACTGCAATTCCTAGGCAACTAGTAGTGCTAGGCTGGGTGTAGTGCCAGTGGATTCGAATGGCACATGACCTAGGGAGACATAAGCTAGCAGGGCAAAGGGAGTTCTTGCACTACCCCTCCCCCAACCCCAGACAGCACAGCTCACAGCAACAAAAGTAATGCCTTTTTTCTTCTTAAGGAGAGTAGTGAAAAAAGAAAAGAGGACTGTTTTTGCATCTCAGAAGCCAGCTCAGCCACAGTTGGACAGGGCACTGGACAGAGTCATGAGGTTCCCATTCCAGCTGCTAGTTCCCAGATAGTTTCTAGACACACCATGGGCCAAAAGGGAACCCAGTGCCTTGAAAGGAAGGACCCAGTTTTGGCAGGATTCTTCATCTTCTGAATAAAGAGCCCTTGGGTCCTGAATAAGCAATAGCAATATGCAGGTAGTATGCCATGGGACTTGGGTGAGACTCTAAGATATGTTGGATTAAAAGTGTCAATGAGCACATGCTCAGCTGTGTTGACTACAGTGACAGACTCCTTCTGCTTGAGAAAAACAGAGTGAAAAGTAAAGGGGACTTTGTCTTGCACCTTAGGCACCAGCTAAGCCACAGTAGGGGGGCCGAGCCAAGCAAGTTCCTGGGGTCCCCCCCAAGTATAGGTCTATGCTCTTGGACAGAATTACTGGACCTGACCTGGGCTACAGGGGAGCCCACTGCCTGATAGGGTGAGTACCAGGCCTGGCAGGATTCACCACAAGCTGACTGAAGAGCCCTTGGTTTTAAGTGAGCATCAGCAGTGGCCTGGCAGAACTCCCCATGGGCTGGTGGCAGTGGTGGCCAATGGGAGAGGTTCTTCTTCCCATAGAAAGGACAGAGAGGTGTAGGATGAACTTTGTCTTGTGGTTTGAGGGGCCAGCTTAGGTGCAATAGAATAGAATACTTAGATTTCTAAGGTTCTTAACACAAATCTCTGGCTCTAAGAAGCATCTCTGGACCCACCCAAGGCTAGGGAAAACTTGCCACCATGAAGTGAAGGACATAAATCTGACTGGCTTCCTCACCTTCTCACTGTTGAGCCCTAGAGCCTTGAGCAAGCATAGGCAGTAGCCAGGGAGTGGTTATAGTAGGCCTTAAGTAAGAATCAGTGCCATGCTGGCTTCAGGTCTGACCCAGAATAGCCCCAGTAGTGGTGGCCACAGGGGTGCTTTCAACACCCGAACCCAAGCTCCACGTGGCTCAGCACACAGAATGAGACTCCATTAGTTTGGAGAAAGTAAGGGAAGAGAACAAGAGTCTCTGCTTATTAATATAGATAATTCTTCTGGATCTTACCCAAGACCACTAAGGTAGTGCCTCTAAGAGTATGTCAGAACCACAGCATCATTCAGTTTGAGGCCCAAGTCTCTGTGAATACCTGGAAAGACTTCCCAAAAAAGATGGGCACAAACAAACGCAGACTATGAAGACTGGAATAGCTCTTCCATGTCTAGACACTAACAAACATCACAAATATGAAGACCATACAGCAACGCATGACTTCATCAAACTAACTACATTGGGCACCAGGGACCAATCCTGGAGACTGAGATAGATTTGAGACCACATTTGAGACAGACAATTCAAAATGGCTGCTTTGTGGAAACTCAAAGAAATTCAAGATCACACAGAGAAGGAATTTAGAATTCCATCTGATAAATTTAACAAAGAGATCAAAATAATTAAAAAATAATCAAGGTGAAATTCTAGAGATGGAAAATGCAATTGACATAAGAATGCATCAGTGTCTTAATAGCAAAATTGATCAAGGAGAAGAAATAATTAGTGAGCTTGATTACAGGCTATTTGAAAACACAGACAGAAGAGACAAAAGAATAAAAAACAATGAAGTATTCATTCAAGACTGAGAAAATAGTCTGAAAACGGCAAATCTAAGAATTATCAGTCTTATAAAGGAGGTAGAAAAAGAGATAGCAGTAGAAAGTTTATTCAAAAGGATAAAATCAGAGAACTTACCTAAAGAAAGGCATCAAAATTCAAGTACAAAATGTTTATAGCACACCAAGCAGACTTAACTCAACGATGACTGACTCAAGGCATTTAATAATCAAATCTGCAAAAGTCAAGGATGATGAAAGAATCTTAAAAGCAGCAAGAGAAAACAAACAAATAGCATAAAAGGGAGCTCCAATACATCTGGCAGTAGATTTTTTGGTGGAAATTTTACAGGCCAGGAGAGAGTGGTATGACATATTTAAAGTGCTGAAGAAAAAAACTATTACCCTAGAGTAGTATATCTGGGGAAAATATCATTTAAGCATGAAGGGGAAATACTTTTCCAGAAAAACAAAAGTGGAGGAATTTCATCAACAACATATATGTTCCACATGAAATGCTAAAGAAAGTTATCCAATCTGAAAGGAATAGACATTAATTAAAAGAAATCATTTGAAGGTAAACTCACTGGTGATAGTAAGCATACAGAAAAACACACAATAGTAGAACACCATAATTGTATTGTGCAAACTACTCAAGTAGAAAGACTAAAAAAGGAACCAATCAAAAGTTATAACTACAACAACTTTACAAGATATAGATAGCACAGTAAGTTATAAATAGAAACAAACAGTTGTGCAGGGGAATGAAGTTAAAGAATAGAGTTTTCATTTGACTTACTAGTTTTTTCATTGTGCAATCACTGTTGTCATTAGTTTAAAATAATGGGTTATAAGAGTATTTGCAAGCCTCATGGTAACCTTAAATAAAAAGGTACAATGAATATACAAAAAGTTAAAAAGCATGAAATTAAATTATATGAATAGATAAAATTACCTTCACTAAAAAATAGGAAAAAAGTAAAGAAGGAAGATAAAAATTACAAACCAACCAGAAAACAAATAACAAAATGGCAGGAGTTAAGTCCTTACTTATCAATAACAACACTGAATGTAAATGAACTAAAGTCTTCAATCAGAAGACATAGACTGGCTGAATGAATGAAAAAAACAAAACCCAATAACCTGTTGCCTACAAGAAGCACAATTTACCTATAAAGATACACATAGACTGAAAATAAATGGCTGGAAAAAGATATGTTATGAAAATGGAAACAAAATAAAAGCAGGAGTAGCTATACTTACATCAGATAAAATAGATTTCAAGACAAAACCTGTAAGAACACACAAAGAAGGTCACTATATAATGATAAAGGGGTCAATTCACCAAGAGGGTATAACAGTTGAAAACATATATGCAGCCAACACTGGAGCTTCCAAATATATATATATCCAATATTAATATAGATAGAGAGATAGACCTCAATACAATAATACCTGGAGACTTCAAGACTCCACTGTCAGCACTGGACAGATCTTCCAGATAGAAAATCAACAAAGAAACATTGGACATAATCTGTACTAGAACAAATAGATTTAATAGATATTTACAGAACATTGCATCCAATAGCTGAAGAACTCACATTTTTTCTTCTCAGTACAAGGATGATTTTCAAGGACCGTCCATACATTAGGTCACAAAACAAGTCTTAAAAGATTTAAAAAATTAAAATACTATCAAGCATCATCTCTGACCACAATAAAATAAAACTACAAATCAACAACAAGAGGAATTTTAGAAAATATACAAAGTCATGAAAATTAAACAATATTCTCCTGAATGACCAGTGGGTCAATGAAGAAATTAAGAATGAAATTTAAGAATTTATCAAAACAATTGATAATGAAAACGCAACATATCAAAATCTATGAGATTCAGTGAAAGCAGCAGTAAGAGGGAAACTGATAGACGTAAATGCCTTGAATGACCAGCAGCAGTATCTAGGGAGTACAGCATGGGCCTTCAGGTCTGAGACATGCTGGCTTCAGGGGTTAACCAGCACATTCCCAGCTGTGGTGTCTATCATGGAAGACTTCTATTTGAGAAAAGCAGAGAGAAAAGTAAAAGGAACTTTGTCTTGCACCTTAGATACCAGCTCAGCCACAGTGTGATAGAGCAATAAGGAGGCTCTAGGGGGCCTCAAGTCCATGCCTAGGCTCTTGGACAGCATTTCTGGACCTTCCCTGGGACAGAGAGACACCCACTGTCCTGAAGGGGGAGTCCTAGGTTAGGCAGCATTCATCACAAGCTGATGAAAAAGCACATAGGCTTTTGGTGAACATCGGTGGTTCGCTGGCAGAACACCCTGTGAACTGGTGTTGGTAGTGGCCACAGGGAAAGGGTCTTATGCTTGTGGAAAGGGAATGGAAGAGCAGGAATGACTCAATATTTTAGTTTGAGTGCCAGATTAGATGCAACAGAGTAGAATATCAGGTAAATTTCTAAGGATTTTACTCCAAATTCTGGCCCCCAGACAGCATCTCTAGAAATGCCTGGGGCCTGGGTGAACTTGCTTTCCAGAAGGGAAGCATCTCAGGCAAAGCCCAAGGTCCTGTCTGTCCCAGCACAGTCCCAGTGGTGGTGGCCACAGAGGGGCTTGCATCATCAAAGCCCCTGTTTCAGGTGACCCAACACAGAGAGACTCGGTTTGTTTGGGAGAAAGTAAGGGGGAAATAAAAAAAGAACCTCTGCCTGGTAATCCAGAGAATTCTTCCAGATCTTATACCAGACCATCAAGATGATACCTCTACGAGTCTGCAAAAAGCACAGCAATATTGGCCTTGGGGCCCAAGTCCCTTCAAATACCTGAATACCCTTCCCAAAGAAGACAGGTAAAAACAAGCCCAGATTGTGAAGAATACAATAAATACCTAACTCTTCAATGCCTAGACACCAACGGACATCTACAAGCATCAAGGTAATATGAGAAAACATGACCTAACCATATGAACTAAATAAGGCACCAGGGACTAATCCTGGAAAAAAACAGATGTATGGCCTTTCAGACAGAGAATTCAAAATAGCTATATTGAGGAAATGCAAAGAAATTCAAAACTAAACAGAGAAGAAATTCAGAATTCTGTCATATATATTTAAAAGGAATGAAATAATTCAAAAGAATCAAACTAAAATTATAAAATTGAAAAATGCATTTGACAAGCTAAAGACTACAATGGATTTTCTTAATAGCAAAATTGATTAATCAGAAGAAAGAATTAGTGAGCCTGATGACAGGCTATTTGAAAACACATAGAGGAGACAAAAGAAAAATGAATAAAAAGCAATGATGCATGCCTACAAGATCTAAAAAAATAGCCTCGAAAGGCCATCTCTAAGAGTTATTGGCCTTGAAGAGGAAGGAGAGAAGGAGATAGGGAAAGAAAGTTTATTTGTTAAAAGGAATAATTTTAGAGAAGTTCCCAAACCTAGAGAAAGATATCAACATTCAAATATACAAGGTTACAGAACACCAAGCAGATTTAACCCAAAAACAACTACCTCAAAGCATTCAATAATCAAAATCCCAAAAAAATGAGGATAAAGACAGGACTCTAAAAGCACCAAGAGAAAAAAATAGCATAAAGTGGAGCTCCAATACATCTGGTAGCAGACTTCTCAGAGGAATCCTTATAGGCCAGGAGAGAGGGTCATGACATATTTAAAGTGCTTAATGAAAAATCTATTACCCTAGAATAGTATATCTCATGAAAATATCCTCCAAGCATAAAGGAAAAATAAAGATCTTTTCAGACAATAAAAGCTGAGGGATTACATTAACATTACACCAGTCCTATAAGAAGTGCTAAAGGAAGTTATTCAATATGAAAGAAAAGGATGCTTACGAGCAAGAAGAAATCACTTAAACGTACAAAATTTACTGGTAATAGTAAGGATATAGAAACCACAGAATAATATAACATTCTAATTATGGTACGTAAACTACTCTTGTCTCAATTAGAAAGACTAAATATTGAACCAAGCAAAAATAGTACCTAAAACATCTTTTCAAGGCATAGAAAATACAATAAGACATAAAGAGAAACAACTAAAATAAAAAAGTAGGGTATGAAGGTAAAGTGTAGTTTGTATTTGTTTTTTTTACATGTTTGTCTGTTTATGCAATCAGTATTATGTTGTCATCAGTTTATACAATGGGCTATCAGGCAGTATTTGCAAGCCTCATGGTAACCTCAAATCAAAAAAGCATACAACAAATACACAGAAAATAAAAAGCAAGAAATTAAAGCATACAAGAGAAAATCAACATCACTAAAAGGAAGATAGGAAGGAAAGAAAGAAGGAACAGAAGACAGCAAAACAACTAGAAAACAAACAAAATGGCACAATTAAGTCCCTACTAATCAAAAATAACACTGAATATAAGCGGACTAAACTCTCCAATCAAAGGACATAGAGTGGCTGAATGGATGAAAAAACAAGACTGCATGATCTGTTGCCTGCAAGAAGCACACTTCACCTGTAAAAATACACATAGGTGGAAAATAAAAGAAAAATATATTCCATGGCAATAAAATCCCACAAAGAGATGGAGTAGCTATACTTATATCAGACAAAATAGATTTCAAGACAAAATATGAAAATACACAAAAAGGTCATTAGAAAATGATGAAAGGTTCAATTCAGCAGGAGGATATAACAATTTTAGGTATATATGCACTCATCGCTGGAGCACCCAGATATATAAAGCAAATATTATTAGATCTAAAGACAGAGATAGATCCCAAAACAAGAGCTGGAGACTTTGACACCCTAGTCTCAGCATCAAGCAGATCTCCCAGACAGAAAATCAACAAAAATCATCAGACTTAATCTGCACTGTAGAAAAAAATAGACCTAGCATATATTTAGAGAACATTTTATCCAACAGATGCACAATACACATTCTTCTCTTCAGTATATCAATCATTCTCAAAGATAGACCATACAAAGGCCACAAAACAAGTCTTAAAACATTCAGAAATTTTTGAACTAATATCAAGCATCTTCTGTGACTACAATGGAATAAAACAAAAAATAATGGGGAATTTTGGAAACTATACAGATACATGAAAATTAAATAATATGCTCCTGAATAACCAGTGGGTCAATGAAGAAATAAGGAAGAAAACTGAAAAAATATTTTGAAAGAAATAATGATGAAAACACAACAAACTAAAACCTAAAAATACAGAAAAGGAAGTACTGAGAGGAATGTTTCTAACTATAAGTACCTATATCAAAAAAGAAAAAATATTTCAAATAAATAAGCTAATGATGCATTTGAAATAATTAGAAAATCAAGAGCAAAGCAAGCACCACATTAGTAGAACAAATAAATATCAGAGTAGAAATAAATGAATTTGAAATAAAGAAAATACAAAAGATCAAGGAAACAAAAAGTTGTTTTTTTGAAAACATGAACAAAATGAACAAGTCTTAAGCCAGAACAACAAAAAAAATAGAGAAGAACCAGACAAATAAAATCAGTGTTGAAAAAGAATACATTTTAACTTATACTGTAAAATTTGAAAGGACCATTAGTGGCTACTATGAGCATACATATGCAAATAAATTGGAAAATCTAGAAGATATGAATAGATTTCTAGCCATATACAACCTACCAAGATTGAACCATGAGGAAATCTAAAACGTGAACAGAGTAATAACAAGTAATGCGATCAAAGCCATAATAAAAATGTTTGCCAATTAAAAAAAAAAAAAGGCTCATGACCCAATGGCTTTATTGCTGAATTATATTAAGAATTTAAAGAATAGCTAATAGCAATCTTACTCAAACGACTACAAAAAAAAGAGGAGGATGAAATACATCCACACTTATTTTATGAGGCCAATATTATGCTGATACCAAATCCATATAAACACACATCAAAAAAAGAAAAATACAGACCAATATATCTGATGACTATTGATGCAAAAATCCTCCACAGAATACCAGCAAACTGCATTGAAAAACATATTAAAAAGATAACTTATCATTACCAAGAGGGAATTATCACTGGGAAGCAAGGATGTTTCAACATATGCACATCAATTAATGTGACGCATCATATCAGCAGAATGAACAAAAAAGCAATATGATAATTTTAATTCCTACTGAAAAATCATTGGATAATATTTAACATCCCTTCAAGATTAAAAGAAACTCAAAAAATTGGGTATAGAAAGAACATACTTCAGCAAAATAAAAGCCTCATATGACAGACCCATAGCCAGTATCATACAGTATAGGAAAAATTTGAAAGCCTATCCTCTAATATGAGAAACCTGAGAAGAATGCCCATTTTTACCACCATTTTTCAACATAATACTGGATGTCCTAGCTAGAGTAATTGACAAGAGAAGGAAATAAAAGACATTCAAACTGAAAAGGAAAAAGTTAAATTATCCTTGTTTGCAGATGATATGGTCTAATATTTGGAAAAACTTAAAGACTCTACTGAAAAAACTAGATAATTGATAAGCAAATTCAATAAAGTGACAGGATACAAGATCAACGTAAAAAAAATCAGTAGCATTTTTATGCACCAACAACAAACATTCTGAAACATAAATTAAGAAATTAATCTCATTTATAATAGCTACAAATAAAAAAAAACCTAGGAATTAACCAAACAAGAGAAAGTTCTCTACAATGAGAACCATAAAATATTGATGCAAGAAATTGAAGAGGACACAAAAAATTGAAAAAAAAAATATGCCATATTCATGGATTAGAAGAATCAATATTATTAAAATGTCCATACTACCCAAAGCAATCTAGAGATTCAATGCAATACCTATAAAATGCCAATGACATTCTTCACATAAACAGAATAAAAAATCCTAACATTATTATGGAACTGCAAAAGAACCAGAATAGCCAAAGCTATCCTGAGCGAAAAGAACAAAACTCGAAGAAGAACATTACTTGATTTTAAGTTATACCACAAAGCTATAGTAACCAAAACAGCATGGTACTGGCATAAAAACAGACACATACATCAGTGAAACATGTTAGAGAACCAAGAGATCAACCCATACCTCTACAGTGAATTCATTTTTGACAAAGTTGACATGAACATACACTGGGAAAAGAACAGTCTCTTCAATAAATGGTGCTGGGATAAGGGGATATCCATATGCAGAAAAAGAAAAATAGACCCCTATCTCTCACCATATTCAAAAATCAATTCCAAATGGATTCAAAACTTCAATCTAAAACCTCAAACTAAGAAACTTCTAAAAGAAAACATTGAGGTAACTCAACCAGGACATTGGTCTAGGCAAAGATTTCTTGAGCAGTATTCCACAAGCACAGGTAATCAAACAAAAATGGACAAATGAAATTACATCAAGTTAGAAAGCTTCTGCAAAGCAAATGAAACAATCGACAAAGTGAAGAGACAAACCACAAAATAAGAAATTGGCAAACCACCCACCTGACAAGAGATTAGGAGGCAGAATATATTAGGAACTCGAACAACTTTTTAGGAAAAAAAATTAACAATCTGACTTGAAAAATGAACACAACATCTGAATAGACATGTCTCAAAAGAACACACAAATGGCAAACAGGTATATGAAATGGTGCTCAATATGATTAATTATAAGAGAAATGCAAATCAAAATTACAATGAGATATCATCTTACCCCAGTTAAAATGCTTTTATCTAAAAGTCACACAATAACAAATGCTGGTGAGGATGTGGATAAAGGGGAAACCTTGAACACTGTTGTTGGGAATATAAATTAGTACAGCCACCATGGAGAATAGTTTAGAGCTTCCTCAGAAAACTAAAAATAGAGGTACCATACAATCCAGCAATCCCACTCCTAGATATATATTTCAAAGAATGGAAATCAGTATATTGAAGAGATCTGCACTCTCATGTTTAATGCAGTACTATTCACAACAGCCAAGATTTGGAAGCAACCTAAATGTCCATCAACAGATGAATAGATAAAGAAAATGCAGTACATATACAGAATGGAGTACTATTCAGCCATTAAAAAGAAAGAGATCCTCTCATTTCCAACAACATGGATGGAACTTGAGGTTATCACGTTAAGTTAAATAGGGCAGGCACAGAAAGATTAATGTTGCATGTTCTTACTTATTTGCAGGAGCTAAAAACTAAAACAATTGAATTCACGGACATGGAGAGTTGAAGTATGGTTTCCGAGGCTGGGAAGTATAGTGGGGGACTGGGAGGAAAGTGGGGATTGTTAATGGGTACAAAATTAGTTAGAAAGAATAAATAAGGCTGGGTATTTGATGGCACAACAGGATGACTATAGTCAAGAATGATTTAATTGTGCATTTTAAAATAACTAAAAGTATACTTAGATTGTAATACAAGGGATAAATGCCTGATATGATGGATATTCCATTTATCCTGATATGATTATTACACATTGGATGTCTGTATCAAAGTATCTCATGTAACTCATAAATATATACACCTGCTATGCATCCACAAACATTAAAAATTAAAAAAATAGTATTTGGACATTTTATTATCCCATTTTCAATAATGGATAGAACAATTAGGCAGAAGATCAACAAAGAAATGAAATATTTGAACAACCCTGTAATCAACTAGACCTTGTAAACATCTACAAAACACCCTACCCAACAACAGCAGAAAACACTTATCCTCACATGCACATAGAACATTCTCCCAGATCGACTAAATGTTAGATTATAAAACATCTAAATACACTCCAAAGAATTAAAAAAATACAAAGTATGATCTCCAGAACAATGGAATCAATTCAGATACCAATAAGAAAGAGACATTTTGGAAATGTTGAAGAGGGTGTAAATTATAGAATGCACTCTTACACACCTAGTGTGTCAAAAAAGAAATCACAAAAGAAATTATGGAATACTTTCAGAAAAAGGAAGTACTAATACCATATATGAGATGTACAAGATGCAGCAAAGATGGTGCTCATATATATATATATATATATATATATATTTTTTTTTTTTTTTTTTTTTGAGACGGAGTCTCACTCTGTTGTCAGGCTGGAGTGCAGTGGCGTGATCTCGGCTCACTGCAACCTCCGCCTCTCAGGTTCAAGTGATTCTCCTGCCTCAGCCTCCCAAGTAGCTGGCACTACAGGTGCGTGCCACCATGCCCAGCTAATAGTTTTGTATTTTTTAGTAGAGACAGAGTTTCACTATGTTGGCCAAGATGGTGTCAATTTGTTGACCTAGTGATCCGCCTGCCTTGGCCTCCCAAAGTATTGGGATTACAGGCATGAGCCACCGTGCCCAGCTGAGAAAATTTTAGTTGTAAACAGGTATATTAAAAAACAGTTATCTCAAATTAATAACAATCTTTCACCTAATGAAACTAGATAAAGAAGAGCGAATTAACAGAAATCAAATAGATGAAAGAAAATAATAAAGATTACATAAAAAATTAAATTTAGAAAGAATAGGTAAAATTAAGAAAGACTATAAAACAAAATCATGTCAAAAGAATCATTTCCAAGCCCACAAAATTGACAAAACGCTAAGTAAACTGAGGAGAGAGAGAGAGAGAGAGAGACAGAACTCAAATTATTGCAATCAAGAATGAACAAGGAACATTACAACTTACCTTACAGGGAAAGAAAATGATCATAAGGGAATTCTATGAGTAATTGTGCATCAATATATTAGATAACCTAGATGAAATGGACAAATCCTATAAACAAACAAGTATGGCTAAAATCACACACACAGACACACACACACACACACAAAACAGAAAAAAAAAACAGACAATAACAAGCACTTGGAAATTATGGAGAAATTGGAACATTCATACATTGCTGGTGGGAATATAAAATGGTATATAGCCCTCGCAGGAGAGAGTTTGATAGGTCCTCAAAAAGTTAAACATAGATTTACCAAATGACCCAAGAATACTACTTCTTATTCTAATCGTACATGTATATATGCATGTGTGTGTGTGTGTATATATATATATATCCAAAAGTGTGTGTGTGTATATATATATATATATATTTTGGATATATATATCCAAAAGTTTTGAAACCATGTTTCATATATATACATATATATATATATATATACGTGTGTGTATATGTTTCATATATATATATACACATATATATATATCTCTCTCCAAAAGTTTTGAAACCATGTTTCCACATAAAAACTTGTATGATAATATTTTTAACAGCATTATTCATAATAGCCAAGAAGCAGGAGCAATTCACATGTTTACAGACTGATGAATGGATATAAAAAATGTATTTTTTATACATGGAATACTGTTTGGCAATATAAAAGAATGGAATTCTGATACATGCTACAATGTGGATGAACCCTGTAAACATACTCAATGAAAGAAGCCAAAAACAAAAGGCCACATATGATTCCATTTATATGAAATATCCAGGAAAAGCAAATCCACAGAGACAGATAGTAAATTATTGGTTTTCAGGGGCTGGGGGAAGGACTGAATAGGGAGTGGCCCATCTTCCCCATGGTCCAGAATGTTTACTAAATATGTACATAGAAATGTACCATCTTAATCAGCATTCAACCCCAAGGAGTCTACTTGTCACAATATGATAAACCCAACAGATACATCTGTGCAGAGTTATTATTAGAAACAGGATCTAAGGGGGACCGAGAAGCAGTACACTGAGAATGCATTCCATTTTCAAAGACTTAGGGCAGTGGGAAGTCCCTACAGCCTTTCTCCAATGAATCCACCAAATTGCTACATGAACAAAAAGCCAGAGTTTGGGCTTCCATCCCACAGAGGGTACCAACATCAGTTCACAACATTTTTTTCTTTTTTTAAAAAAAGAATATATAGATTACATTAACTCAGAATATAATTTTTATCAATTCCACCTCTCCTTCTTTTCCACCCAAATCTAAAGGAATCAGAAGTAATAGATCAAGTAGTTGAAGTAATAAAGCAGGAAGATTAGACACAGGTCATTCCTTCTTTTCACGTTAAGTTGCTGATTTAGGACAAGATCTTGCTGTGTATAAATACAGTTTAAATGTGAGACTTAGGTTTTTTATTCAAATTAGATTGGACTTCTTAATATATAAGACTTTGTTAAAATCTGAAGTTTAGCAGATAAACTATGGGATAATCTGTAGAAATTGTCTAAGAATAAAAACCTTATTGAATTAGCCTGAAGGAAAGAAATATATACTAAAACCCCCAAAAACGCTTTGATGATTTTATTCTACTTACTTAATTTTATTCCATAAAATATTCCATGCTACTTTGTTTGAAAGATTTTAAAAGTATAAATTATTTTTAAAGAAGACTATAATGTACTAAGTCTGTTTGCTTCTTTTCCAACTTATTTGTTTGGGAAATATCTACGGCAAAGTTCTGGCTTTTCTATGGTTATGATAAATATTGTTTTTATATTTGTTCTAATAACTTTTTTTAACTTTTAAGTTCAAGGGTACATGTGTAGGTTTGTTACATAGGTAAACTTGTGTCAGGGGGGTTGTTGTACAGAGTATTTCATCACCGAGGTATTAAGCCTAGTACTCATGATGGCAGTGGCTGCCCATCTGTAGCAGCTGCTGTGGGGATGTCAGCTGCAGTGGGGGAGGCATGGCTGGAGCTGCATGCTCTGTGGAGCCAGTGGGGGCTGATAACTGGTGGGAGCCCCACTCTCTACAGATTTAAAGGGGCAGGAGCCCTGTGCTCCCAGGCACTGCTGCAGCTGCCCAGCTGTGGCTCCAGTCCCAGGCATCCCTATGCTCTTGGGGGTCTGGGAAGTACCCCCTGCTCCCGCTGGTGGGGCCCACTCAAATTTGGCAGAAAAGTTGAAGCTGAGCCTGGGTGCTAGAGCAACCTGGCCAGGTGTGTGCACACTTAGGGGTGTGCTGACACAACAGACCGGCCCACCACCACTTTGGCACAGAGGGAGGCTGGTGGGGCTGAGAGCAGCTCAGCCTGAACCTGCAGGCACCACTAAGCACAAATAGCCTGGGCGCCATGAATGGAATGTTGATGGCAGGAGGCAGACAGGTACCTGGGCTGAAATGGGCAGGTCTCTGGTAATACCCCACCTTCAAGCTAAGGTTGGCTTGAAGCCTGGGGGTTGGGCTGCCAGTTCCAAGTGGAGTCCACTGCCTGGAGTGAGAACTTGTGGTGCTTTTTCTGAGCCCGCACATTATGGATCAATCAGCATGCACTTCCACTGTTCTGAGCCCATAAAAACTCTGGACTCAGCCATAATGGAACAGACATTCAGAAGAAAGGAGCTGTAGAAAGGAGCTACCCACTGCAGATCTCTCCAGTGAGAACTGGACACTCACCGAGACAACCTGCCTGCAGAAAGGAGCTACCCACTGTGGGTCTCCTGAGAGCTACGCTGTTGCTCAATGAAACTCCTCTCGGCCTTGCTCACCCTTCAGTTGGCCACATACCTCATTCTTCCTGGACGTGGGACAAGAATTCGGGACCCACCAAATGGTGGGACTAAAAGAGCTGTAACACAAACAGAGCTAAAGCATGCCCATCCCCCTGCCACACATCCTGCTTGCCATGTTGTGGGTAACATGGACAGAAGAGCTGCAGCCCTTTGGTGATCCCAGACCTAGAGGGTCCCTGAGCCAGGGCTGTGACACCCTCTTTGGGGCTCTGTGGTTCCTTGCATCTTCAAGCTTTTGGGCACCATCGTGTTATCCTTGTCCAGATGTGGGTGCCCACAGCAGAAGCCATGTGTGGTACTTCTGGTCTAGCCATAGCCTTGCACAGAGCCAACACCTGTGTAAGTGCCTGGAGCTGCCTGCCCTGCCACAGCAGCCAGAGTGCCTGGCTGTATGCAGTCATGAAATCCCATGCTTGCTCACCCACACACCACTCACCACTCTGTGCCTGGCTTGCCCTTGGCAAGGGTGGAAGCTAAGCTGATAGCATGAGTCAAGCACAGCCTGCGGGGCCAAGTGAGCGGACCAAGCCCAGTGGACGCGAATAGTACTCAGGCCAAAGGCACCACTGGCCAGAAGTTTCTGACTAACAAAGCAACACCCCAAGGATCCCATGACACTCATTAGTTATTGTTCCTGATCCTCTCCCACCTCCCATCCTCCACCCTCCAAAAGGCCCCAGTATGTGTTTTTCCCCTCTATATGTCCATATATTCTCATCGTTTAGCTCCCACTTATAAGTGAGAACATGTGGTATTTGGTTTTCTGTTCCCTTTTCGGTTTGCTAAGGATTATGGCCTCCATGTTCCTGAAAAGGACATGGTCTTGTTCTTTTTTATGGCTGCATAATATTTCATGGTGTATATGTACCACATTTTCTTTACCCAGTCTACCATTGATAGACATTTAGGGCATCTTCAAGCTTCTGGGCACCATTGTGTTATCCTTGTCCAGATGTGGGTGCCCACAGCATAAGCCACGTGTAGTACTTCTGGCCTAGCCACAGGCTTGCAGGGAGTCAGCACCTGTGCAAGCGCCTAGAGCTGCCTACCCTGCCACAGCAGCAGGGGTGTCTGGCTGTGTGCAGTCACAAAATCCCATGCTCACTCACCCACACACCCCTCACCACTCTGCCTGGCTTGTCTTTGTCTTTGCAATTCCATGTCTTTGCAATTAAGAATAGTGCTGCAAATTTTATCTGGATTTATTTTAAATAAATATCAGACTATTTTTCAAATTAGGTTGTATTAAGTCTTTTTACTCCAGAATTCAATTTTATAAGAAGCAAATAACATTCATTTTGAATAATCTAGTTAATTTACTTATTATATCATCAGGATGTCACACGTAAAATGTCCTCTAGTCAAACATGGAAGCAAATATTTACATATATGTTTAATATGTGTTCTAAAATTTAATGCATTGTATTAAGGTTAATTTTTATATTATCTATCTTCCTCTAATAGACTCTGAACCTGTTTAGGACACAGTTTGTGACTTATTAATCTCTTTATCTCCACCATATTGCCTGGATGCTGGAACATGATGAGTGCCACAGAAGTGACTTGGAGTGAATGAATGAATGAATGAAATAATTTAGTGAATATTTCTGCTTGAAAACAAGATCCAGAATGGAATAAATCTTAGAAGAATGCCATTTTAAGGAGGTCTCAAACCTTGAACATAGTCAAAAGTCAATATTACTGTAGAAGGAAGCATTATGTTTCAGTGATCATTGTATACATCTCCAAATCCAGCACTCTGCTGTAAACATAGAAAGTTCTTCATAGTCTATGAATTGTATTAAATTCAATGGAGCAAATGGAGTACAGGTGTACTTTGATTCCTAAGGCTCATATTGCTCTTCATATTGGCTGCTCTATTGTAGACTAGCTGGAGATCTTCTAGGAGTTCACCCAGGTATGCACACCGAAGCTTAAAAAAAATTAACGTAAGCCAGTGTCACTGTGATTAACAGGATTCAGGTTATGTTCCTATTCACCCCTTATACTTTTTTTAATTTATTGATGCACATGTAGAGACTATAAATTGAATCCAAAATGCTTTTAATGTAAATACTATCATTCAAATAAACCAGGTGTTTTCAGAGTCCTTAATTACATCAACACTACTCAGCCTAGTTGTGGAGGCTCAAGTTGAGAAATAAATAACATAAAATTTTACCTCTGCATTTATCACTAAGTCATAAGGAGAAAATCTTCTGTTGTCTCTGCACATCCACATTTAACTCACAAACTAGGAAAACACCTCTTTCTACTCATTTCCATAGAAATATGTGAGGAGGATACACAAGTTTGGGAGCCAGATGTTAGCCATCTACATATGTTTTCACAAATCAACTTTTTATTTGCTTGATTCTACACTGTTCTAAATGCTCCCCTAGTGTCCCATGAGTGCCCTTGAAGTAGCTTTCTTATCTAGCTAACTCTGTCTTAAATTTTGTGGTACATAATTAGTAAATGATTTGCATTCAGCATTACTGATTGTAAGTTTTGGACCGACACAAACTTGAGGTAAGTTCTTCTTGGGTTTATGCAGGGATATATTAAAATAATGGAATTCTACTAATCACAGGGATATTGAGATCCATACACCTTTTTTTCAACCTTTTCAGTGGTGATATGACAGGCCTCCAACTGATTATATGGTAAATATTCAGATTAGCATTGGAAATGAGTGATGACACAGTGGCAATGACTCTCTATTTACGTCTCTGTTTTACATCTAAAGTTTAGGCCTGAAGAGCTAGAATGTATTTTAATAGTGTGGATTCTTTCTTCCATGTCTCTTGGAATACATAATTTCATTCTGCAAAGCTAAAAGAAATTGAATTAATATAATTTTATATTCTACCTTTTTATTGTTTACGATGGTCACCTCTGGCACAAAAACTAATTTAAATATTGTCATTTGAAGAAAATGAGTCAAAATTAGTGCTTCAATAATCACAAATGGCACTCGAGGGAAGAATTTGCCACTACAAAGTATTCTGTATTTCTTTTAATTTAATTGAGTAAAATCATGCATTTAGTTGTTATCTGGAAATCGAGTGTTAAACACAAATAGGTGTGTGTCTTACTTTGAGCCTTCAGACCATTTAGTGTTGGAATCCTTTTAAGTTGCAAACTGGTGAAAGGAACTGCAGTTTGGTATCCTGGTATCTCTGAGGTTCAGCAGTCTAAGTCTGGCTTATGCTCCATGTAAACAGAATTCCTTTTTCTTTAAGAACTCACATTCTGGAAGATTGGATACACTGCTTTTCTTTTTTGGTTCTTGTCAGAGCAATGCAAATTTTGGAAACCTTTCAATCTATATCTAGATGGATAGATAGGTATAATATACATTTAACATAACTCATTAAAGCAACTCTAATATAAAGGTTTCTTACATTTCTCAACAAGGGAAGTTTAAATACGGGTGCTTTAAAGAATGCCAATAGCCACAAATCACTACTTGTAATGCAATTTGTAGTAAAGCCTGATGTATACAAAGATGTTTCCTTAGCAAATATTTTAGATAGTTTTATGCTCCTGCCACTTTTTTTCATGTCAAGAGGGATATGATATGAAACATCCAATACAACTGTTATCTGAATCCAATAAGAGAAAATAATCCTAAATGTCGAGCATTTTTAAATCTGAGATTTAATTGAGAATTTACTGAATGGTGCCCTTAATGGTAAAGTCATACATAACTAATATGAGTTGTCAGAGTAATATCCATGTAGATTGTCGTAGGTTTTTAAGATATTTTCCTCTACAAAAATAGCAAAATTATAAACACAAAAGAATGCTGTATGACCTATCAAAGGTCTTCCTTTGCCTCCCTTATCTTCAGGTAATAGACTTAATAAAAGCCTAGAAACATAAATGCCAGTGTACTGTGGGGCATAACAGTACATTAAACTAAGTAGCACTAGAATACCTAAATTTTAAAATACTAACAATACCAAGGATGTGGACCTACTGTATCTCTAACATATTTCTGGAGGGAAGTAAAAATGTTCAAGCTAATTTAAAACAGTTTTACAATTTTTTAAATAGTTAACCATGCATCCACTAACTCTATTTATGTGTGCATATTTCTTTACTCTGTTCCAAGTAGATGAAATCATAGATCTATTTGTCTGTTCTTTCAGCAGTACCACACTATCTTGATTACTGTAGCTTTGTAGTAAGTCTTTAACTCAGGTAGTGTCAGTCTTCCAACTTTGTTCTCCTCCAATACTGTGTTGGCTGTTGTGGGTCTTTTGCCTTTCTACATAAACTTTTGAATCAGTTTGTTGATAGCTACAAAACAATTTGAAATTTTTATTGTGATTTTACTGAATACATAAATGAAGTTGGGAAGAAATGACATCTTAACAATACTGAGTATTCTTATCTATGGACCTGGAATATTTTTTATTTAGTTTTTTATTTCTTTCATCAGAGTTTTGTAGTTTTCCGAACACACACACACACACACACACAGACACATGTACACACACGTGTGTGTATATATATGTTTATGTTTATATATATATATATATATATATATATATCTATATATATATATCTATCTCCAAGTCTAGATAGATAGATAGATGGATTTATTCATAAATATTTCCTTTGGGGGAAATGCTAATGTAAATGATATTGTGTTGTAAATTCAAAAATTCTACTACAGTAAACTGATCTTTGAAAAAGAAGCAAAGACAATACAATGAAGGAAAGGTCATATTTTCAACAAATGGTGTTGAAGCAACTGGACATCCACATGTAAAAGATAAATATAGACAAAGACTTTATAACTTTCACAAGAAAATAACTCAGAATGAATCACAGAACTAGATGTAAAACACAAAACTATAAAACTCCTGGAAGATAACATAGACAAAATGTAGATGACCTTGGATTTAGCAATGACTTTTTAGCTATTACACCAAAGGCATGATTCATTAAAAATTGATAAACTGGACTTCATTAAAATTAAAAACTTCTGTTTCACAAAATTATCTGTCAAAGGGATTAAAAGAAAAGCCACAGACTTAGAAAAAATAATTTTCAAGACATGTATCTAATAAAAGACTATTACCTAAAATATACAAAGACCACTTAAAACTCAAGTATAAGAAAACAAACCACACTAATGAAAAATGGATCAAAGTTCTGAACAGACACCTCAAACAAGAAGATATACAGATCAAAGATAAGCATATCAAACGATGCTCCATATCATATGTAATCAGGGAAATACAAATTAAAACAACAATGAGATACCACTACACACTTATTAGAATACCCAAATTCCTGAACGCTGATATCAAATACTGGAGAGGTTGTAAAACAACAGAAACTCTCATTCATTGCTGATTGGAATGGCAAGTGGTACAGCCACTTTGGGAGACAGTTTGGCATATTCTCCACCTAAACATCCTCTTACCACATAATCCATAAACTACACTTCTTGGCATTTGCTCAAAGGATTTGAAAGTTTATATCCACACAAAAACCTGCACACAGATGTTTATAGAAACTTTATAATTGTTTAAAGCTGAAAGCAACTCATATGCCCTTCAGTAGATAAATGATTACATAAACTGTGGTACATGCAGCAATTGAATATTATTCAGTGCAAAAAATAAATAGGATATGAAGCCATGAAAAGACATGAAGAAAATTTATGCATGTTACTAAATAAAAGAAGCCAATCTGAAAAGACTACATACTGTATGATTCCAACAATATGATATTATAGAAAAGGCAAAACTATGGAGGCAGTAAAAGGATCAGTAGTTACCAGGGGATAGGGAAGAGGAAGGGAGAGGTAGGCAGAAGAAAGATTTTTAAGGCAGTCAAACTACTCTGTACAATACCATAATTGTGGATACATATCATTACACATTTTTCCAAACCCATAGAATGTACTACACCAAAAGTGCACCCTAATGTAAATTATAGAATCTGAATGATAATGATGTGTCAATGCAGGTTCAACAACTGTAACAAATGTACCACTTTGGTGGGGGATGTAGGTATGGGGAGGATATGCATGTTTTGGAGCCAAGAGTATTTGGGAAATCTGTGTACCTTTCACTCAATTTTACTGTGAATCTAAAAATGTTATTTAAAATTATAATTAAAAATTAACCATACGCTTACCATATGTATTAGTGTTCTCCAGATAAATAGAACCAAATGGATATATCTATCTATAATTAGATATAGACTTATTATGGAAATAGGTTTATGTAATTACAAAGGCTAAGAAGTTCCACTCTCTTCTCTCTGTGAACTGGAGAACAAGAAAACCCGGTAGTGTAATTTAAACTGAGTCAAAACACCTGCGAACCAGGGGAGCTGATGATGTATTCCAAATCTGAGTCTGAAGTCCTGAGAACCATGGAGGACACACTGATGTTAAGTCCAGGAATTTGAAGGCTGGAAAACCAGGAACTCTGATGTCTGAAGGTAAGAGAAAATAGATGCCCCAGCTCTAGCTCAGTGAGATCGAGAGAGAGAGAGAGAGAGAGAGAGAAAGAGAGAGTTTGTTCTTCGTCTTTTTGTTTTATTTGAGCCCTCAATTGACTTGATGATATCTGCCCATATTGGTGAGGGCAATCTTCTTTACTCAGTTTACTGATTCAAACGCTAATTTATCCTGGAAACAACCTAACAGACACACTAAAAAATCATGTTTTACCATCTTTCTGGATATCCCTTAGCCCAGTCAAGTTGTCACATAAAATTAACCATCACACTATATAATCTGGCAATTCCACTCGTAGATGTTTACCAAGACCAGTGAAAGCATATCATTAAGATGTACATCCAAATGTTTTTAGGAACTTTATTCATAACAGTCACAAAATGGAAACAATTCAAATGTTTATCAATTGGTAAATAGATAAATAAAATGTGGTAAAATTATACAAGGGAATGTTACTTAGCAATCAAAGAGCACAAGCTACCAACAGCTTTTGGTACTGGGTAGTATGATGCTGCTATAAGAAATGCCAAAAATGTGGATGTTACTTTGAAATCGGATAATGGATAGAGACTAGAAGTTTGTGGGTTTTGATAGAGAAAGCCTATATTGCCTTGTGGAGACTTTTGGTTAAA
The DNA here is from genome assembly GCF_000001405.40 of Homo sapiens. Lineage (NCBI taxonomy): Eukaryota > Metazoa > Chordata > Mammalia > Primates > Hominidae > Homo > Homo sapiens. The sequence continues at coordinate 99,377,294 of NC_000023.11, read as the reverse complement.
ATATGAAAGCGAAAGGTGATTCTGTGGAGGGCTGGAAAGAAGTGAGGTGAGCTGTAAAGAAAGCTATGGTCATCTTAGAAAATACATATCTTGTCATGAACAGAATCTTGCTAGATATATGAACATTAACAACACTTCTGATAAGGCCTCAGGCAGAAATGGAAAACAGCAGAGAAAAAAAGTAATCATTGTTAGGAAAGTGGCAGAAAACATGGCTGAATTAGTCTATCGTTCTGTGGAAATTAGAAATTATAAGCAATGAACTTGTGTATTTGGCTGAGTACATTTCCCGGCACAGCAAGAAAGGTACAGCATGGTTTCTCCCAGCTGCTTACAGTAAAATGCTAGCAGAAAGAGATAAATTGAGGAATAAAATGCTAATCATAAAGGAATCTACACTTGAATAATTTGGAAAATTCTCAGCCTATGTAGATATTATGCTCTGGAAACAGGGCCAAGAGTGAGGCTGAACAAGCTTTTGATAAAAAGATTAGGCAACTGACTTACGGATCCAATCAAATATCTTGGCAGAAACATTCCCATTATGGACTGAAGCAGGCAGAGCATTGATCCACAGATAATTGTTCTCAGGTCTTAAAAACTAATGGAATTTTTCATTCTGTGGTGCAGACTGCTTCAGACTAGTAATCTCTTTATTCCGCCAATTTTGTCTCTTTCAGATTGGAAATGTCTATTCCCTATCCCATCATTATATTTTGGAAGCAGATAACATTTGTGAACACAGATACATTTTTCCATAGATGGACCACACCCAGAGACTTATCTATACTTAATTTGGATGACATTTAGATGAGATTGTGGGCTTAGAGTTAATGTGAAATGGGTTAAGACTTTTGGGGATGTTGGGATGAAATGAATGCATTTTGCACAGGAGACAGATTGAATTTGGGGGAGTCCAAAGGTAAGACTGTACGGAGTCTGGTTAGTCCCTGAAAATCATGTCCTTTCTAGAAAGTAAGAATGTAATCTTATTTGGAAATATGGTCATTGCAGATGTAATTAGTTAAGATGCGATAGTACGGAGTAATGTGATCCTTTAATTTAATATGATTGGTGCCCTTATAAGGAAAGTAGAAGTGACAGAGAGGGATAACACCATGCATAAATGAAGGCAGGGATGAGAATGATGCATCCACCGGCCAAAGAACACCAAGGATTGTTGCACCAGAAGCTAAGAAGAACCAAGGAAAGATCTTTTCCTAGGAGTTTCAGAGAGAGCAGGAACCTGTCAATGCCTTGATTTTAGACTTCTAGCCTCTAGAAATATGAGACAATACATTTCTGGTGTTTTAAGCAACCCAGCTTGTGGTCATGGGTGGCTTAAAACATCAGAAATGCATTGTTATGGCAGGCCTAGGGAACTCATACATCAATCTGCTCGAATCAGGCAGACTTGGAATTTAATTCTTAATACCAAACATGCCCCATTACCATAAAAAATTTAAAAATTGAAATTTTAATTTTCAAGTGATAAAACAAAAAAATGCTTTCTCCAAAGGAAGGTACTATAGGTAAAGCCTTTAATTATTGAGCACAAATAAAGTTACAAGGAACATGATTTTTAAATAGAAGTTATTGTACACATTATCTATGCATGATGTTACAAATATGTATATGGATAAAAGATCCATTAACTATGAAATTGATGAATAGATTTGAATAAAGCAGAGTATGAGAAGTCTATTGATGTGATTTTTTTTATTCCATATTGTAACTAGCCTTTAGAAAACTTCCTCATGTGGCCTTTCAGTCTAGTATTGCAGAATGATACCCATAGTCTGATAATCTATGAAGATTCTCTTTTCTAGCTACATATCTATGTAAGCAGATTTTCTTCACATCCTTCAACCACCATAACACAATGCAGTGAATTGAATGTAGAATCAGATCTTAGAATCCACCTGTCTTCAGTAAGCCAGGCATTCTACATTATTCATTACATTTTTATTTTCTAAAATAAAGTTATAAAATATTATCTCAGTTAAACTATAATGGGTTTATTATACTCAAATTAAACATGAACATGATAAAACATAAAGAACTTATTACTTGTTACCTTTTAATAACAGTCAGTTGGATTATGTAAACATAGTGTTTCTGAGTTGTTACTAATGATAAGAAATAACAAATAATAACTTATTAATGCTTCATCCTGTCCTCCCCAAAGTATCTATCTACCTCTCATCCACACTTCTATCTCCTACTCTCTCATATGTTCCTAACTACACACAGTTACACATGTTAATATTTTCCCCAGCATTCCCTGACTATTCTTGCCTCACTCCATCAAGTATCCCTGTCTTTTACACCTACAATTTATCCCTCTTTCTTTTTTATTGCGGTAAGAACACACCATGAGACCTACCCTCTTAAGTCCACAATAAAGTATTGTTAACTATAGGCAACATGTTACACAGCAGAACTCCAGAACATGTACATCTTGAACAACTGAATCTTTGTTTTTATTATCAAAGCTTATTATCATGCCCAAGTCATACTTACTATTTAACAAAACAATTCAAAAAGCCTCTCTTGATTTACTGCCCCATAAGAAGCTTGTTTTGAGGGTAAGAATGGGAGAGATTTATCATACCTTAAGGCCAGGGTGAAGACTAGGGTGAAAAATGTATTATCACAGAGAATAATGAGAATAATATTTGTTGCAATAATGGCTTGAAACATAAACAAGAAGATCATAAGCCCCAAATCTTGCTATTTCCAACTTTGCCTTCTCCCAGACTTACTGGAATATTTAGATTTTCTGAAATTACCACTATTACATACTTCTTAAATATAAAAAGGCAAACATTTTAGAATTTCCTCAGGTTTAAGTTCTAGTATGATAAAGAACAATAGACATAACTGAGAGAAACAGAAGCCCTTTGAGGTCTTCAATAATTTTATGAGTTTAAATGGATCCTTGAGAATCCCTGAATTAAGCAGTACATAGAGAGAAATACACCAAGATGGTGAGCACCTGGGAACGTATTTTATTACTATTTATTTTCAAACTTTATATTTGGAAATACTTATAGACTCATGGGAATTTGCAAAGAAAGTACAGATAAGTGTCATGTACCCTTTACCCAGTTTACGTCAATAGTTAACATCTTTACTTTATATTTGGAAATACTTATAGACTCATGGGAATTTGCAAAGAAAGTACAGATAAGTGTCATGTACCCTTTACCCAGTTTATGTCAATAGTTAACGTCTAATGAAACCAGGAAATAGGCATGAATAAATTTCTGTAACCACAACTGCAATCAAGATACAGACCATTTCATTTCCATAAAAATCTCACTGATGGCGGACTACTTATAGGTACTCTATTAATAACTTCCATTTGTTGAATTTATTCCATTGCTATTTTATATATTATTTTAGAATAAATTAGTTAATGAAAGACTTTTCTTAATGTCTTAAAATTTAAAAAAATTCTGGGTTGTATGTAACAACATAAGTGTCCTAACGTTTAGTAAGATGATACTGCATTGAGATTAGGCCTCACGCCATGAATCAAAGTTTTGAAATGAAATGATGGGTTGCAAATATTATCATACCTTGATTATTCTCAAATGACAGGGAAAAGTCAAAGCCAAACAGGAATTCACTATAAAAAGTTATTTGTGGTCTAGTTTAACGTGTTTCGTTTTAGATTCAGAATGTATGTCTGAAACCATGTATACCATACTCTTGTCTCCTTTTCAAAGCAGGGATATAACTGTCTTTCCTCCCTTTCCAAGTGTTCCATAAAATCTTTCACAGATGCAAACATACTCAGCCATCCTCTGATACATTACTTTCAGTGTCAAGAAACTCACTACTTTTTGAGAAAGCCAATTTTTGTAATTTTTTTTTTTACTGTTTGTCCATGTATTGATCTAAAAATCTGTTTCAATAATACTTTCACTTTTGGATCTAGTTTTCCCTTCTGGAGTCAGAGTAAGTAATCCTGTATCTTATCCCTCAAATATTTTTTAGTAGCTTAAAATATTATCTCTTTAAGACTTTTCTTCAGGCTAAAAATCCCCATATCAACTATCTTTATGTAAACTATCAGACCCTTAGACATTTCACTTTTCTTTCTTTAGAAATGTGTCAGTTTGTTAATAAACTTTTTAAACAGAGGCAGCCCCGATAAAGCACAATTTTTTAGACTTGGTCTTACTTGTGCAGAATATGTCAAAGTGCATAATATAGCAACATTAAGCCTTGAAATGTCTTAAAAATAACCCCTTAATTTTCAGACTACATTATAATAAGAACAAATTTATTGGTGGCATATAAATAAATAATTGCAACTAGGGAAATGTCTTTTTATAAAACCAAAAGCTGAATTATTGCAGGGGTATTACTTCCATACTTATATTTCTATTGTATCAATATTAAATTGGTTTTCCTTGGTACAAAATGCAAAGGTAAATCTATTTTCTTTCTGCAAAACCAAATTTATTTTCACTTTCTCACCTTTCTGACTGAAATGTTGCATATAGCGCTAGAGCTTCTTAACATACTTATTTTATTTCCATCTTCCTACAACTCACCTGAGTCCATGCTTTGGCACTGAGAAAACTTCGTTTTGGCGACTTCTTTTAGATGAAACAGTGGAAACAACTTCCGAGGGTTTCCACTGTTACCCAGACAAAGTGAATTCATAATCCATGGGGGTGACAGCAAAAATCACAACTACTGGTGAGAGGTGACACCGTGCTGGCAGCCCCCACTCGCTCTCGGCGCCTCCTCGCCCTTGGCGCCCACTCTGGCCCTTCAGCCCACCGTTGCACTGTGGGAGCCCCTTTCTGGGCTGGCCAAGGCCGGAGCCGACTCCCTCAGCTTGCGAGGAGGCGTGGAGGGAGAGGCGCGGGCGGAAACTGGGGCTGCGCGCGGCGCTTGCGGGCCAGCGCCAGTTCCGGGGGGGCGTGGGCTCGGCTGGCCCAGCACTCGGAGCAGCAGGCCGGCCCGCAAGCCCCGGGCAGTGAGGGGCTTAGCACCTGCGCTAGCAGCTGCTGTGCTCGATTTCTTGCCGGGCCTTAGCTGCCTCCCCGCGGGGAAGGGCTTGGGACCTGCATCCCGCCATGCCTCAGTCTCCCCGCCCCGCCTCCCCGCGGTGGGCGCCTGCGCAGCCTGAGCCTCCCCGACGAGCGCCGCCCCCTGCTCCACTGCGCCCGGTCCCATCGACCGCCCAAGGGCTGAGGAGTGCAGGGCCGCGGCGCGGGACTGGCAGGCAGCTCCACCTGCGGCCCAGTGCGAGATCCACTGAGTGAAGCCAGCTGGGATCCTGAGTCTAGTGGGGACTTGGAGAATCTTTATGTCTAGCTAAGGGATTGTGAATGCACCAATCGGCACTCTGTAACTAGCTCAAGGTTTGTAAATGCACCAATCAGCACTCTGTGTCTAGCTCAGGGTTTGTAAATACACCAGTGGACACTCTGTATCTAGCTAATCTAGTGGGGACTTGGAGAATTTTTGTGTCTAGCTCAGGGATTGTAAATGCACCAATCAGTACCCTGTGAAAACAGACCAATGGGCTCTCTGTAAAGTGGACTAATCAGCAGGGCGTGGGTGGGGCCAGATAAGAGAATAAAAGCAGGCTGCCTGAGCCAGCAGTGGCACCCCCTCCGGTCACCTTCCACACCGTGGAAACTTTGTTCTTTCACTCTTTGCAATAAATCTTGCTGCTGCTCACTCTTTGGGTCCACACTGCCTTTATGAGCTGTAACACTCACGGCAAAGGTCTGCAGCTTCACTCCTGAAGCCAGTGAGACCACGAACCCACTGGGAGGAACGAACAACTCCAGATGCGCCGCCTTAAGAGCTGCCTTTATGAGCTGTAACACTCACCACGAAGGTCTGCAGCTTCACTCCTGATCCAGCGAGACCACAAACCCACCAGAAGGAAGAAACTCCGAACACAGCTGAAGGTCAGAAGGAAAAAACTCCGGACACGCCGCCTTTAAGAACTGTAACATTCACCGCGAGGGTCCGCGGCTTCATTGTTGAAGTCAGTGAGACCAAGAACCCACCAATTCCGGACACACTGGCACTATTCTAACCAACATACCTGTGTTAGTATGTTTGCATTGCTATAAAGGAATACCTAAGATTGTGTAATTAATAAAGAAAAGTTTATTTGGCTCATGGTTTTATAGGCTATACATAAAGCATAGTACAGGAATCTTCTTCCTGAGGTGAGTCTTCAAGAAGCTTATAATACTGGTGGAAGGGAAGGGGAGTCAGTGTCACACGGCAAGAGAGAGATGAAAAGAGTGAGAGGGAGGAAGTGCCAAGCTCTTTTAAACAACCAGATCTCTTGTCAACTCACATGATGAGAACTCACTCATTACCATGAGGACAACATCAAGCCATTTATGAAAGATCTGCTCCCATGACCCAAACATCTCCCACTAGTCCCCACCACCATCATTGGAAATCACATTTCAACATTAGATTTGGAGGAGACATACATTCAAAGTATATATATATCTCAATGTCAAACAACTTTAGAGACACCCCAGTTGTAAATTAGAACTATTCTTTTATGGGGGCCTTAATTCTATTTCTTGGAATTCCAGAGTTAAAATCTGAAGAGATTAGCTAGTTCATTTCCATAGCTTTCATACAGATAATCTGCTAACTATACCAGGCAGAAGAATATTTATTCTATTATCTCTTCAAAGTTTTCAAGAAAGTCATCCAGAATTCCTTCATCCTTAATTTAATTTGCAATTAGCCCTTTGTGGAGAATAAAAAGTGTTCAACACCCCTTAGAAAAAACCAAAGCATCAGATTCTGGGAAAATAGTGGTGCTGGTGGTAGCATAGTTTTTGGGTCTTCCTGAATCCCATAGGTAAACTTCCAAATTATCAGTAAGAGAGAACTTAGGAAATATTGTTCCCAGGGCTTCTTCCTAAATAATTTACAAGAGAACAAGTATCAGGCAATCAAAATAACCAGACAGATAGAAACATAAAGACTGGTAGTGAGAACTAAATATATACCCATATGAAAAATTAAGACAAAATGAGAGTTAAAAGGAAGCAATTGTAGTACAATATCGCTGTGTGCTCTGACAATATAGCTATAGTACAACTTTAATAGAAGAATGTTACAGATTGCATTTATGGGTTTTTATCTCTTATTTTTCAGTAATCATAATTAATAGTAGTAGCAGTAGTATTGTTATTATGAGACAGCTTAATGAGTAGTGTGGGATAAAGCAAATGAGCAAAAATAGGTTATTATATTTATATTATCCATTGTGTCTTGAAGACCCAGAATTCTTGATATGAAAGAAAGGAGTTAGAGGTTTAATGCAGAAAAAATGAGTTTAAGAATCATAGTCCTCAATTTAAATTTAGTTCGAGAATTTCAAATTATGGATTATGAATTCAAGAAAAAAAATGTTACCTGAGGTGGATAGGGAACTAATTCATTATCTTGAAAACTTGTTAAATCAATTTTTAACAATAATTACTTTTTTTCCATTTATATATTATCTGTGTCAAAACAAATATTACATGAGTGGAAATGTCTCTGTGTGAAACTATTCCAGTTAATAAATTAAAAACATAGATTATCAACATTTTATACCCATCAATGAATAAAATAATGAAACTGAACATTCTATGCTTCTTAGTTAAGAGTATTATATTGACCATTTATAGCCTTGCCAAAGGGATCATATCTGAATGTGATGAAACCTGTGAATCCAGCTGCCAATTTGTAGAAAACACAAAGATTAGAGGAAACTTTTGAAGTGTTTCACAATTTTGAATAAAGCAAAATCCAGGTTAAATGGTCTAAGTCTTTCAGCAGATAAATTATGAGGAAAAGAAAGGGATGGATGGGGAACTTCAGTGATGTAAGTGTGAGAAAATGAAAGCAATATGTTTTTCTAAAAGTCAAGGTAATGATTACTTTTTGGAGGGAGAAAGGAGAGGGTTATAATATGGATAAGATACCTGAAGGGGCTTCTTGAGTGGCTGACAAAAGTTCTATTGTTTGACCTGGCTAGTGCTTACAATGGTGTTTGCCTCATGATAAGGTAAGCTATAAATTAGTTTCATATAGTATTCTGCATCTATATTTTATTTTTACAAAAAAAGTAAAGCAAAAAAACCCTTATATTTTTGGAGAATTCTCTTTTTCTTTTCTGTTTAACAATCCTAATTGTTGTAACATATATTTATGAAAGCTCTTTTCCCATTCATTATATTTTCTTGGTCTTACAATTCCCAGATTCTTCCACATCAATTTTCAAATACAGAGATTACAACTGTATATGTTTATAGTCCAGCTAATATGAATACAACAGGACAAGAAATTTCCCACCTATCTTTACCTACTTTTTCTACTACCTGCTTCAGAACTATTCAAAGTGTGATTTATAGCGCATGTTGATTCACAAATCATTGCTAGTTTACAAAGAGATGAGTACAGAAGTTGAGAGTGCGTATTCAGAAATTATAGCCATTTGACAAAATTATGTTATACCTGGTCAATCTATTAAGATATTTGGGTTTATATTTGGAATGTTTTTGCGACTTTTCGCTCTTTTTTTTTCTAGGGTTATGTCAAAAGGATCTAGAAGTCAGTATTTTTTCAATAATTCATTTTATTACATTTTACAAATGTACTTTTAGACAACAGGTTGCCAACAAAAACACCCTGTTTTTTCATTGCAGATAATTGAGAAGCACTCCTTTAGAGGTTCTACTTATGTGGTATTTATTTCTACTATGCCAGACTTGAGAGAATTCAAATGGTTATTTGCCCCAGATGAAGGCTGTCTTAGTCCATTTATGATGCCTATAACAAAATGCTTGAGACTAGGTAATTTATAAAGAACAGAAATTTAGTTTCTAACAGTTCCAGAGGCCAGAAAGTCCGAGATCAATGTGCCAGCAGGTTTGGTGTCTGATGAAGAAAGTTCTCTGCTTTCAAGATGTTGCCTTGTTGCTGCAGCCTCCAGAGGGGACAAACACTCAGTCCTCATATGGCAGAAGAAATGGAAGGACAAAAAGCGACTAAGCTAGTTTCCACCAGCCCTTTTATGAAGCACTGATCCATTCATGATGGCAGAGTCCTCATGGTTAACATTTTCAAAAAGACACCACCTCTTAATACTACCACAATGAGGATTAAATTTCAACATGAATTTTGGAGAAAACACCTTCAAACCATAGCAAAAGCAAATATCTGTCTTATCTTTTTGCAATCTAACCATAATTATGCTAGGAAAATTAAGAGAAATTTCTTGTCAATTACTGTTTAAAGAAAAATACGTTATTTTAGCATGGACGATTTAAACACTGCCATATCTGAAAAAGAATAAGAATGCTCAAAATATGTCATGATGAAGTTAATGCACTCTTAGTTCCATGGCTCTTTAAATGTTTTTAATATGCATGCTGAAGGTATTTATACAGAAGAAAGAAAGACAAGAAAGCCATTTTTATGTTAACATTAATATAATGCCTCTAGCCAATTTGTGGATTTTTTTCTGATTTAAAAGAAAAATATTTCATTGCACAAACAGTAGAATATGCAGATTAACTAAGGAAAAATTAATATTACATAAACCTACCCCTTAAAGGTAATCACTCTTAATATGTTTTGTGCATGTACTTCCAATCTCAATCTCAATCTCTCTCACCCATCTATCTCCACACACACACACACACACACACACACACACACATACACATAACCCACATGAATATACATATAAAATTCTCACATATCATTTTTTAAATACGAGGATTATATTTAAAAAAATAATTTCTTATTCCCAATAGGCAACTCTTCTTTATTCATCCTATGTACAGTCTCAGTTTTCACCAAGTGACTTTACTTGCATAAAAGCCTTGTTAAGAAGTGTGAACTTTATTAAAAATTTTGTAGAGGAGCTAGGAGAGAGAATTTATATCACATCCCTAAATTCCCCTGCGTCCCTGACTACTACACCCAGTGATCACTTACATAGAGAAAACAATATAAAATTTGTTTCATATGTTTTTGTTTTTTAAAGTTTCTTCTTGGTCAAGCTTAGAACAGGTATATATGATTTTTCTTCCTATACTTCCTTACTAGCTCATTTCTACCCCTCCGGGATTTTCCCAACATAATTTCACCTGCTGTACCATGTGCTTTGCAGAATAATTAAATTATGTCTTACCTGCTACCTGCTACCACAGTTTTCATGATCATTTCCATCAAGGTGCTCAGCAAAGCAAAGGTCCTCCAGTAAACAGGATTCAGCATTTTCCTAAAGGCGATACAATTTAGAAATAGTGTTTATTATTATGCTGTTTTTTCATTGAGAACCTTAGCATTTCCATAGATTCATATAATTTTGGCCACATTATCCCTAATTCCTAAATATTCAGTCTTTAGATGTACCATAATTTATTTAACTAAGTTCTCATAGTAGGTAATTTTTTAATAAATTGCTTTATTTTGAAATAGTTTGCACTGAACATACCTTAGAAAAATACTGGAGGCTATTAATTACTGCCTTGATTTCAGAACTTGTTATTGATCTATTCAGGGATTCAACTTCTTCCTGGTTTAGACTTGGGAGGGTGTCTGTGTCCAAGAATTTATCAATTTCTTCTATATTTTATAGTTTATTTGTGTAGAGGTATTTATAGTATTCTCTGATTGTAGTTTGTATTTCTGTGGGATCAGTGGTGATATCTCATTTATCATTTTTTATTGCATCTATTTGATTCTTCTCTCTTTTCTTCTTTATTAGTCTGGCTAGCGGTCTATCTATTTTGTTGATCTTTTCAAAAAACCAGCTCCTGGATTCATTGATTTTTTGAAGGTTTTTCCATGTCTCTATCTCCTTCAGTTCTGCTCTGATCTTAGTTATTTCGTGTCTTCGGTTAGCTTTTGAATTTGTTCGCTCTTGCTTCTCTAGTTCTTTAAATTTGGCGTTATGGTGTTGATTTTAGATCTTTCCTGCTTTCTCTTGTGGGCATTTAGTTCAATTATTAAATGCCTTGTGGTAGTCTTTTTTGTGTTAAATATGCTTGGTGTTCTATACCTTTTTTGAATTCAGATATGGATATCTTTCTCTAGGTTTAGGAAGTTCTCTGTTATTATCTCTGAATAAACCTTCTACCTCTGTTTCTTTCTACACTTCCTCTTTAAGGCCAATAACTCTTAGATTTGCCCTTTTGAAGCTGTTTTCTAGATGCTATATGCATGCTTCATTATTTGTTTATTATTTTTTCTTGTGTCTCCTCTGAATTTGTATTTTGAAATAGCTGTCTCTAAATTCAATAATTCTTTCCTCTGCTTAATCAGTTCTCCTACTAAAGGACTCTAGTCTATTCTTCACTATGCCAGTTAAATATTTCAGCTCCAGAAATTCTGCTTGATTCTTTTTAATTATTTCAATCTTTTATTAAATTTATCTGATAGAATTCTGAATTCCTTCTCTGTGTCATCTTGAATTTCTTTGAACTTCCTCAATTCAGATATTTTGAATTCTCCATCTGAAAGGTCATATATCTCTGTTTCTCCAGGGTTGGTCCCTGGTGCTTTGCTTAGTTCACTTGATGAAGTCACATTATCCTGGATGGTGTTGACGTCGGCAACACCATCCAGGATAATGTGTTTGGGCATTGAAGAGTTAATTGTTTATTGTAATCTTCACTGTCGGCTTGTTTGTACCCATCCTTCTGGAAGGCTTTCCAGATATTTGAAAGAACTTGGGTGTGGCGATCTAAGGTGTATCTGCTTTAGGGGGCACCCCAAGCCAAGTAATGCTGTGATTCTTTCAGATTCATAGAGGTACCACCTTGACAATCTTGGACAATATCCAGGAGAATTATCTGGAATACTGATCAGAGACTCTTGTTTTTTTCCCCTTACTTTTTTCAAATAATTAAAGTATCTCACTTTCTGTTCTGAGCCATCTAAGACTAAGGGTTAAGTGACACAAACACTCCTCTGGCCACCACCACTATGACTGCACTGAGCCAGACCTAAAGCCAACACAGCATTGAGTCTAGCCCAATGCCTGCTGTAACCACTCCCTGGCTACTGCCTATGTTAGCTCAAGCCCTGCAGCTCTGCAATCAGCAGGTGGCAAAGCCAGGCAGGCCTGTGTTCTTCTCTTCAGGGCATTAAGAGTTCTAGGTTACAGTTGGGTTCAGAGGTGCCACCCGGGGTCAGAAATTAGAGTCAAAAACCTTAGAAGTCTACCTGGTGTTTTACTGTTCTGTGGCTGAGTTGGCATTGAAACTACATGATGCAATCCTTCCAACTCTTCCTTCCCCTTTTCAAAGTCTGAGAAGACTTATCCCATAGCCACCGCCACCATAGGCCACGGGGAGTTCTGCCAGACTACTGCCCATATTCTCCTAAGGTCCAAGGGCTCTAAAGTCAGCTTGTGGTAAATGCTGCCTGGCCTGGGGCTTGCCATTCAGGGATGTGAGCTCCCCTCTGGCCCAAGGCAGGTCGAGCGATGCCATCCAAGAGTAAAGCCCTGAAATCAGGGACCCTGAAAGCCTACTTGTTGCTCTACCCTCCTCTGGCCATACTGGTACCAGAGTTGCAAGGCAAAGTACCCTTTACTTTTCTCTCTGCTTTTCTCAAGCAGGTACAATTTTGCTCTGTAGCCACCGCAGCTGGCAATGTTCTGAATCTCACATTAATCCAGCAAGTCTGAGGCTCACTGAAGGCCCGTGATGTAGTACCTGGACATCGCTGCTGATTGTTCAGGACCCAAGGACTCCTGAGTTAGCAGGTGATAAATGCTAGGTTATTCCCTTCAAGGCAGAGTTCCCTTCCTGCTCAGAATGTGTCTAAAAATCTCATGTGGGAGCTAGGTCCTGGAACAGGGGCCTCACAACTGAACAGCCCCCTATTGTGCTGTGGCTGAGCTGGTATCTTGGATGTAAGAAAAAGTTCTTTCCATGCTTCCCTCTCCTTTATGCAGAAAGAAGGGGTCTCTTTTGGAGCTGTGAGCTCTGAATTACGGGGTTAGTGGAGTGGTGATGCCAGCACTCCCTTGGCTGCTCCAGCTGGTTTCTCAGTACGTCATGTGCGCCCCCACCCATGCCACCGTCTCTGGGCCAAATTCCACACTAAGACTCATCTAAGATTTGCAGACTTTATGGCCCAGATTGCCTTTCAGGTTTACTTGGAGACACAGAGTGCTGTAGCCCTCTGTGGTGAGGTTTGCAGGCACTCAAGTTCAGTCCACTGTGATTGGTGATTCCCCTCTGGCTAGGGCTGCTTTAAATGCTCCCTCTGTGATCAGGCATCAGCTGCATTTGGTCCAATTTTCCTTTCTGTTCTGATATGACAGCATTGAGTTCAATGTCTCACAATTTCTATGTTCTTCCTCCTCCCGCACCCAGAGAGGCTCTCTGCACCAGCATGCCACTGTGTGTGTGTGTGTGTGTGTGTGTGTGTGTGTGTGTGTGTGTGGGCGGGGAGGGGGTGGTGATATAAGTAATTCAAGACTGTTTTTTTTTTCTGTTTTCAGTGCCTCTTTCAGGAATACATAATTAAAACCAGGTACTACGAGGGCTCACCTGATTTTTGGTTCCTATGAGGGTGCTTTTTCTGTATAGACAGTTGTTAAATTGATGTCATTGCAGGGATGATGATTGGTGCAGCATTCTATTCTGTCATCTGGCGCCATCTCCCATTTCTTTTATACAGAGTGCTCTATTCTATTTTATCAGAAAATGTCTATGAGCTTTCATTGTTACAACAAATACTATACACTGTTTGTGAGACAGATATAGTAATGAGCAAGACAGACTCATGCTTTCTGTCATTGAGTTTCCAGTCTATTGCAAAAGAAAGAGGTAAACGGTCATTACAACTAAGTCATGTGAATGTGGGAGAAGAGATTCCTGTAAGATCACATAACATAGCCACCTAAATCAGCATGGTGAGGTATTAGAAGCCTCCTGAGTAAATAATATCTAAGCTAATCACCACTTTGTATCAAGTATGATAGATTGCTCAATCATGCAGGACTGACTTAGAGGAAGTCACTTAAATTACTGTGTCTAAGGATAGTTTGGGTGGGGGTATTTCTTTTTCATTTCTGGTGCATAAATAAAAACAAACTATAGTTTAAAATAACAAAAATTTATTTACTCATAATTCTGTAGGTTGACAATTTGAGCTGTATTCAGCTAAATCACCTTATCTCTGCCCCTTATGGTCTCCACTGGTCTTACACATAGGATTGATGCCTTATCTGGGAGGCTGGAAAGTCTGGTATAACTGATATTGTTGGATAAGTGTGCCTCTCTCTTCACATGGTCACTCATCCTAAAAGAGGCTTACCATGATTTTCACATGGCAACAGTGTTCCAACAGAGTGAAAGTGAAAACTGCAAGCTTCTTGAGACCTTGCATAATCTCATCTTTTTCTCATTCAATTGGTGAAAGCGAGTCACAAGGTCAGCACAGATCCAAAGGGTAGAAAATAGACTCCACTACTTATAGGAATAGCTAAAAATATTTGCTATTTGTGAGCTATTTCATTGAGAAAGGAAAAACTATGTATCCATAAACTTGTGTTTGAATGTTTCAGTTTTCTCAAGGACAGTCAACTGACTTAAAAAAATAGCCTCATGAAAGCTCTTGGTGCTGCTTGGCAATCTGACTTCAGTTCCCTAATTTGTTCACTCCTCCACTCACCTGGATGACTGTTTCACACTTTCTTCTCTCCCCATAAATTTTCTTATCTTCATTTCCAGTATTTATCACCTGCTGGTGAACTTGTTTCCTAATCCACACACATAAACACACACACACACACAGTTCTACTGCCACTATTCATTTACTCCAAATGACTGTACTATATCTGCTGTATTTCCACCTTTCACAATGTATAAAATGTCTCTACTTTTATAAAAAGTAAAATATTCAACTTATGAATAAGATCTTATCCTCTACTGCCTAATCAGGGACATTGGTCAGACCTCAGTCTTCATCTTAATCTATCAGCAGCGTGTGATAAAGTTGATTCATCCCTTCTCCAGAAACATTTTTGTAATTCATAAAACCTCACTATCATTATGGTTTTCTTTCTACATTTCTGTCATCTTTAGCTCAGTTTCCTTTACTGATTTCCCCTCCTTGCCAACATCATGTTAAAATACCCTGGTATCACTCCTTGAACATTTTATTTTCTTAAAACCCACACACTGCCTTGGGGATCTCATCCAGTCTCAGTGATTTAAATATTTTCCATACTTTGATAATCATCAAATGTATAAATCCAATCTATAATTATTTGAAGATAAAATTCTATATCTTTAGACTCATATATCACACATGAATACCTGATAGATACCTTAAACATAACATGTTTCCTCCCCCCAAAAAATGCTTCTAGTGTTTCCCTCAAACCTACTATTTTCATATACTTACCTAGTTTTTAAAATGTCAATCCTATTTTCCCACTTGCTCAAAAGGAATTCTTAGAGGAATCCCTGATTACCCTTTCTCTTATACCTCCCATCTAATCAGTGAGAAAATTATTTTGACTCTGTCTTTAAAATACATTCAGAATTTGTTGAATTTCTATTACTTATGTTGCTACAATTTTTGGTCAAATAACCATAATTTATTACCTATATTTCTACAATAAATTTTAAACTACAAAATCTACTTCCACACTTGCTGCCCTTTGGTCTGTTCTTAACACAGAAGCTATAGTGATCCTTTACAAATGGAAGTTAGGATTTCTGGCTTTGCCTGTTTATAGAAAGTTGGAAGGAGAATCATTCCCAAAGTAAAGAACACAAAATAAAACAGAAAATCTAAAAAATAATAACATTTCTTGAGCTCATCAAAAAACTGAAGTAAACCTAAGGAAAAGAAAGGTATCTTTCAGGAAATACTAAAATCACATATTTGTTTACCAGCAGCAGAGCATGGAAGAAAGATAGCACTGCTATAGAAATAGGGGAGAATATTTAAAATATACTTTTACACTAATTTCTAAAGGCTTAGTGTAGGTTAGTATTACAGTATAGAAATTCTGGAAGCTGGAGATGTAGGGCAGTTTGCACCCACTTCCTGTCTGTTATTCATGAAACTTACAGTGCCCTCATGAAAAGTACGGGGCCTAGAGTGGGATAATAGACAGAACTACTCTCATTGCTACAAGCCTGGAGGAAAATATCAGTGTCAGTTGAGGAAAGTCAAGACACCCTGCTTAGATCTTTATCCACTATGTTTCTACAGAACATAAGTCTCAAGTCACTGTAGAAAGGATAGTAAAATCTGTCTCCCCTAGGACACATTTGAAGTTCTATTACTGGATAAAGGAAAAAAGAAAACAAAATAGACATAAAAATTCTCTATCCCTGCAAAGAGGTGCAGGAAATCATCCTGAGCTTAGACCATTACCCATCCACTTTTACTAAAGGAAAGACAAAAACAGAACTCCGTTAAAGACACAAGGCAGGGTTTCACTGTTGTAGATACGAAGTATCATTGAGAAAATACCACTCCCAAAAATCAGGGATACAGGCCCGCGTAGGTCTGACAATGAACCAGGATAACAGGGAAACCTCCAACAACTTCTGCCCAATACACCAGCAAACACTGCATAACATGCAGTAACACACTACCTCTGGGGGATTAAGCAAGAGTGCAGAGAGATTGCTGCTCTCTGAGGCTCTGGCTCACAGGTAAAGGCTAAAACTGTTGATGGAAATGGAAAAGTGAGAAAAAATTTTAAGTAACCAATTTTTTTATCCTAAGCACAATGCAAAACTAGAGGCATTTAAAGAGTTTAGTGCACCACAGGTAAACAATAAAACAGAAATGCAGTTCAGCTCCTGACTAGATTGATTCAATCACATAACAGTAAAGACTTAGCGACAATAGAAGCAAAAGAAATGTCCAAATTTCCAAGAACAAGAAATATTTACCTCTGAATTCACTGTTGTATACATAATGTCCATCATTAATAAAAAAATGAGTCACATGATAAGGAAAAAACATTATGAGAAACAAAATTATCAATAAGACTGATTTGGCTCAAAAGGTGGTATTAGAAGAGAAGACTTTTAAAATAACTGATTAACAAGTTGAAGGCTATATATGGAAAATAATTACAGCATGCATAAACAGATGGGCAATTTCAGCAAAGAGATGTAAAATATGAAAAAGGAATCAAATGGAAATGCTTAAAACAGAAACATAATATTAAAGATAAAGCATATGTTTGACGGGCTTATCAATAAACTTGATAAAGCAGAAGAAACACCAAACTTTAAGATGGGTCAATAGAAATTATCCATAGCAAAACACACAAAAGGGAATAAGACGTCCAGGATATCAAACATTAGGACAATATCAATTAAGTTATGTGTAATTGGATTCCAAGAAAAAAGAGAGAATTAAGCAGAAGAAATATTTGAGAAGACTACAACTGAAAACTTTCCAAAAGTGATGAAAAACATACCACTCCAAGAATGTCAGATAACAGCAAGCATAATAAATGCCCCAACCACACAAACCCTGTCTTTCTTTCTCATACACACATGCACACTCACATGCAAAAATACACAGATATACATAATATTTAAACTGCTGAAAATAAAAAAAAAAGCTTTCGAGATATCAGAAGGTGAGAGATCACATCACTACAGAAGAACAAATATAAGAATAACATCAGGTTTCTTTCTTGTCATAAACTACAAAAAACAGTCAAAAGAGTGGTATCATTACAATACTCAAAGAGAAAAATAACCAACAAGTCTGTATTCAATAAAAATGTTTCAAAAATGCAGAAATAGACATTTTCAAGGAATCTAAAGCGAAAATCACTCATTGTAGACAGAATTGCACTTTAAAAGATGTTAAATAAAGTTATTCGAAGGAGATATAATACCAGAAAGACACTTGGATCCTTAGAAAGAAATGAAGACTGCTGGAAATGGTAAATATTAAGGTCAATATAAAATTAATTTTAAGTTGCTTTTAATCACTCTAAAGATAATTGATTACTAAGCACAAAAATAGTGACAATATAATGTGTGTTTATACAAAATGTAAAATTAAAATAAATGAGAAAAAATCACAAAACATAGAAAGGAGAAAGAGGGACTACATGTATTGTTGCAAATTTCAGATACTATATATAAAGCAGTACATTATTTGAAGGTAGATTGTGATTAAATAAAGATGTATGTCAGGAACTTTAGAGTAACCAATAATAATTTAAAGATTTTTAAACTTAAACAACATTTAAGATATAAAATTTATATCATTTAAGATATAAATAACATTTAAGATATAAAATTAAATATAATGAGATAAAATTGAATTATAATAGTGACTTAATATAAAGAATAAGAAAAAAGAATAAAAAATGATTAGAAAAATGACAAATTTTAAACCAATCATATCTACAGTTATATTAAATATTAATGGCCTATGTATACTAGGTAAATACAGAGATTGCCAGACTGAACAGACAAGAGTCAACAATATGCTGTTTACAACAAATTGACTTTAAAACAAAAGCATAATTAGGATAAAAGTAAAAGGATGAAATATTCTGGCAAACAAACTCTAATCCAAAGAAAATTCAGTTGAATTTATTGATATCGAAAAACATAGGTTTCAGAAGATATATTATCAGGAATAAAAAAAGGATGTTACACAATGATAAAGTCGTTCAGTTTATCAAGAAGATGCAAAAAATATGAATTATCGATACACATAAAAATATGGAGTTTAAAAGTACACGAAGCAAAAGAAAATGTTGAATGAAAAGATAAAAATATCAAAACATATATGGAATGGAAACGTTAAAACTTTCAGTAATTAAAAAAACAAGTAGACAGAAAATCAAGAAAGATATATAAAACATGAGAAACACTTTCTATTTTATTTTATATTATTTTATTTTAAGTTCTGGGATACATGTGCAGAATGTGCAAGTTTGTTACACAGGTAAATGTGTGTCATGGTAGTTTGTTGCACCTATCAACCCATCACCTACGTATTAAGGCCAGCATGCATTAGCTATTTATCCTGATGGTCTTCCTCCCCCGATCTCCAACCAACAGTCCCTAGTGCACGTTGTTCCCCTCCTTGTGTCCATGTGTTCTCGTTGTTCATCTCCCACTTATAAGTGAGAATATTTGGTGTTTGGTTTTCTATTCCTGTGTTAGTTCGCTGAGAATAATGGCTACCAGCTCCATCCATGTCCTTGCAAAGGATATGATCTCATTCCTTTTTATGGCCGCGTAGTATTCTATAGTGTGTATGTACCACATTTTCTTTATCCAGTCTATGATTGATGAGTATTTGGGTTGATTTCATGATTTTGCTATTGTGAATAGTGCTGAAATGGACATATGCATGCATGTATCTTTATAACAGAATGATTTATTCCTTTGCACATATACCCAGTAATAAGATTGCTGGGTCAAATGGTATTTCTGGTTCTAGAACTTTGAGGAATCACCACACTGTCTTCCACAGTGGTTGAACTAATTTACATTCCCACCAACAGTATAAAAGGTGGGAATTTACATTCTGCATAACCTCACCAGAACCTGTTGTTTCTTGAATTTTTAATAATCACCATTCTGACTGATGTGAGATGGTATCTCATTGTGGTTTTGATTTGCATTTCTCTAACAGTGCAGTTGAGCTTTTTCTCATATGTTTGTTGGCCACATTAATGTCTTCTTTGACAAGAGTCTACTCATGTTCTTTGCCCACTTTTTAATGGGGTTTTTTAAATGTAAATTTGTTAAAGTTCTTTGCAGATTCTGGATATTGGAACTTTGTCATATGGATAAATTGTAAAAATCTTCCCCCATTCTCTAGGTTGTCTGTTCACTCTGATGATAGTTTCCTTTGCTGTGCAGAAGCTCTTCAGCTTAACTAGGTCCCATTTTTCAAGTTTTTCTTTTTTGGCAATTGCTTTTGAAATTTCTGTCATAAAATCCTCGCCTGTGCCTATATCCTGAATGGTATTGCCTAGATTTTCTATTAGGGGTTTTATTTTGAGTTTTACATTTAAGTCTTTAATCCATCTTGAGTTAATTTTTGTATAAGGTGTAAGGAAGGGGTCCAGTTTCAATTTTCTGCATATGGCTAGCCAGTTCTCCCAGCACCATTTATTAAATAGAAAATCCTTCCCCCATTGCTTGTTTTGATTTGTCGAAGATCAGATGGATGTAGATGTGCAGTCTTATTTCTGAGTTCTGTTTTCTGTTCCATTGGTCTATGTGTCTGTTTTCGTGCCAGTAACATGTCTGGGTTACTGTAGCCTTGTAGTATAGTTTGAAGTTGGGTAGCACAATGCCTCCAGCTTTGTTCTTTTTGCTTGGGATTTTCTTTTCTATACAAGCCCTTTTTGGGTTCCATATGACTTTTAAAGTAGATTTTTCTAATTCTCTGAGGAATGTCAATGGTAAATTAATGGGAGTGGCATTTAATCTATAAATTATTTTGTGCAGTATGGCCATTTTCATGATATTGATTCTTCCTATACATGAGCATGGAATAATTTTCCATTTGTTTGTGTTCCCTCTTATTTCCTTGAGGAGTGGTTTGTAGTTCTCCTTGAAGTGGTCCTTTACTTCCCTTGTTAGCTGTATTTGTAAGTATCTTATAGGAACGCTGCGATTTTTGCATATTGATATTGTATTCCGAGACTTTGCTGAAGTTGCTTATCAGCTGAAGAAACTTTTGGGCTGAGATGATGGGATTTCTAGATATAAACTCATGTTATATGCAAAAAGAGACAGTTTGACTTTCACTCTTCCTATTAGAATATGCTTTATTTCTTTATCTTGCCTGTTTGCCCTGGCCAGAATGACCAATGCTACGTTGATAGGAGTGGTAAGAGAGAGCATCCTTGTCTTGTGCTGGTTTTCAAGGGAAATGCTTCCAGCTTTTTCCCAGTAAGTATGATATTGGCTGTGGGTTTGTCATAAAAGGCTCTTATTATTTTAAGGTATGTTCCATCAATACCTAGTTTACTGAGAGTTTTTAATATGAAGGGATGTTGAATTTTATTGCAGGATTTTTCTATGTCTATTGAGGTAATAATGTGGCTTTTGTATTTAGTTCTGTTTATGTGATGAATTACATTTATTGATTTGCATATGTTTAACCAGCCTTGTATCCTGACGATGAAATCCACTTGATCATGGTGGATAAGCTTTTTGATGTGCCGCTGGATTCAGTTTGCCAGTATTTTATTGAGGATTTTTGCACTGATGTGAATCAGGGATATTGGCCTGAAGTTTTCTTTTTTGTTGTTGTTATGTCTCTGCCAGGTTTTGGTATCAGGATGATGCTGGCCTCATAGAATGAGTTAGGGAGGAGTCCTTCCTTTTCAATTGTTTGGAATAGTTTCAGAAAAAAGCAGTACCAGCTCCTCTTTGTACCTGTAGTAGAATTTAGCTGTAAATCCATCTTGTCCTGGTCTTTTCTTGGTTGGTAGGCTATTTATTGCTGCCTCAATTTTGGAATTTGTTATTGGTGTATTCAAGGATTCAACTTCTTTCTGGTTCAGTCTTAGGCGGGTGTATGTGTACAGGAATTTATCCATTTCTTCTAGATTTTCCAGATTATTTTTAATTTTTTGTTGTTGTTGTTTTAAGGAGTGGAGAGTTTAATAGGCAAGAAAGAAGGAAGAAGCTCCCCTGTACAGAGACAAAGGGAGAAGGGCTCCAAACCAAGTGAGGAAACCTCGTGTGCAGTGGAAAAGTGGCTGCTTATATGAGGAGTCTGGTGGAGGTGGTGTCTGATTTGCATAAGGGTCAGAGGATTGGTTTGACCAGGCACTTGATTTATGTAGCCTGTGAAAAAACTGGCCCTCCCACCCTAGCCTTTCGATATGCAAATATAGGGCACCATGATGTTTGATACACATGGGGATATGTGTGGGCAGCCATGTTGCCAGGCACATGTGGGGGCAAGGGCAAGAAGAAGATGGTGGGAATCGCCATGTTTGTGTGGACCCAGTTTCTAATGGCCAGCATTTGCATATCAAAGCTTGGCAGTCTGGCTCTAAGAGTTGGGGCTTTCCTGCTAGACAAGAAACATTTCTGGAGCTGCTTTAAAATAAACAAAAAGTTCCCAAGGACCCCTTTTCCTCTCTATCTGCCTAAAATAATTTCTCAATGACTCCTATAACATTCCCCCCTGTGGAACATAGAAGTATTTATAGTATTCTGTGATGGCTGTTTGTATTTCTGTGGGGTCAGTGGTAATTTCTCCTTTATTGTTTTTTATTGTGTCTATTTGATTCTTCTCTCTTTTCATCTTTATTAGTCTAGCTAGCAATCTATTGATTTTATTAATTTAAAAAATAGCTCCTTGATTTGTTGATTTTTTGAAGGGATTTTTGTGTCTCTGTCTCCTTCAGCTCCATTCTGATATTGATTATTTTTTGTCTTCTGCTAGCTTCTGGGTTTGTTTGATGAGCAGCACTTTAAACCAATTTGACTGAATTGACATTTATAGAACACTTCACCCCAAAATAGATTTCACGTTCTTTATATGAGGTCATAAAACATAATGATGGTATACCATATTCTGGGTCATAAAATAAACCTTAGTAAATGGAAAATAACTAAAATCATTCATAGCATGTTATTTGACCAGAAGAGATTTAAACTAGAAATGAATTTAAGCAAAAATCTGGAAAATACTCAAATATTTTTAAGATTAAAAAATACTTCTAAAACTCTCATGGGTCATCTGAGGAACTCAGAGCCCTGCAGAAAAGGTAGATGGGGGTGCTTTTCTGATCTTATCACCCCTGCAAGAGTCTGCTGATTGTCAAACTATTGGGGAGCTTGCGTGCCCTCAAGACCTAGGGCAGTACTGTCAGTGGCAATTTGGAAACTTCTGAGGCACAGGGAACTGGGTGGCCAGCTCACACAGGTAGGCCCACACTCCCCTCACACCTAAAGTGAGATGGTAGGCACCATACTGGTTGTGTACCTGGGGTGGGCCACTGCCCAACCTAGGGACTCTCTGTCCTTCATAAACTGCATTACCAGATCCCCTGCAAACATACCCCACCACCCGTTCTGTCTTTGGTAAGTACAAGATAAGTACAAGATATTAGTGGATCCCTAGGGAGCTGTAAGACCCATAGACGTCTAACTCTTAGTGTGAGCTTTCCCTACGGGAGGGAGAACACAACCTGCCAAAGCCCCCTTGGGGACAAAGAAAACATGGGCATGGCACCAAATGCTGAAGGGGATGGCACTGGTGGCCAGTAATAGACATGGAAAGGGAGTCATCCTGCTCCCCTGTCTACTGTTGTGATTGCAACAGAGGTACCCCCCTCTGGGGGGCACTGCTTATGCACTTGCAGAAAACACTTTGTGTGTGTGTGTGTGTGTGTGTGTGTGTGAAGGATCCATCCACCTTGAAAGTGTGTCTGTGCCTACTGGGCTTGCATAAAGGGCAGGGCCCAACTCTCCCTCCCTACACAGAATTCCAGTATCTTGTCAACAGAAGGCAGACAAACAACAGAATTGTCAAATCTGGACAGGGCAAAGAGGCTCTGCCCTAAACCCATTAGTGCATTAGCCACCAGAAGGACTTATTGTGGTTTGCAGCCACATTGTGGCTTGGAGCCAAAGGACAAAGTCTATTCCAACTGGAGGTCGTGACCTCTGTGATAGGGTTGCAATAGAGAAGTAGATGACATTCCTAACTGCTGAGGACAGACTTGGTGCACACACCTGCTGCTTCCCCAGAGATTTCAGTGAACCTCAACATGATCTTCACCTACCAATCTGCCCCCTTGCAGGATGGGTGCTTCCATTCATAATCAGCCTGCCTGGGTGTGAGCTGGCTCTACTCATAAGTGTCAGCTAATGGACTGATGTCTGAACTGAACCACCAAACCAAAATCCTGCTGCCACAAGGACATAGTGCTAGTGCAAGAGATAAGCTTTCTGAGAACTCTGCAGTCTCTGCCTCACAAAATATAGTGTGCTGGCTCATATGTCCAATATGTTACCACAACAAGCAACCTCTGAGAAAGCCACTGCACAGCAGCTGTCCACAACAAATGAATTCATACAGAGCCTTGGTTCCCAGAAAGCACCCAGAAACAAGGCTGAATGATCAAACACAACATACATCACAGTCACACCCTCTAGGGAAAAAAGAATAAAAAATTAAAACACCAAATCCAATCAATAGCAAAATCAAAAGAAGTAACATCCTTCTCAGATGAGAAGAAATCAGTAAAAGAACTCTGCCAGAACAAAACGACTGAGTGTCTGGACAAGCCCAAAAGATCATATTAGTGCTCTGGCTATGGATTCTAACCAAAATAAAAAATCCGAAACGGTAGGTAAATAATTCAAAATAGAGATTGCAAGGAAAGTCAATGAGATCCAAGAGAAAGTTGAAAATTAAAACAAAAAAACAGAAAAGCAATTTAGGATATGAATGATGAAATAGTTATAATAAAAAAAATTTCTGCAATTAAAAAATTCACTAAAAGAATCTCAAAATACAACTGGAAGCCCTGACAATAGACTAGACAAAACAGAAGAAATAATTTCAGAGTTCAAAGACCAGTCTTTTGAATAAACAGAGCCAGACCCCCAAAAAGCATGAAAAATATATGATTATGTAACGTGACCAAACCTATGAATTACTAGCATTGCTGAGAGAGAAAAAATATAAGCAAGCTGGAAAACATATTAAAGAGAATAATCCAGGAAATTTACTCTAATCTTATTAGAGAGGTCAACATCCAGATACGAGAAATTCAGAGAACATCTGCACGATACTATACAAGATGGCCATCACCAAGGCATACAGTCCTCAGACTATCCAAGGTCAATGTGAAAGAAAAATGATCAAAAGAGCTAGAAAAAAAGGGTTAAATTAACTAAAACAAAAATTCCATCAAAATAAAAATTGAATTATTAGCAGAAATTGAACAGTCCAGAAGAGATTGGGGCCTATTTTCAGCCTTTTTAAAGAAAAAATACCAAGCAATAATTTTATAGACTTCCAAACTAATCTTCATAACATATGGTGAAATAAAGTCTTTCCCAGACAAGCAAAGCTAAGGGAATTCATTCCCACCATACCAGTCCTACAAGAAATGCTCAAAGAAATTTTAAACATGAAAAAAAGACAACATTTGCTACCATAAAAGCACAAGTAATACAAGTTCACAGATCTTGTGTAGCAATTACACAATTGAGGCTACACAGCAACAAGCTAACAAAACTGTGGCAGAAATAAACCCTCACATAATAATATTAACATTTAATATAAACAGCCCTAAATGTGCCACTTAAAAGACATAGATTGGCAAATTGTAATTAAAAAAAAAAACACCCAACAATCTATTGCCTTCAAGAGACCATCTTACAGGTAATGTCACCCACAGCCTCAAAGCAGAGAGGTAGAGAAAGATCTATCATGTAAATGAGAAACCAAAAAAAGCAATGGTTGATATTCTTTTATCATATAAAACAGACCTTAAATCAAAACACAGTAAAAAAATGACAAAGAGCATTTTATGATGGTAAAGGGCTCAATTCAATGAATTTAACTATAATAAACTCATAAAAATTAAGGTAGGAGTCAAAACATTTCTAAACAAATTAAATAGAAGCACTACAAATGAAAACCTCTGGGATAGAGCAAAAAAGGTGTTAAGGGAAAGTTTACAGAACTAATGTTCCATTAGAAAGAGAAAGGTCTCAAATTAACAACAAAATGTCATACCTAAAAAACTAGAAAACAAGATCAAACCAAACTCAAAGCTAGCAGAGAAAAGCTGTAATGTGATCAGAGCAGAACTAAATAAATTTGGGACCAAAAGTCATACAAAGGATTAATAAAATGAAAAGTTTATTCTTCAAAAGGATAAATAAAATTGGTAGACAACTAGCTGGATTAACCAAGAAAAAAAGAGAAGATTCAAATAAGCACAATCAGAAATGATAAAGACATTACAACTCTTACCTCAAAAATACAAAATTTCCTCGACTCTGTGAGCATCTATATGTGTACAAACTGTAAAACCTATAATACATGAATAAATTTATATAAACAGAACCTCCCAAGTTTGAAGAAGAAAAATATTAAATCCTGAACAGAACAATAACTAGTGATGAAATAAAATTAATACAAAATCTACCAAATAAAAAAAGAAAAAAAAAACAGATCGATTCACAGCCAAACCCTACCAGACATACAAAGAGCTGGTACCAGTATTCCTAAAACTATTCCAAAAAATTGAAGAGGATGTATTTCTCCCTCACTAATTCTACAAAACATGTATCATTCTGATATGAAAATCTGGCAAGGACACAACAAGAACAAAAAAAGAAAACAAGAGTCTAACATTCCTGATGAACATAGATGGAAAAATTATCAACAATATACTAGCTAATTAATCCAGCAGTGTGTCAAAAAGTTAATTCATCATAATCTAGTGGATTTTATTCCTGATATTCAAGAATGATTCAGCATACATTAATCAATAAATGTGATTCCCTACATTATATGGTTTGGATTTGTGTCCCCACCCAAATCTCATGTCGAATTGTGATCTCCAATATTGGAAGAAGGGCCTAGTAGGAGGTGATTGGGTCATGGGGGCAGATTTTCCCCTTGCTGTTCTCATGACAGTGAGTGAGTTACCACAAAATCTGCTGTTTAAAAGTGTGTAGCACATTCCCCTGCTCTCTCTTCCTCCTGCTCCTGTCATAGAAGACATACCTCCTTCCTCTTCACCTTCTGCCATAATTGTATGTTTCCTGAGGCCTCCCCAGCCATGCTTCCTACATAGCCTGTGGAATTGTGAGCCAAATCAACTTCTTTCTTTATAAATTACCCAGTCTCAGGTAGTTCTTTACAGCAATGTGAGAACGGACTAACACAGTACATAAGAGAACAAAAACAAAAACCACATGGTTATCTCAATAGACGCAGGAAAATCATTCAATAAAATCCAATATCTTTTCATGATAAAAACCCTCAACAAATGGGGCATTCAAAAAGATACCTCAGAATAATAAGAGCCATAAATAACAAACCCGCAACCAACATCATGCTGAATGGGGAAAAGTCAAAAACATTTTCCCTAAAAAAATGGAAAAAGACATGGATGCCCACTCTCATCACTCCTGTTCAACACAATACTGAAAGTACTAGCCAGAGCAATCAGGCAAGAGAAAGAAATAAAAGACATCCAAATTGGAAAAGAGAAAGTCGAATTATCTCTGTTCTTTGAAGACAATCCTATAACTAGAAAATTCTAAACGTTCCTCCAAAAGACTAGTAGACCTGATAAACTACTTCAGTAAGGTTTTAGTTTACAAAACTAACACACAAAAATCAGTTGCATTTCTACACACCAACAATGCTCAATCTGAGAAACAAATCAGGAGCTCCAACTCATTAACAATAGCCACACGAAAACTACCTAGTAATAGATTTTACCAAGGAGATGAAAGAGCTCTACAAGGAGAATTACAAAACACTGATAAAAAAAATGTAGATGGAACAAACAAGTGAAAAAAATCTCATGTTCTTTGATAAAAAGAACCAATATCATTAAAATAACCACACTTCTCAAAGCAATCTGCAAATTCAACACAATTCCTATTAAATTACCAATATAATTTTTCACAGAATTAGGAAAAATTAATTCTAAAATTTGTATGGTAACAATAAAGAGCCCGGATAGCCAAAACAATTCTAAGCAAAATAATAAAGCTAAAGGTATCATATTATCTGTCTTCCTATTAAATAATTTATGACTAAGACCCAAAAAACAAATGTAACAGAAACAAAAATAGACAAATAGGACTTAAAATAAAAAACCATCTGCACAGCAAAATAGACAATCACAAGTAAGAAGACAACCTATAGTATGGGAAAAAATATTTGCAAATCATACGTCCAGAAAAGGACTAATATTCAGGTTCTATAAAGAACTTAACTTGACAAGACAAAAGTAAATAACCCTGTTAAAAGAAGGGCAAAGAACATGAACAGGCACTTCTCAAAAGAAGACATATCAGCATCCAATGATCACAAAATAATACTCAACATCACTAGTCATAGAAATACAAATTAAGACTACAATAAAGTATGACCTTACACCAGTCAAAATGGCTATTATTAAAGAGTCAGGAGGGCCAAGATAGTGGACTATAAGCAGCTCATGTGTTCCACTCTCATGAAGAGGAAACAAAGTAGCTAGTGAACACTGATCCCGCAAGTCAATCATCTAAGAAACCATGTCAGAATCCATCCAGGCAGCGAGGAGATACAGAGAGCAGAGAGGAGTAAAGCTGGGCAGCAGCACAACTGAAATCAGCATGGAGCCAAAAGTTCCCCAACATGGGGAAAGTGTGAGCGAGTGAGAGCTCCTAGAGGATTCCACTTCCCAGAGCTACTTGTGCAAGCCTGGGAAAAGGAAAATCCCCTGGATACCCCGAGGCCTCTAAATTGACACAGATAGCTGCCCAGAGCTTTTGTGGAGGCAACACTCAAGTCCACAGGGACCTCTACAAGCCTTGAATCCCAGAAGAGACTGGTGCCAGTACCACAGACCCAGTAGAGGACACAGCTGTGGTGCTGGGGAGCAGTAAGATTGCTATTGCTACACCCCACTTTGCCAAACATCTAGTTGACATGCTAGGTGACTCCACCCACCCTTGCCACTTATACCCAGACAGGTGATGCCTGCTGGGTCTTTTGGCATGGCAGACCCAATTCTGCCTGAACTTTGTAAGTGGGCACACCCCAGGAAGCACCCAGAATGTGGAGCTGGTGACTCCAGCAACCCCCACCACTTGTAGCTGAGCGGACCATACCGGCTGGGTCTCCAAGCATAGCAAACCTGCTTCTGCCTGAATTCTGTGGGTGAGCCCAGCCCCGTGTTCTCCTGAGAAGCACCCAGACAGTGAACTGGGTGATCCAACTGCTCCTGCTCCTCCTAGCTGGGCAAGACACGCCAGTTGGACTAGTCTTCAAGCTCTGAGATTTTTCTTCTGCTTGATCTATTCTGCTATGGATGCAGACATTTGATGCAGAGATTCCAACACATCAGACCCACATTTGCCTGAGCACTGCACGCAGGTGCAGCTCTGTCTTCCCCTGGGAAGCACTCAAATGGCAGTATGTGTGACTCCACCTACCCCTGCTGCTTTCAGTTGAGTGGGACTTGCTGCCTTGGGCAGCACCTAAGCAAGTGGGAGCCCTCACTTGGAACACTGAGAAGGGTGAGACGCCCAGGTTCTTGGGCAGGCAGAGAAGTGGGGTGTGCCTCCCTCTGCAAGGCCAGTCCAAGAAGGATATGTCCTGCCTGACAATCATGACCCCTGCCTGAGGGATCATGCCCAGTGGACAAGAACATCTAACAAAGAAACACAGGCATGTAGCCAGTGATTGAAGGGGACTCCTCCAAGTCTCAGAAGTGAACCTGATGAGGCAGTCATCTCTCCCACCCTACCACCAGGCAGCACTACTGCCAACCATGCCAAAATACAAAAGAGTCCTCTATCTGAGTAAGAGTTTATCTCCTGGTCAAGACTCTTAACCTTCACCTACTGTACTGCAGCCCAAAATACAACACCAAAATATTTTACCAGCATACAGCATCTGTAAAAACTAAGGCAAAGATCCAGCCTGAAACAAAGATTCTGTAGTATCCTGACCTCTGAAAACACCCAAAAATGAAATCAACTGATCATACTCAAATTACACCACAGTTAAAGGAATAAAAGCCCTCATGTATGAGAAAGAATTAACACAAGAATTTTTGGCAACTCAAAAAGCCAGTGTGTCCTCTTACCTCCAAAAAGCACACAAATTCCCCCAGAAATGGTTCTTAGCAAGATTGAGATAACTGATATGATGGACATAGGATTCTGAATCTGGATGGCAATGAAGATCATCAAGAGCCAGGAAAAAGATGGAACCCAATAAAAAAAAAAAAGCTTAGTAAAACAATCCACGAGTTAAAATAGTCATTTTAAGAAAAAATAAAATTGAAATTCTGGAACTAAAAAATTCTCTTCAAAAATTTCACAATACAATTGCAAGCATCCATAGCAGAATAGGTCAAGCAGAAGAAAAATCTCAGAGCTTGAAGACCAATTCTTTGAATAAACTCAGACAAAAAAAAAGAAAAAATAATTTTAAAAAATAAACGAAACCTTCAAGAAATATGGGAGTATGTAAAGAGACCAAATCTACAACTTGCTGGCATTCTTGAAAGAGAAGAAAAAAGAATAAGAAACTTGGAAAACATATTTGAGGAAATAGTCCATGAAAATTTTCCCAATTTTGCTAGAGATGAGGACAAACAAATTTAAAAAATAAAGAGAACCTCTGCAAGACATTACATAAGACAACCATCCCCAAGACATATAGCCATCTGATTCACCAAGAACAAAGCACAATAAATAAATCTTAAAGGAAGCTAAAGAGAACATGCGGCGTTTGGTTTTTTGTTCTTGCAATAGTTTGCTGAGAATGATGGTTTCCAGCTTCATCCATGTCCCTACAAAGGACATGAACTCATCCTTTTTTATGGCTGCATAGTATTCTATGGTGTATATGTGCCACATTTTCTTAATCCAGTCTATCATTGATGGACATTTGGGTTGGTTCCAAGTCTTTGCTATTGTGAATTGTGCCACAATAAACATACGTGTGCATGTGCCTTTATAGCAGCATGATTTATAATCCTTTGGGTATATACCCGGTAATAGGATGGCTGGGTCAAATGGTATTCTAGTTCTAGATCCTTGAGGAATCGCCACACTGTCTTGCACAATGGTTGAACTAGTTTACAGTCCCACCAACACCGCACTCATAGGTGGGAATTGAACAATGAGAACACTTGGACACAGGAAGTGGAACATCACACACCAGGGCCTGTTGTGGGGTGGGGGAAGGGGGGAGGGAAAGCATTAGGAGATATACCTAATGTAAATGACAAGTTAATGGGTGCAGCACACCAACATGGCACATGTATACATATGTAACAAACCTGCACGTTGTGCACATGTACCCTAGAACTTAAAGTATAATAAAATAAAAAAAAAAGGAAGCT
The DNA here is from genome assembly GCF_000001405.40 of Homo sapiens. Classification (NCBI taxonomy): domain Eukaryota; kingdom Metazoa; phylum Chordata; class Mammalia; order Primates; family Hominidae; genus Homo; species Homo sapiens. Next base: position 99,346,174 of record NC_000023.11, on the reverse strand, counting down.
AAAGAAAAATGTCAGGTAACCTAGAGAGGGAGCCCCATCAGGTTGGCAGCAAACCTCTCAGCATAAAACTTACAAGCCAAAAGAGATTGGAGGCCTATTTTCAGCATTCTTAAAAGAAATGCCAACCAAGAATTACATATCCCACCAAACTCAGCTTCAGATGTGAAGGAGAAAGAAAATCTTTCTCAAACAAGCACGTACTATGGAAACTTGTTACCCTCCAGCCTGCCTTTACAAGAAGTCCTTGAGAGAGTGCTAAATATGGAAACAAAAAATAGAAATGTGCTGCCTCAAAAATACACTCAAGCACATAGTCCACCAATAATATAGAGTAATTACATAAACAAGTCTACAAAACAAACAACCAATAACATAATGACAGGATCAAAACCTCATATATAGACACCAACACTAAATATAAATGGTCTAAACTCCTCACTTAAAAGACAACGGTGGCAAGTTGAATAAAAAGACAACTCAACTGTCTGCTGTATTTAAGAGATGCATCTCACATATAATGACACCCACAGACTTAAAGTAAAGGGATAGAAAAAGATCTACCAAGAAAATGGGAAACAAAACAGTGCAAAAGTTGCTATTCTTATATCAGATGTCACACATTTTAAAACAACAATAATCAGGAAAAACAAAGAGCATTACATAATGATAAAGTGTTCAATTCAACAAGAAGACTTAACTATGCTAAATATATATGCACCCAACATAGAAGTACCCAGATTAATAAAACAAGTCCTTGACCTAAAAATGATTTAGACAGATACACAATGATAGTGGGAGACCTCAATACTCCACAGAAGAGATAGATTATTGACACAGAAAACAAAGAAATTCTGGACTTTAACTCAACAGTTCACTAATTAGATGTAATAGTCATCTACAGAGTATTCCACCCAACAACCAGAGAATATACATTCTCCTCATCCACACACAGAAAATATTCTAAGATGAACCACATGCTTGGCTATATAGCAAGTCTCAATAAATTTAAAATAATCCAAATCTTACCACACACACACTTGGACAACAGTGAAATAAAAATAGAAATCAATATCAATAATATCTCACAAAAACACATAAAACCTGAAAATTAAATAACCTGCTTCTGAATAACTCTTGGATTTAAAATAAAATTAAGACAGAAATTTTTAAAAGTTTGGAAATTAATACATGTAGAGATACAACTTACCAAAACCTTTGGACTACAGCAAAAAGAGTGTTAAGAGAAAAAGCTATAGTACAAAATGCCTTCATCAAGAGGAAAAGTCTCAATGACTTAATAAGCTTCACAGTAAACTCCAACCAAAAAACATAGACACAAAAAAAATGCAAAGAAATAAACTAAATCATATCACCAGAGAAAATCACCTTCACTAGAAAAAGACAGTACTAAAATAAAAAAAGAAGAGAAGACAACAAAACAAGTAAAAAACAATAGAATGGCAGGAGTAAGTCCACATTTATCAATAATAACATTGAATGTAACCCATAAAAAATTTCAATCAACAGATAGACTGACTGAATGTATGAAAAGATCTATTGATCTGTTGCCTACAGTGAACATGCTTGAAGAGTATGTTTCTTCAAGACACAAATAGATTGAAAGTAAGGGGATGAAAAAAGACATTCTGTGGAATGGAAAGAAAAGAGCTGGAGTAGCAATACTTATATCAGACAAAATGGATTTCAAAACAAAAACTATCAGAAGAAACAGAGAAGGCCACTATATTATGATAAAGGTGTCAATACAGCAAGAGAATATAACAATTTTAAATATGTATTCACACAACACTGGAGCATCCAGATATATAAAGAAAATGATATTATAGATGAAGAGAAATATAGGGCCCCAAACAATAATACCTAGAGACTTCAAAACCACACTTGCAGCATTGGACAGCTCTTCCACACAGAAAATCACCAAAGAAACATCTGACTTCATCTGAACTCTAGACCAGATGGATCTAATAGGTATTTATAGAACATTTTATCCAAGAGCTTCAGAATATATATGCTTTTCCTCAGCACATTGATTATTCTCACAGATAGACCACATGTTAAATCATAAAACAAATCTTAAGACATTGAAAAAAATTGAAAGGATATCATGCATCTTCCCTGTTTGACCACAATGAAATAAAACTAGTAATCAATAACAAAAACTATAAGAGGCTTACTGGAAGCTATACAAATATAGAAAAACTAAAGAATATATGCCTGCTTGACTACTGGGTCAATGAAGAAAACAAAAAAGGGAATTAAAAACTTCTTAAACCAAATAATAATAGAAACACAATATACCGAAATATATGAGATACAGCACAAGCCGTACTAAGAAGGAAGTTTACATCTATAAGTGCCTACATTAAAAGAGAAGAACGTAAACAATCTAATAATGCATCTTTTAAAAAACCAGAAAATAAAGATCAAATCAAAACCAAAATTGGTAAAGAAATGGAATAATGCAGATCAGAGCAGAAATAAATAAAATTAAAATTAAAAATGCAAATCATCATGAAACACAAAGTTGGCTTTTAGAAAGGTTAAACAAAATTGACACACTTTTAGCCAGACTGAGAAAAAAAGAGAGAAGACCCAAATAAATAAAATCAGAAATGAAAAGAGACATTACAACTGATACTGCAGAAATTCAAAAAATAATTAGTGGCTACTATGAGCAACTATGTGACAATAAATTGGATATTCTAGAAAAAATGAAAAAAATTCTAGATATAAACAACCTCCCAAGATCAAATCAGGAAGAAATCCAAAACATGAACAGACCAATAACAAGTAGCAAAATCAAAACCAATATAAAATGTCTCCCAGTAACGAATAGCCCGAGACCTGATGGCATCACTGCTAAATTCTACCAAACATTTAAAGAAGATCCTACTAAAACTATTCTAATACATAGGAGGAGGAAATACTTCTAAACACATTCAACAATTCCAGTATTACCCTGATACCAGAACAAAAGACACATAAATAAAAGAATACTACAGGCCAATATTTCTGATGAATATTGATGCAGTAATCCTCAACACAATACTAACAAACTGAATATGACAATATATTCAAAAGATCATTCGTTACGACAAAGTGAGATTTATTCCTGCAAACCAAGAGTGTTTCAACATATGCAAATCAATCAATGTGATACATCATATCAACAGAATGAAGGACAAAATCATATGATCATTTCAATTGATGCTGCATAAGCATTTGATAAAATTCAACATCTCTTCAGGATAAAAACCTTTAAGAAACTGGGGATAGAATGAACATATCTCAACATAATAAATGCAATATATGACAGATCCACAGCTAGCATCATACTGAATGGAAAAAAAGTGAAAGACCTTCCTCTAAGATCTGGAACATGACAAAGATGCCCACTGTTGCCACCAACACAGTACTGGAAATCTTATATAGAGCAATTAGACAAGAGGAAAATATAAACGCAATCCAAGTTGGAAAGAAAAATATCAAATTATCATTGTTTTCAGATGACGTGATCTTATATTTGGAAAGGCTAAAGACTCCACCAGAAAACAATTAGAACTGATAAACAAATTCAGTAAAGTTGCAGGATACAAAATCAATATACAAAAATCAGTTGCATTTCTACACACCAACAGTGAGCAATCTGAAAAAGAAACTTTAAAAATTCAATTTACAATAGCTACAAATAAAATTAAATACCTACGAATTAACCAAAGAAGTGAAAGATCACTGTAATGAAAATTATGAAACACTGATGAAAAAAAACTGAGGACGACACCAAAGAATGGAAAACTATTCTAGATTCATGAACTGAAAACATCAATATTGTAAAACGTTGATGCTACCCAAAACAATCTACAGATTCAATGCAATCCCTATGAAAATACTAATGACATTCTTCACAGAAGTAGAAAAAACAATCCTACATTTTGTATGAAACCATAAATGACCCAGAATAACCAAAGCTATCCTGAGCAAAAAGAACAAAACTGGAGGAATCACATTACCTGACTTCGTATTATACTAACAGCTGTAGTAAACAAAACAGCATGGTACTTGCATAAAAACAGACACATAGACCAGTGAAACAGAATAGAGAGCCCAGAAGACAACCCACATATCTAGAGTGAACTCGTTTTTAAAAAACTTGCCAAGAAGATACACTGGGGAAGTCAGTCTCTTCAATAAATGATACTGTGAAAAGTGGATATCTGTATGCAAAAAAATAAAACTAGACCCTTATCTTGCAACATGTACAAAAATCTACTCAAAATGGATAAAAGACTTAAATCTAAGAACTCAAACTATGAAACTACTACCAAAAATATTGGGGGAACTCTCCAGGACATTGGCCTGGGCAAACATTTCTTGAGCAATATCCCATAAGCACAGGCAAGCAAAGCAAAAATGTACAAATGGGATCACATCAAGTTAAGAACTTCTGCACAGCAAAGGATTCAGTCAACTTAGTGAAGAGACAACCTAAAGATTGGAAGAAAATATTTGCAAACTCCCCTTTTGACACGGGATTAATAACGAGAACATGTAAGGAGCTCAAACAAGCCTAACAGAAAATAATCTATTAAAAATGGACAAAATATTTGAATTAGACACTTCTCAAAAGACACACTAATGGGAAACAGGCGTATTAAAAGGTGCTCAACATCACTGATCATCAGAGAAATGCAAATCAAAATGACAATGAAATATCCTCTCACCCCAGTTAAAGTGGATTATATCCACAGTTAATAAAATATGCTGGCAAGGATATGGGGAAAAAGGAAGTCTCATACACTGTTGGTGGGAATGTAAATTAGTGCAACCAATGTGGAGAATATTTTGGAAGTTCCTCAAAAAACTAAAAATAGAGCTACCATATAATGCAGGAATTCCACTGCTTGGTCTATACCCAAAAGAAAGGAAATCAGTATATTGAAGAGATATCTGCACTCCCGTATGTAATGCAGCACTATTCACAATAGCCAAGATTTGGAAGCAATCTAAGTGTCCATCAACATATGAATGGATAAAGAAAATGTGGTACATACACACAATGGAGTACTACTCAGCCATAAAAATAATGAGATCCAGTCATTTGCAACAACATGAATGGAAATGAAAATCATCCTGTTAAGTTAAATAAGCCAGGCAGAGAAAGACAAACATCACATGTTCTCACTTTTTTGTCTGATCTAAAATTCAAAACAATTAAGCACATGAATATAAAGAGTAGAAGGATGGTTACCAGAGGCTCAGAGGGGAAGAGGGTGGCTGGAGGGGAGGTGGGGATGCTTAATGTGTGCAAAAATAGTTAGAATGAATACTTAGAATAGTAAGATCTACTATTTGATTGCACAACAGGGTGATTATAGTAACAACTGTACATTTTAAAATAACTTAAAGAGTATAGCCAAATTGTAACTCAATGGATAAATGCTTGAGGGGATGATACCCCATTCTTTATGATGTGCTTATTTCACATTGCATGCCTGTATCAAAACATCTCATGTAACACATAAATACACACCTATCATGTACCCACAAAAATTAAAAGTAAAAATATTTAAAAAAATACAAAGAGATATCATCTCACTCCATTTAAAGTAGCTTATATCCAAAAGACACACAATAAAAAATGCCGGCAAGGATGTGGATGAAAAGGAACTCTTGTACACTGTTTTGGGAATGTAAATTAGTACAATCACTATGGTGAGCAGTTTGGAGGTTTATCAAACAACTAAAAATAGAGCTACCATATCACCCAGCAATGCCACTGCTGGGTCTACATCCAAAATAAAGGAAATCAGGATAGTGAAGAGATATATGCACTCCTATGTTTGTTGCAGCACCTTTTACAATAGCAAAGATTTGGAAGCAACCTAAGTGTCCATCAAAAGACGAATGGATAAAGAAAATGTAGTATATAAACACAATGGAGTACTCTTCAGCCTTAAAAAGAATGAGTTCCAATAATTTGCAACAACATGGATGAACCCAGATATCATTATATTAAGTGAAATAAGCCAGGTACAAAAACATAAACTTCACATGTTCTTACTTATTTATGGAATCTAAAAATCAAAACAATTGTACTCATGGACTTAGAGCGTAGAAGGATGGGATGGGTAGTGGAAGTATGTTGGGGGAGGTAGGGATGGTTAATGGATACAAATAAAATAATTAGAAAAAATAAATAAGACCTACTGTTTGATAGCACAACACGGTGACTATGGTCAATAATAAGTTAATTGTATATTTAAAATATCTGTTTCTCAGTGATATATATTTCATTTTTTTCTTCAAAAATTGAGGATCCATTAGCATATGACATACAGTGGTTATTCACAAATAAGACTGCCTTTCAGAATAATCTGGGACATGTATTAAAAATATACATTATTGGCAATAGAATATACAATATTCTCCAGTATTCAGTTAACAAGAAAATCATTTTCTGACAATTCTGATTAATTTTTTTATTATTTCAATAGTTGTGGGGGAACAGGTGATGTTTGTTTACATGGATAAGTTCTTTAGTGGTGATTTCTGAGATTTTGGTGCACACATCAGCAGAGCAGTGTACACTGTACCCAATGTGTAGTCTTTTATCCCTCAACCCCACTCCCACCCTTCCTCCCAAGTATTCAGAGTCCATTGTATCATTTTTATGCCTTTGCATCTTCATAGCTTAGCTCCCACTTAGAAGTGAGAATATACAATGTTTGTTTTCTTTTTATTTTTGCATCTGTGTTTTTTGTGGATTTTTGCATCTATGTTTTTTGAGGGATTTTTGCATCTATGTTCATCAGGGATATTGGTCTGTATTTGTGGTTGTTGTTGTTGTTGATATGTCCTTCCCTGGTTTTGGTATTAGGGTAATACTGGCTTCATATAATGATTTAGGGAAGACTTCCTCATCCTCTATCTTTTGGAATAATTTTAGTAGAATTTTTATCAATTCTTCTTTAAAAGTCTGATAGAATTCAGCTTAAAAAGTGTAACTGGATTGTTTATAACTCAAAAAATAAATGCTTGCGGGGATGGATACCCCATTCTCCATGCTGTTATTATTTCACATTGCTTGGCTATAGCAAAACATCTTATGTATCCCACAAATTCATACACCTACTATGTACCCACAAAACTTAAACATAAACAATGAAAAAAAATCAAATTAATGACCTAATGTCACAAATAGAGGAACTAGAAGATAAAGAACAATTTAATCCAAGAGCTAGTAGGAGAAAATAAGTAACTAGTTTAGTCTTGGGAGGGTGTATGTGTCGAGGAATTTATCCATTTCTTCTAGATTTTCTAGTTTATTTGCATAGAGGTGTTTGTAGTATTCTCTGATGGTAGTTTGTATTTCTGTGGGATCGGTGGTGATATCCCCTTTGTCATTTTTTATTGCGTCTATTTGATTCTTCTCTCTTTTCTTCTTTATTAGTCTTGGTAGCGGTCTATCAATTTTGTTGATTCTTTCAAAAAACCAGCTCCTGGATTCCTTAATTTTTTGAAGGGTTTTTTGTGTCTCTATTTCCTTCAGTTCTGCTCTGATTTTAGTTATTTCTTGCCTTCTGCTAGCTTTTGAATGTGTTTGCTCTTGCTTTTCTAGTTCTTTTAATTGTGATGTTAGGGTGTCAATTTTGGATCTTTCCTGCTTTCTTTTGTGGGCATTTAGTGCTATAAATTTCCCTCTACACACTGCTTTGAATGTGTCCCAGAGATTCTGGTATGTTGTGTCTTTGTTCTCATTGGTTTCAAAGAACATCTTTATTTCTGCCTTCATTTCGTTATGTACCCAGTAGTCATTCAGGAGCAGGTTGTTCAGTTTCCATGTAGTTGAGCGGTTTTGAGTGAGTTTCTTAATCCTGAGTTCTAGTTTGATTGCACTGTGGTCTGAGAGACAGTTTGTTATGGGGGAGGGGGGAGGGATAGCATTAGGAGATATACCTAATGCTAAATGATGAGTTAATGGGTGCAGCACACCAGCATGGCACATGTATACATATGTAACTAACCTGCACATTGTGCACATGTACCCTAAAACTTAAAGTATAACAATAATAAAATAAAATAAATTTAAAAAGATTAGATGTTTACTGTAATCTTCTCTGTAATAAATATATATAATAAAATATGTAATAAAATTTTTCAAAAAAAAGAAGATAAGTAACTAAAATCTGAGAATAGCTGAATGTAATTAATACCCAAAAGTCCATACAAATGTGAGTGAAACCAAAAGTTTGATTTTTCAAAAAAAATAAACTGTATTGATATACCAATAGCTAGATTGGCAAAGAGAAAAAATAAATAGAAAAGATATTCAGAGGCTATTGGAACATCTCTACACAAACAAATTATAAAATCTAGAGAAAATGGATGAATTTCTGGAAACACACAACCTCCCAAGAATGAATCAGGAAGAATGTGCAAATATGAACAGCCAGTAACAAGTTCAGAAATTGAATCAGTAATAAAAAATCCTACTAACCAAAAAGAGCCATGGGCCTGATGGATTCACAGCTGAACTCTACTCAACATATGAGGAAGAACTTACACCAATTATACTGACACTTTTCCAAAAATTAAAGAGGAGGGGCTTCTC